>NC_000021.9:31154799-31784722 GCF_000001405.40 Homo sapiens | reverse complement strand
GTTGTTGTTGTTGTTGTTGGTGGTGTTTGTTGTGGTGGTGGTGGTGGTGGTGGTGGTGGTTGGTGGTGGTGGTGGTGGTGGTGTGTGGTGTTGATGATGGTGGTGGTGGTGATGGTAGTGGTGGTTGTTGATGGTGGTGGTGGTGATGGTGGTGGTGGTGGTGGTTGTTGGTGGTGTGGTGATGTTGGTGTTGGTGGTGGTTGTTGTGGTGATGTAATTGTTGCTATGGTTGTTGTTGTTGTTATTGTTGTTGTTGTTGATAATGGTGATGATGGTGTTGATGGTGGTGGTGATGATGGTGGTGATGGTGGTGGCGGTGATGGTGGTGGTGGTGGTGGTGATTAAATAGCTGCTAATGATGGTGATGGTGGTGGTGGTGGTGATGGTGATAATGGTGATGATGGTGATGATGGTGGTGGTGATGACGGTGGTGATGGTGGTGGCGGTGATGGTGGTGATGGTGATGGTGGTGATGGTGGTGGTGGTGGTGGTGATGATGATGGTGGTGGTGGCTGTGATTATGATGATGATGGTGATGGTGGTGGCGGTGATGGTGGTGATGGTGATGGTGGTGATGGTGGTGGTGGTGGTGGTGATGATGATGGTGGTGGTGGCTGTGATTATGATGATGATGGTGATGGTGGTGGCGGTGATGGTGGTGATGGTGATGGTGGTGGTGGTGGTGGTGATGATGGTGGTGGTGGCTGTGATTATGATGATGATGGTGATGGTGGTGGTGGTGGTGGTGATGGTGGTGGTGGCAGTGGCAGTAATAGCTAATATATATGTAGCATTTCTCTGTGCCGAGCTCTATTCTAAGTGCTTTACATACATTAATTTAATCCTGACAGCAATCTTATGAGTTTTACAATCCCCATTTACACGTAAGAAAATGAAGCACAGAGAGGTTATGTCACTTGCCCAAGGTAATACGGCTCATAAAGAGAGGCTCCCAATACCTTGCTCTAAAATATTTTGCTAATAGCTTTTTCCGAATTAGAGTTTCGTTAAAGTTCTCTTTCAAAGAAAAAGTATAACCTGGTGAGTTAAGACTATCAGTCATTCACACATGTGTATAAATGACCTTAATCAAACATTACTGCAAATACATAGGAGTTTTCATTGAAGATGGAAAGGGAGACATGGCACTGGAGGAGAAGCCTCTGAAGAAGGATAGTTTCGGGGGTGGGGGTGGAGGGGATTTTACAGTTGGAGGGGCTTACCAGAAGGCAGACACATCTGGGTCAGGAAGAGGATGTCTGAAGGTGAGCGGGTCCCAAACATGTGGGTTATTTGCCTTGCAGATTTTCCAAGAGACTGCCATTGGCATGTACAGACTTGGTTAATTTTTCCAAGACTACAGTGGATTCACTTTTTAAAAGGTGAATATAGCACTTCCCCAAGACCATGTATTAGTTAAAATAGTCATTTCAAATCATTATCATAATTGATTCAACTGCCTAGTAATTGCTGCTGCCTCCCCCAAATAAGCAAAACATGCATTTAGGAACAGGCTTAGAACATTCTATGTATTCACAAATTATGTTTTCACACAAGGAAGAGGGGAGTGATGGAGAGGGGAGAAAAAAAGGTTCAGGGGAAGTGGTCCTAGTGGGCTGCTGTTATTTCTCATGATTTCCTCTGCATTTGGTAGAGTAGATGCTCGATAAATATTTGATGATAACTGGAGGGAAGAGCACACAAAATAAGTCAGGGATATTCCTAAAGTAAGAAGTCTGATTCGACACTGGTGATGTTGATGGATAACTCATTTGTAGTCATATTTTGCGTGGATTTTTTCCCCAATATTCTTTTTTTTTTTTTTTTGAGACAGAGTTTCACTCTTGTTGTCCAGGCTAGAGTGCAATGACACAATCTCTGCTCACTGTAACCTCCGCCTCCCAGGTTCAAGTGATTCTCCTGCCTCAGCCTCCCGAGTAGCTGAGATTACAAGTACCCACTGCCATGCTGGCTAATTTTTTGTATTTTTGGTAGAGACAGGGTTTCACCATGTTGGCCAGGCTGGTCTCGAACTCCTGACCTCGGGTGATCTGCCTGCCTTGGCCTCCCAAAGTGCTGGGATTACAGACGTGAGCTACCGCACCTGGCCTTTTTCCCCAACATTCTAAAGTCACTGATTCTCTGAGTGGAGGGGGAACACTAACAGGTTGTGGCTATTTCTATTACAACCCATGTCATTGCTTATTTTTTAAAGCATTTTCTGTATTCATTTCTTGTATTCTGTAATCCCAAAGAGGTATGGTACACCAGCTCAATGATCTCATTAATGAAATTATGTCACTAGATGAAATATGAAAGTAAATGGTTTATTAAGGACATAATGTGGTTGGTGTGTAATACCAACTACTGGGAAATGTTTCATAGAGAGTCCAGGTAGGGTGAATGAAGAAAGAGAGAATGGGTCACTGCTTTAGACTGGTGGGTGAGGGAGAACCTATCTGAGGAGGTGATATTTAAGCCAAGAATGGGATGCATCAAAGAAATCAGCCACGAAAAGATGAGGAATCCATGCCTGCTGTGTCCACAGCATGGACAGAGGGGCTGGAGTGGGGTAGAGGACAGAGCATGGTGGGAGATGAGTCTGCAAATGTAGGAAGGGTCTTGACCAGGTGGGACCTTCTCAGCCAAGGAAAGGATGGTGGTTTTAATTTTAAGTGCAATGGAGAAGACTTGGGAGGGTTTTAAGCAAGGGAGTGGCATGATGTGATTTGTTTTGGAAGAACACCCTGCTGCGTTTGAGGAATGGATTGGAGGAGGAAGAGAGAACCATTAGTAGGCTCTTGGCAGGAGTCCAGATGAGCAACTGTGGGGCCTCGTGCTAGCTGGAAGCACAGAGGACGGAGAGGGAGGGCAGAGTTGAGATGTGCCTCAGAATGAGAGTGGGCAAGACCTACTCTGGATTCAGCAAAATGAGAAAAACAGCAGAATTAAAAATTTGATGTGTGTCCTGAGCAGCTGGGTGCCATTGACAGAGATGGGGAAGACTGGGGATGGACTAATTGATTTTTTTTTTCTTTTTGAAGTGGGGTAGGGAGTGGATCAAGAGTTCAGCTTCAGCTCCATTAATTTTGAGATGCCTATTAGGCATTAAGAAGGGATTCCAAGCAGAACATTATAGATGCAGCTCTGGAATTCTAGAGAGAGCCCAGGCCTGGAAACACAGAGCTGAGAGCCCCTTGCAAGCAGGCAACAAACAACAAGCATTTGTACCAGGTGTGGTGGCACGTGCCTGTGGTTCCAGCTACTTGGGAGGCTGAGGTGGGAAAATCACTCGAGCCCAAGAGTTTGAGGCTGCAGTTAAAAAAATAATAAAATAAATAAGCATTTGTGCAGCAGCTTACAGCTTACAGACACCTCTGTGTGCCTTAGCTCATTCATCTTACAGCAATCTTGTGAAATTATTACTTCTGTAGTTTTACTGATTAATAATAATATTTCCCATTTGCATCTCGGTTTAAAGTTGCTACAATACTTTCCCACAGGCTGTCTCATTTTGCTCTTTCTAACAACACTGGGAAATAGAAAGGTATGAGTGATGGTGGCCGTGAGCAGTCATTACACCTGTTGACACTCGTACCTGTAGAGGCACACAGATGAGAACATATGATTCACACACCTGTGCTGATGCTCTTTAAAAGCAGTCAGATTTTTTTGTGTACATAAGAGCCCTCTGCTGTTCAGAGTGGATTTATCTATTACTCGAGATTTTCCAGCTCAACAGTATGAAAGATTGAATCAGACTTCTCTTTAACTTTTGTAAAATGCTCTTGGGGTAGATATCTTACATAATGAGCAACAATTTTAAAAATAGTTTAACTTGTCATAATTAAAAATACCTCCAGCATGGTGGCTCATGCCTATAATCCCAACACTTCGGGAGGCCAGGGTAGAAGGATTACTTGAGCCCAGGAGTTCGAGACCAGCCAAGGCAACATAGCAAGACCCCCATCTCAACAAAAATAAAAAATTAGCAGGGCATGGTGGCACATACTGTAGTCCCGGCTACTCGGGAGGCTGAGGTGGGAGGATCAATTCAGCCCGGGCAGTCGAGGCTGCAGTGAGCTATGATCACAGCACTACACTTCAGCCTGGGTGACAGACCAAGTGAGACTCTGTCTCAAAAAAAAAAAAAAAAAAAAAAAACAGAAAAAAATACCACCTTCATATTAGAAAACTCAATATTTTATTTTTGAAGAAAACAACATTGAGAGAGAGAAACCAAGCGGTTTCATGTTTAAGACTTACTTTTTTCCACCACTAACTACCCAAATCTAGATATGGTCCTTGCATCAACATGGATGCCATTTCATGGCTAAAAGAAGGTGAGAAGCATCTAAACCTTTATAATGTCTGTTCATAGGAACACCACATAAAATCAGTAATTTAATACTTTTTAAAAAGTTTTGAGGCCAGGTGCAGTGGCTCATGCCTGGAATCCAAGCATTTTGGGAGGCTGAGAAGGGCAGATCACAAGGTCAGGAGATAAGACCATCCTGGTCAACATGGTGAAACCCCATCTCTACTAAAAATACAAAAAAAAATTAGCCAGGTGTGGTGGCGCACGCCTGTAGTCCCAGCTACTTGGGAGGCTGAGGCAGGAGAATTGCTTGAACCTGGGAGGTGGAGGCTGCAGTGAGCCGAGATCGTGCCACTGCACTCCAGCCTGGCAACGCAGTGAGACTCTGTCTCAAAAAAAAAAAAAAAAATTGAGAAGCCTTATCATATCTATTAGTGTGCTTTACTGTTCATGGATAGGGTGGCATTTGAATCAGTCCTTAAAAGATGGAGATGCATAAAGGGAAAGATGGGGTAGGTCGTTGATGATGTAGAGGTTGTGGAAGCAAATGGCCAAGGGTGTGCCAGGGGGAATGAAGACCTTGAAACCAAAAGAATCGTAGATTCTAGAGCTGGGACATAAAGCTGGAAGACCACCCAGCAAGACCGGCTAAGGGTCTTCAGTGCCAGCCAAGTTTGGCCTTCACTGGGCTGGCAGTAGGGACCCCAAAAGACTCATTAACTGGGCAACAATGATCAGATCTGAGCTTGAAAGAATGTTCCAGAAGGCAAAGGGAGAGCAGCTGATGCAACGAAGGGACAGGATAAAGAATAGTCATTTACGGACCTCTTACAACCATCCACAGACACAACAAGGGTAGGGTAGTCAACAGCTAGGGTAGTCAGCATGGAAAAGAAAAAATAATAACATTGCAAGTAGGAAGGGAAAAAAGGAAGATGGCTGAGAGAATGGAGGAGCCAGGGCATAAATTACTACAAAAAGCCTTGAAAAATAAGTTCCATTGTATCAACAACAAAACAACAACAGCGTCTCTCGTACTTATGAGGCCTACCTCTATATACACATCTGCTCACTCCTAGGGCTGGCGGGTTATTCCCCAGGCTCATAGCTGCCCCTAGTCCTGGGATCCATTCCAACCTTAGGCTGGTCATATTTCAGTATCACCTGGGAGCAAATTACCACCCCCTAAGGGGACATTTGAAAATGTCTTAGAGCACTATCCCAAAATGATTGATAAAATGACTTAGGGTGGCTACCAGCATTTGGTGGGTGGGAACCAGGGATACCAAACCTCCTGCAATATTCAGGAAATAGCCACACAATGCAGAATTGAACTATCTGTAACCCAGCAGACCCACCATTGGGGAACACTGCCACAATCCCCCCTGGATCCCAGTTTGATAAACGGGCTGCTGCTGTGTTCTCTGTGCCCGAGTTCGTGTCTCAGCCAAGGGCCTTATAGCAACATCCCTGTAGGTCTTGGGTGCTATCTTGGTTTACTCCCCTTTGTCTTAAGGACCAGAGTCCTTCTCCACAGGCTTCCCTGTGGCCTGCTGCCTGACTGCCCACCTGCTGGGTACTCGGTGCTCCCAGTGGCCATCCTCTTCACGCCCATCAGATACGCCAATCCCCGTATCATACTCCATGACTCATCTGCTGGCATTGACCACAGACTACCCTGCCCTATCCTTTAGCATTCTGGCCAGCCCCAAATACAGGCCCTTCCTTAGCATCCACCAGGGAACTGCCTCTGCCCAGACACTTTCGGTCTGCCCCACTCAGTAACAGTTAACTAAGCAAATTTCCTACTTAACAAGTTAACAATACAAATTTCCAAGCAACACAAATACTTTGAAAGTACAGACCAACATTTCTGCTAAAAGAACAAACCCTCCCATACTTAATGAGACATCCACAAACCAAGACAAGAAGAACACGGCTCCTCCAAAATTCTCCTTTCCAACTGTATTAGTCTGTTCTCACGCTGCTAATAAGGACATACCCGAGACTGGGTAATTTATAAAGGAAAGAGATTTAATGGACTCACAGTTCCACATGGCTGGGGAGGCCTCGCAATCATGGCAGAAGGCAGAGGGGAAGCAAAGGCACATCTTACGTGGCAGCAGGCAAGAAGGTGTGTGCAGGGGAATTGCCCTTTTATAAAACCATCAGATCTCATGAGACTTATTCACCATCATGAGAACAGCATGGGAAAGACCCACGCCCATGATTCAATTACCTCCCACCAGGTCCCTCCCATGACACGTAGGGATTGTTACAATTCAGGGTGAGATCTGGGTGGGAACACAGAGCCAAACCAGATCACCGACACTCCCCATGGATTTCCTTGGACTTAGGACTTTCAGAGTCTCATAGTGAGCTTGAGGAACACAGCTGACTCTGCACCGAATTATGTTCCCTGGTCACACAATGACTTCTGCTCACTCCTCAAAGTCTTCCTGAAAGTTGGGGCACTGTGGTAAGCAGACTAATGGCTCCAAAAATACGGATGCCCTAATCCTCAGAGCCTGTGAATATTTTCCCTTACACTGCAAATGGGATTTTGCAGACGTGATTAAGTGAAGGATGTTAAGATGGGGAGATTATCCCAGATTATCCAGGTGGCCCAAGCTAATCCCATGAGTTTTTAAAGAAAGATGGCAGCATCAGGAATTGACTGGTCATTGCTGGCTTTGAAACCAGAGAAACGGGCCAGGAGCCAAGGTCCCCAGGAGGCCTCCAGACACTGGAAAAAGCAAAGAAGCAGAGCCTCTCCTGGAACCTCCTGGAAGGAACACAGGCCAGCCGACCCTTTGATTTTAGCCCCTGGAGGCCTGTGTCAGACTTCTGGCCTCCAGAATTGTCAGATAATAAATTGGTATTGTTTTAAGCCACGACATTTGTGGTAATTTGTTACAGTGGCAATAGAAGATGAATACAAGGAATAAGAACAGAGGAATGAATTATATTTTTGCACTGAGCATAAATTTGGTAGACATAGGAAAATCTTAGAGGGTATAAAGAAATGAAGTTGAAGAAGTGTATTAGTCAGGGTTCTCAAGAGGGACAGAACTAATAGGTTAAATGTATATATAAAAGGGGAGTTTATTCAG
The DNA here is from genome assembly GCF_000001405.40 of Homo sapiens. NCBI lineage: Eukaryota > Metazoa > Chordata > Mammalia > Primates > Hominidae > Homo > Homo sapiens. The sequence goes on along the minus strand of NC_000021.9, from coordinate 31,777,291 downwards.
GAGCATTGACTCACTTGATCACAAGATGAGGCCCCACAATAGGCTGCCTGCAAGCTAAAGAGCAAGAAAGCCAGTCCTAGTCCCAAAACTGAAGCACCTGGAGTCTGATGTTTGAGGGCAGGAAGCATCCAGCATGGGAGAAAGATGGAGGCCAGAAGACTCAGCAAGCCTAGTCTCCCCACATTCTTCTGCCTGCTTTTATTCCAGCCATGCTGGCAGCTGAGTAGATTGTGCCCACCCAGATTAAGAGTGGGTCTGCCTTTCCCAGTCCACTGACTCAAATGTTGATCTCCTTTGACAACACCCTCACAGACACACCCAGGAATAATACTTTCCATCCTTCAATCCAGTCAAGTTGACATTCAATATTAACCATCACGAGAAGGAAGATTTTTTCCCCTCACATTAGAAATCCAAGGAGGGGGGAGAGCAAATAGAGCACAATATTCAATATTTCACCAATCCAAAATCTTTTCCGCACATATACTGTGTGTGTGTGTGTGTGTGTGTGTGTGTGTGTGTGTGTGTGTGTGTATTCTGCATGCCTTTTTCTTTTGTTTTGTTTTTTTGTTTGTTTTCTGAAACAGGATCTCACTCTGTCACCCAAGCTGGAGTACAGTGGTGCAATCATAGCTTATTGCAGCCTCTAACTCCTAGGCTCAAGTGATTCTTAGAACATCTTAGAAGATCTAATCGCTGATGACCATTGTAATTTTCTGAGAGTGGGTTTTACTTTTCAATGTTTGCTCCATTTATCTGACTGTGGCACTCCCATTTTTTAAACGGAGGATCTTGTGGTTGTGATGTTTTGTGGCATATACTTGAGAAAGACCATTCTGATCAAAGAGAACCAGGCACGTGCGAGTATGGGTGGGAAAGGTGGGAATGTGCATGAAATAGTAAGAGGAAAGGCAAAGCCAGAGAGGAAGGGAAAGCTAGAGGGAAAAAAATCAGCAATATTCCTACTCTTCCATCAGGCCATATAGGTTCCAATACTCTCTCTGCCATGAACTAACCACGTTAACTCGGATTGGTGACTTCACCTCTCTGGGCCTCAGCTTCCTCATGTATAAAATGTGGATAATAATAATGCCTGTCTTGTAGAGTTGTTAGGACTGAATATGGCAATACGACATAGAGCACGTAAGACAGTTCCTGGCACAATGTAATACTAGCATTGGCTGATGTTACAAGGCCAGAGCTGCCAGACTGGGAAGGGTCTTCCAGTTAGACAGAGGTGCTATGGGAAAAGGCAAGTTTTCCTAGAGGTGGTTTATTTGTGTATTTTTTCATTACAAAATATGTCATGCAAAGTAAAGAATACTTATGTATGCAGGTGTTTGTGTGTAGTCAGATGCAAGATTTGCAGGATAATAATAAAATGAATCCTTAGGGACCTATTACCCAGCTTAGGCAACTGAACATCACCAAAGAAGTAAACCCTTGCAGTCCCCTCCCTGGTCTCTGTCCCTCCCATCCCCTCAAAGGAAACCACTCAGTCTGATTTAGACACTCATCATTCTCTTGTTTATTTTGATAGTTTAACTGCATTTGTCTGTTCCCCACAGACACTGTTTAGTTCACCTATTTCCAAACCTTATATAAATAGGATCTTACTGTGCATATTTTTCCATGACTTTCCTTCTTCATTCAACTTTGTGTTCTAGAGATTCACCCACAGTGAGGTGTTGGCTCTGGTTCATTCATCTCCATTGTTCTCTAGCACCACTAGAGAACATATCATCTCCATTGTTCTCTAGCACCACTAGAGAACATATCTCATACTTTTTCATCTGATTAACGAAACTTTGGATTGATTTCCATATTTCTGCTCTAATAAAAATGCTGCCAGGATGTTCTTATGTGTGTTGTCTGTTGAGAACGTGCAAGGGCTTCTGGATGGCAGGGCGCCTCCAGCTTTCCTAGGTTCTCTGAAATTGTTTTCTGAAATGATCTAATGGACTCACTGTCCCCCTAGTTGTGTACACATGTTCCCTTTATTCATATTTCTTACTCTGGAAACTTCCAAAGGACTGACCAGATAAAAGCTAGGTTTAGGGAAGATCCATTAGGTGAGGGGAGGGGGGGTTAGAGGGGAGAAGCCCCTTACCAGGTAAGATGGACAAGAGGCCAGAGGACATCAACAGGTGCATCCCTACAGAGACCCGAGGGCCTAGCAAGACACGGCCTCCTTTTTGGGCAGAATTCCTACAGTTTCTCTTTTGTGTATGAGTTGGTATCCACCAATAGAATCCACAATCTTTGGAATGCACCCAACAGGATGCATGGCTTGCAAAAAAGCAAAGAGTTACATACTTGAAAATTCTAATGTATTTCCCTGTGTCTGGTAAAAGGATCTGGCCCCAGGAAAAGTACTGTGCATCTTCAAATCTAACCCTCTTTGTCTGTAAATTGGACATCATTATCTGCCTCCACAGAACTGTTGTGTGGCTTGGCAGATCATTAATGGTAATGGGTCCTTGGTCCCTGTAAAACCAGATGTAAATGCTGAGTGCTGCTTATAGTAGGAACAGGTTACGCATATAGTAGGGTGGAAGCACAATCCAACAGGACTAGCCTAAATGTTACTTTTCAGAGACAACTTGAATCTCACTAAATTTTAAACAGGTTAGTTTCGTATCAACAGGACTTTTCCCAAGCCATCAGTTTCCTTTGCCTCCTACACAACCAAGCAGGACTGCCCCAGGGGAGGAAGGCAGAAATCATGGACAAGTTTCCTGAGAGGCCACATCCGCCTGTTCAGGCCTTGCCACCTCACTGCATGAAGGGACACGGCCTCATGTGCATCAGCTGTCATATCTTGGGTTTCTTGGTATTCAAGAAATGCTTTCTTTTCTTTTCTTTCATTTTATTTATTGATTAATTGATTGATACAGTGTCTCTCTCTGTCACCCAGGCTGGAGTGTAGTGGCGCAATCTCAGCTCACTGTAGCCACTACCTTCCAGGATGAAGCCATCCTCCCACCCCAGCCTCCCAAGTAGCTGGGACTACAGACCCATGACATCACTCCTGGCTAATTCATAGAGATGGGGTGTCCTATATTGCCCAAGCTGGTCTTGAACTCCTGGGCTCAAGCAATCTGCCTACTTCAGCCTCCCAAAATGTTGGGATTAAAGATGTGAGCCACCATGCCTGGTGTAAGAAATGGATCTACCAAGTTCAGGCTATTTTGTAATAATTTTCATTGTGTATGTGTGGTTTTTGGTTTTGCTTTTTGCTTTTTGGGTTTGTTTTTTTTTTTTTTTGAGTCAGAGTCTTGCTCTGTTGCCCAGGCTGGAGTCCAGTGACACAATCATAACTCACTGCAACCTCAAACTCCTGGGCTCAAGCAATTCTCCCACCTCAGCCTCCCAAGTAGCTAGGACTACAAGTGTGCACCACCATGCCCAGCTAATTTTTAAATTTTTTTGTAGAAGTTGAGGGGTGGGGGGTTGGGGGGGGGCTCTCACTGTGTTGCTCAGGCTCGTCTTGAACTTCTGGCCTCAAGCAATCCTCCTGCCTTAGCCTCCTGAAGCCCTGAGATAACAAGCATGAGCCACCACACCTGGCTAATTTTTAGTTGTTTAGACTGTCTTGTCCTCAAGGCAACAATCTATTGCAGCTGATTCACGAGGCTCACACCTTTGTAAGTTTTGTGATAATAACTGAGGGCCAGGTTGCAGCCTGAGGCTTCTTGGGTCTGGCTTCCTGTCCTTTCCACAGGTCCTAGGTGCCTCTCCCACCATGCACAAGGCCCTGATCCAGTCCTAGGACAGTTGGCTAAAGAGCCTGTCAGCTAATGCTCAGCCTTTTCCAGCTGTTTACCCCATTTTTCTCATGTGTTGACTAACACTTCCTGCCCCCAAAACCTGTCAGCTCCAAGATGTACTCCACAATCGTTCTGTCTCCCATCTGTCCATCTGGGGCCCAGGGGACACAGCAAGAGTCTCAAAAGGCCCATTTGCATCTCACCCACATCAGTAGAGCAAAAAGGGGGCATTGCTGTAATAAAGAAATAATTGAAGGTAGAAAGTGCTAAAGCAAAAGGGGAAAGGAAGATTATCCAAATGCAACTAAATATAGATTCTACTGTGGGTCATGTTGCTGAGGTGCAGACATTTACAGCAGGTGTTCAGTTTTGCTTAACGCAAGACTCTTTGCAATCATTTTTAAGTAGTACAGTGAAAGGGCCCTTAGGGAAAGAGCTCCCCTTGTTCTCACTTTGCAGATGTAGAGGCCTGAGAAGCAGGGAGGTGAAGTAGTTCACCCACGATCCCACAGCTGCTAAGTGCCAGGGCTAGGACTCCATCCCAGGGCTTGGGACAGTCAAACAGGGCCTCTTTCAACAAGCCCGTATTGTCTCTCAGCAAAGATCTATAAAAAGCTGGATGATAATAAAATAAGCTTATGCAACACTTTTGCCTAATGCAAATTAAGAAATTGATTTCAGGAACAGAAACTTGGGTAGGGTTTGCCCACATACAAACAACACTAAAGAGAAAGTTGACTACTTAAAATAGAAGACACTGTTCTCTCATGTGACTGAAAGGATTATTTCTATTCTGAAAAACTGAGAGGTTGCCTGTCATAAAGTCGTGTCCTCAAATTCAGAAACTTTAAAGTTTAATGCGGCCCAACGCATTGACTCACACCTGTAATTCCAACACTGGGAGTCCAAGGTGGGAGCTTGAGCCCAGAAGTTCGAGACCAGCCTAGGCAACATGGCAAGACACCGTCTCTACAAAAAAAATTTTTTTTAATTAGCTAGGCGTGGTGGCACATGCCTGTAGCCCAAGCTACTTGGGAGGCTAAGGCAGGAGGACCCCTTGAGCCCAAAAAGTCAAGGTTGCAGTAAGCCATGATCACACCACTGCAACCCAGCATGGGTGACAGAGTGAGACCCTGTCTCAAAAATTAAAGTTTAAAAATAAAGTTTTTTAAATAAAAAAAAAAAGTCTGGCCAGGAGCGGTGGCTCACACGTATAATCCTAGCACTTTGCGAGGCCGTGGTGGATGGATCACTTGAGCTTAGGAGTTCAAGACTAGCCTGAGTAACATGGCGAGACCCCATCTCTACAAAAAAATACAAAAAAAATTAGCCAGGCATGGTGGCACACACCTGTAGTCCCAGCTACTCAGGAGGCTGAGTTGGGAGGATCTGACCTCTTGAGTCCTGGAGGTCTAGGCTGCAGTGAGCCAAGATTGCACCACTGCAGTCCAGCCTGGGTGACAAAGTGAGACCCTGTATCAAAAAATATATATACATATATATATAAATGTTTAAAAGCCTAATGTAAGTGTCTCCAGTATACTGTAAGTAAAGTGACTTGTGTTTGTGAATTTAATCACTTGCAAAACACATAGTCATTCTCTCACTTGTCTTTACAATAACTCTGTGAGGAGCTGAGCATCAATCAGTGTCATCATTATCTCCATTCCACAAATAAGGAGATGGCGGCTCAGAGAAACTAAATGAATTCTCAATATCATGCAGCTGAACCTTGAACCTCAGGCTGCTGAATTCTTTTTATAAGGTATGGTAGAAGGGAATTCAAGCTCGAAGTCAGGAAGACGGATATGAGTCCTGACTTGGCCACTTACTTGGTCTCTGTCATTGAACAACTTATTTACCGCACAGAGCCTCAGCTGATGCATCTGTAAAATAGGGAGAATCACACCTGTGTGGTAGCTTTTATGAGTATTCAATGAAGCAATGTATGAAAAGCATCAAGGTCAGTGCCTGGCACAAACCAGGTTCTCAGACAAGTAATCCTTGCTATTGCTGATATATACAGCTTCTATTATACTATTTTGCAGCTTTTCCAGCTAGTCACGGCACAATACATGACTTAAAGACACAAAAGGGAGACTTCCTTTCCTCTGATCTCACTCCCTGATTCACTGGCCTGGCTTCTTATAAAGAAAGGTCTTGGCCTGGTTTAAGCAGAAATTCATTTACCAAAAGAATTAGTTGATGAAGGCCAGGCGCGGTGGTTCACGCCTGTAATCCCAGCACTTTGTGAGGCCGAGGCAGGCAGATCATGAGGTCAGGAGATCGAGACCATCCTGGCTAACATGGTGAAACCCCGTCTCTACTAAAAATACAAAAAATTAGCTGGGCGTGGTGGCGGGCGCCTGTAGTCCCAGCTACTTCGGAGGCTGAGGCAGGAGAATGGCGTGAACCTGGGAGGCGGAGCTTGCAGTGAGCCGACGTGCGCCACTATACTCCAGCCTAGGTGACAGAGCGAGACTCCGTCTCAAAAAAAAAAAAAAAAAAAGAATTAGTTGATGAGGTCACCAGTAAATGTAAAGCATTTCATTTATTCACACAATAAATGTTAATAAAGAGTGTACTATAACCCAAGCTTTAGGGAGACCATGTAGCACTTGGTAGGCACAGTCCCAGGCCTCAGGGAGCTGAAGTGATGGGGAAGGCAAACATCAAGCAAGTCACTGGCACCACCAACGTGATTCAGACACGTCTGATCACCCCCGATCACCTGGCATTTTCAGGGCTTAGAATCAGTAAACAAATAGAAACTCCTTAGTTCCCTGCTTTCTCCACTTCTCTGCAAATCATCACCAATTAAGTGCGCATTCAATAAAAGCAGAGAAAAACATTAAGTCCTTAGTGATTCCCATCACTGCTGCCCACATTTCATTGCTGAGAACTAATCACATGACCATAACTGGGCATGAAGAGGGTTGAGAAAATAGCCCTTGACTGGGCTGTCACTTTCCATGCTAGGAAAGGGAGGATGCATTTTTGGTAGCCAAATGGCATATACTTGGGAAAGACCATTGTGACTTTTCTGCCACAGCCAGAAAGAAGGCCAAACATATCAGCAATCCTAACACCTAATGAAAAGAACACAGGAAAGATGGAAAAGACATCGAAAAAGGCATGCTAGGCCGGGCGCAGTGGCTCACACCTATAATCCCAGAACTTTGGGAGGCTGAGGCAGGTGGATGACCTGAGGTCAAGGGTTCGAGACCAGCCTGACCAACACGGCGAAACCCCATCTCTATTAAAAATACAAAAATTATGTAATCTCAGCTACTCGGGAGGCTGAGGCAGGACAATCGCTTGAACCTGGGAGACGGAGGTTGCAATGAGCTGAGATCGCACCATTGCACTCCAGCCCAGGTGACAGTGTGAGACTCCGTCTCAAAAAAAAAAAAAAAAAAAACACAAAAATTAGGCCAGACACGGTAGCTCACGCCTGTAATCCCAGCACTTTGGAAGGCCGGGGCGGGCGGATCACCTGAGGTAGGGAGTTCGAGACCAGCTTGACCAACGTGGAGAAACCCTGTCACTACTAAAAATACAAAATTAGCTGGGTGTGGTGGTGCATGCCTGTAATCTCAGCTACTTGGGAGGCTGAGGTAGGAGAATCGCTTGAACCCAGGAGGCAGAGGTTGCAGTGAGCCAAGATCATGCCATTGCACTCCAGCCTGGGCAACAAGAGCAAAGCTCTGTTTCAAAAAATAAATAAATAAATACAAAAATACAAAAATCAGTCAGGCATGCTGGTGCAGGCCTGTGGTCGCAGCTACTCAGGAGGCTGAGGTGGAAGGACCACTTGGGCCTGGGAGGCAGGGAGGTTGCAGTTAACCAAGATTGTGCCACTGCACTCCAGCCTGGATGACAGACAGGCTGCACTCCAGCCTGGATGACACTGCACTCCAGCCTGGATGACAAAAAAAGAAAATAAAAGAAAAAGGCATGCCAGGTATATATTAATAGTAGTCATCTCACACAAAATAAAATTCAAAATGAAAAGCATTAAAAGAATATATCATAATTATAACATTATAATCCACAAAAATATGAATCATAAACATTTATGTACCTACAACCTTGGCCTCAAAATCTGTAAGTAAGACAAGCCCTGATAGAAATGCAAGGAATCACTGGTAAGTCCCCATCATGGGTGGCTTTAAATACATTTCTCAAAAACAGGCTGATCAACTACTACCCAAATGAATATGTCTTAAGAAGTCCTGGCTGACAAAACTAACATTTATAACTTCATAGGCATATGGAGAGAAACAAGTTTTTATCCAACAGACATTACACATTTTTTTCCAACTCTCATGAGACATTCTCTGAATGTATTAAACCACAAAGAAAATCACAACAAATCCCCAATAGTAAAACTGTGACAGCATACATTCATGAACTATAATGGAATAAAATTAGAAAATAATAAAAGATGGATAACAAACAAAAATCTATCCTCTTGGATATTTTAAAACATTCCACTAAATAAGTCTTAGGTTTGACAGGAAATAAGCACAGAAATTACAAGCCATTTAGAACTGAATCACAGTAAGAGCTGTCCATGGATATCAAGGCCCTTGGGACACGCTAAGACAGCACTCACAGGGAAAATACATAGCCTTATGTGCATGTGACAGAAAATAAGAAATGTTGAAAATAAATGAATCAACCAAGATTTCAACTCAAGAAGCTTGGCAGGGGATGGAGAGAGACAAAATAAACCTGAAGAAAGTTGAAGGAATGAATTAAGAAAGATAAGAGTAGAAATTAATAAAAATAGAAAATAAAGAGGTGATAGCATGTGGTGACTGGTTTTTCAGATGCTGGCAAGGTTGCAGAGAAAAGGAAACACTTATACACTGTTGGTGGGAGTGTAAATTAGTTCAACCATTGTGGAAAACAGTGTGGCGATTTCTCAAAGACCTAAAAGCAGAAATACCAATTGACCCAGCAATCCCATTACTGGGTATATGCCCAAAGGAATATAAATTGTTCTATTATAAAGACACATGCATGTGTATGTTCATTGCAGCACTATTCACAATAGCAAAGGCACGGTATCAACCTAAATGCCCATCAATGATACACTGGAAAAAGAAAATGTGGTACATATACACATGGAATACTATGCAGCCATAAAAAAAGAATGAGATCATATTTTTTGCAGGAACATGGATGGAGCTAGAGGCCAATATCCTTAGCAAACTAACACAGAAACAGAAAACCAAAACCGCATGTTTTCGTTTTTAAGTGAGAGCTAAATGATGAGAACACATGGACACATAGAGGGGAACAATACACACGGGGTCCTATCAGGGGCTGGAGATGAGGATCAGGAAAAATAACTAATAGGTACTAGGCTTAATACCTGGGTGATGAAATAATCTGTACAACAAACCCCCATGACACAAGTTTACCTATATAACAAACCTGCATATGTACCCCTGAACTTAAAATAAAAGTTAAAAAATAAAAATTAACTTGTTTTTTGAGAGAAGTAATAGAAAGGCAAAACTTTGGCTTATCTTTCAAGAAAAAATCACAAGTCAAAAACTAAGAATGTTTATCTTCATGGCAAGCATTTTGAAAAGTACTGGATGAAGAGACTAATATCCTAGAAAAATATTAATTACAAAGATTCATTCAAGGAAAATTAGGAATGTTAAATAGAATCATTACTATCAAGGAACTTAAAGAGATACTCAAAGATCTATCCCTAAAACAGACACTGAGTCCAGAGGGCTTTTCAGGTAGATTCTGACAAAGCTTTAAGGAAGAGATAATTCTATATAAACTGCCTCTGATCCTAGGAAAACATGGGAAGCTTACCTAACACATTTTCTCATTTTAGAGGTTCAGTATACCATTGATACCTGGCCAGGCATGGTGGCTCACATCTGTAATCCCAGCGCTTTAGGAGGCCGAAGCAGGAGGATCATTTGAGGCTAGGAGTTTGAGACCAGCCTGGGCAACAAAGCGAGGCCCTATCTCTACAAAAATTAAAAAACAAATAGCCAGGAATGTGTGTTGCATGCCTGTAGTCCTAGCTACTCAGGAGGCTGAGGTGGGAGGATGATTTGAGCTTAGGAATTCAAGGTTGCAGTGAGCTATGATTATGCCATCATGCCACTGCACTCCAGCCTTGCTGATAAGAGTGAGATTCTGTCTCTGAAAAGAAAGAAACACTGATATCTTTGTATTAGTCCATTCTCATCCTGCTATAAGGACATACCTGCAGGGCTGGGGAGGCCTCAGGAAACTTACAATCAAAATGGAAGGGGAAGCAAACACATCCTTCTTCATATGGTGGCAGGAAGAAGAAGTGCTGAGAAAAGGAGTGGGGAAAGCCCCTTATACAACCATCAGATCTCGTGAGAACTCACTGTCATGAGAAGAGCATGGAGGTAACCGCCCCCATGATGCAATTTTCCCACCGAGTCCCTCTCACCACATGTGAGAATTATGGGAACTACAGTTTAAGATGAGATATGAGTGGGGACACACAGCAAAATCATATAATTCCACCTCTGGCCCCTCCCAAATCTCATGTCCTCACATTTCAAAAACACAATCATTCCCTTCCAACAGTCCCCTAAAGTCTTAAGTCATTCCAGCATTAACTCAAAAGTCCAAGTCCAAAGTCTCATCTGAGACAAGGCCTAAGAGCCTGTAAAATCAAAAACAAGTTAGTTACTTCCTAGATACAATGGGGCTACAGGCATTGGGTAAATACACCCATTCCAAATGGGAGAAATTGGCCGAAACAAAGGAGGTACAGGCCCCATGCAAGTCCAAAGTCCAATAGGACAGTCATTAAACCTTAAAGTTCCAAAATGATATCCTTTGACTCCATGTCTCACATCCAGGTCATGCTGATGCAAGAGGTGGGTTCCTACACCCTTGGGCAGTCTGCTCTTGTGGCTTTTCAGGGTAAAATCCCCCTCCAGTCTGCTTTCACAGCTGGCGTTGAGTGCCTGCGCCTTTTCCAGGTGCACCATGCAAGCTGTTGGTGGATATACCATTCTGGTGCCTGGAGGTTGGTGGCCCTCTTCTCACAGCTACACTAGGCAGTGCCCCAGCGGAGACTCGGTGTGAGGCTCCAACCCCACATTTCCCTTCTGCACTCCCCAAGCAGAGGTTCTCCATGAGGGCCCTGGCTCTGCAGCAAACTTCTGCCTGGACATCCAGGCATTTCCATACATCCTCTGAAATCTAGGTGGAGGTTCCCAAACCTCAATTATTGACTTATGTGCACCCCCAGGCTCAATACCACATGGAAGCTGCCAAGGACCAGGGCTTGCACCCCCTGAAGCCATGTCCCGAGCTGTACCTTGGCCCCTTTTAGCCACGGCTGGAGTGGTTAGGACACAGGGCACCAAGTCACTTGGCTGCACACAGCACGGGGGCCCTGGACCTGGCCCACAAAACCATTTTTTCCTCTCAGGTCTCCGGGATGCCATGAAGGTCTCTGACATGCCCCGGAGACATGTTCCCCGTTGTCTTGGTGATTAACATTCAGCTCCTCCTTACTTATGCAAATTTCTGCAGCTGGCTTGAATCTCTCCCCAGAAAATGGGATTTTCTTTTCTATTGCATTGTCAGGTTGCAAATTTTTCAAACTTTTATGCTCTGCTTTCTCTTGAACACTTTGCCCCTTAGAAATTTCTTCTACCAGATACCCTAAATCATCTCTCTCAAGTTCAAAGTTCCACAAATCTCTAAGGCAGAAGCAAAATGCCACCAGTCTCTTTGCATAGGAAGAGTGACCTTTATTCCAGTTCCCAACAAGTTCTTCATATCCATTTGAGGCCACCTCAGCCTGGGCTTTATTGTCCATATCACTATCAGCTTTTTGGTCAAAGCCATTCAACAAGTCTCTAAGAAGTTCCAAACTTTCCCACATTTTCCTATCTTCTTCTGAGCCCTCCAAACTGTTCCAACCTCTGCCTGTTACCCACTTCCAAAGTTGCTTCCACGTTTTCAGGTATCTTTACAGCAGCACCCACTACCTGGTACCAACTTATTGTATTAGTCCATTCTCATGCTGCTATAAGGACATATCCAAGCCTGGGTAATTTATAAAGAAAACAAGTTTAATTGACTCACAGTTCCACAGGGCTGGGAAGGCCTCAGGAAACTTACAATTATGGCAGAAGGGGACACAAACATGTCCTTCTTCACATGGTAGCAGCAAGAAGTCCAGAATGAAGAGGGGAAAAGCTCCTTATAAAACTGTCAAATCTCATGAGAACTCACTCAATATCATGAGAACAGCATGGACGAAACTGCCCCACCAGGTCCCTCCCACCACACATGGGGATTATGGGAACTACAGTTCAAGATAAGATTTGGGTGGGGACACAACCAAACCATATCAACCTTATATCTATCTGTATCTATCAATCAGCACACACACACACACATACATACACACAATATATATGGTGTACATATGTGTGTATACAAATATATATATTTACATATCAGTAAAAACAAAGATACAAAATTTCATATCCAGCTGTGTATTAAAGGTACAAAGGATCATTCTGGGAATGTTAAGATGTTTCCATATTAACAGTCTATTAAAAATTTCAAGGTAGAGGCTGGGCATGGCGGCTCACACCTATAATCCCAGCACTTTGGAAGGCCAAAGCGGGTGGATCACTTGAGGTCATGAGTTCAAGACCAGCCTGGCCAACATGGTGAAACCCTGCCTCTGCTAATAATACAAAAATTAGCCAGGCCTGGTGGTGCACACCTATACTCTCAGCTACTGGGGAGGCTAAGGCAGGAGAATCGCTTGAACTTGGGAGATGGCGATTTCAGTGAGCTGAGATCGTGCTGCTGCACTCCAACCTGGGTGACAGAGCAAGACTCCGTCTCAAATATATATATATATGTAGAAAAACCATTGGTGGTATTAACAGATCTTTTAGAGGCATTTGCTAAAATACAACATCCATTCATGATAGCAACCCAGGAAAAGAAATGTCTTAAACCTAATCAAGCATGTTAGCAATCTAAGCAAGCATGATTTTACAAGTCAGATATTACAAATCCCTCCCATAAAAGTCAGGACTAAGACAAGATTTCTATTTGACATTCTATGGCGGGTACTCAATAATATATTAAGACCAAGAAAAGCTAATGCTATTCATTGACAAGTGTTTGGGTGAATGAAAACAGTCCTATATATCTATTTGCACTTTACAGTTTACAAAAGATTTCCATAAGCAGTATTCTCCTGTGACCTTCACGAGGACCAAGGGGGATGAGGATAATTATTATCATCCCAGCTTTAAGGATGAGGAAACTGAGGGCTGTAGGCTTTTTAGATTTTCCTAAAGCTGGTAAGCAGTGATGGAGAAATAGACCTAGGATTTCTTTTTTTTTTTTTTAATACTTTAAGTCCTAGGGTACATGTGCACAATGTGCAGGTTTGTTACATATGTATATATGTGCCATGTTGGTGTGCTGCACCCATCAACTCATCATTTACATTAGGTACTTCTCCTAATGCTGTCCCTCCCCACTCCCCCAACCCCACAACAGGCCCCGGTGTGTGATGCTCCCCTTCCTGTGTCCATGTGTTCTCATTGTTCAATTCCCACCTATGAGTGAGAACATGCGGTGTTTGGTTTTCTGTCTTTGCGATAGTTTGCTCAGAATGATGGTTTCCAGCTTCATCCATGTCCCTACAAAGGACATGAACTCATCCTTTTTTATGGCTGCAGACCTAGGATTTCTTCTTATTCCCTCTTTTCCAGGCATCAACACGTAACACATCTCGTTACTACCAGGGACTGACACTGCCCAGGCCACTTCTCCTCTGAACAAATTAAGTGTGAGCCCCAGGAGCTAACTGGGGTGAGGATAGGGGCGTACACACTGAATGGTGATTAAGAGAGTGGGGAAAAGAAGGAAGAGGGAGAGTACTGAAGATCAGTGCTCTTGCGGCTCTGGGCATATGTCCCTAGATGCTGTTTGAGAGACGAGACTGGCCAAACTCAAGCTGTACTAGCACGTGACAGGTACTCTTATAAGCACCTATATATGTTCAATTCATTCAATCCTCACAAGATGCTTATGAAGTTGGTACTGTTATTAATACCCCCATTTTACAGATGAGAAAGCTGAGATGTAGCCATGTTGAATAACTCATCCCAGTGAATAGTTAAGTAGTAGTGCCAGGATTCAAATCCAGGCGCCTTGGCTCCAGGGACTCTCCTCAGAGCCACTGCATTAGAGAGAGTTTAAGCAAATAACTTGGTTCTGGGGATGAGAGAGCAGAGGCCAACCTGCCATAGGTGCATGTTGGAGATAAAAATAATATCACTGCCAGCCTGGGCGACATGGCAAAACCCTGTTTCTACTAAAAATACAAAAAATTATCCAGGCGTGGTGGTGCACACCTGTAGTCCCATCTATTTGGGAGGCTGAGATGGGAGGGTCACTTGAGCCCAGGAAGTTGAGGCTGCAGTGAGCTGAGATCACACCATTGCACTCCAGCCTGGGTGACAAAGTGAGACCCTATCTCAAATAATAATAATCACTAAAAGAAGAAAGTGTCAATTTGCTCACTTACTTTTTTTTGACATTGCATGAGGCCAGGATGGGGGTAAAAGCATTAAAGGACGCACACACACACACACATACACACACACACACACAAATCTACTTAGAAACATCCATTTTTTATTATTTGTTGCGCTGTTTCCTAAAATTAGACATAACCCACAGAAACAGAGGAAGCAGTGTTCTCCTTGGCTTGTTTCTTTCTATCTGCAGACCTGTACACTCAATAAGGATCTTACCCAATAGAACCATAGAGGAAAATTAAAGAAAATTCTGATTGCCCTGTTAGAAGCCTTGTTGGGAGGCTGGGTGCTGTGGCTCACACCTGTCATCCCAGCACTTTGGGAGGCTGAGGCAGGTGGATCACCTGAGGTCAGGAGTTCTAGACCAGCTTGGCCAACATGGTGAAACCCCATCTCTACTAAAAATACAAAAAAAAATTAGCCAGGCATGGTGGTGCATGCCTGTAATCTCAGCTACTCAGGAGGCTGAAGCAGGAGAATTGCTTGAACCTGGGAGGTGGAGGTTGCAGTGAGCCGAGATCGCGCTACTACCCTCCAGCATGGGCGACAGAGCAAGACTCCATCTCAAATAAATAAATGAAATAAAATAAACCTAGATGGGAACCATACAGATAGCGCCAAACTACTTTTATCTGCAGCTATATTCATTTCTTACATCAGAGTTTTGTTTTTTTTAATCTCTTCTAGTCCTTCTAACCTGCTTCTAGACCCACTGCATTGTCCAGACAACGTCTGTTAACACTGGCTTAGTTCAGCTTTTCCCAAGCACCTACAGTTATGAGCATAGAGTTAGACAATCTCAACTGTGTCCTCATGTGGACCTGCTGGAGCTTCCCCAAACAAAATTACCTTACTTTGTACAACCTGTTCCTTCCTTCTGGAATATCTTTCCCAAGCCAGTGACATCTGATGCTTCCCTTAAGACCTAGTTTACCTCTTCCAGGAAGCCCTCCTAGATGATGCCATCATACTTGCTCCAGTAAAACCTGTAGAATCCACCCAGAACAGTAGCTCCCTTAGCATTTCCCACATTGCGATATTTTTTAAAATGTGTCGGACTCTAACCTGAAATTGCAAACCTCATGAGGGCAGGAACGCTGCACCATTCTGATCTGCATCCCACTGCCTTTGAATTAAGACACAAATTAATATTTCAAGTTTAACAATTTGTCATCAAAATTGAAGATGCTTTCAAGGCTGTTAAAAATCGTCTCTTTAAAAATAGAGTTTAAGGTTTTAAATTTCCATAAACATTAAATAGAAGCAACTTAGAAACCACTTATAATGTTTCTAATAGAGACATTATAAATAATATTTGTAAGGAATTAATCAAACAATGGTCCTTTGTCATCAGCAATATATTTGGATAATACCTTAGAAGTTTGGTTTAGTGGCCAGGCATGGAGGCTCATGCCTGTAATCCCAGCACTTTGGGAGGCCGAGGTGGGTGGATCACTTGAGGTCAGGAGTTCGAGACCAGCCTGGCCAACATGGTGAAACCCTGTCTCTACTAAAAACACAAAAATTAGCCAGGCGTGGTGGTGCACACCTGTAGTCCCAGCTCCTGGGGAGGCTGAGGCAGGAGAATCACTTGAACCTGGGAGGCGGAGGTTGCAGTAAGCCGAGATTCCACCACTGCACTCCAGCCTTGGTGACAGAGCGAGACTCATCTCAAAAGGAAAGAAAGAAAGAGAGAAAGAGAGAGAGAGAGAAAGGGAGAAAGGGAGGGAGAAAGAGAAAGAGGGAGAGAGGGAGGGAGAGAGGGAGGGAGAGATGGAGGGAGGGAGGAAGGGAGGAAGGAAGGAAGGGAGAGAGGAAGGAAGGAAGGAAAGAAGGAAGGAAGGAAGGGAGAGAAAATATGGAAGGAAAACTAAGAACGATCATCTTTGCAGGGTATTCTCTGACTTGGACTGTGATATTTGTTATTTATGAAAGAGACATTTAAATGCCCTTTCTGCAGTTGGAAGGTTTTCTTTATACACTATTCCCACCATGGGGAATGAAAACAAAAATGTTAAAATCACAAGGAATTGCACAACGTGAGCAGACTTTGCCTTTTTTCAAGAGCGGAGCATGAATAACAGAAGGATCCAGGATTCAGTCACTTAAATGAAGTCTTTTGGTCAGAAATTACCTTTTCGACACAAGCCTGCTGAATGCTGTTTATATATTTATACATGAATATATATCTATTGAGTGAAACCTTGTAAACTCTTTAGAGTTTTCTTGTATAGTGGCAAAGATGTATATTTCTGCCTCAAAAGGTGTAATGATGTACTGATTCATGCTAAACTTTTTATATAAGTTTAGTTGTAAACTTAGCCCTTCTATACAAAATCAATCAAGTGTATTTATTGAATGGTGTTTGCCTGGTTTATTTCAGAGGACCAGTGCTTTGTTTTTTGGTTTTTTACTTTTATTTTATTTATTTATTTGTTTGTTTGTTTGTTTTTGAGATGGAGTCTCTCTCTGTCACTCAAGCTGGAGTGCAGTGGCGCCATCTCGGCTCACTGCAGCCTCCGCCTCCTGGGTTCTAGCAATATTTCCTGCCTCAGCCTCCTGAGTAGCCGGGATTACAGGTGTGCACTACCATGCCTAGCTAATTTTTTCCATATTTTTAGTAGAGACAGGCTTTCACCATGTTGACCAGGTTGGTCATGAACTCCCGACCTCAAGTTATCCTGCCCGCCTCGGCCTCCCAAAGTGCTGGGATTACAGGTGTGAGCCACCTCGCCCGGCCTTAACTTTTATTTTAGGTTTGGGATACATGTGAAGGTTAGTTACATAAGTAAACACATGTCACAGGGATTTTTTTGTACCTATTATTTCATCACCCAGGTATTTTATTCTTATTATGCTATGTTATAACTGAACCCAAATAAATACAAGTAGGCTGTATAAGATTATAATAAAACATGTCTGAAGTAAAAAAAGAAAGAAAGAAAAAGAAAGAAGGAAAGGAAGGAAGGAGGAGAGGAGAGGAGCTTATAATCCCAGCTACTCGGGAGGCTGAGGCAGGAGAAGGAGAGGAGAGGAGAGAGGAGGGGAAGGGAGGGGAGGGAAGAGGAAGGGAGGGAAATTTGGTTTTAAAAGCCTATAAACTGGCCAGGCATGGTGGCTCACACCTGTAATCCCAACACTTTGGGAGGCCAAGGCGAGCGGATCACCTGAGGTCGGGAGTTCGAGACCAGCCTGACCAACATGGAGAAACCCCGCCTCTACTAAACATACAAAATTAGCCAGGCATGGTGGCGCATGCCTGTAGTCCCAGCTATTCGGGAGGCTGAGGCAGGAGAATCGCTTGAACCCAGGAGGCGGAGGTTGCGGTGAGCCAATATCGTGCCATTGCACTCCAGCCTGGGCAACAAGAGTGAAACTTTGTCTAAAAAAAAAAAAAATGCCTATAAGCTATCTCGATAAATCAGGATGCAGACAGGGACTGGGAACGTGACTGTCCTTTAGGTAGTAATATCTCTTTAACAAAGTGATTACTAGAGAAAAATATCCAAGGAAATATGTTTGAAAGAAAAATATTTTAATTTATACTTTGAGGCGGGAGGGAAAAAGGAGGGAGTTCTGAATGACTCTGATAAATGGACGGAGGAAGAATCAGGTATTAAATCTTTCCCAGGCTGGGATGGCAATAATGTCACTTCGCAAAAGAAGTCAATGAAAATGTCATACATAATAAGTATACAATCTGTCAATCTGAATAGTAACATACATTAAGGATTTATTAAGCAATATCATTGCATTATAAAATGATAGGAATTATGTCTAGAGGAGACAGATTCTTAGAGCAGTGAGAATTACAGGAGAATATTAGGATCATTTCAAGAAGCTTTAAAGACAAATTGCTCAAAGTGATCTGTATAGGCAGAGGCCCTGAGAAAAAGCAATTCCACTGCAAGAACTAGATGGGACAGAACTGAGGTAGCCACTGTGTCATAGATCACTTTAAAACATAAAACATCAGAACAGTAGAAATATACAATGATACAGTCCCATGCCAGGCATTTGATCTAGTCCTGTTTACGCAGCGGGGCTTGTCATGTGCTCTGAAATGTTTTCCCAGGGAAGAAATCATAATGGATTGGGTCTGGTCCATCCCAATTCTTCTCCTGGAATTTCTCATCAACTTAGGAGACAAATATCCAAGATTAAGGGGGGTGACTTGCAGTCATGACAATGTAGAAATCTGCCTGGTATAACCCAGGATCAAACTTAGAAGAAACTGCTCTCCTCTAGGAAGTATCTGTGAGGTGATGGGGGCTGGTGGGGGGACGACAGCACAAGACCTAGCGCTCCAAAACTGGCTTTGATCTGATCTCAGGGGGAAATAAATCACTCCTTTGATCGCAAGGGACAGTCTCTAATTGTAAGTCATGTTTGAGGAGGGAAATGAGCCTCTTTAAAAGAGGCAAATCCATAAGCTTCTTGGCAGGCATGGGGCTGGGCAAGAGCAATTTGCAATTGTTATAATAGTAACAGATTAATAATGATAATATTAATTGCCCCTTGTCTGTGATGTAGGTAAGGTAAGTGAATAGTTTTGCAGGGAATCATCTATATTTGTCCTTTGTTATTCAGTAGGAACAAGAAAGGAAATATTTATTGTCTTTGAATTTTTTTAAGTGTACAATTTCTTTTCTCTTGAAGACCTTAAAACTCCAAGTATTTCTCTAAAAAATATGTATCTTAGGGCTGAGTACGGTGGCTCACGTCCATAATCCCAGCACTCTGGGAGGCTGAGGCAGGCGGATCACTTGAGGTCAGGAGTTGGAGACCAGCCTGGCCCACATGGTGAAGCCCCGTCTCTACTAAAAATACAAAAATTAGCCAGGCATGATGGTGTACACCTGTAGTCCCAGCTACTCAGGAGGCTGAGGCAGGAGGATCACTTGAACCCGGGAGGCAGAGGTTGCAGTGAGCCAGGATTGTGCCACTGCACTCCAGCCTGGGTGACAGAGTGAGACTCTGTCTAAAATAAATATATATATTTGGGGCTTGGTGCGGTGACTCACACCTATAATCTCGGCACTTTGGGAGGCCAAGTTGGGCAGATCACAAGGTCAGGAGTTTGAGACCAGCCTGGCCAGTATGGTGAAACCCCGTCTCTACTAAAAATACAAAAAATTAGCTGGGCATGGTGGTGTGCGCCTGTAGTCCCAGCTACTTGAGAGGCTGAGGCAGGAGAATTCCTTGAACCCAGGAGGCGGAGGTTGCAGTGAGCCAAGATCGCACCACCGCACTCCAGCCTGGGCAACGAAAGCAAAACTCCATCTCAAAAAAAAAAAAAAAAAAGATATATATCTCTTAAACAGGGGTTGGCAAACTATTTGTGTTAAGAGCTAGATAATATTTTAGGCTTTGCAGGCCATACGTTCTTTGCTGTAACTACACAACTCTGCCAATCATAGCATATGAAAATATGTAAATGATGGCAGTGGCTGGGTTCCAATAAAACTTTATTTATGAAAGCAGATGGTGGGCTGGATTTGGCCATAATTCTGCCAACCCTGATCTAAATCCCTGTGTGAAAAGTAACAACACACTGTAATGTAAAACATTATTTCATGCATAGTAGGCAAAAACCAACTAGATCAAGATGACACAAGTATTTGAGGAGAAATACTTGAAGATGGGAATTAACCATGGTGATGATGTAGTAGCAGGGGAAGAAAAAAATATTTATATATTATTTAAAAACACTTTCGTGGTGCTTACTAAGTGCAAAGTTCTAGTCCAAACACTGCTCATTTAATTCTCAAATATTTATATATTATTTAAAAACACTTTCATAGTGCTTACTAAGTGCAAAGTTCTAGTCCAAACTCTTTGCTCATTTAATTCTCAAAAAACCCTATGCTATTATTATCCCCATTTTACAGATAAGAAAACCAAGGCATGAAGAGGCTAAGTAACTTGTCCAAGGTCACAAAGCTAGTAGTCAGGGAAAAACACAAATGTGAAATTAGACTCTCATAGAAATATTATCAGAAGACAGGATTAAAATTCTGCTTCTAACACGAACTAGCCATACAAATTGAGACACAAAGTTGTGATCATAACACTGCCCTCTTTCCCAACTACAGAGTTCCTGCATATCTCAAATGTGATTACGTATTTGAAAGTACTCTGTTACTTCTGCTCACTCTCATAAACTGTTAGTTATTAATACTCAGTTGTCTATCAAATATATGTGGAATACTAATTATGATGCCATGGGAGATGAAGATATACACCAATTGATTTGTTTTTTGTTGCTGTTGTTTTGTTTTTTGAGACATAGTTTTGCCCTGTTGCCGAGGCTGGAACGCAGTGGGGCAATCTCAGCTCACTGCAACTTCCACCTCCCAGCTCCAAGCAATTCTCCCACCTCACCCTCCTGAGTAGCTAGGATTACAGACACCCGCCATCATGCCCAGCTAATTTTTGTATTTTTAGTAGAGACAGGGGTTTCACCATGTTGGCCAGGCTGGTCTCAAACTCCTGACCTCAAGTGATCCACCCACCTCGGCCTCCCAAAGTGCTGGGATTACAAGCATGGGCCACTGTGCCCAGCCTTGTTATTTTTTTCAAATACTAAAATCAGCAACCAAAGCAGGAAACAAAGTATGTACATGAGAACTAAAATTCATTAATGATCAGTGTGACTATCTCATCCCTCCAGAACCCAGAATAATACCTGCCTCTTCTCTGCACTGGCCTTTATGATGATTTTTCACACATATGAACTAATCTGATACTAACAGAAATTGTTTTGCAGACTAGAAGCCTAAGATTGAGAAAAGCAGATTCACCTGCCTAAGGACATATCACAAACCAGCTCCCCTGACTTGCAATGCCTCAGAATAACGAAGCAGCTCAATGGGAGGGGAAGGGTGGAGAGAGACGAAAATAGGCTTATAATTTTACTTGTATAAGTATTTTCTAAACACTTAATGGTGCCTCATTTATTTGTATTATATGGAATTGAATGGTCCGTATGTTAAAAAATTTGGGGGCCGGAAGCAGTGGTTCATGCCTGTAATCCCAGCACTTTGGGATGCCAAGGTGGGCAGATTACCTGAGGTCAGGAGTTCGAGACCAGGCTGGTCAACATGGTGAAACCCCATCTCTACTAAAAATACAAAAATTTGCCGGGCGTGATGGCGGGCGCTTGTAATCCCAGCTACTCAGGAGGCTGAGGCAGGAGAATCTCTTGAACCCAGGAGGTGGGAGGTTGTAGTGAGCCAAGATCGAGCCACTGCACTCCAGCCTGGGTGACAGAGTAAGACTCTATCTCAAAAAAAGAAAAAGAAAAAGAAAAATTTGGGTAACTAAAACTTATTTCTTTTATTATACAAACTATACATTTTAATCGTTATTTCATTTAATCGATATTTATTTCCTTTCATATCAAAATTTACATTTGTTATATTGCCATTTTAGTCCAGATTCCAGCCACTCCCATCTGTCAGGACAGTAGTGATTATTATAAAGGAATACCAGTTCTGGAAGATGCCACTAGGAGCTGTAAACACAGACGATTTTATATGGAATCAAATTAGGATGCTTTCGATCACAAATACCAGAAAATCCAACTCAAACTGGCTTAAACAATGAGGAAATGTGTAGAAGTAAATCTAGTGAGTCTTGAAGGAAGGCTTCAGGGTTGGTTTAAACCAGAAGATCCAGTCTGGGTGGGGTGGCTCATGCCTGTAAATCCCCTCACTTTGGGAAGCCAAGGCAGGAGGATAGCTTAGGAGTTTGAGACCAACCTGGGCAGTAAAGCGAGAACTTACCTCTACAAAAAATTTAAAAATAAAAAAATTAGCAGAGTGTGATGGCATGCGCCATTACTCTCATTTCCTCCGGAGGCTGAGGCGGAAAGGACTGAGGCCAGAGGGTCGCTTGAGCCCAGGAGTTTGGGGCTGCAGTGAGCTACGATTGCTCCACTACACTCCAGCCTGGGCAGAGTGAGACCCTGTCTCTAAAAAAATAAAATAAAATAATACATAAATAAACCCCAGCAGATCCAGCTCAGTTCCTCTAGGATTCTCTTAGCTCTGCCCGCTGTCCTGCAGGAGCTCCATGTTGCTATCAAGATGCCTGCAGGGATCAAGTACAGAAGATACTATTGTCTTTCTCTGGCTCTCTGGAACATGAGAAACTTTTCCCCAGAATCTCCCAGAACATGTCATCTTGCATCTCATTAGACCAAAGTGTGTCAGATGCCTACTCCTGAGCTCCTGAACCAACCCCCGAGGTCAGAGGCATGCCATGTGCCTAACTAGCTTAGGTCTGATTTTCTGAATAAGTCACTGGCAAAGAGAATTGCATTATTCAACTTGGTTTGAATAAAACATGAACTACGTTTGAAGCTGAGATTAATCTTCTAAACCTTACAGTTGTTAAATGACAGAAGAAGGTGAGATGAATTGTGGAAAAGCATTTGTCATCATTTTTGGCTGAGCAACCTCTGAACCTTCTTCCTATGTTTACAATGAAAATCTGAATTTATTTCCCCAGATTATAAATTCTGCTGAAAGGCAGACTATTTCCGGCAGTTGAAACTGAAAATCCCTGTTTCACAACTCCCCAGGCTCTTCTGTTGCAAGGCTATGGATAAGTGACCTACACTTGGCTAACTAGAAACCACCACCATCCCCAAACCACCTCCAGATAGCAAATACAAATCAGTATTTATTTCCCCAGCCTATCCCCAAACCACCCCCTAGTGCACAAGGAAGTAGGGCCAGAATAGAATCCAACTGCTCTGCCTAGCAGGGGTCTTTCACCATGCTAATTGACCAAGGAATTTCTAGGACCAAGAGCATTAAGGAGCCCACTCAGACCTGATTAACAAGAGGCATGGATCGAGCCTCTGGGATAGACATTCTCAATTCAAGACCTGAATTGTATCACAGACCCAGAGGCTCTTGAATGAAAACAGACCAGGTATTCTTGATGAAGAATGTTACAATAAGATCACAGATACATACTCTAAATTAAGCCTTTGCAACCTGAGACCAGTGGGCCCCATGTGGCCCAGGTTGGCCTTGAATGCTGCCCAACACAAATTCTTAAACTTTCTTAAAACATTATGATATATATATATATATATATGTTTTTTTTTTTTTTTAGCTCATCAGCTATTGTTAGTGTTAAGTGTATTTTATGCATGGCCCAAGACAATTCTTCTTCTTCCAACGTGACCCAAGGAAGTCAAAAGATTGGACATCTCTGCTGTAAATCTTCATCCTCATCTGCCCCCAAAATCACTGCCACCATTAATCAAGGCAAATGTGTACTAGAGAAACAGAAAACCTAGATCTTTGAAGGATTATTGAAAACTGCATCCATTACTAATGCTAATTCCTATGGACCTGGAATACCACTGTTGCCCACCAGTCAGAGAAGGGATTTATGGTGAGTTAGGTAAGAAACTAAGTTTTAAGTTTGTCACTAGGCCCAAAGAGTCCCCAAATCTGTCTTTATTTCCCTGGCTCATAGGGGTATAAGTGGAACATATACATGTACCAATAGCAAATCCCCACATTGGCTCAAATGGCCAAGTGTAAACTCAAAGGGCTCTTCATGTACAAAATGGCACATCACAAGTGATACCATATCCCTCGGAGAATTTCAGAGATTAATAGACATGAAAGATCCAGAGGTGATGATTGCTATCACATTCCCTTTTAACTCTCTAGTTTGACTAGTGAAGAAAACCAGATGGGGCTTGGGGAATGACAGTGCATTATCATAAACTTAATCAGTTACATGTGCTGTTCCAGGTGGCTTCATTTGACCAAAACAGATATACAGAGACTCTGGCACTTGGTATGCATCCGTGGATTTGCCAAATATTTCTCTATTATGACACACACTAGAAGCAGAAGCAGGTTAGTTGTTCATTCATTTGTTCGTTCATTTGTTTGTTGTACCTGGCAAGGACAATAGTACATCTTTTCCTTACTTACCTCAGTATTGTTACCTCTCTGGTGCTGGGCTTAAGTTTGGTCTGTGGGAACCTGAACCATCTCAAGGGACATCAAGTTGATAGAATCTAGGGAGCTGAAGTAGCAGACACCAAGGATGCCTGGGTAAAAAAATTCACAACAATGGGTAGAAGAGAAATCTCCCAAAGCTACAGAAGATTTGGGACAGTGGATTTGGAGCAGAGGTGGGGGAAGGTGTTCAATGATCTGGGGGACTAGGGCTCTTTCTCCAAAATGAAAAGCAAGTTGCTGTGCCTGGTATGCCCTATCACTAGGACTCAGGTGCAATGTTTGTGGGCCTACACAGGATTTTAGACTTGTGCAATACATTTGAGTATGCCATCTGACTCAGTGGGTGACTCAATTGACTCTTAGCTTTGACAATGAGAAGTTCCAGAGCCGGTCCAGGCTGCACTGCGAGCAACTTGGCACTTGTGACCCAGCTGATTCAATGAGGTCTGAAGGGTCTCTGGCCAACTCGGATCCAATAAGGAGTCTGTGGCAGGCTCTGACGGGAGAAACAAAGTCAGCAACCCTGGGATTCTAGGGGAAGTCAAGACCTCTCAGCCAATAACAAACCTTTTGAGAACCAAGGCTTGGGTTGCTGTGCTTCCAGTCAGCATGACATAGCGATTGAGAACTCAGGCTGGTCCTGGGTTGCCTGGGTTCGAATCTCATCTCCACCACTTAATAATGAGGCTCTAGACCAAGGTTGTCCAATCTTTTGGTTCCCCTGGGCTACATGGGAAGAAGAATGTCTTGGGCCACACATAAAACACGCTAACACTAATGATAGCTAATGAGCTAAAACAGGAACAAAAAACAAACAAAAAACTCATAATGTTTTAAGAAAGTTTGCAAATTTGTGTTGGGCTGCATTCAAAGCTGTCCTGGGCCACATGCAGCCTACAGGCTGTGCGTTGGACAAGCTTCCTCTAGACCATAGCCTATCTTTCCTTTGCTTCGGTTCCTCTTCTGTGAAATTGGCTTAACAGTAAAGGCTGGTTGGGAGGTTTCATGTGTAATGCATGAAAAGGGCTTAGCATGATGTCCAGCATGTGCTTAATAATACAGGTTGAATATCTCTTGTGTGAAATACCTGGGACCAGAAATGTCTCAGATTTCAGATGTTTTCACTTTTTGGAATATTTGCACATACATACCTTGGGGTTGAAACTCAAGTCTAAACACAAAATTCATTTACGGTTTTTTGTTTGTTTCATTTACGGTTTTTTGTTTGTTTGTTTGCTTTTTTTTTTTTTTTTGAGACAGAGTCTCACTCTGTTGCAGTGCACTCTGGAGTGCAGTGGCGCAATCTCGGCTCACTACAACCTCCCCATCCTGGGTTCAAGCGATTCTTGTGCCTCAGCCTCTCAAGTAGCTGGGATTACAGGCATGTGCCACCACGCCTGGCGAATTTTTGCATTTTTAGTAGAGACGGAGTTTTGCCATGTTGGCCAGGCTGGTCTCAAACTCCTGACCTCAGGTGACCCACCCACCTCGGCCTCCTAAAGTGCTGGGATTATAGGCGTGAGCCACCACCCCTGGCCATTTATGTTTCATATACACCTTATGCACGCAGCCTGAAGGAAATTTTATACAATATTTTAAACAATTTTGTGCATGAAACAGAGTTTCGACTGTGTTTTGCCTGCCACCCCTTCACATGAGGTCAAATGAGAAATTTTGCACTTGTGATGTCACATCAGTTCTCAAAAACTAGTACATTTTGGAGCATTTCATATTTTGGATTTGGGGATTAGGGACACTCATTCTATATGTTATTGGATCCAGCATGTTGAACAAGCATGAGTCATGCCAGAAACCAAACCTTACTTCAGTGTGTTCCTATCATCCCCCTAAGCTCTCCCTAGTGGAGGTGGCCTTCTCATGAGCTGGGAAACTCTGGCAGGTCCCAAACCTTTTCCACTCATTCCTTGGAACAGATGAGTCATATTAGGTCACAAACAGTTTCAATTTAGTAGTTAGAATGTTAGAATGGGTTGGGTGTGGTGGTTCATGCCTATAATCCCATCACTTCAGGAGACTGAGGCTGGAGGATCTCTTGAGGCCAGGAGTTTGAGACCAAGCCTGGACAACACAGAAAGACCCTGTCTCTACAAAAAAAGAAAAAATTGGCCGGGCACGGTGGCTCATGCCTGTAATCCCGGCACTTTGGGAGGCTGAGGAGGGCAGATCACGAGGTCAGGAGTTCAAGACCAGCCTGACCAATATGGGGAAACCCATCTCTACTAAAAATACAAAAATTAGCCAGGCTTGGTGGCACGCGCCTGTAGTCCCAGCTCTCGGGAGGATGAGGCAGAAGAATCGCTTGAACCCGGGAAGCAGAGGTTGCAGTGAGCCAAGATCGCGCCACTGCACTCCAGACTGGGCGACAGAGTGAGACTTTGTCTCAAAAAAAAAAAAAAAAAACGAAAAGAAAAGAAAAGAAAAAATTAGCTGGGTGTGGTGGCGCATGCCTGCAGTCCTAGCTACTTGGGAGGCTGAGGAGGCAGCATCGCTTGAGCCCAGGAGATTGACGCTGTAGTGAGCTGCTAGTATCAGGCCACTGCACTACAGCCTGGGCAACAGAGTAAGACCCTGTCTCTCTCTCTCAAAAAAGAGAAGAATGTCAGAATCCCAAACATGACAGTGTTAAATCTCCCTCACTGTTTGGCTGGAAGACTGCAGCGGGGAAGGTAACACGGCCTTCTGGTCCTCCTCTTCCCTTACTCATGTGTCCCCCAAACTTGCCAGTTGTGGGTGCAGTCCCACCAGGTGCATCAGAAGCAGTGGGTAGGGAGAAGGAAGGGTCTAGCCCAGCTCCAACTTGGCGGCTGGCTTCATGCTGTCTCAGGGCAGGCAGATGGTTAGAGGAGGCTCTCTCTCACTTTGGTGAGCTCTTTAGAGATTTCTTTTTTCTTCTTCTTCTTCTTCTTTTTTTTTTTTTGAGACACAGTTTCATTCTGTTGCCCAGGCTGGAGTGCAATGGTGCAATCTTTGCTCACTGCAACCTCTGCCTCCCGCGTTTGAGTGATCCTCCTGCCTCAGCCTCCCAAGTAGCTGGGATTACAGGCACGTGCCACCACGCCTGGCTAATTCTGGTATTTTTGGTAGAGACCGGGTTTCACCATGTTGGTCAGGCTGGTCTCGAACTCCTGACCTCAGGTGATCCACCCGCCTCAGCCCCCCAAAGTGCTGGGATTACAGGCGTGAGCCACCGTGCCCAGCCTAGAGATTCTTTTCTGCAACCTTTTCTCCCCCACTTCCTTTGACTGCAAAGAATGCACCTATTCTGGGTGGTCTCTTGTGATGTCTTTAATCCCTGGGCAGGAGTTGATCCACTCCAGCCTCTATCTGCTGAGGTCTCCAGGTGGCTGCTCTCTCTCCCACTCAATCCTGAGTGTGGTCCTTGGGAAACACTCAGCGTCACCTCCTATCCCAGTGTCATAGCACGGGGTATGCCACCAAAGCAGGTCTTCACCCTTCTCTCCCCCTTGGGAGAGTCAGAGCCTAGCCCATGGCCGCCTTAGATACAGTCTAGGTACTCATCCTTTATGTTGCCCACCTAGCAGGGACATATCTTAAAACTCTCCTGGGGACCCCTGTGGTCTTCCTCATGAGGCATGAGGTTACAATCAGGGATGGCAAACTTTTTCTGGAAAGAGCCAGGCAGCAAATATTTTAGGCTTTATGGGCTTCAGCCTCTGTCACAAGCTTCCCACTGATACTTGAAAACAGCGAGAGGCCAGGCGTGGTGGCTCATGGCAGTAATGCCAGCACTTCAGGAGGACAAGGAGGGCGAATCACTTGGGACCAGCCTGGCCAACATGGCGAAACCCTGTCTCTACTAAAAATACAAAAATTAGCCAAGCATGGTGGCACATGGCTGTTATCCCAGCTATTCCAGAGGCTGAGGCACGAGAATCACCTGAGCCTGGAAGGTGGAGGTTGCAGTGAGCTGAGATCAAGCCACTGCACTCCAGTGTGGGTGACAGAGCGAGACCCTGTCTCAAAAAAAAAAAAAAAAAAAAAGGAAAGAAAAGAAAAAGAAAACAGCCAGAGACAATACTCAAACAAATTATCGTGGCAGTGTGCCAATTAAAATTTATTTGTGCAAATAGGCTATGACCAGATTTGGCTCACAGGACAAAAGCTTGCTGGCCTCTCACCCCAAATAGAGGGGGGTTAGAAGCCTGAAACGGTCAACTCCTTTCCCCCAAAACTCTCACTACCAATCTCCTTATCCCAAATTCTCTCTCTCTGCACCCTGATCATGTTTATTATCTCCAAGTAGGGAAGGATGAGGAATTGCTGAGAAACACTTTTTCAGACATTGCCCTTGAAAATCTCAATACATGGATTTGCCTATAGCTTTGGTAGCCAATGACAACTTGGCACCTCAGTTGGAAATGACGCAGGAAGAGTTTAAAATGTGCTGAGCTTGAGAAGGCTGCGGAGTCCAGATGTGGCATCCAGCTGAGAGCTGAAAGTTGTGCCTTGAAAGTCACAAGGATGAACTGGGCATAGCCCTTGTCCTCTGTTCTATCACACACCGCCTTGCCTTCTTAAACAGAGAATGTGGCGCATACTCTCCCATTCCTCATTCACTGGGGCCTGATGTGTATAGCAGCCTTGTTGTGACTTGCTGTAAAACCAGTGCCACCGGGGGTTATGGAGGTGCCTGGAACAAGTTCCTCCTAAACAAAATGGCCTGACAGTGTTGTCTTTGTGTGTTCTTTCGTCTGCTTCCTATAGATTGCTGTCTATAGATCGTGTGTGTTCTTGTGTATGTTCTTTGTGTGTTCTTGTGTCTGCTTCCTATAGATGGCTGTCTTCTTCACTGTCAACATGTCAGCTGTTACCTCTAGTTGCTGTCAGTTTCCCTATCTCTAGTAGCCTCCTTAACTATTTTTCTACTTTTCATATGCTGGGACTTTAAAACAAAAAGAAGAAGATTCAAGATGTTAGAATTGCACTAGATAACTATGCTAGGGAGTGAGTGCAGAGTGGCTGTCCCTCTAGCTGGTGGCATGAACGATCTTAATCCGTGGACAATGGGATATCTACTGTGGCTGCTATGGACTTATTCATTTATTCATGTACTCATCATTCATTGATTTAGTTTTTTTGCTTGAATGCAGGGGCTCAGCCAGGGTGCTGACATAATGCAAAAAACTACCTGTATTTAGGATGGGATCAGGATTATTTTAAACATTTTTCAAATTTATTTAGATATTCACATAAGTACACAATTGGACATAAATGCATAAACGTGATCGCCATATTTTTAGGCCACTTTTTCTTTTCAGTTTTGTTTGCTTCCCCTCCCACCTTCACCTGTATCCATGCCCCCTTTCCCACTGTGATGTGGCATGTGCTGACAACCAAGTATACATCCTTCCATACTTCCTGCGTGCTTACACAATCACACAGCCCACACTCACACTCACAGTGTCCTGTCTGTGTGGCCGTTAGTCTTTGTTCTCACTCATTAGCCATACCTTAGCTTCCTTCTTCCCTGTTCTCCCTTGCTAATAGAACTTACTTGTTCAGATAGAAGGCAAAGATCCCTTGTTCTAAAGGAAAGTTGCTCATATTCTAGCCCTAGCAGATGAATCCTGACTGGTGTTCATCCAATCCCTTTCTTCTTTCCATTGGTTTAGGAATGAGCACATGGCTCATTTCTGGTCAATAAGGAGGTAAGGAGACCTGTGGGGAGACATTTCTGGAATAGCCTCTTTTCTAATTTTTAAATTTTTATTATTTTAGTTTAGTTTAGTTTTTTTGAGACAGAGTCTCGCTCTGTTGCCCAGGCTGCAATGCAATGGCATGATCTTGGTGGAATAACCTCCTTTCTTTACGTAAGTAAGGAGCAGACGCAGCAGATACCACCCTCTCTCCTGATTCACACTTTGAAATAGATACGATGGGCCGGGCACGGTGGCTCACGCCTGTAATCCCAGCACTTTGGGAGGCCAAGGCGGGTGGACCACCTGAGGTTGGGAGTTTAAGACCAGCCTGACCAACATGGAGAAACCCTATCTCTACTAAAAAAAAAAAAAAAAAAAAAAATTAGCTGGGCATGGTGGCGCATGTCTGTAATCCCAGCTACTAGGGGGACTGAAGCAGGAGAATCACTTGAACCCAGGAGGTGGAGGTTGCGGTAAGCTGAGATCATGCCCTTGCACTCCAGCCTGGGCAACAAGAGCAAAACTCCATCTCAAAAAAAAAAAAAAAGAAATAGATGTGATGGCTGGAACCATAGCAATCATCTTGCAAGCACAAAATAACAAAGAAGAAGTCAAAAAGCCAACATGTTAAGAAAAGTCAAGCAGAATGAAAGAAAGAGTCTTAGTCCTCGGCTGCAGCATTGGAACCAATGCCAGAAACCACTACTCTAGACTTTTTATGTAATGAGAAAAATAAACCCCTTTTTAAGCTATTGATCAGGTTGTCATTACTTGCAGCCATAAGCATTCCTACTTGAGACAGAATTTTATGTTTTGAAGTGGTTTGCTATGAGAAATAGACTCTAAAATATTAATTGGCTGAGCAGAAGAGGTAGGATAGAAGGCAGTAAGATTAAATTATTCCAGGTCAGTAATTTGGTGATGGCAAAAGATTTAGGTAAAATGTGGCCAACTCTACATGCTGTGCTATTGGGAGGAATGGTATGAAATTTCAGAATGTTGATTTTTTTATTCATTGTTATAGCTCTGTATTAGTCTGTTTTCATACTGCTGATAAAGACATACCCGAGACTGGGCAATTTACAAGAGAAAGAGGTTTAATGGACTCACAGTTCTACGTAGCTAAGGAGGCCTCACAATCATGGCAGAAGGTGAAAGGCACATCTCACATGGCAGCAGACAAGAGAAGAGAGCTTGTGCAGGGAAACTCCCCTTTACAAAACTATCAAATCTTGTGAGACTTATTCACTATCACAAGAATAGCACGGGAAAGACCTGCCCCCAGGATCCAATTATCTCCCACCAGGTCCCTTCCACAGTACGTGGGAATTATAGGAGCTACAATTCAAGATGAGATTTGGGTGGGGACACAGCCAAACCTTATTGGGCTCTTGGCAAAAGACAGCCATGGTGAAGATTAATGATTTTCCTCCCATATCCATTCAGACTTTAGTACCTTTAATAATAGAAGTTTTCTGAGATTCAGCAAGATACATGGTCATCCGGTCCAAAAATACCTTTCCCAGCCTCCCCTGCACCTTGCATGGCCCTGTGACCAAGCTCTGACCAATGGGATATGAGTGAACATGAAGTATGTAACATCCTAAAATGGAAACTGCAGGCCTTCTACTTCCTCTTTCTCCATCCTGTGGCTAGAAAATCATGACAAATGGCAAAGTCACCCTGGAGTTCACATGTTGGGGATGGCAGAATCACCTCACCAGCTCTGGACTGCTCACTTCTTGAGCATTACCTGAGAGAGAAATAAACTTTTTAAAACACATATTTGTGTTAGGGGGTGGGGGGTCCCTTTGTTTCAGCAGCTTATCTTATACCCTAACTTACCAAGAGAGGAGAATTTTTTTTTTTTTTTGAGACAGAGTTTTGCTCTGTTGCCCAGGCTAAAGTGCAGTAGTGCGATCTCGGCTCACTGCAAGCTCCGCCTCCCGGGTTCATGCCATTCTCCTGCCTCAGCCTCCCGAGTAGCTGGGACTACAGGCACCCGCCACCACGCCCGGCTAATTTTTTGTATTTTTAGTAGAGACGGGGTTTCACCATGTTAGCCAGCATGGTCTCGATCTCCTGACGTTGTGATCCACCCGCCTCGGCCTCCCAAAGCGCTGGGATTATAGGTGTGAGCCACCGCACCCGGCCAAGAGGAGATCTTAACTTAGAGACACCTGGTTTGAGAGGTGAGTGGGGGGAAAATCAGTTTTACTAAATGTGAAGTTCTTCTCCAATCCAATTTAACAGAGAGTCCCATAATTTTAAGCCTGGCAGGGTTAATAAAGGCAATTTTTCCTCTACTTCAGTTGAAGCTAATACAAGGGGACGCAGGAAAGTGACTGTCTAAGCAGGGGAGTTTGGGCACTTAGACACCAAAGAGGTGACTAAGGGCAGTGTTCCCCATGTAACTCTTTTCTATCAAATTATCTCATGCAATAGCCACTGAACCTATGGGAGAGGGGACGGGACAGGGCACAATGATCAGCAGCTTGGAGCCAAGAGTTCTTAGGCTTAAAGGCCATTTCTCCACAAAGCCCTTGGATGTGGTTACTTACACATGAAATTATTCAGAAGCAAACAGACTATAAACATACTGTCCTGAAGGAAATGCGTTGAAAACACAAAACCACAAAACCACAAACCCAGCGGGACCAGCCTAGGACTCCTCAGCCCCTAAGACGGTACTTCTTAACCTTGGCTTCACATTGGAATCACCTGAGGAGCTTTAAAAATTACTGCCACTTGGGTCCTTGTGACAAGATAACCTCAAAGAAGAGCAAAGTTGGAAGACTTCCTAATTTCAAAACTTACTATAAAGTTACAGCAATCAAGACAGTGTGGTACTGGTGATGAAAGGAACAGAATAATGAGGTCAGAAATAGGCCCACACATATGTAGCCACTTAATTTTAGACAGAAGTTCCAATGCAGTTCAATGGAGGGAAGAAAGCTTTTCAATAAAGGATGATGAAATAACTTTTTAAAAAATGAACCTTTATTCCTGTCTCACGCACATACAAAAAAATTTACTTGAGATAGGCCATGGACCTAAAATCTGTGCACTAAAACTGTAAAGCTTTTAAAAGAAACACAGAGGATATCCTCATGATCTTAGGACAGGCAAAGAATTCTTAGAACACAAAAAGGCTCTAAGTATGGAACTTCTGTCTCTCATCATGAGGTAGTAACGGTACAGAATTACCATTTCACCATAAAAAAGAAACAAACCAGAAAACTGGAAAATATACAGGAAATAACAATTTTCAGACATTGGACAAAAGGCAATTATTTACAAATATAAGAATTATCTCACAGATTTCTCATGAGAAACTATGCAAGCCAGAAAACAATGGAATGACACATTTTCAAGTGCTAGGTAAGGGGCAAACCCTGTAAATGTAGAATTCTATACCCACAGAAAATCCCTTTCAGAATTTCAGGTAAAATATAGACTTTTTCAGATCAACAAGAACAGAGAGGTTTCACTGACAGCAGATGTGCACTAAAACAAAAATTTTTTTTTTTTTTGAGACGGAGTCTTGCTCTGTTGCCCAGGCTGGAGTGCAGTGGCGTGATCTCGGCTCACTGCAACCTCCCCCTCCTGGGTTCAAGCAATTCTCCTGCCTCAGCCTCTTGAGTAGCTGGGATTACAGGTGTGAGCCACCTCACCCAGCCAAATTTTTATATTTTTAGTAGAGACAGGGTTTTGGCATGTTGACCAGGGTGGTCTTGAACTACTGACCTCTAGTGATCCACCCACCTCGGCCTCCCAAAGTGCTGGGATTATAGACGCAAGCGCTGTGCCTGGCCTAAAACAAATATGAAAGAAACTTCCCTATGAAAAAGAAAATTGACAACAGATGGAAACTTGGATCTATACACAGGAATGAAGAGTACTGAAAATGTTAAATATGTGGGAAAATACAAAAAGTATTTTCTTGTTTTCAAAATAATGACTAAAGAAAAAACAATATTAATGTATTGTAGGCTTATAAAATATACATGTAGAAATAAAATATAAAACAACAATAAGCACAGGATTGGAGAGGAAATAGAGGCATATAATAAGAATCACACATTATATGTCGAGTAGCATAAGTTTATTTGAAAGTGGACTGTAATAACTTAAAGATGCATATTGTAGGCCAGGTGCGGTGGCTCACGCCTGTAATCCCAGCACTTTGGGAGGCCGAGGCAGGTGGATCAGAATGTCAGGAGATCGAGACCATCCTGGCTAACATGGTGAAACCCCGTCTCTACTAAAATTACAAAAAATTAGCCAGGCATGGTGGCAGGCACCTGTAGTCCCAGCTACTCAGGAGGCTGAGGCAGGAGAATGGCATGAACCTGGGAGGCGGAGCTTGCACTCAGCTGAGATAGCGCCACTGCACTCCAGCCTGGGCCACAGAGCAACACTCCGTCTCAAAAAAAAAAAAAAAAAAAAAGATGCATATTGTAAACCTTAGATCAACCACTAAAGAAAAAGAGGTGCACATAGTAAGTTAACTAGTAGAGTTCAAATAAAATACTAATAAAATACTCAACTATGCCAAAAAAAGCCAAATGAAGAGAAAAATAGTAGAGCAGACAGGACAAACCGAAAACAGACAGCAAAATGGTAGAATGAAACTCAACCCTATTGACAACTACATTAAATGTGAATGGTCTAAACAATTCAGTTAAGTCAGACATGTCAGAATGGACTGAAATGCAAGGCCCAACTATATGCTGTCCACAAAAAAATCCACTTTAAAAATAAAGACACAGATAGATTAAAGGCAAAAGGATGGAAAAAAAATATACCAAGCAAGTATTAACCACAAGAAAGCCAAAGTGGCTTTTCAATATCAGGTAAAAGAGAATTCAGGGCAAGGAATGTTACCAGAAAAAAGAGAAAATTTTCCAATTGATAAGGAGTCTATTCATCAAGGAGAAATAATAATGCTAAATTTTTACGTACCTAGTAACAAAGCTTCAATATACATGAGTCAGCCAGACGCAGTGGCTCACACCTGTAATCCCAACACTTTGGAAGGCTGAGGTGGGCAGACCACTTGAGGTCAGGAGTTTGAGACCACCCTGGTCAACATGGTGAAATCCTGTCTCTACCAAAAATACAAAAATTAGCGGGGCATGGTGGCACATGCCTGTAATCCCAGCTACTCAGGAGGCTGAGGCAGGAGAATCGATTGAACCCGGGAGGCGGAGGCTGCAGTGAGGCAAGATCACACCAATGCACTCCAGCCTGGGCAACAAAGGGAGACTCCATCTCAAAAACCAACCAAACAAAGAAAAAAATACACAAAGCTATTGAAAGGAGAAATAAATACATGCACAATCACATCAGGAGACATCAAATCTCCTCTCTAATTGACATAATAAGCAGGTAGAAAAAGAATAGAAATCTAGAAGACTTAAATAATACCATCAACCAACTTGATCCAAGAGACGTTAACAGAACCTAACAAGAGCGGAATATATATTATTATCCTACCTAACAAGAGCGGAATATATATTATTATCCTACCTAACAAGAGCGGAATATATATTATTATCCTACCTAACAAGAGCGGAATATATATTATTTTAAAGTGCACATGGAGCAATCATCTAGGTAGACCATGAATTGAGCCACAAAACAAGTCACAATAATTAAAAAAAAACTGAAATCATATGAAGTATGATATGTGACTATAATGGAATTCGATTAGTATAATCAATCACAGAAAGATAACAGAAATTCCCAACTATTTGGAATTTAAACAATACTTTCATAAATAAGAACTTAGGGAAAAGAAAAACTCCCAAGGGAAATTACAAAATATTTTGAACTAAATATTTAAGAAATACAACACTCCAAAATTTGAGAAGTAAATTTAAAGTTTTAAATGCTTACAATACAAAAAAAAAAAAAAAAAAAAAGGCTCGGCTGGGCGTGTTGGCTCACGCCTGAGGTCAAGAGTTCGAGACCAGTCTGGCCAACATGATGAAACCCCATCTCTACTAAACATAAAAAAAAATTAGCCGGGCATGGTGGTATGTGCCTGTAATCCCAGCTACTCAGGAAGCTGCAACAGGAGAATTGCTTGAACTAGGGAGGTGGAGGTTGCAGTGAGCCGAGATGGTGCCACTGCACTCCAGCCTGGGTGGCAGAGCGAGACTCCATCTCAAAAAAAAAAAAAAAGGCTAAAATCAATGATCTAGGCCTCCACTTTAAGAAACCGGAAAAGAGGCCGGACACAGTGGCTCACCCCTGTAATCCAAGCACTTAGGGAGGCCGAGGTGGGCAGATCACAAGGTCAGGAGTTCAAGACTAGCCTGGCCAAAATGGTGAAACCCCGTCTCTACTAAAAATACAAAAATTAGCCAGGCATGGTGGCGCACACCTGTAGTCCCAGCTACTCAGGAGGTTGAGGCAGGAAAATTGCTTGAACCCGGGAGGCAGAGGTTGTGGTGAGCCAAGATCACCCCACTGCACTCCAGCCTGGGCGACAGAGTGAGACATTGTCTCAAAAAAAAAAAAAAAAAAAAAACTTGAAAAGAGCAAATTAAATATAAAGGAAGCAGAAGAAAGGAAATAAGAGTGAAAATCAATGAACTAGAAAGTCCACAAACAATAGAGCTAATCAATGAAACCAAAAACTGTTTCTTTGGTTTTTGGAACAACAAAATAGATGAATCTCTAACCTCACTCAACAAGAAAAGAAAAAAAAGAAGATAGAAATTATCAATATCAGAAATGAAAGAGGAAATATCACTACAGACATTAAAAGGGTAATAACAGAATATCATGGAAAAACTTTATGCAATAAATTGACAACCTTTAAATGGACAATTTTCTGAAAAAAATACAAATGATCAAAACTCCCTCGAGAAACAGAAGACCTGAAGAACACTATATCAATTTTAAAAATTGATTAATATAAAACCCTCTCATAAGCAAAACTTTAGGCCCAAGTGGCTTCATTGGTGAATTCTAACAAATCTTAAGAAAGAAATAATATCAATTCCACACAGGCTATTTTAGAAAATAGAGAAGGAGGTCGGGTGTGGTGGTTCACACCTGTAATCCCAGCACTTTGGGAGGCCGAGGCAGGTGGATCACCTGAGGTCAGGAGTTCGAGACCAGCCTGGCCAACATGGTGAAACCCCATCTCTAGTAAAAATACAAAAATTAGCTGGGCATGGTGGCAGCTGCCTGTAATCCCAGCTACTTGAGAGGCTGAGGCAGGAGAATCGCTTGAACCCAGGAGGTTGCAGTGAGCCAAGATCGCACCACTGCCCTCCAGCCGGGTGACAAGAGCAAAACGCTATCTAAAAAAAAAAAAAAAAAAAATAGATAACAGGGAAGGAGAGAAGCACTTATCAAATAATTTGATGAGAGCAAGCTACCCCGACACCAAAACCATTACAAGAAAAGGAAAACAGAGACCACCAATACCACTCATGAATATAGAAGGAAATATTTTGACAGACAGAATCTTTGCAAATTGAACCCGGCAACATATAAAAAAAGTAATATCCCATAACCAAGTGGATTTTATTATAGGAATGCCAGGTTGGTTTCACATTCAAAAACCAATCACAGTAATTCATTAATATAATAGAATAGACAAAATCACATAATCATCCCAATGAATATAGCCATGGTATCTGACAACATTAACACCCATTTGTGATTTTTGTTGTTGTTGTTGTTGTTTTGTTTTTTGAGACGGAGTCTCACCCTGTTGCCCAGGCTGGAGTGCAATGGCGTGATCTCGGCTCCCTGCAACCTCTGCCTCCCAGGTTCAAGCAATTCTCCTGCCCCAGCCTCCCAAGTAGCTGGGATTACAGGTGCACAGGCGAGCGCCACCATGACCAGCTAATTTTTTGTATCTTTAATAGAGACGGGGGTTCACCACGTTGGCCAGGCTGGTCTCAAACTCCTGACCTCGTGATCCGCCCACCTCGGCCTCCCAGAGTGCTGGGATTACAGGCGTGAGCCACCACGCCTAGCCAGCATACTTCCTATTTTGTCTTGTTTTCAGTTGTGTGGGGTGTTTTTTTTTTTTTGAAATTAACAAGTTGATTTAAAAATTTATATAGAAATGCAAAGATTACAGCATAGTGAAAACAATTTTTAAAAGAACTATGTTGGAGACTTT
Organism: Homo sapiens; assembly: GCF_000001405.40. Lineage (NCBI taxonomy): Eukaryota > Metazoa > Chordata > Mammalia > Primates > Hominidae > Homo > Homo sapiens. The sequence continues at coordinate 31,739,077 of NC_000021.9, read as the reverse complement.
AACTGATTTACTTGAATTACTAGAGAAATTAAGACAGTGGGCTATGTATATGCAAGAAAAGTATATAGATATATATAAAGGAACAGAGTACACATACGTGGAACTAGATCCACACATATGTGGTCAACTGATTTTCAACAAAGGAGGCAAAGTAATTCAATGGGGGAAATGATCTTTTTTTCCAACAAATAGTGCTGGAACAACTAGATATCCTAATGTAAAAAAATGAAGCTTGATATTTATCTTATCTCATACACATATATTAAATCAAAATGGATCACAGACTTAAACAAAAGTGCTAAGCTATAAAGAGTCAAGAAGAAAATAGAGGAGAACATTTCCATATCCTGGGGATAAGCAAAAATTTTTCAATATGACAGAAAAGCACAAACCATAAAAGAAAAAAGTATAAATTATATCCATCAAAATTAAAAACATCTGCTTTTCAAAAGAAAATGAAAAGGAAAGCCACAGACTGTGAGGAAATGTTTACAACACACATATCTGACAAAGGACTCATATCATTCAATAGCTTCCTATTGAAGCTTCCAAATGATCCGTTTTTTTAAAGGGCAAACGATTTGAACACTTTACTAAAGAAAGTATACATGGCCGGGTGCGGTGGCTCACGCCTGTAATCCCAGCACTTTGGGAGGCCGAGGTGGGGGGATCACAAGGTCAGGAGTTCAAGACCAGCCTGGCCAACATGGTGAAACTCTGTCTCTACTAAAAATACAAAAATAAGGTGGGCATGGTGGCATGTGCCTGTAATCCCAGCTATTCGGGAGGCTGAGGCAGGAGAATCACTGGAATCTGGGAGGCGGAGGTTGCAGTGAGCCGAGATCCAGCCACTGCACTCCAGCCTGGGTGACAGAGCAAGACCCCATCTCAAAAAAAAAAGGAAAAGAAAGTATACATATGGCCAATATACACATGGAAAATACTCAACATCAGGGCAAGGTGCCAGACTCTGGAGGAATAGTTCCTCGAGGAAGGAACTTATCTGTGTTTGGGCTTATCACAGTATTCCACACACCTAGCACAGTGCCTGTCCACAAGAGATGTACACATTTATTTTCTGAATGAATGAAACAGCAAATGTTGGACTGGCGTGGCCTAGTCCTAAAAGGTGACATTTCACTTCAGATGAGACTGGTTTTTAATACTTTCCATTTTGGAAAGAGAATCTTGGATTCCTAATCCTAAGTAAGATAGGAAGTGATGAAGAGAAATTGTTTTCCTTTATTAGTTACTCATATGCTCACTGTTGCAATCATAGCTAAGATGACATCCAGAACATTTTAGGTTTGCTGCATACTTACTTGTATGTTTACTTTTTTAAGGAGCTTACTCTTTCTGACAATAAAACTGGCCTGGTGTGGTGGCTCATGCCTGTAATCCCAGTACATTGAGAGGCCAAGGAGGGCGGATCACCTGAGGTCAGGAGTTCGAGACCAGCCTGACCAACATGGCAAAACCGCATCTCTACTAAAAATACAAAAAAAAAAAAAAAAAACCAGCCAGGCACGATGGCGGATGCCTATAATCTCAGCTGCTCAGGAGGCTGAGGCAGGAGAATCGCTTGAAACCAGGAGGTGGAGGTTGCAGTGAGCCGAGATCACCCCACTGCACTCCAGCCTGGGCAACAGAGTGAGACTCCTTCTCAAAAAAAAAAAAAAAAGTGATACATGCCTTCTGTGAGGAGTATGAAAAATGCTGAAAAATTAAAAAGAAAATGAAAATTCCCTAAAATCCCATTGCCCAACTGCCGTTGAGCTCTTCCTTCTTGGAGTTCCTGCTTTCCACACATTTCATTCCATTGTTTTGGCCCCAACAACATAAAGGGCATGAAGACAGAAGATGCACAAAAGGAGTCAGGTGGGTCCCTTGGGGATGGAGGGATCCCCATGTGGAATTCCCCAGTGGGCAGTTGAAATGCAGTTCTAAACCAGGAGAGAGTTCAGTCACATCCCTAAGTGGGGAGGAAGAAGAATCACAGAGGTGTCAGGGAAAGCTTCAGAGAGAGGAGGAGGCAAGATAATGAAAAGGTAAGCCACAGACTGGGAGGAAGTATTTACGATACACATATCTGACAAATGACTTGAATCCAGGAGGCTGGCCAGAGAAGGAAAGCAGACCAAGGAGAAAGAAGTCTCATATAATACAGCCAGTTTATACTCTCTCCAGAAAGTATATGGCATAAAGCATTAGAAAGAACTCATTTTCAAGGCTGGGTGCAGTGGCTCATATTCCCACCCATATTCCCAACACTTTGGGAGGCCGAGGCAGGAGGATTGCTTAAGAACAGGAGTTGAAGACCAGCCTGGACAACATAGGAAGACCCTGTCCACAAACAAATTTAAAATTAGGCCAGGTTTGGTGGCTCATGCCTGTAATCCTAGAACTCTGCGAGGCTGAGATGGAAGAATTGCCTGAGCCCAGGAGTTCAAGACCAGCCTGGGCAACACAGGGAGATTAGCTGGGCATGGAGGCTTGTACCTGTAGTCTCAGCTATTTGGGAGGCTGATGTGGAAGGATCGTATGAGCCCAGGAGGTCGAGGCTGCAGTGAGCCATGATCACACCAGTGCATTCCAGCCTGGGCGACAGAGCAAGACCCTGTCTCAAAAACAAACAAACAAACAAACAAAAAACAGAAAGAACCCATATTCTCTTAAATTCTTATCTATAAATGTTTTATTGGACTCTTCAGGCGTGAGATGCTTTCTCTCCATATTCTCTATACCTGTGGATTGTGGCCAGCATTCTTTTCAAGAAAATGAGCTGGCTTTTGAAGAACACAGAATTAACCAGAACATTGCTTCCTGAATGTCATCTTTTCCTTCCTCCGCAAACAGATTTCATCTACTCTTTTTAAAAACATAAGTTTGTTTAGAATGGCTTTTCAGAACTATTTTCACACCCACATTATGAACAAACGAATCTGTTTCAATCAATGTTCTTTGAAAGAAGGCAAGTTTGCAGATGTATTAAATGTCTTGCTGATTTTTATCCGTCACGCTTATTTCTGAACCTCTGGCCATCTTTTCAATAGGCTACATTCCTACTGCTTCAAAGTCTGCTCACAAAGGACAACCCTCATAAGTTTTTGTCATTTACCCAAAATTTCCTATTGGAAGGTTCGACTCGTCTGCCTGGAGAGATAAAGATGGAAGTCCAGCAGTAGCTGTGCAAATGGCCACCAGATGTTCCAGAACAGATACAGGTGCTGCTGTCTTCAGAACAGGAAAATGCTAGAAAATGCTGCCAAGGCACCCAAAGTCTAGCTGATACCAACTACTTGCTAAAAGACCTCTCAAACACTGTCAACATAAAAACCAAATAATCCTATCCAGGAAAGAACCTCCAAAATCCGTTAACTATCTCAAGCACATGGATCTTAGAAGCCAAATCTTGTTTCTTGTGCATTCAAATCTCAGTAGGATGGTACACAGAAAATACCCCCTTTGGACTATCACTTCCTCATTCAACAACCATTATAGGCCCCAATAGCTGTAAAGCACCGAGTCCCAAGGCAACCTGTCCAAAGCTCAACTCACTACTCTCCTCCCAAGTCCCCCTTTCCAACCCCAGCTTAAGACTTCATCCTTCCTTAGCCAGATCTATTTCCCTGACTCACAAGAGGAAAGCAGACTGTATGAATTGGGGAAGGGGGATCTCATTTGGCTTTGTGGACCCATTTTTAAGTTCTGCCACTCTTCACAGAAACAGGTAGAGATACAGCGGGGGCACATCATGTCAGAATAATGCAGACTTTTTTTTTTTTTTTTTTTTTTTTTTTTTTTTTTTTTTTTTCAGATAACAGCAATACAAGGTAAGAGGTGCTATGGTGGAGTCATAGAAGCATATGGTGGAAGATGCCAAGACTGGCTGAAAGGAGAGTGGGGAAGCTTTTCCGCACAGTGCCTGGCACAAAGTACATGCTCAATACATGATTAATGAATGAAAAGGCAGTGACATCTCAATATCAACTAGATGTTAAATGGGCCTGCCTATATAGAGGAGCAGAGAGGGGTTTTCTATGAGAGCAAAGGCCCAGCCATGTCAATTCCCAGATGTGTCCAGGGAATGACAAAACCTGGGTTGTGCCCTGGCAACAGGCTGGAAACATGGTGTGGGGATCTTGGACAGAATTTGGTAGACAGTAGATCTCCAGAAATGCCAAATGCCAAATGCCAAAGGGTAGGAAACAGAGATCTACTCACATCTGTACTTTTTTTTTTTTTTTTGAGATGGAGTCTTGCTCTCTTGCCCAGGCTAAAGTGCAGTGGCATGATGTCGGCTCACTGCAACCTCTGCCTCCCGGGTTCAAGCGATTCTCCTGCCTCAGCCTCCAGAGTAGCTGGGATTACAGGCACGTGCCACCACACCTGGTTAATTTTTTATATTTTTGGTAGAGACCAGGTTTCACCATTTTGGCGAGGCTGGTCTCGAACTCCTGACCTCAAGTGATCTGCCTGCCTCAGCCTCCAAAAATTCTGGGATTACAGGCATGAGCCACCGCGCGAGCCTCATGTCTGTACTTTCTAATGCAATGTTAGTGGTCTTGCGGATGACAGCTGTTACAGAAACAAGATGGATTTGGAAAATATAATGGTAGTTCAGTTGGAAGATTAAAAAGTAGTGATAGGAAGTGGTAATGAAGTAGAAGATGAGTGGACCCGAAAATAAAATTTGAAAACTACTTTCTTTGTTCCTTTAACAAGTAATTAAGAGTACATTACTCTGGGGGAGGGATAGCATTTGGAGATATACGTAATGCTAAATGACGAGTTAATGGGTGCAGCACACCAACATGGCACATGTATACATATGTAACAAACCTGCACATTGTGCACATGTACCCTAAAACTTAAAGTATAATAATAATAAAATAAAATAATTTTAAAAAAGAGTACATTACTCTCATCTCAAAACAAAACAACACACAAGCAAACACTCTCACTTCCTCCTGCAGGTTTTTTCTGTTGTCTTCACAACTTGCCTTCACAGCCAAGTTTCTATAAACTTTCTCCTGCCTGCCTTCCCCTCTTTGATACACATCAGTCTAGCTTTTGCCCTCACCACGCCAGCCTACACGCAGGACAAGCTCCCTGCATGTAGCACCCGTCAGGCACTTTCCAATTCTTATCTTGCTGGACTTCTACTCCAAGCACCAGACAGAGCTGATCACTTCAGAGCTCTCTCTTCACCTCTTCTTGCCTCCAACTTATCCCTTACATACCCGTGTTCCTGGGCTTTTTCCCCCTATCTATTTCAGCTCCTTCCACCACTAGCTGTGCACTAATGACTCCCAGATTTCTATCATCTCAGCCATCGCTCCTGACTCTGCAAGTGTTTACCCAACTGCCTCCTAGACATCCTCACTTACTTGTCCCAGGCGCAGCTCAAACTCCACAGGCACCAAAGGGAAATGATCCAGCTGTGTGACCTTGGGCACATTAATTAACTCACTCCCTGAATTATAAAATGAGGGCATTACTAATGGACACCTCACCCAGAAGCCTGTTACGGAGAGTACAGAATAGCATGTCAGCAGACGTTGGCACATGGTAAGCGACAAGTGTTAACCATCATTCTGTCTTCCCTCAAACCCACGCCTTCTTCCCCATAAATCCCCTACGTTGACTCATAAACCCACCACCCAGGTCATTCATCAAGTCAGGCTGTGGGCATCCTCCTTGACACCCCCTTTATTAACCTCACAGTTACTCTGCCTCAGCCCTTCCACTCCACTTCCTAAACATCTGTTCTTCCTTCTCTATCGCCACCACCTTCAGCCCTCATTTTCCCAGGGGGCTGGGGTCATTCTTTCCCTGTCTCCTCTTACTACTTTGCACCATCCTTCTGAGAGAACACTGCATCCATCACTCCACCTTCCCCTTTCAAGGGCTCCCCTCTGCCTTATGGGGGCAAAATCCAAACTCTGGAAGAGCAAAGCCTCTTTATGGTCTCACTCTCCTCTCTCAGTCCACCTTGCTCCTCAGCTCCAGCTGGTCCTCCTTCGGGGGAGGTGATGGTGGCAGTCCTCATCAGGCTCTGCAGGCCTCTCCTCCCTCCAGATGTAGCCTGGACTTCCTGTCGGAGGCGCATCTTTCTCGTTTCCCAGGGCCTGTGCCCTAACACTAAGCATGCTTTGGTAAGTATCTGCTCAGTTGTCTGTCCTCTCCACTAAACTGTGCTGTTTTCAGGCAAAACAATTATCGTTTATTTCCATGTCTCCAACACTAGGCAGACAGTAGGTACTCAAGGAAAGTGATCAACATAAAGAGTTTTGGCCAAAAATGAAACAACTTGGTTTGAGGAATCAGCGTGAAAGTTAGTGAATCCACTCCTCTCGTGGCACAAGGCTGCACAGGGGTTCCTTAAGGCCTGCGTGGATATCCAGTGCCTGAACGTCTTTCTCGGTGTTTTCGCTCGCGCAGAATTAACCTGCACAACTACAGCGGACACACAGCTGCACTGGCATTGGCAGAAGCTTTTTTTCTTTTCCCCAGCAGAGCGCACGAGGGCCTGCAAAGGCACGCCCAGAGAGCCGAGGTTAAATCCTGCGCCCTTTGTTCGCGGCAGCCGAGAGCCAGCGGCTCAGTGCCCGCCGCCCCCGCCGGGTGCAGGGCCGGTTAGGGCCGAGCGTTTCGCAGAGACGCACCCCGGGAGCACCGCGTCGAGCGGAGCGCGCGTGCGCCAGGGCTTGCTCTGGGTCACCCTCGCAGCCCTGGGATCCCGCGCTCTGCAAGGCCGTCTCCCCGGCCCGCGGCCGCGGCCGCCGCCGCCGCCGGCGGGAAAGCGCCCAGCGTCCCGGCGTCACGCGCCAGCAGCCCTGCACGCGGGGCGGTGCAGGGCGGCGCAGGGCGGGACGAGGCGGGGAGGGGGCGGGGCCAGCGCGACGGGGCGGGGCGAACGCCGGGCACAGGAAGCGCCGGGAGGCCTGAGCCGTCCCAGGGTGCCCCGCGCGGCGTGGACTCGGGCCGCTGCCGCCATCCCGCTGGAGAGAGGGAGAGAGAGGCCCGCCCGCTCGCCGGCCGGGCCAGTGTGAGCCAGTGCGTGAGGGCGCGGGGGGCCGTGTCAGCGAGACGCAGAGCGCAGCCGCCACCACCAAACGGACATGTTGAAGACCAGCGCTGCCGCCGCCTCCTTTTCCTCATCCTGCGAACGGGACTGAGAGGGGGCCCGCCACCTCTCCGCCTCTGCCTCGGCCGCCCGCCTCGCCGCTTCGGGCGCAGCCTCTTCCTGCCCGGGCCTCGGACTCCGCCGCTCGTCGCCTCCCCCCGGCCACCAGGCCCGGCTGGTTTCCCAGCCCCGCTCCGCCGCGGCGCGAGGTCTATGTGACCGGCGGGCCCGGAGCAGCCGCCGCCGCAGCGCGAACATGGACGCCGTCAACGCCTTCAACCAGGAGGTAAGGGGTGTTTGGGGCAGGGGGGTGCCGGGCCTGCTGCGGGAGCCGGGGCTCGTTTCTCCCGCCGCCGGAGGTTTAAAGCTTTGGTCCGGGTGGGGACGCTTCCTGCCCCGGTTCCGGGGCGGCGGGGCCTGCGCGGAGCGGGGCCTGTGGCCCGGGAGAGGTCGCGGCGACCACGGGAACTGACCCCGCACCCCTCCCCCCACTGCCCACCCCCGGACCGCGACCTCGGGCTTCTCCCCTCGCCCCCTTGCGGCCTCCCATAGCCCAAGTCTGTGCCTGTTCCTCTAACTTGGCCCTTTTTCGGGTCTGGGCGCCCTCGCTCTCTGCTCCGCGAGCCCCGTTGTCGGGTTCGCAGTGCCGGGAGCCCGCAAAGGGCTAAGAAAGAAGCGCGGGCGGGCGTGTGGGGTTGGGGGCGGGGGAGCGGGAGCATCTGCCGGTCGTGGGGCTGGCGGAGAGGTGGCTTCAGCTCTCCTGTTGCTCAGGCCGCGGCGCGTCGACGGCTGGACTCTGATCCCGGGTCTGGGAGGAGTTGAAGAGGGTGTTCATCCCCCTTCTCCGGGATTCACGCACTTGGGAAATAGGGCTAATAAACGGAGAGGGGGTGGCTCGTTATAATTTAAAGTCGTGAACATAACCCTCTTATAGGCTCTATGGCCCCAACGTGACGCCTAAAAAGTTGAATGGGAGAGAAGAGTATTCGCTCCGCCTTAGTCCGCTAGAAAGCTGGCGTTGTCCTCCAGTTCCCTACCCTCGCACCCCCTCCCGAGGTAGTTAATCCTCGGCTCCCTTCTACGAGGACATTTACATGTGAAAACCTCTCCAAACTGGGAACAAAGCTGCCTGCGGCCTTAAAGTTCTCTAGTTGTTTCTCTGATCATTCCAGGTGTTGCTTTTGGAGTGTAGAGTCCATACATCCTATTTGTCAGAATCGATTTGGGAGGAGGAGACTTGACCATTGATGATTTAAAATGCAGTTACAGAATGGGAACTATTGTCATGGGTTGAGTTGTATTGTCTTCCCTTTCCAAATACCAAAGATAAAGCAACATTGAAAAATCAAATGTTGTAGTTCGAGATGTGTGGATGTGGCGTTAAAAACGTGCTGCATCTCACAGATTTTGTAGGTTTACTTGTAACAATTATGGTGCAATAACTTTCCTTTAGATTTGCAGTGCCATAATATATGGGACTTTCCAATTACACTGCAGTTGAGACAATTTATTGCCATATAAATTATCCTAAAAGTGATTTTCTTCAATTGATGGGTACATAAAATGCCCTAACTGCAGAAGTTGCAACTGGTATTGGACAGTGTCTTGTAAAAGTTCAGTTGTGATGATTTTCAAAACAATAAAAATAATATGTCCTAGTTTTTGATCGCCAGAGAATTTGTGATAATGCTCCAAACATTTCAGGGTTGGAAGCTGATTGTTTTCTGAAGGTAGAATTCACTGGCATGTTGGCTCCTGGCTCCATGAGGGCAGGAAGTTTCAGTTCTTTTCCCCGCTTCTCTACCAATCAAAACAGGTGCCTCGCAAATAATTGTTGAATGAGAATTTAAACAAATGGCACAACAATAGTTAAAATATTTCAAGTACATTTTTCTCCCAACAATGAATGTGTATTTTAAAAATTTATTTCAGAATCGGAAGAATGAATGTTTTTGATGAAAGAAGAGGATTTTTAGTTTATTCTTAAGATCAGAAGTATTCTGATTCAGGCATTATGGAAGTTGACATCAAGCACATTGTTAAGCAAAGTATTTTCTATTAATCCTGAAAAGGCACAATCAGTAATTTTTACTTTGAAAAACCAAAGTTAGGAATGGTATTGATTCCTTGAAAAAGGGAAGTGATATTTGACCTTTTAAATGTGCAAAATGAGCATTTTCTTATCATTGTTCATTTTCCAGTTCATTTCAGTTCTATTCCTAGTCTTTATGAACTGCAAAGAATGCCAGCTCTCTTCTGCTAAATTAAAACTCCTCTAGAGAAATTAATCTGAGTTTAAAATTCATCTTACTGTGCCTACTTGATTTGTAGTGCTTCTCAACTATTTCTCCCCATTCATGAAATGTTCTTGATTCGTTCCCCATATAATCTTGAATCTCTGAGATCTGATCTTCACTTAAACTTTTGAGTGCCTGCTCACCTGCACAGCCATGTCCTGAATACTGTAGAGCTACCAAGGATTTCAGTCACCTAAAAGTCTAATCCAATAGAGGACATAAGACTTAGACAAATAATTTTAATAGGAGGTAGAACAGCTTCCTTTGGGATCCTTCCATTGCAGTGTGGCATAGCCATTGGAGATAAGTGAAGGCTTGGGAAGAGGAGCAGGTATCAGTTTTAGGATTTCAGAAGATGTAGGAAGCAGTGATCGAAGGGCAGTAGTGCTGAAAAGTGAGTATTTTGATTCTGAAGGCTACTGGAAAGTAAGGATGGTAAAGTAGTTTGGGCCTGACAAGTTTCATGTTTGCCTAATGTGTTTGAATTTCAGTTTTAGGCTGTGGGTAAACATTGAAGGTTTTAAGCAGTGGGATAATGTAATCAAAACTGTTTCGTTCGTAGTGTTATGTGTTGTAGGAGGCAGAGACTTGGTAGGAAAGATAAGTAAAACCTGAACTTGGCAAGTGTATAGTGGGAATGGAGAATAGGAAAAGGATGTGGGCCAAAGGAATCCATGGACCTTGGCATCTGATAGGTTTATAAGCACCTTTTGTCCCCACATCCTAAGGGCTGAGAGAGTGGTGATACCCTTATCACAAGTCATCAAAAGCCTACTTAGTAGAGAAGAAAATGTGTTTGATTTTTGAACAGGTTAATTGTGGAACAATCATGTGGAAATTTTTGGCAAGTAGTTGGGCTTATAGGACTTAAACTTGGAAGCAACTAAGAGATAGAGGGAGACATCCAGGAGTTCAGATGGGAAAGATGGGGGAAAATTGAAAGGGGGAGAAAAAGGAATTAATATAAGACCAATGGCATGTCAGGCATTAGATATGTACACATATCTAATTTAATATGTATTCCCACAACCCTGCATAGACGTCCAATTACAGATGAGGAAACTGATTTTCCAAGAAATTATAATAAATAGTAACTCCCCTAAGGGCATATTGCTAGTTAATGGCAGAACTAGGATTTGAATTGGGATCTCTCCAATTTAATTGTGTCCGAAGATAATATTTTGTATAGTATGAGGGGACTTGGCCACTGAAATGTTTGAGGATAACAGGATTTGAGGTTTAGGGTTGAATGGTGATGGGAGATAAGGAAATAAGAGGTAGCTAGTGTAAAGTAGTCTTTAGAGGTTTGGTTTTGAGGGATTAGAGGGAAATGTTGCTTAAGGATGAGGGAAGGAAGGGCAGTTAACAATGTACTAGGCACTGGTGATAGGCAGTACGTTTGTTTGTATTATATGTATATATATAAGTCTTTAGCTTTAGTTAGTAGTGTTGAATCCCTAGTCTTTTAGATGGGAGTAGAGGCTTTAGCATTTTCAAGGAAGGGGGTGTAGAATAGCATAGTTTACCAGCAAGAGGGGATGGCTAACTTGAAGCAAAATTATGGATAAGAGAAATGGGACAAATCAGAAGCAGTAGTAAAAGACGTCCATCTCTGATACAGAAGGAAAGGAAGATAAGAGAGGTTATTAAAGATACCCATTTAACAGAATATTTGGAGAATTTTTATGGCAAGACATGTATTAAGTGTTGTGAAAGATTGAAAAGGGTAGTGAAAAAGTATCAGTTATCAATTATGGCTAATACTTAATGGTGTCTGTTGTATAGTTTATATACTTCTGAATGTGAAGAATTTGCTAAAGTTTGTGGAATAGAATAAAGAGTATGGAATTTTTTTTTTTTTTAAGGTGGAGACCCGCTCTGTCACCACGCTGGAGTGCAGTGGCGCAATCTCAGCTCACTGCAGCCTCCGCCTCCTGGGTTCAAGCGATTCTCCTGCCTCTCCTCCCGAGTAGCTGGGACTACAGGAGCACACCACCACTCCCAGCTAATTTTTGTATTTTTAGTAGAGACGGGGTTTCACCATGTTGGCCAGGATGGACTTGATCTCTTGACCTCGTGATCCACCCTCCTGGCCTCCCAAAGTGCTGGGATTACACGTGTGAGCCACTGCGCCCAGCCAGATTGTGTTTTTTAACCCATTGATTGTATTTTTAGTCTTTAACCCATCTTGCCTAAATCCTGAAGAATTGTATCTTGCCCCTCCCACTTTTTTTGCATCATCTGCAGTTTTAAGACATTTGAAGTACAAAAATAGTCCAGGCACGGTGGCTTACGCCTGTAATTCCAGTACTTTGGGAGCCCAAGGCGGGTGAATCATGAGGTCAGGAGTTACAGACCAGCCTGGCTAACATGGTGAAACCCTGTCTCTACTAAAAATACAAAAAATTAGCTGGGCCTGGTGGTAGGCGCCTGTAATCCCAGCTACTTGGGAGGCTGAAGTAGGAGAATTGTTTGAACCCTGGAGGCAGAGGTTGCAGTGAACCGAGATTGGGCCACTGCACTCCAGCTTGGGCAACAGTGTGAGAGTCCATCTTAAAAAAAAGAAAAAAAAGTACAAAAATAGTGCAGAGAAAATAAAACAGTTAAGAATATACAGTTGTTACTATTTTGTGTTTTTAATTTACAAATAAAATATAAAGTCTTCCTTTCATCCTCACTCCAACCCCAACCCTCCTCCCACTTGCAGGAGAGGCAATCAAATAATTTAGTATTAATCTCTGTGGTCCATAAACAATATATAATATTCTCTGATACTGGAGTGTAGTGGCACCAGCACGGCTTACTGCAGCTTTGACCTGCTTTTTTTGTTTGCTCAAATATTAATACTGTCTATTAAGATTAGTTAATATTTTGCTGACAGGCTGCAATGAACTTTTCAAACATGTCTCCTGGTGCGCATGTGTAGGAATTTCTGTAGGACAGCTGTTCTCAAACTTTTTGGTTTTAGACCCATTTATTTGTTTTTTGAGACAGGGTCTGGCTCTGTGGCCCAGACTAGAGGGCAGTGGCACAAACTCCACCCATTGCAACCTCCGCCTCCTGGGCTCAAGCCATCCTCCTGTCTCAGCCTCCCAAGTAGCTGGGACCACAAACCTCTGCCACCATGCCTGGCTAATTTTTCAATTTTTTTCGGTAGACACGGGGTTTGGCTCTGTTGCCCATGCTGGTCTCAAGCCTCTGAGCTCAAGTGATTAGCCCACCTTAGCCCCCTGAAAGTACTGGGATTGCAGGCATGAGCCACCATGCCTGGCTAGATCCTTTTAAATTCTTAAAGGTTAAGGGCCACCGCCAGGCGTGGTGGCTCACACCTGTAATCCCAGCACTTTGGGAGGCCGAGGCGGGCAGATGACAAAGTCAAGAGATCGAGACCATTCTGGCTAACACGGTGAAACCCCGTCTCTACTAAAAATACAAAAAATTAGCTGGGTGTGGTGGCGGGCGCCTGTAATCCCAGCTACTTGGGAGGCTGAGGCAGGAGAATGGTGTGAACCCGGGAGGCGGAGCTTGCAGTGAGCCGAGATCGCGCCACTGCACTCCAGCCTGGGCGACAGAGCGAGACTCTATCTCAAAAAAAAAAAAAAGTTAAGGGCCACAGAGAGCTTTTGTATCTATCTATTGGTTATTATATTTATTGATATTTACCATATTAGAAATTTAAACTGAGAAATGCAAGTGTTTATTAATTTACTAAAAATAACAATAAACTTATTACAATATGTTAATATAAATAACATTTTTAATGAAAAGTAACGTTTCTAAAACAAAAAAATTAATAAAGAGTGACATCATTTTGCATTTTTGCACGTCATTTAAACTTTGGTTTAATAAAACCTGGATCCTCATTCCACTTTTTCATTCAGTCTGTTGCAGTAACACACATCAGGTAGCCTCTGGAATATACTGCTACATACTTCTGAGAAAACGAACAAAAAGGCAAGAACTATCTTAGTATTCATATGAAAACAGTTCTGACCTCAAACCACGGAAAGGGACTCAAAGACCTCTCAGAGGTCCTTGGATTACTCTTTGAGAACTGCAGTGCTGAGGTGGTATGCATATAATGCTACTTTGCAGTACAGAAAAAAAATGCGAGTACTTGTATATTCATGGTTATCTTTAAAATTGGACATAAATTAGGCTTTATGAATACTTAATGTACGAATTGACATTGGTACACTTATCCAGTTGGGCTGTCAATCATGTTATTCTGAAGGAAGAGTTGAGTTTTACATCTTAGTGGGAGCTTGGTACTCCCTTCTCTTACTGTAAATTGTTCTGTATGACTATTGTTGATTACTAGGGATGATTGTCTTCTAGAATTTAGTTCATCTGATGGGGATGCCTTATTAAGTATTTTTTTTTTAACCTGTAGTGTTAATGTTTGGGGTTTGATCATTTCTGAGACGTTTATCTAAAGACATGTAGACAGAGGGTTCAAAGTTCTTTACTGTATGGAAAAGATGTAGAGGACCAGGTCGATTATTGGCAGTAAAATTGGAGATTTCCCTTGCAAAAGTTGACCATGTTGTGCTGTTATCCCAGGAGTTTTTGAATGTTGAAAGTTGGTTATACAGTGTTTTCTTTCTCTACTTTCTTGACCCAGGGAATTCTTAGTTTCTGACAAGGGTATTGGTCTGGCTTTATAGTGATTGCGATAAAGTGATTCTTCAGAGCTTTCTGTAGCGGGGTTTATCACTGATGTTCTTGTTGTAAGTATTTCCCTCCCTAGTCTATCATTTTGTCTAGTATTCTGTTTCAGAAAAAATTACATGAACACATGAGGAATTGATTCAGAGAGCAATTAGAATAATGGAAAAGTTGGTTTCTAAACCTTGTGAAACAGAATTCAGGTTAAAACTGTACCTACTAGAGAGATGACACAATTGGTAGTTTTTTTTTGTTTGTTTTCTTTACCACATACGAAGCCACTGTAAAAATTGTAGGTTGTTCTGTGTCATGGGGCACGAACAAATATAATTTACTTCAGAATTGGAAGTAACTTTTTTGTACATATCTGCGCACACTCAAATCTCATTTGAAATACACCTTGATAACATAGTAGGGAAAAAATGTTACATCAGTAATGAACCTTTAGTGTTATTCATAACATTTGTTGAGACAATATGCCAAATCCTTTTTTAGCACACTTCAGAGCAACAGCATACAACTTTCATGATAAGCTGAAAACTACACTGTGTTGTCAGGTATATAGCAGAATAAGCAGCTTACCTATTAACAGTTCAAAATTTTGGTAACATTGGTATATTAATTAGTATTATGTTTCTGTCAAACCACAGAAAATATAGAGGTGGGTAATAGTTAAATTTGCGTTAGAAGAGGCCTTACCAGGATCTGTTGAGAGCTTAGGAGAGACATGTCTACATTTCTGTGTTAATATTAAGTGTAATTAATACTGTGCTGCTGTGATTTTGAGAACTACAAGAGATTTTACAAACAATATTATAATTTATTATACCCTGATCACCTTCATTCTGTTCAATATTTGCATCGTTTATTGATTACATTTCATTGCTGAGTAGTTTGAGCTTTTTATTGGTGCTTTTTAAGACATAGATAAGTAAGTATACAGAAACCCTATATTCCAGTAAAGTGCACTGTACCAGATTAGTAGTAAATTCAGGAAGAAAACCAGTGTAACTCAGCAGTGGAGTTAAGAATTAGAAGCCCGGGTTTTTACTAGGGGGTAGAGGAGAACAGCAGGGCTCAGTGAAAGGTGGATGGCCATCCAAATACCTCTTGAAAGTTATAATTTATGTTTGGGTAATTGATGATTCTTGGTGTAAATCCATGTGGGTCAATAATCCCAGTTGGAAGAGACCGGAGAGCAGTGGTATAGCTGGCATATTTGACATCCAGAGCAGATTTTTTTAAAACACACCCTTTTTGTATAGCAAAATTATTTTCAGAAATAATCATGAAATGAGTAATGGAAATGGCCAGAAAGAAAACTTGAACTGTATGTGCGCGCGCGCGCGCGCGCACACACACACACACACACATCATATAAATCATACCAGACTTTTAAATTGCATTAATATATGTTTTTTGAAATAGTGGAAAAACTTATCTGCATACTGATATGTCACAATAATGAATACAAATGTTACAGGATTTTTTGTTTTGTTTTTTGTTTTGTTTGTTTTGTTTTGTTTTTTTTGAGACGGAGTGTTGCTCTGTCACCCAGGCTGGAGTGCAGTGGCATGATCTTGGCACATAGCAACCTCCGTTTCCTGGGTTCAAGCAATTCTCCTGCCTCAGCCCTGCCTAGTAGCTGAGATTACAGGTGCACGCCACCGGGCCCGGCCAATTTTTGTATTTTAAGTAGGGACGGCGTTTCACCATGTTGGCCAGGCTGGCCACTATCTTTAAAAGTCTTAGGCAGGTTTGTCAATGACTATTAAAATTGATCTTCACATATTTGTGTTCGGTAGACAGTTACAACCAGATTTATTCATCTGTTTTCACCTACAGTTAAGAGCACTTTTAATTAATTTTAATTACAAAATGTTGTACATACAGCAACACATACACAAATAGGAAGTTTTAAACATCATACTGTGTTTGGCAGCGATTTATAAGCATACTTCACAATAAATTCTAGAAATCACAATACTATCCATGTATTTTTTTCAGCATTGAGTGTAATGACTTTTTTTTTAGATGGAGTCTTGCTCTGTCACCCAGGCTGGAGTACAGTGGCGCAATCGCAGCTCACTGCAACCTCCGCCTCCTGGGTTCAAGCGGTTTCCTTGCCTCAGCCTCCTGACTAGCTGGGATTACAGGCACGTGCCACCACACCCGGCTAATTTTTGTATTTTTAGTAGAGACGGGGTTTCTCAATGTTGGCCAGGCTGGTCCTGAACTTGGACCTCGTGATCCACCTGCCTCAGCCTCCCAAAGTGCTGGGATTACAGGCGTGAGCCACCACACCCGACCTTGAGTGTAATGACTTTGAAATGCCTCAGTCAAAATTTTACTGAAATGGTTATCACCTAAAAATTCAATGTAAATGTCTATTATATTTGATAACCACTTTTGATATTCACGTACAAGGAAGTACAGCTTCCTTGTACTTTGTTGCTTAGTGATGGCATCTCTATAATTTTTGTTCACAGGTCTTCACTTTTAAAGTTTTATTTATCTCTATATTTGTTTGAGGCCGATTCTGGTTGTTTGTAAATATTTATGCCAGAAAAAATTTATCTCAGAAAAATTGGACACAGCTATAATTTTGAATATACTATTTAAACAGAGGAATGTATATAGGTACAATAGGATTGGAGTCATGCTGAGCCTGAGGAGAGCTGAAGCTATCCTGAACCTTTTTGTACTTACTCTCCAAATGAACAGGTATATCAAATCTGCATGTGTTGGGAACTGACTGTATAACTGGGGGATTTCCTAATAAACTTCCAATTAAGATGGATTGCTTATTAAAGGGTATGTAATAAAAATGTGCAGATTTGACATTTTTATGTTGTTAAAACTCAGCAGTAACCACAGCAACCCCTTAAAACTTAAAGAGTATTGCCAAAATATTTTGGGGGCGATATATTTTATCCCTGGGTTTTTTAGAATTGCCTGTGCTCAGGCCAGGCGTGGTGGCTCACGCCTGTAATCCCAGCACTTTGGGAGGTCAAAGTGGGTGGATCATCTGAGGTCAGAAGTTTGAGACCAGCCTGGCCAACATTGAGAAACCCTGTCTGTACTAAAAAGACAAAATTAGCTGGGTGTGGTGGCTCATGCCTGTAATCCCAGCTACTCAGGAGGCAGGAGAATCACTTGAACCTGGGAGGTGGAGGTTGCGAGGAGCCGAGATTGTGCCTGTGCACTCCAGCCCGGGCAACAGAGCGAGATTCCATCTCAAAAAAAAAAAAAAAAAAAGAATTGCTCTTGCTTGATGTTAATAAAAGAACAAAATCAAAGTCTTGCTGTTTTATTTAGTCTTGATAGTTCACCCACTTACTGCCTGCACCTGGGTGGACTGCTCCTCTTGCCTCACTCTAGGTATGCAGTTGCATTAAAGAGCAATAGTTGACCAATCCACTAGTCTGTAAAGTCTCCCTCTGCAATATGCCCAGTATATCTTAATGCATTCTGTCATGAGTGTTCCTCTATATTTCCTCCTTTTGACTTTCAGTTAAAGTAGAATTATAATACCCTGCTTAAAGGAAACCTGTAATACCGAAAATTACTGTGATATCCGTTTTAAAGCCTTTAAGAAATATATAATAGTCTTTAAACTTTAATGGCCATACATGACTTAGTTTACATTGATTAAAAGATGCTGAATGTTAAATCACTTTAGATAGGGCAGCCAAGTTTAGGGATCAGTTGAAATAAGTCCAAATCTTTATGAAGGTCTTTTACCACTATCTATTTTAACAAATATAGGGATATATTTTATAAAGCAAACCCGTAGAGACAGAAAGTAGATTATTGGCTGGCAGACAGCAAAAGGAGGAATGGAGAGTGACTGGTAATGGGGATGGGATTTGTTTTGGGGGTGATGAAAATACTCTATAAAGTGTTGATGGGTGCACAACTCTTGAATATATCAAAAACCATTGAATTGTCCATTTTAAATGGATGGATTTTTATGGTATGTGATTTATATCACAAAGCTGTTGTAAAATACACAGAAATGTCAGGTTATATCATAACCATTTTGTTGTTTACTTGCCTTATCTGATTTTCTGTCAAGATGAAAACTATCTAGCGGCCTCTGCATGGCTCTGTAAATTATTTTGTTGATCCCGAATCCTAAGTTTGTTCAAAGGATAGGTTTAGTTTTGACGTACTATTTTAAGGAGTAATCCAGTGGGAACAGTTTAAGGGAAGGACAAGAAAAGAATCCTGCATTTGCCCATTAAATAACCAGGTGCTGGCTAATGAGTTAGGTGTTGTGTACATGTCTTTGCATTCTTTCCATTTTAAAGGTAAGGAAACTAGAGAAGTTTGGCGAATGGTCTGAGGTCACACAGTGTAAAAGTAACAGTTCTGAGATTTGACACAGTCCTTTGAAGAGCCCATCTGAGTCTAGTCCACAGCCCCACATGGCTGCTGTGAAGTTTTTGAGCAGTGAGTCCTTATCTAATGGACCATTTATGTGGGGAGAAGACTCAGTGAACAGCTTTTATACGTCTGAAGCATGGTAGCAAGTGATAACTATCAAAATAATGTGTACTTTTGGAAGGACTTGTCACAGTTTAAGAATAACAAGGTTTGGTTAAGTTTTTGAGCCATCCACAGTAATGCAGTAAATGTAATCAGCATTTAAAACTAAAGATGTCTATTCTTTTTACCAGTTTATACTCCATTAAAAATTTTAACTCATTAAGGATTTTATAAATGCTAGCATTAATATTGTTTTCTAATTAAATGATTTTATGTCCTGGAATCAATTTTTATTTCTTGTATTGATGTCTAGGAAGAAGTGTTTAATTCACAAAAATGTTTTAATAGCCAACTGTGAGGGGAGGGAGACCAGAAGTTCATTAGTGAGGCACAGTAAATGTGATGCTGAGGTATGGCACCTGTACTGCTAAAGGAGAGCACTGGCATGGATAAAACATTTGGCATTTCCTAAAATCACCTCCTGGCCTGTCTTTCAAGCAAGTGAAAAGGAAGAAGTTGTGGATTGATTTGGGAAGTACATTTGGAAAATGACCTAATGTGATAAGCTGGAACCAATAGGGTTAAAAACCCTGGTGAGGTATACAGCCTTGATTCTAAAAGTGGAAAGTTTGAGTGAAGGCTAGACCCTTGGAAATTGTAGGGGAGGTAGTGTAAAATGAAGAATACATGGCCAGGCGCGGTGGCTCACGCCTGTAATCCCAGCACTTTGGGAGGCCAAGGCAGGCAGATCACCTGAGGTCAGGAGTTCGAGACCAGCCTGACCAACATGGAGAAACCCTGTCTCTACTAAAAATACAAAATTAGCCGGGCATGGTGGCACATGCCTGTAATCCCAGCTACTCGGGAGGCTGAGGCAGGAGACTCGCTTAGACCCAGGAGGCGGAGGTTGTGGTGCGCTGAGATCACACCATTGCATTCCAGCCTGGGCAACAAGCGTGAAGCTCCATCTCAAAAAAACAAAAAAAAAGAAGAATAATAATACATTAGGACATGCTTTATAGAGTAAGTTTTCAGAAATTAACTATTAATACTTAGAAAATTAGTTCTGCCCGGAGTAAATGGTAATAGAATAAGGGCTCGATGGTACAATTAAAGAGTGAAAAATAATGCAGATGAAGTTTAAACCATTGTGTATTATATTCTGTTGTGTTTTTTTTGTTTTTTGTTTTTTGTTTTTTTTTGGGACAGAGTTTCGTTCTTGTTGCCCAGGCTAGAGTGCGATGGCGTGATCTTGGCTGACCGCAATCTCCACCTCTAGGGTTCAAGTGATTCTCCTGGCTCAGCCTCTTGAGTAGCTGGGATTACAGGCATGTGCCACCACGCCCGGCTAATTTTGTATGTTTAGTAGAGATGGGGTTTCTCCATGTTGATCAGGCTGGTCTCAAACTCCTGACCTCAGGCGATCTGTCTACCTCGGCCTCCCGAAGTGCTGGGATTACGGGCATGAGCCACCGTGCCCCACCTATATTCTGTTTTCTTAATGTTCTTACTGCACATAGAAATATAAGTAGTTAACCTAAAAATGGTGTTATATTTATTATTAAATGTAATTTAGCAATTCCATGTGTTTATTTGGTAAAACATTTCTTTAAATTCCGGAACTAGAAGAAAAGTCAACAAGATTGTGGAGGAGAATATGGTATAGTAAAGAAATTTAGGAAGAAGTAAGTATGAAAATTTTGAATTTGAATATTATGTGCGGTTTTGTTGCTTATGAAAGTACCTGGTTTGGAATCTCTTGAAATCTGAAGAGTAAATTTTGTACAGAAGTAGATGGAACTGTTTTGTAATGTTTACATTCAAACAAGACTCTGCTCAGTCGGAGCAGGAAAATGGTAGAGCATCTTTCCCCTATTTGTTTTAAAAAGCTTTTCGGGGTGGGATGAGGTGGCTCACGCCTGTAATCCCAGTACTTTGGGAGGCTGAGACTGGCAAATCCCTTGAGACCAGGAGTTCGAAACCATCCTGGCTAACATGGCAAAATCCCATCTGTACCAAAAAGAAAAAGCTTTGTAAATTTTCTCTACCTTAGGAGTATTTCATATTGACAATGCCAGATTTATCTTGTTTTCATACCTTCCTCTAAGCAAGTGGAAAAGTGGTTAAATGTTTAGGTTTCAAAAGGTTTGAGTCTGTGACAAGCAAGTGGAATTTATATGGAAGTAAGCTGTATATCAATAATTAAAGGGACACTTTCTTTAATGAAGAGATGTTGAAAAAAATATAGGCCTGGCACAGTGCCTCACGCCTGTAATCCCAGCACTTTGGGAGGCCAAGGTGGGCAGAGCAACTGAGGTCAGGAGTTCAAGACCAGCCTGACTAACATGGAGAAACCCCATCTCTACTAAAAATACAAAAAAATTAGCCAGGTGTGGTGGCACATGCCTGTAATCCCAGCTACTTGGGAGGCTGAGGCAGGAGAATCACTTGAACCTGGGAGGCGGAGGTTGTGGTGAGCCGAGATCGCGCCATTGCACTCCAGCCTGGGCAATGAGAGTGAAACTCCATCTCAAAAAAATATATATGTGTGTGTGTGTGTGTGTGTGTGTGTGTGTGTGTGTGTGTGTATATATGTGTATATATGTGTATATATGTGTATATGTGTGTGTGTGTGTGTGTGTGTGTGTGTATATATATATATATATGGCAGCAGTTTCCCAAAAATTTTTTTTTTTTTGCACAGTGTATGTTGTTCATTTTATCCACAGGGCTTCAGTTATTGTAAGGATTTGTGGGGGGAGGGGTGTTTTTAATTTAATTTTTTAATTTAAAAATTTACTAATTTTGAAAGGCTTTATTAAAGATTTGCAAGTTACTGATTTAAACATAGTAACTGAGCTTCAAAGACAAGATTTACTCTGTGGACAAGTTATGTGATAATGGTGATTCTGTATAACCATATTTCTTTATCACTTAGTTATATTTATAATCAAAAGTTGAACAAAGATGTATCTCAGACAGATACAAATTAAAGTTCATTTTTAAATCCATGAATTTAATTGTTTTCATTTAAAAATTAATGCAAGTTAGATAAATTTGAATTAGTAGATAAAACAATCCCATCAAACACCATTAGCATTTTAGAGTATTTCCTTTGTCTTTTTTTCTCCTCCACTTGTGTTTGGAATTTTTTATGTAGTTACCAGATCTTTTTAATAGCATGAAATTCTCTGTCATTTTCTCAATAATTATTGTGGAAAATTTGAGAATATCTAATAATTGCCTTAGATAAATTTCTAGAAGTAGAATTACTGGTTCAAAAGGTATGGACATTTTTTAGTTCTTGTTTTATAGTTTTAAATTTCTCTTCGGAATTAAAACTCGTCCATTAGATCTCACCAGCCCAGTACTCTTTTTGCTTTATGCTAGTCCACATGCATGTCCGTTGGATAATGTAAGAATTTTATCTCCTTGTATTAATTTGTACTTTGATTATTGATTGGTATGGTTGAACACTTTTTCCTGTGTTTGTTAATTAGATATTGGGATTTTGTTTGTTAAATGAATTGCTTCTGTACATTTTTCAGTTTCATTGTACCTCTTACTGTGTGTATGTACCATTGATTAACTCATACACAGTATTCTGCTTTCAGGTAAAGTGACATAGTGGTACTTGTTTAACATGTGATTGGCTTTCTTTCCTCGCCCCATTATATTACCTGATATTAAAAAAGTATTAACCCAGACACACATTTAGTAAATTATATATTGAAGGCATAAGATGAAATACCAGGTTAAGAAAAGGACTGTACATGATCCCTTACCTAGTTGTTCTAGCAGTAGTGTTTTATGGAGTTGTCTTCAGGTTTAAATTAGATGGATAAAGCATCTTTACAGGAAAGATGATTTTAAAACTTGTTTAAAATTATCTTTTGTTAAGAAATTTAGCGTGTGCTTTGTTATACAGTGTCTATGTGTTGCTAATAAACATAAAAGTTGTGTTGGATTTAACTATTTGGTTTAAGACAGTGTCTTTGATATATTAAGTTGAGTATGAAAGAGGAGGAAAGACTGTAGAACTAAATGCTTTGATATTTGCATCTAACAGGAAGGAGATTTGAATACTAGCCTGTCATTGTGAGTATATATGTATTTCTTTTAGGAAACATTTCTATTTTTTCTTTAAATTCAACTTCACATAGTAATAGGAGCTTAAGGGAAAATTGCTTTGTCATCTTGGAGGTCATACTACCAAAGGAAGGAATACTGGAAATAATCAGTGTAATCCGTTACAAAGTAAATTTAGGAAAATACATTTTTTAAAGTTTAGGTTTCGAAAAGAAAGGGATAAATATCCCATTGAGAAAGATTCAGAAAGAAATATTGCTTGAGAGATTTAAGTTTTAAAAAGATGGCTTAGATTAGTATATAGTCTTCTAATTCTTATTGCCTCGGCAACTTTATTTCAAAAAGTAGGAAAAAGCATACTTTAGAAATTGTAGACTCTGGGCCAGTTTACTTTTGTCTGCCAGTTTTTATTAATTTTAGAAATTGCTAGTCACTAAGAGCCAGAACAGATTCACTAACAATTTATAACAGACTACCATTTGTAAAGTATGTTATGTCTAGTGAAAACTATATACCAAATATTTCAGAAAGGTATTGTATATGATTGCATTATGAATGAATTAGAAAAATATGGGCAGGATGACAGTATTGCTAAGTGGATTTTAGCTGACTGGTTATAAATACCCAAGGAATATCAGTTAAGGTCATCTTTCAAATAGGTCCTATTTTAATTTTTAGAAAACATTGACTTGGAGGAAAGCATACCAAATGAGTTCATGAAATTTACAAGCTGATTGGAATAGCTGGAGCTACATCAAATAGCAGAAAATCACTTCTAGACTTGCTAAATAGGTTGAAAGGTCTGTTAGAAACCAACACAAAGTCAATGTGAAGATCTAGTTTTGATGGGAATTCTGGTGAAAGCAGCCTGAAGATTTCAGATGATTACAAATTGGAGTTAATGAATTAAGCCCTATTTTTTTTAGGTAATAAATAATGCCCCCTTCTCCAAAGATGTTCATAATCTAATTCTAAAACCTGTAAATATATTACCTTGCAAGGCAAAAGAGACTGGGGATGTGAATAAGGTTAAGAATGTTGAGACGGGTTAATTATCCTGGATTATCTGGGTGGGCCCGGTGTAATCATAAGGGTCCTTATACTAGAGAGGTAGGAGTCAAAGAAGGAAATAAAACAACAGAAGAGATAGAAGGAGAAGATGCTATACTGCTGGCTTTGAAGATGGAAGAAGAGGCCATGAGCCAAAAGAATGTAGGCACCCTGTAGAAGCAAGATTAGACAAGAAATAGATTCTTCCCTAGAGCCTTTACAAGGAATGTCGCCTTGCTGATGCTAGTGAGATTCTGACCTCAAAAGTGTAATTTGTGTTGCTTTAAGCCAGTAAATTTGTGGTAATTTCTTACTACAGAAATAGGAAACTAATACAAAAGCCAATTCACAGTGCAGGACTACGTCCGGACCCTGTCCATTTGAGGATACCATACTTAAAGGGAATTAACCAGGATCATCTGGAAACCTTATCATTTGGCTAATAGTTAAAGAACAGAGAGGAAATACTAGTTATCTTCACATTGTTTTGCTCCATTTACTCAGCACTTATGTGTTAGGTACTGGGCTAAGAGATTTACATACATTATCCTATTTAATCCTAACAATGTGGTGAGGTGAGCCCATTAATTCCTGTTTTTCAGATTTTAAAAATCCTTGGAGTTTAGAAAGGTTGACTAAACTTGTTAAGGTTTATGCCACTGGTAAATAGCAGAGTACCCATGTTACTTTGACTAATCCCTAAACATTGTGAATTCTGCAGGTATCACAGGCCAGATACCCTCGTTCTTCTTTATCTTCACTTGAAACTCTTTACTGGTATGAGGGATCAGGATGAATCATTCTTCATAATTTTTAGAGGATTTTGTGTCTCAGGCTTCTATATGTCATGCAGCAGGGCAGTGGTCATATTTAGACGTTTTCATAGTCATTCTGCTAGTGACAAAGCAAAGAGCCAAGCTCATATCTACTGCTGACAAGTAGCATTCTTTTCCACTATGCTTATCCCTTCTAAAGAAGTCTTGTATTTGGAGGGGCTGTTGTTATTTTTATGCAGGAGGATTTCATGGTTTTCTCTGGCTGCTTTGACACTTTTTATTCATTCACAGATAACATTAATTGTGAATACAGGCTATAATGTTGGGGGAGCTCTGCACCTAACGGTGTTTATTGAATACTTGTCCTCTGCGGGGTGACATAGTACGAGTCATTCCATATACAAAAACTCATTTAGTTCTAACTGAAACTGATACCTATCAAGCAGATATCAGTATATCCTTTTTACAAATGAGGACATTATGGCTTAGAGAAATTAATTTGCCCAGAGTCATCTGCATGGCCAGACCCAGATTCAAAACCAAATCTTTCTCACTCTCTATAGAAGACCACAATTTCTGGTTTTTCTCACTAGTAGATTTTGTTGGAATTATATTAAATTTTGTGGCTTTTAGACTTGATATATAAAGCTAATAGCTTTTTTCCTGAGGTTTGTTGACTGAAATTGGATGTTGGTCATAAGTAACTGAATTATCTTTGAATCTGTTGTCTACTCTGTGTATAATACTTATGTGTATCTAAACTTGATTGAAAAACATGAAGTTTTTTTCTGACATGGCAGTGCTTCTTCCCTGCCCCCCCCACCCCACCCCCGCTCCGGTTTGCCCATGAGAAATTTATTAATGGTTTGAAGGAACCTACACATTATTGAAAGGTGACTAGCAGTTATTTTGGGCCTTATTTTCCTCATTTCTAAAAACAAAATAATTTTTCCCTGGGCTGTTGTCCTTCATATTTTTGACCACAGTACACACAGTAGGAATTATGTAATTCATTCCTGGATCTCAACCCACAGTTTGAAAAACACTGCTCTGGATTAACTCCAGGATTCTCTCTTTTTCTCAAAAGAATTACGTGTAGTACTCATTAATATCTATTGTGTATTTACTCTGTGCTAGGTGTTGCTCTAAGTGCTTTTGTATGTATTGTTTGTATTTAATTCTTAGACTTAACTAAATAAGGAGGGACTACTGTTATCCCCATTTTACAGATGGAGGAATTCTCATAGGTAGCAAGTGGTAGAGCCAAGATTTCTCGGGCAGTTATTATTGAGCCTGTGCACTTACCGTTATTCTAACAAATTATTGTGGAAAATCAATCAAAATCTTAGATCACCACAACATTATATACTTCTCTTGAGAGATTCCTCAAACAATATTGGTGACCATGACAATTAACTCTTTTATTTAAGATTAATAAATTGCAACTTTGCTTTAGACACAAGTAAGGACTCAGTAATAAATCATTTACAACTAACAAGTTCATTTTGTTTTAGAGTGAGAAAAATATACCATGCATAAATGGAAAATAAAACAGATATAGCAATGAGCAGTATAATTGATTTTTAATTAAGAGAAACAAAAGTCGGGGATTGGTGTATGTGAGAGGGGGTAGGAGTTAGAGACCAAGACATTTATTAAGCACTGATTATTTTAGATGCTTTCATTTCATGCTATTAACAGTTTTATAAAGAAGGCCATCAGTGTTTATTTTAAAAATGGGAGAATCAGGCCAGGCACAGTGGCTCACGCCTGTAATCCCAGCACTTTGGGAGGCCGAGGTGGGTGGATCAACTGAGGTCAGGAGTTTGAGACCAGCCTGACCAACATGGTGAAACCCCCGTCTCTACTAAAAATACAAACATTAGCCAGGCATGGTGGCAGGCGCCTGTAATCCCAGCTACTCGGGAGGCTGAGGCAGGAGAGTCACTTAAACCGGGGAGGCGGAGGTTGCAGTGAGCCGAGATCGCGCCATTGCACTCCAGCCTGGGGGACAATAGCAAGGCTTTGTCTCAAAAAAAAAAAAAAAAAAGGGAGAATCAGGCCAGACATGGTGGCTCTCGCCTGTAATGCCAGCGCTTTGGGAGGCTGAGGTGGGCAGATCACACAAGGCCAGGATTTAAAGACCATCCTGGGCAACATGGCAAAACCCCATCTCTACTAAAAATGCAAAAATTTGCTGGGTGTGGTGGTGCACGTCTGTAATCCCAGCTACTCAGGAGGCTGAGGCATGAGAATCGCTTGAAACCGGGAGGCAGAGGTTGCAGTGAGCCAAGATCCCACCACTGCACTCCAGCATGGGAGACAAAGTGAGACTGTCTCAAAAAAAAAAAAAAAGCAACAAACAAATGGGAGAATCAAACTCAGCAGAACTGGCAACAGTAGAGGGCCCATGTCTTACCTGGAAATATTTGGATGAGTCAATATTCAGAAATAAGAATTTCTGAATGTATAACATGCTGGCTATTTAAAGCTTTCCCTCATGCCCTAAGGTAAAATTGAGTTCTAAAACATAAAAACAGTGTATTGACCTTTAGTCTTGAGAAATTGAAATTTGATCAGTATTTTGATCATCTAAATAAATCATGCTGACACTTTCTTCCTAAGTCACCACATTCAGTATTGTAGGGTCATTTAAAGCATCAAAAAATTGACCCTATTTTAGTAATTTATATCGCCTCTAACTTGTTGCTTGGGTAGGCACATCACTTTATACCTCTGTGCCACTTAATTTTTTTCTTTAAAAAATTCTTGGGTTCAACTCCTCATAACAATTATATATTAGTATATTACTTTCTAGTTTGGGTCCACATTGCAATTTTTCCCCACTTAACATAGCTGTACAGTCCTTTTTATCTTTACTATCTGTACACTATTCTTCTGGGCTAATATATTTGAAATAATTTTGTTATTGTTAGGTACTAGTTAAAAGAATTAGAGTTTTGGGAAATGGTTGATTACAGATTGAATTTTACCACTTAATTAACTTTATAACTGAGCAGATTGTTGAGCCTCAGTGCTATCATCTGTAAAATGGAATGATAACATCTGCCTCACCATAAAGGTTGTTACTATTTCTGTCCAAATGGACAGTGTCAATGTACATGCTTACCAGGAAAGTATATCAATTCATATCCTCTATGTCAAAGTATCAGCGTAATTTCTGGATTTCTGTATCTGTTCAGTGAAGGCATTGCTGTAGGTATCAGGGAACTTTTTTGTCTTGCAAAAGGTAGAGACCGTTTGGTGAATTTGTGCATTAAATAAGTCAATAAAATATTAACAGCATTCATTGACTGTTAAAAGGTGATTTTGCAAACCTCCAATTTTGAAAAATCTGTATTTCCCTGTAGTGTTTTTCTTCGTAAATTATATCAAATGCAAATGCACAGCTTGAAATTTTAAGAAAAATGTTGGTAAAGGAGAATAAAAGTCATCCCAAAAGAAACTTCTCTGGTGGGGTGGCACATGCCTATAGTTCCAGCTGCTGGGGAAGCTGAGATGGGAGGATCACTTGAACTCAGGAGTTTAAAAAAAGAAAGAAAGTGATGTGATGGAAACTTTATAATGCTAACAAATAAGATATAAGTAAGGGTGGTCATTTATAAAAAAGCTTTGAAACATGGTCCTGTCTCCTTTTTATATACGAAACACTCAGCTTGCCACTTACTAAGCTCTCAGATATTTGTTGAATTAATGAAAAATGAGCCAAAAATGCATTTCTGTTTCCTTGCCTGCCACTCATTCCTTAACCAGTTGGAATTTGGAATCACTTTCAAAAACTGATGTCACTTGCATTCACCTAATTGCCAAACTAAATAAACAAGATTTGTTTTGCATCCTGATTAACCTCTTGTAGCATTTGGCTATGCCAGATGTCTCTAATTTCTGGGATTCTACTTTGTCCTGGTGCTCATTTTTGCAGGTTTTTTCTCTGCTACATTGAAATTTTTGGTATGTATGTTGTTCTTCTGTTTTGTGGTTTTTTTGTTTGTTTGTTTTTTGTTTTTGGAGACGGAGTCTCGGTCTGTATCCCAGGCTGGAGTGTAGTGGCACCATCTCGGCTCACTGCAACCTTCGCCTCCTGAGTTCAAGAGATTCTCATGCCTCAGCCTCCCAAGTAGCTGGGACTACAGGCACATGCCACCACACCCAGTTAATTTTTGTATTTTTAGTAGAGACAGGGTTTCACCATGTTGGCCAGGCCGGTCTCGAACTCCTGACCTCAGGTGATCTGCCCGCCTTGGCCTCCCAAAGTGCTGGGATTACAGGTGTGAGCCACCGCACCAGCCTGGTGTATGTGTTCTTGGTGGCCTTCTTACTCCAGGCTCCTTCTAATCCATCCTCATAGTTCTATAACCTTTCCATTTCTAGCCTGGATCTCTTACACATTCAAGATCCATATTTCTTTCTCTGCCTAGATATTTAGTAGGCATCCCAAATTAAATTCAGTATGTTTCATTGTTATCCCTGAATCCAGACAATATACAGGCAGGCACAGATGCCTTCCTGGATTTTTTTTTTCCCCCTATATTCCTTTTCATAGTTAATGGTCTCTGCACAAATTTAGTCTGTATGCAGCATTGTATCAGGTATGGGTATGGGTATGTTGTTAGGGAGTGTGAACTTTAGAATCAACAAATATTAGTTCAGATCATGGCCTAGGCATCATCTAAAACAGATATGACCCTTTTTTTTTTTTTTTAAGTATCATCTCAAAACAGGTGTAACAGATCTGCCTTAGTTAACATGATTAAGTAAAAAATACAACATATCACTTAAACTCATTGCTGCCTGGTAAAGCACTCAAATGTTGGTTACCTCTTCTCTTCCCAAATAATATTTTTATGGAATGTAGTAATACTCTGCAGCTGTCTCAGATTATGGTACCTGACTGTTCTCTTGCTGGTCTTTTGTCTGAATGATGGTTATACTGTTAGGTGGTATAGTCTTTACTTTTAATTTTTTAAATAGAGACTATAGAGTGTTTCCTTAAAAGCTACACTAGTCTGTCTTGTATGTTCATTTGGCTGTTAATTTAGTGAGTTGCTTACTGCTGAAATGATAAAGAAGTGCTTTTTGGGGGCATTAGATGAATATTAGCTCTGGCTTAGGTTTCCTTAAAATTTACTCTAAGCTTTTAATGACCAGAGAAGTAGTTCTTACTGTTGCTCATTTCTTTCTTTCTTTCTTTCTTTTTTTTTTTTTTGACAGTTTCAGTACCAGTAAGTATTTATTCGTTGTATTTTCCCAGGGGAAGGAGAAGGGAAGGGAAAAGAGTCAGTTTGTATGTTACAAAATCATTAGAAAATGGGAAAGGAAGTACCTGGTTCAGCAAAATCAACCATCAAAATAGACGCTCCCCCCCACCCCCACAGTGATGGGGATACCAGTGCCCAGTGGGCCTCAGTCTCTACATTTCAGGAAATGAGGAGAAGGGATCAGGAAAAGAACAGACAGGTGAAGGCTTTCTTACCTAGCTTCTCCATAAATTAGAGATTTCACACAAAGCTTTGATTTTTAGCAGTAAACAGGGCGTCACATTTGTTCATCTCCTATGAAATAATCTTGTGGCTACTTTGACATAAGTTTCTTGTACCTGCATGAAAGTTCCAGACTGCCTTGGATATACATTTAGATTCCCTTTCTTGGCTCCTGGCCATCCTCACCCTCTTGACTTTCTACGTGGAAAGGCCCCTTATTGCTTCTACTTTATTATTAAAGATTTAATCTATCCAAAATATAGCAGTGTCTTAAGTGTTTGGCATGAATCACATCAAGAAGTGGTCTTGACTCAGGAGGTTGAGAACAAGGAAGGGAGGGTTTCTAGTTTCTTCAGGATTTTTGCATAAATCATTGAAGAGTTGTGGAGACAACCCAAGAATTAAATGTGTGTGGGTGTGTTCATTAAGACCTATGGGTTTTTGTTTTTGTTTTTGCATCCCCTTTCACTGTGTTAAGGTATAGAAAATAGAACAATAATAAGCAACTGTCTTAATAGATTTTATAACAGAATATACCTTTTATAAATGTATGCTACATATTTATAAATCATACAGTGTTGATATTTTTAGAATTTGTGTTTAAGTTGAAATATGTTAAATTGTTTCTTACTGGTTTGTATAATTTTAAGGATTTGTTATTTCTTTTTCTTTTCTTTTCTTTTCTTTTTTTTTTTTAAAGACAGAGTCTCGCTCTGTCGCCTGGCCTGGCGTGCAGTGGCGCGATCTTGGCTTACTGCAACCTCTGTCCGCCTCCTGGGTTCAAGCGATTCTCCTGCCTCAGCCTCCCAAGTAGCTGGGACTACAGGTGCCCGCCACCATTTTGTATTTATAGTAGAGATGAGGTTTCGCCACGTTGGCCAGGCTGGTCTCGAACTCCTGACCTCAGGTGAACCGCCCACCTAGGCCTCCCAAAGTGCTGGGATTACAGGCATGAGCCACCGCGCCTGGCCTTACTGTTTCTTTTCTAATTGCCTTTCAGTTAGTGAGCGTTTTATTCTCAAAGATAATTTTTTTATTACATTGGTAAATGAAGTAATACAATGAAGAATTGCAGCCGTATTTAGAGAATCCTTTTATTAAAATGAAATCCTGTGTTAATATCTTAGTGTTTTCTCTGTTTTCTGTATCTTATGGAAAAATTATATTTTCTGCTTAAGTAGTTATCTGGTTTTTTATTGATTATATTTGGCATTCCATGCCTTTTCTAAAATTGTTACTGATGTCTGTAGTTTTGAAAAGATGTGAAAATTGTCTAAATTTTTAGGATACACTGCTAGGTGGGGCTGTTTACTCTGAGAAAACACTCATATTTTAGTCTAGCCTCTTAGCTAGTGGTCTAGTAAAGGTTCATACCCTAGGGCTCCATATTTGGAATATTGACATAAATTGAAAGAATGGAAATGTGATTCATATGAGTTTCATAATGTTGGGATCTCTGAAACTTACTTCACAATATCTTTTGGAAGTCCCAGGTAAGTGTATGCTTATGGTTAAACCAAACAAAAACAATAATTTAAGAAGGTAGATATGTTTCTTAATGTCAGGATTTTATCTTTATAACCCTCTATGGACTCTATGTTTTGGTTGGATTTAACCCTTTGGGGGAAGTATGTGGTTAAGTCTCATGGAAGCACCTGATGGCTGTAGATTTACTGTTGTGAGATTTGTTAAATTTGGTTTTCCCCTTTTGTTTGTGTTTTTTGGAAACAAAGTCTTGCTCTGTTGCCCAGGCTGGAGTGCAGTGATGCAGTCTTGGCTCACTGCAACCTCCACCTCCTGGGTTCAAGCAGTTCTCATGCCTCAGCCTCCTGAGTAGCTGGGATTACAGGTGTGCGCCACCATGGCTGGCTAATATTTGTATATTTAGTAGAGACATTATAGGATATAAAAAGTAACCCCCCCATCTATGGAATGTTAAGCTGACACCCAAGACAGTCAAAGCCTCCCATAATACAACATCCCACACTCTGTTCTGGTTGTACCAAAAAATAAAGTAAACAACCAGTGAATGATTTTACCTCTTAAAAAAAAGCATTTATACATAAAAAATGGGATGAACTGGGATTCCCTCCTTAAAAATGTTTCTAGACCTACTAAAATCTTGCATTTACAAAATAGTTGATAAAAATACTCCTCTGGATTGAAGAGAGGGGAGACAGAGACCACTGATAAGACATGGTATGTACTGAGTAGACTTGGCTTCTTTCTCTGGCTTCATCAGAGGCTGGACTCTCATTGGTTTTAGTTTCTCCGTTTTCTGCAGGTAAATCTTTAGTTTCTTGGTTAGTCACTTGAGTCTGTTTTCTCTTTGCTCCCCCTCCCTTTCCCTTTTGTTTGCACATCTTTGTCTAAGGATTTATACTTCTGCTGCCTTTTTTCAGCCTCATTTCCACTTTTGCAGGAGCAGGTTTAGCTGACAGCCATGCCGATTGCCTCTTGGGCTCTTCCTTCATTTCACTACCCCTTCGCCACCCCTTTGGCAGAGCTAACCTTCTTCTTGGGTATCACGGCAGTGGGGAGGGTGTGTGCTGGGTGCCTGGCCACCAAAGCTCTTCCTGCTGCCCTAGCTGCTAAGACCCCCCTCACCACCCCGGCCCCGTTTGTATTTTCCAAGTGGTGATGTAGATATGTAGGAAAGGTGCTTATTTACTAGCCAAATAGTTAAACTTTACTTTTTGTTTGTTTTTTGTCTTTTAAGCTCTTTTCGCTTATGGATATGAAACCTCCCATCTCTAGAGCCAAGATGATTCTCATCACTAAAGCTGCTATTAAAGCTATTAAGGTAATGATAAAATAAAGCAATTTGAGAAATCTTTTTGAAATTTTGAAAATATTTATTACTTTTAAACATGAGAAGTCAACTTGTGAATTAGTTCAGGCCTAAATCAAAGAGCCCTAACCAGCCTTTGCTGAAGGTACATGATAAGCGTGCATTTGCATTGTAACATATTGTTTCAAAGCAGTGTGGTTTTTTGGTGGGGGTAGGGGGATAGAGTCTCACTGCGCCACCCAGGCTGGAATGCAGTGGTGCGATCTCAGCTCACTGCAACCTCACCCTCCCGGGTTCAAGTGATTCTCATGCCTGAGCCACCTGAGTAGCTGAGATTACAGGTGTGCGCCACCACGCCCAGCCTCAAAGCAGTTTTTTAAATTTTCATTTATTCCTTATCATAAACCAACTATTTAGTTTCATTTTTATTTAAAGAGAAAAAATTCAAGCTCCATGAAGTTAAATGTCTTACCCAAAATCACACTTTAAAATGTGACTTATTTTAGAAACTACATTGTTTAGCTCTAATCCATTGGTTTTGTCCCATAAGGTTGCCAAATATTCTGCTTCATGAAGGTTTATTGATTTAAAATTTAAGAAAAGGGATCTTCTGTTTGGGGAATTTTTGTAGTTTTCTGTTTTTAGTTTATTTTTCTCTGAGTTTTTTAATATTAAATTTTTTATTATGTATTTCTCATGGTTCATTCAGTATTGATAATATTTAGATTGTATAGATTTCAGAGTTTTAAGAATTTTCTAATTATAGGAAATGTAGAAATAAGTAAACTGAACAGTAATTTTCTCTTAATTCTTTTCAGCTTTATAAGCATGTAGTTCAAATAGTAGAAAAGTTCATCAAAAAGGTAACTATCTCTCATTATAACCTCATTTTAGTTACAATATGATTTGTAATTTACTTTGTAAATTTTAATCTCAATGCTTGTTTCTAAACCACTTCATAAAAATTTAGTCACTAGAGGTTCTTTTTAATCACTAGAAGTTTATAAAAACACATTTTTAGCAGTACCATTAATTGGTACTTAACTTACTGTGAACTTAGCACTCAACTCACAGCAGTTTCTTATATGTTGGTTATGACCCTTCCCTAAACCTGAAGTGCTTACTCTACCCCCTTGCCCTGACTGCTGTTGACATTTAGGTGTTTAACTCACCTTTGAGTATTTCAAATGAAATTACTTTGTCAAATTTTCCCAATTTTTCCCTTTTCCCATCAGAATAAAATTATTTTCAGTTCAGCTGTCTGTTGTTTTATAACTGTGTGATTGGCACACATCTGTCTCAGTAGAAAATAGAAAACAGAGACTGAGACATCTTTGTCTTAACCCCTGACCTGGAGCTGTGACATGTAGTACCTACTAATCAGTGTTTATAAAAATGTCTCTAATCCATGGCCCTTGTATACTGGCTTAGGTATAAAAGTTAAAGTTCCAACAGGCAAAAAAGATGGTTAGTAAACGCTTTGCATAGTAGTACATCAAAGTACAAATAAATAAAATGGAAAAAATTACCTATAGGCACTGTCAACAAATTAACTGCAATATTTATTAATACATTTGGATTTATTTTTTATGTACATGTACATTTATAAAAGTAAAAATGGACATAATACTGGTTGTTAGGCTGCTTTTCCCACTGAGTTTATCGTAAACAGTTGCAAAATACTCCTCTGCGGTTGTTACAGTGATGCACACAGCCATTTTCTGAGTTGTTAGACCTAATTTTTTTTTTTTTTGCATAAATTCCTAGATGTAGAATTGGTGGATTAAATAAGACTTTGCTTTTATTGCTAAATTGTCTTCTATAAAGGGTTATACCTGTTTCCACTACCACCAGAAATATATATAGGTGTCTGTTTCTCTGCTTTTCTCTGCTGTTGTCAGTTCGGTTAGCCAAAAACTACTTCTTGTTTTTAATTTTTATTTGGTACTGTAATAGAATTAAAATTGATATGTTAAAAAATGTTTTGTTAATTTTGAAAGATAAAAATTACCTTTTTGAGCAGGGTGAATTGTAGAGACTATCATAATAAGTGAATTTATATGGAACTGGCTTAAGGATTGGTAAAGTAATGTCGATTTTGGGACATTGGGTGTAGGGAAGTAGAGAAATCAAAGAAGAGTAAAATCTTGGGGGTCAGTAGTATCAAGAGAATGGTAGTTCCATTATAGACATGGGAAATTTGACAAGTTAGCCATTTAGAGAGCTGAAACATTCAAGTAGTTTTTAAACAAAAGCAATCATTGGATGGATATATAAAAGTTTCATAAATGTGAAAATAATGGGTGTCAGATTGTGACTTTGCTTTTTCTGTACTGATCTTACATCTTTATCCTTGCAGTGTAAACCAGAATACAAGGTTCCGGGATTATATGTAATTGACTCAATTGTGCGACAGTCTCGTCATCAGTTTGGAACTGATAAAGATGTTTTTGGGCCAAGATTCTCTAAAAACATAACTGCCACATTCCAATATTTATATCTTTGTCCATCTGAAGATAAGGTATAATTAATTTTTAAACTAAAACTTGTATTCTTTAAAAAATATTATTTTAAATGTATGTTAGATATTTGGAGCCTACTATATTACCAGATAAGATTTTCATGTAGCGATGTCTGTGAGCTTGAAACAAAACAGTTTTTTTCTTCAGTGGTCATTTCGTGTTTATTTTCTTATGAGTTCTTCAGGATTATCAGTCATACTGTTGAAATATGACAGGAACAAAATTTATAGAATCAAAGAGTTTAATAGTGGTTGCCAGGGACTAGGGGTAAGGGAAACATTAGGAGCTGCTAATCAATAGGTATGACATTTCAGTTAAGCAAGATGAATAGGTTGTAGAGATCTGCTGAACAACCTTGTACCTATAGTTAACAATTCTGTATTGTACACTTAAAAATTGGCTAAGTGAGTAGATCTCATGTTAAGTGTTCTTATCACAGTAAAGTAAAATTTTTAAAAAATAATATGAAAGGCGCATCATCTTTAAAGAAGATATCGTTGGAAAGATGTGCTTGTGTAGTTGAGTAAGGAAGAAATTGTGCAGTAGGAAAAGACAGCGATCATCTGATTGTGGTTATTCCAGAAAGAAAGAGCCAATAATAGATGTTCTTCCCCAACATATAGAGATACTAAAGTTTAAGTGGTATTCATTAGCAATCAGACTACAGTATTTAATTCCTTATATATACAGTTGGCTTTACAACATACTATATAAAAGTAGAAAAACATTACAGATATAGTAGCTGACTATAAGTAGATAGGAGGAATTATACTAGTAAACATACTCAGAATAATGAAGAACGGAGACATTTACAATAAACAGCATATAAATTTCAGTGTCATAGGTGCTGTTTTTATATTCTTGGAAGAATGCTCTTGTGGGAAAAATACACCCAAAACCAAGATGATTCCTTGAGTAAAGATAAAAGTTGTGCCCATGAATAACATATATTCTCTGGATCTTCATATTTGCTTGGCCACATAATTTAAGTTTTGACTACAGGCCAGTTGCTTAAATATTTTAGCTGTTATAATTACTCTGAAGAAATTCTCCTTCATTTACTTCAAGATAGCTTTTTTTTGGGGGGTCAGTGATAGTTTATTTGTAACCATAAGTAAAATAAAATGAAAATGTCAAATAATAAATTTCTTTTTATTGTCTGGGTCTATAGTCCATCTCTGTTCCTTACTCTAGATGATACCACTGAAGAAAGACTAATTAGTTTAACCAGGTTGTAATTCTGATTTTTTTTTTTCCTTGTTTATGAAACACACATAGTATGGAAATATTAGCCTAGGGAGTTTTCCTCTCTTTTTTTTGTAAGAGTATAATCGGTTATTTATGCAAATATTTATTGTATATTTGTGTTTCTCATGCGTAACAGAGTAAAATAGTTCGTGTGCTGAACCTTTGGCAAAAAAATGGAGTGTTCAAAATTGAAATTATTCAACCTCTTTTGGACATGGCAGCGGGAACCAGTAATGCAGCCCCAGTAGCAGAAAATGTTACCAATAATGAAGGTATGGTCAGATGTATCTGTGAGCTCACACAATGGTATGATTTTTTGCACATGAAACAGTCAGAGTTTATGTGTATTGAAGGAATTTTTCTATAAGAAGGAAACTTGAGTTTACATCTTGGAAGGTATGATTTTCTTTCCATAATTCCTATTTATAATAAAGGTCTGCTCTTCTGGTAGTTGTTACAGTATAAACTCTAGTGCCACAATCTCTATATTTTATACTTTGTTAAATTGGATAAAATGTTATTTTAGCAAAGAAGCTTAATTAGGAAAACTTGTAGGTTAACTTTTTTTTTAGGCCTTAATGCCCTTTTCTTTTTTAGGCTCACCTCCACCTCCAGTAAAAGTTTCTTCTGAACCTCCCACACAAGCCACTCCAAACTCCGTCCCAGCTGTACCACAGTTGCCCAGCTCTGATGCTTTTGCTGCTGTGGCTCAGCTGTTTCAGACAACTCAAGGCCAACAGGTAAACTGTCTACTCAAAAGTGAAATTGTTTGCAGGACTAGGTACTGTTGTCACTTCTTGTTTTCTATTCTTCATTAATAAGCACATTGAAAGGAGAAAATACGTCTGCTTTTCAACTAGAAAAGCCTTCACAAGAGAAGTAATGTAGGAGGAACAGGGAAAATGTAGAAGTGATAAACAAGGGAACAACACACTTAGAAATGACAGTACCTCTTTGAAGAGGACTTTAGAACTACTAAGTGGCTCATGTTGCTCACAATTCTAGCATTTCTGATGGATTTCAAAATTATTTTTAACGGAGA
This sequence comes from Homo sapiens, assembly GCF_000001405.40. Taxonomy (NCBI): domain Eukaryota; kingdom Metazoa; phylum Chordata; class Mammalia; order Primates; family Hominidae; genus Homo; species Homo sapiens. Next base: position 31,701,473 of record NC_000021.9, on the reverse strand, counting down.
GAATTTTTCCATTTTTCTAGAAAACTTATGCTTACTTTGTTCACAATTCAGTGTATTTTCTCTTTTTTTGACCATCATATCATTGACATTGTCAGCATACATTTTTAACCTTAAGAAATGCACATTATATCTCTGTATATTCATTCACAACAAATTTAACCATTCATAAAAGGATTTTTTCCCCAATTTGTTCTGTGCCTATGCTACTTTGAATCACCTTTAAGACATTTTTTTATTAAATTAACTTTTGATAGTATGATTATACTTTGTTCTGTGATTTATTGGTTTTCCCATTCTTTAAGCTTCAGCAGATCCTTCAGACTTTTCAACAGCCTCCAAAACCACAGTCTCCTGCCCTTGACAATGCTGTGATGGCTCAGGTTCAGGCTATCACAGCTCAGTTAAAGACAACTCCTACACAACCATCTGAACAAAAAGCTGCTTTCCCCCCACCTGAACAGAAAACTGCATTTGACAAGGTATATTTCTCTCACATAACCCACCCCACCATTTATATCACTCAACTTGAGTTATGGAAATTATCACTTCTGTATCCCTTCTGTGGATTGTTCATTATGTCGTTTTGTAATTTGAGAGATTTTCCCCCTCAACAAGAAAACATCGATTATTTTCCCTGGTTTTAAATGTGATATGTGCTCAGTGCAAAAATTTCCAGGGTTTGAAGCTGAATTTACTAGTGTAAAATTAAAAAAGTGAAAAAAAAAAAAAAAAGAAAAAGTTAGGGAGTAAAGGAAACAGAAAATTCTTCATTAACCCCAATACTTGGGGATTACTGTGTAACATTTTGCCTTACATCTTTTCAGAATTAATTTCCTACAGATACATGCTTTTCTTTAATTGAGTATAATACATACCCACTTGTTTTGGTGTTAATACTCTTGTATCTTTTTTGTTGTTGTTAAGGTTAATAGTGGATTTAGATCTACATTTTTACTGAATGCATGTAATACATAGTATTCCACTACATGGGCACATTACAGTTCAGCCATTCCACTACTAATAGACATTCAAATTGCTTTCAGTTTTTTGCTGTTAAAAAAACCTGACAGCCAAGTGTGGTGGCTCACACCTGTAGTCCCAACACTTTGGGAGGTCGAGAACGGAGGATCCCATGAGCCCAGGAGTTTGAGACCAGCCTGGGCAACATAGTGAGACTCCGTCTGTGTTTATTTATTTTTAATATATATGTGTGTGTATTAATAATATATAGGTATTATTTTTAATATATAAAAATATATAAAATTATATATTATTTGTGTGTGTGTGTGTGAGTGTGTGTGTATTTTAACCTTAGTTACCATATATATAATATGAGGGTTTGGGAACCAGCTGGGTATGGTGGTGTGCACCTGTAGCCCTAGCTACCCAGGATGCTGAGGTGGGTGGGTTGCTTGGCCCCAGGAATTCAAAGCTGCAGTAAGCCATGATTGTGCCACTAGCCTGGGCAACAGAATGAGATCCTGTCTCTAAAAAACAAGCAACAACAAAAAAGAGGATTTGAGTTAGGTCAGTGTCTCAGCTGCTCTATCGGGCCTATAGGTTTCTTAGGCATGTTTAAGAAGCTGCCACTAAGGATATGGATATGCTGAACAGCTTAGAGCTTCTCATTGAAATTTAACCCTAACAGCTCCACTCTTGTCTGTTTTATTTGGTTTATGGCTTTATAAAACATCATTTGACTTTTCAGTTTTCACTGCAAAAAAACTCAAAAGTTTGAAAATCAGAACTGATGCCTTTGGTTTCATCATCTTTAAAATATCTGATTCTTTCCAACATCCTAACTATAAAAACAGAAGGACTTTATTGCCAATAGTCTAAATTAAAAATCCACCTAGTAAATACCAGTTTTCATTATATCTTAGTGATTTATGAGTGATGACTGATTAAACAAAAGTTGGATACATTTTTTTGAGTAAAAAGGAAATATATACTTGCAGAAAAAAAAAAAAACAAATAATACAGAAAGTTATAAAATAAGGAAAGAATTCCACACTGCAGTTTGAACAGATTTGTTCGTGTATATTCTTGCACTCTTGTTTGCATGCACATACGAACATAAACTCACATATTTGGTTTTCCTAGTTTTTTGTTTTATGTTGTGATTAGGAAAACTCCTCATTTGTATTAGAAAAGATTTCTATATTCTAGTAAGGTTTTTTTTATGATTGTCTGTTCAGTCCCTCTGGAATCTGTTTTAGAATATGGTTGAAGATAGTTAAACCATTATGTTTTTGAAAATAGCCAGTTCTCCCTCACTACTTTTTTATACACTAAATTCCTGTATGTTTCTGTGTCTTATCTCTGGACACTGTTCTATCCCACTAATATATTTGTTTATTTCTGCATCATAATAATTCTTGTGACAGACTGTCTTTCATTTCCTGGTATCCCGTCTCTCCCCCTCCCACTTCACTCTTTTTCAAACTCCCCCTCATACTTTTTCAAACTTTGTTCATTTATCATGAAGTGTATTAGTCAAGAGTTCCAGGGAAACAGAACCAGTAATTGAATCTACATCTGCATCTGTCTATCTAGATTCTTGAATGAAAGATAGATTTATCTTAAGAAACTGGCTCACGCAGTTGTAGGGACTAGCAAATTTGAAATTTGCAGGGCAGGTCAGCAGGCTGGAAATTCAGGAGTTAACATTGTAGGCCTGAGTCTGAATTTGCAGGATAGCAGACTAAAAACTCAGGCCAGGGTTTCTCTGTTGCACTGCTGAGGATAATTCCCTCTATCTCAGTTCTTATTCTTAATGCCTTCAACTGATTGATTGAGGCCCACTCATTATTGAGAGTAATCTGCTTTACTCAGAGTCTACTGATTTATTGTTACTTTCATCTAAAAAACACCTTCTCATCTAAAAAAACACCTTCACAGCAACACCTAGATTAGTGTTTGACTGTACAGCTGGGTACTACATAACCTAGGCAGGTTGACACAAAATTAACAGTCACAGCATACTTTTCCAGATGAACTGGAAAACTCTGTACATTTCTATGTCAGTGTATAGAATTCCTTTGAATTTATAGGTAAATTTAGGAAAAGCCATGATGGTGAGCATGTTTCTCTTATTAATGTGAATTCTAATTCCTCTAGTATTTAACCTTAAGTGGACTGGCCCATAAGTTTAGAAAAAGGAATTCTGTGCTTTTCTTTTGACTAAAAAGGTCTGTTTCAAGCTTCTCACTGGAAATAATTTGTCTGTTTCAGCTACTTTATAGATCTTCAGTTTCCTAAAAAGCAACTAAAATTTCTTTTTGGGTAGACCCCATTTTAATTTTTTAATTGCTTTAAGTATTTTAAAGCAGTATTCTTCAAACTTTAAAGAACATATTAATATGTAATAAACTGTGAAGATCATAGGTTTTGTTTTTTATAGGCGACTTTGACCAGATTTTAATTTTGGCTCCAATTACTTACAGACTGTCCTGTTGTTGAATTAATGTTTACTGTTCAGTAGTGTAAAATAAAGATGGTAGTAAAAATATTTTATTGTTGCCATGAGGGTTAAATAAAAATATGTAAAACAGCAAGGTACCTGGGCTGTGATGGTTCCTGTTCAGAAAATACTAACTTGCTCATTTGTAAGAACTTTACTCACTTGGCCTAGAACTACAAAGAAACATAAGTTAGCTCTATCCCAAAACACACTTTACACTTAGTTTAGTCCTATATACTGTGTTGTCTAAGGACAGAACTTTTCATTTGATTTAGAAATGTGTTGTTCAATAAAGCAAAACCAGAATCTCTAGGCAGAACTATTATAGAATGACAAGGTTCAGGAATTTAAGGTTGAAGTCTATAAGCAGAATGAGCACGGCTTGAAAGGAAAGATTGCTTATTGAAAGCCAGAGACTGAGGGCTTTGAAGTCAAAAGGACTAGTGTCCGCATCCTGATTCTACCATTCACTGACTGTGCAATCTTAATCATGTTTCTTAATCACCTGAGCCTTTGTTTCCTTGTCTGTAAAAAAGAAGAAACTATCTACATTGCAGTGTTCTTGTGATGAAGTCTATATGATCTGATACACATTAGTAGGTATTTAAGCATTATCTTTTTTCTGAATAAATCTTACTTAAAATTGTTCTTCTAGATATGTGATCTCATTAAGTCTCTTGAATTTTTTTTTACATGAAAGTTTCTGGTAAGCTGTGAAGTTATGAGAAAGAAGCAAGCGAACCTCTTAGGAACTGCTAGTGACTTTTTTGTGTCCTTGCCATTTTTTTTCTTTTTTTATATTAGTATATTCTTGAGGAAGCAGTATATGGACACTTTTCTATATGCATTATGGTGATTGAATAAGACAGTCTTTTTGTACATTTTATGCTGACTGAAAATGTATACCCATTTTCATGTGCACAAAGTTCCAGACATTTTTAGGCTAGGGAAATGAGTATTTTAGAAAAACATGTATGCTGCTAAATTACTTGTGAAATACACCAATAGAAAATAGAAAGCACTGTACTTACAATTGAGGAAGGAAAACAGAATGAAAACACTGTGTGTTTTCCAAACTGGCATCTGTGTAAAAATTGTTTATATCTACAAACCAAGGTCCTGAGGGGCATAAGGGAAAATAAGATTGTGCTTGACAATGTGGGTTTCTAGATGGTGGTAAACATCCCTTGTTTTCATAAAGTTTTTTGTGCAGTGAATCAGTCTAAATTTTAAAATGAAATATTGACATAATTATTCCAGAAGTTGCTTGATAGATTTGACTATGATGATGAGCCAGAAGCTGTGGAAGAATCAAAGAAAGAGGATACCACTGCCGTCACCACGACAGCACCTGCTGCCGCAGTACCCCCTGCACCCACCGCCACCGTGCCTGCTGCTGCTGCACCCGCTGCTGCCTCTCCTCCTCCTCCACAGGCACCATTGTTAGTTTTTTTTTTTATTCCTCAGCAGATAGAAAATTGGTAATAGTTGTAAGGCATAACCTAAGTAACATTTAGCAATGACAACAATGTTCTATGAAGTTGTTTTGTAAAATTTGTGGTATTAGTTTTCTCTTGAATGAGGAAGGGATCCTCTTAAGATTTAAAACCAAAAAATGGCTTTTATGTTGGGAATAATACTGAGTTTATAAATTAAATTTAATATATAGGTAAATATATGGTTCAGTAAAATGTTAATGACTCATGAACAACACTCTGTTTCTGTAATTTAAGTGTGGCTGAGAAGCTTGTGCTTTTGAATGGGTAAAAGATTATCCACCTTTTTTTAGTGGCTTTCCTGGAGATGGCATGCAGCAGCCAGCATACACACAGCATCAAAATATGGATCAGTTTCAGCCACGAATGATGGGAATACAACAGGATCCAATGCACCATCAGGTACAAGCATTTTTCTTGCAGTTCAAAGAAAGATCTATTCATTATAGAGCGTATGGTTTGCATTCCACAGAGCACTCTGCAGCTATGTAATTGGCTAAGTCGTACTATATCTCTGATAAAAGCTGTTGAACACGTAACTATTTTGAGTTGCTTTTTTCTGTAATTAAAACAAGGATGCCAAAATCACATGCTCATATTTTAATAATAGGCATTTTTTTAGTTAAAATAATGTAGAGATTACAGTTCTATTTGAAGAAACCGACCTGTTTAGTTATACAGCTTTTTCCCTTGGAAGGGCCTTCCTTCTGTATTTTGTGTGGTTAGATACTTTAGAGGGCTCTGAGCTCTGAACATTCAGGAATATAGTTTGAAATCCGCAATAAAAGGAGCATACATAGCACACTGGAGAGTTGCAGGAAGTTAGTAGAGATAAATTTGTTCCAGTAAATTCTCTCATTGAGTGTTTCTTAAACTTGATTCTGTATCTAAATTATGGGGATGGGGTGGGAAGCATTTTTGTTATTTCAAGTGTTTAACAATTACTGAAAGTTCATAAATAATTTAGAAAGAATACTTAAAGCATTATATTTATAGTTTTATTTGTGTTTAAACTGACATGCAGAAATATGTTAGATTGTAGTTTACTTTCATTATTATTATGATACTTTATTTGAAACTCTAAAAGTTGGGTATGTTAGTTGAAATTCCCCCTTGGTTATTTTTTTTTAAAGTAAACCTAGAAGTCATTGCTTCTAGATAGCCAGTTTTCCTCCCAAAAGGCTTAATTGTCTTTAAAGCTGAAAAGAGACCATTTGCAATGGAGTACTTCTGACTTGAAGTTCAGTTTATCACATTGCTTCCTTATGTAAATGAAGGTATTTCTTTAAATATTTAAAACTAAACCTGTGTGTTCATAATTTTAAAAAGAGTTACAGGATTTTTAACCTATATACTTGGTATGTAACAATTCTTGCGTGGAAATTGTACATATGGAAATTGTTAAACAATGTTGAATGTCGTTGTAACTTTTCCTTGATCAAACTTTATTGAGGATATTTTAGTTTTATATAACTAAAGGTTTTCCAAATTATTTTGATAGCTATTACTCATACACTTTCTTTAAAAATGAAAGGTTCCACTTCCTCCTAATGGACAAATGCCAGGATTTGGACTTCTTCCTACACCTCCATTTCCTCCCATGGCTCAGCCTGTGATTCCTCCAACTCCACCAGTGCAGCAGCCTTTCCAAGCTTCTTTTCAGGCACAAAATGAACCACTTACACAGAAGCCGCATCAGCAGGTAAAACTTTATTCTCAGATAGTTTTATCTTTTTTTGTTGCCTTGACTTATATGCAGATTTCTCCTTATTTGCTTGCTGTCTTCATTTTTGAATATGAAGAAAGACCTGGGTACATATTAAACCCTCTCAGTGCTCCAGGTTTTTCATCTGGAAAGTGGACATGCTAATACTGCCAACTTCCATAGGATTCTGTGAGGTTTGATATAGAGTGTTGAAGGCTTAACTAGTGCCTACTTCACTGCATTAGATAATGGTTTATTAAAATGGTATGTAATTTAAGCAAAGTAACTTTACCAGAAGTAGAGAAATATTTCTTTTAATCTTTTAAACAATATAAAAGTGGTTTTTGTTTTTGTTTTTTTTTCCCAGTGATGGCCAGTTGTTACTAGTAATTTGGTCCCAGGCAACCAAAAGAGAATTGCTTCAGGGAAGGAGATTTTTAATATAGCTTTTGTTAGATTTTGTCCTCTTGCTTTTATACTTTTTAAATTTCTCATTTTATCATGGTTTTTGTTTTTTAAGGAAATGGAAGTAGAACAACCTTGTATTCAAGAGGTTAAGCGACATATGTCTGATAACAGAAAGTCAAGATCTAGGTCAGCATCCAGGTAATTTATAGAAAATGTTTTTTCCAACCCTGTATATCTTAGGGGACATAGAAATTAAAATTAGATTGGGTTATTTTCAGATATTCAGAATGTTAGTAAAATAACAGTTGGTATGTTTGTATTTGTATATGTGTGTAGAAGGGGGCAGGTGAAGTATTGATGTAAAAAAAAAAACTACATCATTCATCTTACTTTTTTTCCCTATATTTAAGTTGCTCAGATGTAACGGAATTTTGAAGATATAATTCTATACATAGGTAATCAGTATGTGATATTAGAAGAACTATATTTTCAAAGTTCCATTACAGCTTTATCAGCCAGCAAAAGTGGAAAGATCACAGTAATGCTGTAATCAGAGAATGTTTTTAATTGCTGCAGAAAAGACTTTACTAAGAAGATAGGTAACAGTAGTAGCAGTGTATCTCAACTGTGAAAATTAGCTACTTAAATTACAAGGATGTAATTTTATATAGTACCAGACGGCACTGAAGATGACAGATACTTATATAAGCTGTCAACATTGTGTATTTTATTTAAATAATGTGCATGATTTCTAATTTGGGACATACTAAATCTGTAAAATGAATTCTCAGGTATTGCATTCTTACATACCCAAACATTAAATTACCTAGTTTTTGTTCTGTTTTAATTAGTATGTGCTTATATTTTCTGGTTTTTGTCTATATGCTATGCATTCTCCCTTCTCTTGAAAACATTAGGTCACCAAAAAGGAGGCGATCTAGATCTGGTTCTAGATCTCGAAGGTCTCGGCATCGACGTTCTCGATCTCGGTCCAGGGATAGACGCCGACATTCTCCCCGATCTCGATCTCAAGAAAGACGGGATCGAGAAAAAGAGAGAGAACGTCGACAAAAAGGCCTCCCTCAAGTGAAACCGGAAACTGCAAGTGGTAACTCAACCTTTATATTCAAACCTCATGTACTATTTTTTCATGTCTTGGGTTTAAAGTGTTTTATAACTGTTAGCAAAACTATAAAAGAAATGTTACCACTGTGTTGATTTTTATTTGAAATATTGCTTTCTTGTGCCTTGTTTATTCATTGATGTATACCCTTAGATTTGCTTTCGTACCTTAAACCAGCTATAAAGCAGCAGTAAGGAGTGAACCAAAAATTTACAGAATGTATTCACTTGCATTATTTTCTGAATCTCATCAGATGTCTTCAGAATACATTTAGTAAGGTGTGCTAGACATATATTTGATATAAATCAGTAACTATTAAGATGACTAAGATTTTAATTTATAATATGACTAGGGCATATGTAAGATTTCTGATTCCATAAGGCTTATCACCTAGGACACAACATAAAAGAAAAACCATCAACACTTAAGAGTGGAGAAAGGACAGTTACATGCAAGTGAACAAAGCACTGAGCTGGTTGGTAATCAAGAGACTTGAGCTCCAATCCTAGTTCTGCTGTTCATTGGCAGGGTGAGGTGGGCAAGTTATTGCTTCCCTGGCTTCAGTTTTTATAGATGTAATCTTTAGATCCATCTACAAAAAAACCAGTTTTTTCCAACTTTTATGTATATCTTTCACTATCCCAGTTCTCTTTCTGGAAGTACTAATGCAGTTTTCTAGAATTTTTAAAATGTATGTGAGATTTACTATTTAAACTTGTGGTGTTGTAATATAGTTCATGAATATTTTGTGTAATGATTTTTTAATGTAAGCTACAGTGCTGCTCATTATCAAATGTGAATCTCTTTATGATTGTAATTTTATTTTAAGTTTGCAGTACTACCCTCTGGGTGGGGCAGCTGGACAAAAGAACTACTCAGCAGGATGTTGCCAGTCTCTTGGAAGAGTTTGGTCCAATTGAATCAATTAATGTGAGTGTTTATTCAGTTTTTTAAGTACGATGGACAGGTGTGATTAATGTCATTTTATGAAATGGAGGACCTGAGACCAAAGTTACAATTTGCCCAGGTTTATAGATGTGACTAGAATTTAGGTGTTCAGAGTCCACGTTTAGAATTATCTGTATTTAACATTTCTTAGAATTCTTTGTATTTAACATTTCTTGGATAACCAAGTTTAATTTCAAACATTTCTAGGTAAGTCTTTATATAACAAAGCTTGGAGGACTCAGTTGAGACCAAACTTGAATTGCCAACTTAGAAATGAATTTAACCTTACATTATATAGCATGGGGTGAGGGATGGGATTGTTGGAACTGCTTACTTGGTGTTGTATCTTGTTGCTTTTCAATTTTGTTATCTTTTATAATATTAAAATGTTTTGGAGCAGATGATTCCTCCCAGGGGTTGTGCCTATATTGTTATGGTTCATAGGCAAGATGCCTATCGTGCCCTGCAGAAACTGAGCCGAGGAAACTATAAAGTGAACCAGAAATCCATAAAGGTACAGTCTTACATGTTATAATTAATTTTTTTTTTAAATAGGCAGAAGGGGAAAAATATGTGGCATATAAAAACTAATTTGGGTCTTCGAAATGACTTTCAACACTGAGGCATTTCATGTGCATCTTTTTTTTTTTTTTTTTTTAAAGAATATTTCCTAAAAGAACTCCAGTGTTTCAGCATAAAATTGTAAATGTTACGTGCATGGTAGAATTTGTTTTGTTTTGTTTTTCCTAAATGTAGATGGGTTCATCATGGTAAATTAGTGCTTTAAATATAATGTCTTTTAGCAATATGTTTTGTCCTGTTCAAAAAATTTGGATACTGTATTTTTAAAGTTTGCCATCTTAGAATTAACTGAAAAATATTCACCAAAGGTGGAGAAAAACATATAGGTATATGGGTATTTTTCCCCTAAGGAGCTAAAGTCAGTGTTTCTTCAGTGTCTTAACACCCCATTCTACCGCTGGATTGCACTGCAAAAAGATTTTGTCTGATGTTAAGTAATTACAAGGCACCCCTAGACTTGGAAAAGTAGTCCCCAGTATACTACTAGGCTATTCAGGGAACTTCAGCCTTTCCCTGTTAAACTTTTTCCTTTTCTCTAAGTTTTATGTTGGCTGGGTTGGGTGAGAGTTGGTAAGGAGAAGATGCCAGTGAAATTTCCATCCTAGGACAAAGTGAGAATTAAAGGGTAACCAGTTCTGTAGTGAGAATAAGGCTTTGAATGAGATCCAAGCCTAGCTGGTCCAGATTGCTCCCTTGGTGCCCGAGTCGGAATGGATAGAATGATAGAGAATAATACCCTCAAGACTTACGACCTTGCTTTGTTTTCTTTTTATATTTTCACTAATGGTGAAATAGATTGCCTGGGCCTTAAACAAAGGAATAAAGGCAGATTATAAGCAGTATTGGGATGTAGAACTTGGTGTTACTTATATTCCATGGGACAAAGTCAAGCCTGAGGAACTGGAGAGTTTTTGTGAAGGAGGAATGTTGGACAGTGACACACTTAACCCAGGTAAAGCAGTATTTAATTTCTCTTACAGTTCACTTATTTGCTTGGTAGTACATATGACAAATCGAATGTCCTGTTCCTTGCATTAGGACGTGATTTTTGAGATTTTTTAGGATCCCTCCTGTGTCAGTATCTCCATTATAAACTGAGGGTTAAATAGTGAATGAGACAAAAGAGATGCAAACACAAGTGAAATACTTAACTGATTATGGGATCTATGAATTACAGAATTAAGTAGAACTTTTCCTGTGAAACTTAATAAATCATATAGGTCTTAACTGAGCATCTTTGGTATTATGTTTTTTTTTATTTATTTTTTGAGGTGGAGTCTCTGTAGCCCAGGCTGGAGTGTAGTGATGCAATCTTGGGTCACTGCAACCTCTGCCTCCCAGGTTCAAGCCACTCTCCTCCTTCAGTCTCCCGAGTAGCTGGGACTACAGGCGCGTGCCACCTTGCCCGGCTAATTTTTGCATTTTCAATAGACACGGGGTTTCACCATGTTGGCCAGGCTGGTCTCGAACTCCTGACCTCAAATGATCCGCCCACCTCGACCTCCCATAGAGTTGGCATTACAGGCGTGAGCCACTGCACCTGGCCTGGTATTGGGTTTTAATCCAGTGCTTCATGATAATTACCTTGGAAAGTTTTAGATGTCCAGAGAAGCAATCTAAAGTAAACGTGTAAGACAATGAATTGCAGTTATTTGTGGGCATAAATATTTAAAATGCCAGATTGACAGTGAGATTGCAGGGGGGAAAATCACAGAATGCATGGGCATGACCTGGAGATTGCTAGACAGAGGAACAGGAGGAGCATAGGATGGCATGGCAGTATAGAATGTTTTTTGTTGTTTTTGTTTCGTTTTGAGATGGAGTCTTGCTCTGTCACTAAGGCTGGAGTGCAGTGGCATGATCTTGGCTCACTGCAACCTGTGCCTCCCGGGTTCCAGTGATTCTCCTGCCTCAGCCTCCCAAGTAGCTGGGACTACAGGCGCGTGCCACCGTGCCATGCTAATTTTTTTGGTATTTTTTTTAGTAGAGAAGGGGTTTCACCATGTTAGGCTGGCCTCGAACTCCTGACCTCAGGTGATCTGCCTACTGCCTCAGCCTCCCAAAGTGCTGGGATTACAGGCGTGAGCCACCATGCTCACCCTCACCGCCCTCAGAAAGAACATTTAAAGGAAGCTTCAAGGCCAGGCACGGTGGCTCATGCCTGTAATCCGAGCACTTTGGGATGCTGAGGCAGGCAGGTCACTTGAGGTCAGGAGTTTGAGACCAGCCTGGCCAACATGGTAAAACCCCATCTTTACTAAAAATACAAAAAAAAAAAAAAAAATTAGCTGGATGTGGTGGCGGGTGTCTGTAATCCCAGCTACTTGGAACGCTGAGGCTGGAGAATCACTGGAACTCAGAAGATAGAGGTTGCAGTGAGTTGAGATTGCGCCACTGCACTCCATCCTGGGAGACAGAGCAAGACTCTGTCTCAAAAAATTAAAATAAAATAAAGGAAGCTTCAAGCAGGAGTGACGGTTTCAGAGCCAAAAAGAGATGAAACAATGCTGTACTATTCCCACATCCCACTCCCTCCCTGGATGTACAAAGCCTTCATCTAAGGATAGAGCTAGATTTGTGTTAAGGCAATCAGGTATTGAGGGCCTACTATGTGCTGGACATCTGGGAGGCGCTAGACAGTGGTAAAAAGAAGAAGATGGTGTAATCTTGGGGCTCATGGTCCAGTGGAGAATGTATTGAAAAGCTCAAGAATATAGGAGAATCTGATGGAGCCAGAGCCTCAGAGGACGGAGCAGAAAGACAGTTTTGTTTTCACTTGACTAGAAGATATGTGGAAATAGGTGGGAAGTTTAAGTTATTCTTTAATATTAGTGAAATGTGTTCAGGAAATATTGGGTGTTTCATTATCCTTTATTTCTAATACTTTAAATAATACATTCTTGTGGTTAAGAACATGGACTCTAGAACCAAATGTGTCTGAGTTGAATCCGTCCCTGCCATTTACCAAGAATGTGATCTTGGGCAAGCTGTCTTTGCTTTTCTCATTTGTGAAATGGGAATAATAGTAGTATCTACTTGTAAATGGTTGTGAGAACTAAATAAGCTAGTATAAATAGAGTGCTTGTGACAGTGCCTGGCACACAGTATGCATTCTTTTACATGTTTCTATTGTTGTTAATTTAAATAATTACTATTTCTAAAATTAGCATGGGAATTTCTTTAATAACTGGGCTAGGTTTTTATAATCAACATTTTTCATTTCTAGATTTAAAGTTACAAACTGAAAATGGTAAACTCTTGTTAAATTTCTTTCACGCTCACAGATTGGAAAGGAATTCCTAAGAAGCCTGAAAATGAAGTTGCTCAAAATGGAGGTGCTGAAACCTCACACACAGAACCAGTATCACCCATACCTAAACCATTACCTGTGCCTGTCCCTCCTATTCCTGTTCCTGCACCTATAACAGTGCCACCTCCACAGGTGAGAATATTGGGACATGACTTAAACTTTAAGTGCCTGAAAGGTCCCTTTCTAAATCTTACTGTAGATATATGTCTGGATTCATAGTAAAAAACATGAGTACATATATGTGCATATTACATTTTTCATGTTTTATCAGATTTAAATTTTATATTCTTCACTTTTTTTTTTTTTTTTTTTTTTTTTTTTTTTGAGACAGAGTCTCTCTTTGTTGCCCAAGCTGGAATGTGGTGGTGATGTTGGCTCACTGCAACTTCCACCTCCCAGATTCAAGCCGACCCTCTTGCCTCAGCCACCTGAATAGCTGGGATTACAGGATTACAGGCATTTGCCACCACACCTGGCTAATTTTTGTATTTTTAGTAGAGACGGGGCTTCACCATGCTGGCCAGGCTCGTATCAAACTCCTGGCCTCAAGTGATCTGCCTGCCTTGGCCTCCCAAAGTGCTGGGATTACAGGTGTGAGCCACCGTGCCTGGCCCATAAATGTTTATACAACCAAAATAAATGTATATTGTCTTACATCTATCCATCCAGATTATTCAGTATCAAGTTTCATAGGCTCTGCCTACTTTTTTTCTGAGTCTTCATTCTTCAGGGACTTTGTGTCCTGAAGAAACTTGGATATGTACCCAATAAGCTGCTGCTTTGAGGGACAGGGATTTTCTTAATTTTCACCTTGGATGCTATCCTTATGAAATTTTTAAATGGATTGAAAACTTCATAATAAATGCCATTTAACATGAAGATGTGTTCTTATTATAAAATATTTGCTGTCTAGTCAGCCAACCTGTTACTTGAAAAGCAATACTAGATTCTGGTAGAACTGGGTTTAATTCTCAACTCTGTTGTTTATATTCAGCAGTATGGTATTTGGCATGTAACTTCACTTATAAGCTTCAGTTTCCTATTTGTAAATGTGCAAATTCCCTTTCCTGGCTTTGGCATTCCTCATGTGTTAGAGTTGTTTTGAGGGTTAAATGAGATAATATATGTTAAGTACTCAGTATGTTTTTTGTCACGTCATAAGGGCCGAAAAATGAAAAACCCTTTGAAAATTATAAGAACTTGACCCATAGTTCTATGTGTGATCTACTGGATTTTTCTTGTCTTCCTTCCTCAGTTTCTCACATTAAATCTGAATCAGATAAATCTGAGCTATCATGAAAGTGAATTGTGTCTTCATTTTCTCAATGTGAGGGGAAAACTGTATGCTTTGGTACATTCTTGGCTGTGATTTAAATGGACTCCCCTAGTTGGCAAACTCTTCAGCTGACCTTCTGGATATGCCCCTCCAGTGCAGGTTCTAAGCAAAATTCAATGTGTGTCAGCACTCATTTACAGAAAGCTGCCTGATCTGTTCAGATAGTGGTCTCCAACCTTTCCGGCACCAGGGACCAGTTTCTTGGAAGGCAATTTTTCCATGGACTGGAGTGGAAGATGGTTTCAGGATAAAGCTGCTCCACCTCAGATCATCAGGCATTAGTTAGATTCTCATAAGAACTGCACAAGCTAGATCCCTGACATGTGCATTTCACGACAGGGTTCATGCTCCTATGACAATCTAATGCTGCCGCTGATCTGACAGAAGGCAGAGCTCAGGAGGTGGTGCTTGCTTGCCCACTGCTGTGTGGCCCGTTTCCTAACAGGCCATAGACTGGTAATGGTCCGTGGCTGGGGGGGTTGTTAAAATTTATCTTAAAAAAAAAAATAGCTAACGTTTGTTGGGTATTTAAGTGCCAGGCACCAGCACTTAGTATGTATTAACTCATTTAATCTGCATAATTATGTGTGGTTGGCACTTTGCCGTTTTAGAGAATTTAAATAGCTTGCTCAAGGTCACACAGCTAACTAAAGCGGGTGGGAGAAGCAGACAGTTTGGCTCCAGGACCTGTGATCTTAGCCATTGTGTAAATTGCCAAGTAGCCTGTCTTAAAGCTGTGTTGCTGAAAGGACCATGGAACATTTTAAAATGTATTACATGATGTCAGAACACCAATAAACACTGGTGAAATATAGTGTGAAATTGCTGTCATAAAGTGAAGAGCGCAACTTTGATTTCTTTCTTTCTTTCCTTTTTTTTTTTTTTCTTTTTTTTTTTTTGAAGACCAAGTCTTGCTCTGTCGCCCAGGCTGGAGTGCAGTGGTGCAATCTCGGCTCACTGCAACCTCCACCTCCCGAGTTCAAGCAATTCTCCTGCCTCAGCCTCCGGAGTAGCTGGGATTACAGGTGCTTGCCACCACACCCAGCTAATTTTTGTATTTTTAGTACAGACAGGGTTTCGCCATGTTGACCAGGCTGGTCTTGAACTCCTGACCTTAGGTGATCCGCCTGCCTCGGCCTCCCAAAATGCTGGGATTACAGGTGTGAGCCACCACACCCGGCCCACAGCTTTGATTTCTATCAGTTGGTATGAATAGAAGTTAACTACCACCTGTTATTTAATAAATTGGTCTAATAAGCACAAATTAAGAAACATCTATTTTTTCAACAGTTTGCTCTTTTATCTGTGCTTACTGTGTGGATGGGAGGGTGTCTAGATAGGTGGTTTATTCTTTTATCTTTCTTTCTAGGTCCCACCACATCAACCGGGTCCACCTGTAGTTGGTGCTCTCCAGCCGCCTGCTTTCACGCCTCCTCTGGGAATACCGCCTCCAGGCTTTGGTCCTGGTGTTCCTCCTCCCCCTCCTCCTCCACCATTTTTGCGCCCAGGATTCAACCCAATGCATTTACCACCAGGTACACTAAATTGTCTGTGAACATACTTTAGAGCCTGCGATGGAGTGATACAGCATAAGTTGACATTATTTTTCTTATTCTAGGTTTTCTGCCTCCTGGACCCCCACCTCCTATAACTCCACCAGTATCCATTCCTCCTCCTCACACTCCACCAATAAGCATCCCAAACTGTAAGCATGTTTTTTTCTTTGTGTTTGCTTATCCTCTTGGAGCTGGGTGTAGGAGGGAGAGTGAAGCGGTAATAGGATCTATAGTATGGCATAAGAATGTTGACCGGGAGATAATTAATTATTCAGCTTCACATGTTGATATAATTATATTCCTTAGCTACTATCGCTGGTATAAATGAAGACACTACAAAAGACTTATCTATTGGAAATCCCATTCCAACAGTGGTGTCTGGGGCTAGAGGAAACGCCGAGTCTGGTGACAGCGTGAAAATGTATGGCTCTGCCGTGCCACCTGCTGCACCCACGAATCTGCCCACCCCTCCTGTAACCCAGCCTGTTTCACTTCTTGGTAAGTTATTTTTTTTTATCATTAGTTTTCCTTGCCCCACCCCCCCCCCACCCCCCCACCCATCCCCAAGTTAGATTTTTTTAAAAAAACAATGTTAATTTTGGTAAAATTATTTCCAAGACTGGCTTTTTTGGTTGTTTTGTTTGTTTGTTTGTTTTTGAGGAAGATCTTCCTCTTAAAGTCAAATATGTGTACTTGATCTTTACCAAGAGAGAATCTCAAAGACAAAATCATGTTTGTCTGTCTTGAATAAAAGTTTGGATCTTCACATCCTTATTTGGTATAGAAAAATGATTAAAAGTAATCTCTGTGCAAAGGAATTGGTACAGAGTTCGTAATTCACTTAACCTTAGTCTCTTCCCAGCTTTTAGGAGATACTTCTTTAACGGCATAGGTTTTTCTCTGTCTGGACCAATTATTATCTATCTGAAACCCCTGGACTTGGGTAGCGTTCTTTGTGGGCTAGCAAAGAAATCATCTTTGATACATTCCAATAAAATGGCTTTGTTTTCTAAGTAACAGTTGCGCAGCCTGAGGTACCACTTTCCCACTCACTCTCAGTTTACTTGGCTGGAGTTTATCTGTTGTACTTTTTACCCACAACTTCAATACTGTGATCAAGGGCGATGTGACTTAGATCTTTTACATCTTTAAGCAGGCTTACTCTTGCCTGCTTAAGTTATGAATAAATACATCACATGCTTGTTACAGTAGACCATCTTTTAAATTAACAAATTGTTGTATTTGAAGTGGTATTGCCAAATATAATTAACACTTGAATCCCCTAACTGGAAGTTAATATCTTGAGAGTATTACAGTGTTCTAGTCCTGTGAGCCCATAGTATTTTTCAAAGGTATATGCATATGCCTGTTTGCTTTCATAATCTGAGTTGTTTTAGGAAAGAACCTATTGATTACCTCTGAGATGTAGGACTGTGAGACATTGGTTTGTAATGGAGGACTTTTACTTTTCACCTATGCTATTCAGTACTGTTGGAATTTTTTATTTTTTGCATGTACTATATTTATAATAAAAAAACAATTTGTTTTTAAATGGTATACTGTATTCTGCCCTCCCCTAGACTAAGCTTAGGCTGATAATAGCCTTGAGTTTATTTCCCTTAGTACACAGATTGGGTAATGGTAAAAGAGGATTTGGGATTAAAATTTATCACAAGTGATACAGGAGTGTAGTTACCATAATGATGGAAAATGATTTGTTTAATGAGGAAGTTGCTTAAGAGGTCTACCTTCCAATGGAAGTCATATCATAGAAGGAACATTGGACTAGGAACCAGGGAACATCTTTGCATCTTTTTTGTTATGCTTTTTTTTTTTTCATATTAACATGATTGCACAAGAATCACAGAATCTGGATAGCAACCCCTTCTTCACATCCCACATACACACCCTTGATTATGAATCCTAATCTAAGGTCCATGGATGTTAGACTACCTGAAACTATTTGTAAAATTGCTGCATTTGTGTTTTTTACTGGGTTTAATAAATTTATTGAATGAGTGAAAAGATCTCATGAACTCCAGGAGTTTAATAACCACTGCTTTCAAGCAACTGTGAAGCGTAGTAAGTAGCCTGCCTGTGATTTAACATTTAGGTCTTGAAGACCCTGCCTGTTATTTCTTATCACTACTGAACATACAATTTAACCTCTGCATCCAACATGTGCAACCAAACACAGATGAGAAGTCGGTGAGCTTGGAAAAACATAGTAAGCTAGGCATGGCTAGAAAAGTAATTAAATTCTGAATCAGTCGTAGCGTTTATCATCACCTGACATACTGTTTGCATGTCCATCTTCCTCCCACTAGATGGACCCATGAGAGGGGAACATTTGTTACATGAGCGGGTGGTTTTCAATGCAGGACTGTTCATATTTTACTTCTGATGATTATCTTCGTTCTAAAACAGAATTTTAAAATTGAAGGCTATTCTAAATCCAGAAGGGTTTAGAATTTGACATAAGAAAAGTGAAAACAATTTTGTTAAAATAAGCACTTTGAACTAAAATGCAATATGTTAGTTCAGTCATGAGAAAGAAAGCCTTCCATGTGCCTTCAGTCAGCAGTCTTGAAAAGAATATCACAGGAATTTTGACCTTATAGAGGAATGAGTTTTAAATGTGTATGCAAGTTAAGAAGGGTTCATCTAAGACTAACCAGTTTTATCATTTTGATAAAGGAATGTGGTGACCACACTGCAGTATTGCAGTACTAAAGGATCAGTAATTAGGTTGGGATAACAAGTGATGGAATCCCAGAACTAAGATGCTTTGGTATTTCCTCTTGGTGCTCTAATGTTTTCTTTTAAGATAATAAAAGGAATTGTTATGCTCACCAGAAAACTATAAGTCTAGAAGTTGATGCTAAACTTCAGTTTTCTCATCTCTAAAGGGGGAGAAAAATGACAAACACAATGGTGTCACGATGATTTAATGGGCTAACATCTATAAAACACTTGCTTTGGGGCCTGCTGTAGGGCAGGCACTTAGTGAGTGGTGGGTGCTTATATTACAGGTAAGAAATGTCATAGATGTTATTTATAAGACCTAGAGAAGAATATCTTTTGCAATTCTAAAATTACATTACTTCATCTGTGATTCGTTTTAAACTGTTATATTGGCAGACAGAGGAAGCAAACTTTTTTTTTTTTTTGAGATGTGTCTCACTCTGTCGCCAGGTTGGAGTGCAGTGGCGCAATCTCATCTCACTGCAGCCTCCGCCTCCCAAGTTCAAGCGATTCTCGTGCCTCAGCCTTCCAAGTAGCTGGGACTACAGGCGCGTGCCACCACGCCCAGCTGATTTTTCTATTTTTAGTAGAGACAGGGTTTCACCATGTTGGCCAGGATGGTCTTGATCTCTTGACCTCGTGAGCCACCGCACCTGGCCTACTTTTTAGGAAAAAATTTATCTTGACATAGTTGCCTCAGATATTTTCGAGATAGATTAGATCATAAATTTACACATATTAAAGTTCCATCAGTTGGCTTAATGAGAAAATGTGTCAGTTTAGTGATAAATAGCACACCTACTAGATATCTGTAGTTTTTCCAGTGAGCGAGACTTAACTGAGTTCTTGGATCTTAATTTGTGAAATGTGGCAATATTTTTAAAGTACTAGGCACCAAACAGTTGTTCAGTGGGTCTCCAAAAATTCTGTAGTGAAGCCTGATTATACTGGAAAGAGGCAGTGGGTGCCTTAAGGATGGTTTGGTTGTATCATCAGACTTAAGTGCGGGTGTTAGTTTGGGAGTAATTAGTTGAGTTGTACTACTGAATTTGGAGGGAATAAAACCAACTTTTAGAGATTTTGATTCTTTTAGTAATACTGATAATCTGAAAATATAAAATTACTTGATGCGCAATAATTATTACTTGATTTTAAAGAAATCTCACACACCCAAATAGCTACAGTGGTGGTAGTTTCATAAAAGCTAAAGGTAACATTCTACAGTTGTTGGTCACTTAGGAGAGAAGGAATATTACAAATGATAGCAATTCAGTTCATTCTCTTTACTGTATAAGTGTTTGTGTTTTACTTTTCAAAAACTTTTGTATAACATGTATCTCTAATATGTACAACCTATTTTTATTAAAAAGTTCATTGTAAATGTAAAGTTTGGGTTACTTTGGTGTTCCAAACAATAAAAAAGAATACACAAAAAAATGTTTGTTTGTGTTACCTATCTGTACTGTGTTACCAGTATATCCAAAATATCTTTTCAAGCAAAAACTGTTCTAGGTCGAACTCATTCCTTTTATGGAAAATTAAAGCCTCTTGACAAGTATGTTTATTCATTAATTATCAATATGAAGAGATTACCACCAGTTTTTGTCACACTACTGTAGCTGATGGTAAAATTTATAAATAAGAGTTGAGTATTTGTAAGATCACTTCCTACTTGTAATTTTTGTTACCAAAGGTTTTAAAGCAAGAGTAACAAGTTGGTGGCCTGTGGCTAAATTACTAGGCAGTGGTGTGCTGCGCTGCAGTCCTGGCATGGCTTCAGTAGACATTTGAGTTGATGATTCCAGATTTGGACACCTCAGGAAATTGTGGGGACAGAATTGGTTTGTGAATTATATTTAAACAAGCGCAAATGTTTTTATGCTATCGTTATGATCCCTGAAACTGCCTAAAAGATGAATAACTTTGCCAGCAATATCAATAGGAATTTGATTTTGATGATTTCACTTAAGTTTGGATTTCTTTGCCCAGTTTCTGTCTAGAATTTTAGATTTTTTAGTAGCTCATTTTTAGCAACACTTACTAGAATATTAAAGCACCAGTCTACTAGTAATGCACTAGTTAGCCACTGACATTAAAAGGAAGCCTGAAGAAAATTCTAGAAAGTAGAGTTTTCAAAGTACTAACATAATACGTAATTTTTTAAAAAACAATTTTTGTGTTTTAATTTTGTTTGAATTTTGATGTTTGGTTACATTAAATTATAAGCTAGAGTGATATATCAGGTATTTAATTTGGTACCCAAAAAGCCTGTTTACTTATCCTATAAAAGTGTTCTTCTTTGAAAGCTTTAAAATATTTGAATTGGTACTCTAATTATTGTATTAATGTTATTCCACTAGTGTTATATAGTAGAAATGGTTCTTAAATACGAATTACAGTACCTTCAACTTAGTATATAACCTTGTTCATTGGATACAGTGGATAATGCAAAATAGTGATTAATCTAGAACAAATACTTGGCGTGGATATGAATTTACACATGAACACACCATAGTTTCTCCCAAGGCAAAGCACTTCAAATGAAACATGGAGAAAGTCTTGCAGAAAACCTTGAAATGTTTTAACACATTGTCTCCATTTCTCCTGGGCTGTCACTTGTTAGGCTGCTCCAGAGTGCAAGTCTGAAGAATGGCTTAAATGTAAATCTCTCTGAGGGACATCTTGAGGAAGGTGGGAGGGGCAGTAACTCTGGGCTCTAGATTGATTTTGGTAGACAAAGTTAATTGCTGTAAAGAATTTCAGGTAAGATTTTTTTCCGGCTAATATTGAAAATAAAATTGCCTACAGATAATCTCATTCAGTGATAGAAAGTTAACTTTAGATTTCAAGTTTATTGACTCTAATAGTGAAATTTTAACTCATAGCTATTGCACTTTGTCAATTATAGTAACATACTTAAGTAATTATTATTATGCTAACTGAAATTCCAAAAAGCAAATCTGTAGGAAGTTGACCATGCAGAGCCTACTGTACATTATTTTGAAAAAACCAAGCATTTAAAAAAGGTAATCATTCTCCAATTTCACTTATAATTCTGTTTTTCATGTATTAGATGTTATCAAAATATACCCTTATGCCAAAAATAGATGAGTCACATCTCAGTATATCTGCATTATATATTATTGAAAACTCAAATTTCTCTTAAGAATCTCTTGCTAACATTCTAAGCATCATTTTTAAAATATAATCTTAATGTATAATACAATCTGAAAGATGCTTTTTCTCATTCTTTGAAAATTGGCTCCTTATTCTTCCATTTTCCGCAGCTCTCAGAACATAGTGCCTTCTATAAGAATAACCCAGGAGTGTTTTCAGAATAAATAGGCCTAAATGTTATTGGTGAATCTATGCAAAGGAAATAACATGTTGGTTGTACTGTTATTTCAGTTTTCTGCAGGTCTGAAATGGAAAAAGGATAATACTTGCTGATTAAAAAAAAAACCTAGGGATATATGCTTAGGGATCTTCAGGTATTGATGAAAGAGATGAGTGGTTGATACATCTTTTTCTTCATGTGGGAAAAGTTCATGTTTAGTTCATGCAAAGTGCCACAGTGACACTCATTCTGTAGAGATCAAATCAAAACGGTGGAACTGCAACAAAGAACAGAAAAGGAGGTTGAAAGAAAACATCCTTTCTCAAAGTTCAAGTCCTCCTAGGTTTATGCTGGGAAGATTCTTACCACCCTGGGAAAAGACCTGGAGCTTGTAGCCTCTATTCTTAATTCCCTGAGAGGTATCTTCTCCTTGATGAGTTTGGTCATCACCTCTGCAAACACCATTCACTCATATGTTCAATAAATATCTAATCAATAACCATTGTGTGCCAGGCACCCTTCTAGGTATACTAGAAATACCAGAATGAACAAAACAAAACCTGTCTTTCTGGAGTTTATATTTTCGCAGACCTGGGCTAATAATTTAACATGGAGAGTAAAACAGGACAGTTAGGCAGTATAAGGGTGTAACACGGATATGTACAATTTTAAATACGATTGCTAGGGAAGGCATCTGAACCAGTAATGAAGAGAATATCCCCATGTAAATACAGAGGAAAGGAATGTAGAGTGAGGACCAAAGGAAAGGGGGCCTGAATTGAGATGGGGCATGGATTGTTGAAGGACCACAGCAGGAAGGGAGAGCAAAGGGAAGAAAGTGGCAGGAGATGAGCTTAGAGAAGGTTGTTGAGCACTAGGCTTTGAGTGCAGTGGGAAATGGTGTAGAGTCTTTTATCCATGCCATGATCTGATGTGCAGTTTTTAAAGTATTACTGTGGCTGTTAGAGAAACAGACTCTAGAAGTTGGTAAGAGTGGAAAGGAGACCGGTTCTGATGCTGTTGCAGCAGATGAGATGGGAGCTAGCCCACGTTGGGCTGGTGCAATGGAGGTGATAAGTGGTTAGAGTCTGAAGATATTTTGAAGATAGAGCCTTCAGAATTGCCATATTACTTAAATACGGAATGCGAAAAAGAGTCAAGAATGACTCGTTTTTTATGTGAGCAACTGGTAGATGTAATTGCCATTCCTGTGATGCGCAAATCTGTAGGAGTGGGTTTGAGGGGAGCCTATCAAATTAAAATGTTGGATATTCTAACTTTGATACCCAGGTACAGATGTCAAGTAAACTACTGGTAACATCTAATAGAGCTGCAAATTCTGGCATCTTCAGCAGATAAAGATAATATTTAAAGCCGCAGGAGCCTGTGAGATTACCTAAGGAGAAAATGTAAATAGAGAAGTGGTGAGAGGTCTGAGGACAAAATTCTTCAGCATTTGGCAGCTAAGAATATGATGCTGTGAGACTAAGGTAGACATAGTTCCACGTGCCAGAAACTCTTAAGCAGTTTGTGTATATTAATCATTTAACCCTTGCAGCCCTCAGGGTTATCTTCATTTTATAGATGGGGAGACTGAAGCACTTGGAGATGAAATAACCTTCCAAGGGTCACATAGCTACAAGTAGCCGTGTTAGAATTCAAGGTAGCCCCACTCCAACAGGAGCCTGTGCTTTTGACCACTATCTATACTGTACTCTCCAGCAAAGGATGCTGAGAAGGTACAGCCCGTGGGCTAGGATAAAAATGTAGAGGGAGATAATCTGAAAGCCAAGTAGAGTTTCTAGGCAGGAAAGAGGGGGAGAGAGGTGAACTATCAGATGACACTGATGGATCAAGAAAGAGCGCTGCGACTTGGCAGCTGGATTTAGCAAAATGAAGGCTCCTGGTGACTGTGAGAAAAGTGCTTTCATTGGATTGATGAGTTCAAAAGCCCAGTTACATAGGGTTGTGAGAGACTGGGAGATGAAGGATACAATTAGGATTTTGAACATCTCAGGAGATTTGCTATAGAGGAGAAAAACAAGATGGGGTGATACCTGAAAGGAGATGCAGGGTGAGGGAGTTTTTAATTTTTGTTCTTGTTTCTGAAAGATGGGCAAAAACTACAGCATACTTATGATTGGGAAGCCCAGTAGAGGGGAGAATGTTGGTGCAAGCAAGAAGGGCTATGTGCTCGGTTGTTATGTAGGTGAGAGGGGACAGATCCAGGGTACAAATAACAGGTGTAACCATTGGAGCACGGACAGTCACAGACAGTAGGAGTAATGTGGATTCAGGTGCAGGTAAATTGGTAGATTTGGTGGCATGTGGGTGGATGAAAAAGTCTTTTTCTAAAGACCTTTTTAAAAAAATGATAAGCCAACTAGGGTAACTAAAATATGGTATATTCATATCACGGAATATTAGTAATAAAAAATGAAGGACTTAAACATGCAACATGGATGAACCTTGAGAAGATACGCCAAGCAAAAGTCAGTCACACAGGACCACATATTTTATGATTCCATTTATACAGAATGTTAATAGGTAAACCCACAGAGACAGAAAACATTATGTGGTTGCTTGGGGCTGGGACAGATGAGGGGAAAGCTGGGGAAATAGAGATGGCCCACGGATGCAGGATTTCCTTTTAGGGTAATAAAAATGTTCTAAAGTTGATTGTGATAGTTGCCCAATTCTGTGAATATACTAAAACCATTGAATAGTACATTTATGTGGGTAAATTACAGGATGTGTGAATTTTACCTTACTGAAATTACCAAACAAAACAACTAAGAGTAGACAGGATGAAGGAGGACCTTGAACATGTGTCCTCATCCAGGACATGAGAATGTGGATTGACTAGGAAAATGTTAGATTACTGGCCAGAATGAAGGGTCCACTTGGGTTGTAATTACAGAAATTTGAAATGAGAGCAGTCAGCATACTCCATGTCCAGGTGGAGATTAGGCAGAAGAGTTGCATTTAAAACCAATGTTGGGGATTTTCCAGGCAGATATGGTGAGGGAGAGCCATGGACTCCAGAGCAGGTAAGGATTAAGATAAAAACATGAAGGGCCTTGTGAGGCATGAGCCTGGTGGGATTGAAGATTGTTTGGGGAAAGGAGATCTGGAGAGAATAACCTGGAAAGAGGAGAAGCAGGTAAAGAGTGGGGTACTTGAAATTGGGAATTTGGAAGTAATGACTTTATTAGTGATCAAACATCTAGAGCTCCTAGAGATGGTGGCTCTGGTAGAATGGAAGATAGGGTTGTTGACCAAAACAGGTAGAGGAACTGAGTCGTTCCTCTTTTTCTGTAAAGATCTCACTGAAATTTTGCATCCTCTGCAAAATCCTCTGCAACTGATGCAGTTGGTCACTCCCACAATATTTAAATCAGACCTTTTACATTTTATGTTTTATATCTGTCTCCCTGACTGCGTACACTCTGTGGTCCTTGACAGAAAGCCACCCTATTCATTATATGCCTTTTGTATCCCTTATGCACATTCTCCGGAGATTTCAAGGTCCACGTTGGACTCCAACTATGAAATCAACCTTCCTTTCTCCCACCTCCCCCGTAGCCCTTTAATGTACTTGTTCTTTATTTCACACCATTTCAGGCATCTTTGCTGTAGATGGCAATGGTGTCTCCCCACCCCCTTTTGTAATTGTAAATCAACTGTTTTTTGGATCGTCATAGGAAATATTTACAGATTCTTGGTTATTTTTAGTTAAACTCCAGTGTGTTTTCCATACTTCCCAAATTTGAATTCAGGCACTTAGAGCCATCACTGTTTTGGTCTGCCCTAATGCCTCGCTGTATTAAAAATTTGTTTCCCAGGTCTGAGCCCTTTTTTGTTTCACCTATATTCCGGGGGAGTTAACACCATCACTCTTCTGATCTTGCGTTGACAGCTGCATCCGCTCAGTTAAGGCAGAGAGCTGTGTTCCTACATCGCTTACACCCTGTCCTTCCTGTCCACTAAATGTCTTCAGTGTGTCCTCCATCTCTAGCACCTCTCACTTCAGTCTCTTGTCACTATCACTGTCACTGCTGGATTCTCCGAATAAGTGCCTAACTACTCTCGAGGGGCCTTCCCCTCTTAGCTATCCTATACACTACTTGCCAGAAGGATCTATCAAAAACAATCATAGAATCATTTATCCCTGCTAAAAATTACTTGGTTTTCTGCACCACTAGAGGTCAAAGTCCAGGTTCCTCCTTATGGCATATAGGGCCTGTGAATTGCCCTGACTTATCTCTTTAGCTTCATAAACCTCATCTGTATTTTCTCCTTTCTTCTTAGTTTTCATCAAGTCATTTTATTGTGGTTCTCTGAACCACACACACCACTGCTTTACCTTGCTATATGCCTTTTCAAAAGCTGCTAGTAATGTCTTGATAGTAACGTCCTTCCTTAACTCACTGGCCTTGTGCATTTTCCTTTGAGATCCAATTCAGACACCCCCGATGACTGCCACTCAGATTCACACACCAGCTTTATGAGTCCCACCTCTATACCACCATGCTAGCTTGTGCCATCTCCTACAGCAATTGAAATTTGTCTATTTCTACCAAACTGTCCCTTTTGAAGGAAAGGACTATTAAATGAGTTAATAGAAAATTCAGATATTTAATACATAATATGAATGAATTGGGTTTTTTAAAAATTTATAACTTTAGAAAACTCATCAGTGATATCACACGTCATATTTCCAAATGAAATGAACAATTGCTTTGAATGCCCTTTTCACCTGGGTAACTCACAATATACTGATGGTTTATGCCTAATGCCAGCTTTCCTAATAAGGACTTCCTAGCTAGCATGCTTGCCAGTCTTCTGCCACCTAATGTGTTTTTAATATAACTGGTTATAAAAGCATTACATGTTCACTGCAAAAGGGAATAAAAGGAACTACAGATAAAATTTTTTTTGTGGTCTGAAGGCCATCTGGGGCTATGGGCATATTCTATCAGGAATCTATAAATTTAGTTGGCTCTCAAAGGGTTAAAAGGAAACCCAGCTGGCCACATCTTTTTAGCTTTATTTACGAAGAAGGGAAAGGATTTGAGTGTATAATGTTTTAAGCAAATCCCACACACAAATATCCACATGTATCAAACAAGTAGGCAATTCTTTATAAAAATTGTGCTTTTATATAAGGTTTATATGATTATTGTAAATTTTAACCCTGTTAATTTATACCCTCAAATGAATGCTGTAAAGTACTTAAGAGATGTGGTCCTTCAGTCTGGGGTTTGTATTTTATCATCAGGGCCCATTTTCTCTCTTCTGTACAAAGTTGAGGTGGCTTTGCATCCTTTGGCCACTGTCAGATACTTGAGGAAGCCAAGTCAATGGGGCATCAGGAGTAGGACCTTCCCATTGCCCTTCAGGAATCACTTTCCTTTTGAAGACTCATCTCAACTAAATTCTCTTGTTATAATAAGATGCTTTGAAACTGTTTCCCCCGTTTTTCTGGTGTTATATTATAATTTGGCTTGGCCACTTGAACCTATAGATAGGCACCAGAATGTTCTATGCTGACCTCCGTTAACAGTAAACATTGGTCATTTTAGTCCTGGAAAACAAATCTTTACTGATAAAAGGTAATGGGAAAGTAAAGTTCAGTTTGTTTCAGGTGTTTCTATATAATGATCCCTCTATTAAAAGAGACTGTGCCTGGGCATATACATTTTATGTTTTGGATTAAAGTCCACAGGTGTTGGAACTACACTATTTCTTTACAAAGTGAAAGCAAGGACATGTGCTTCTGTTGCCCCAGTGTATGGTATATACTCGGTAAATATTTCCCAAATGATGTGAAGAGTGTTTTATTTCTATCTGAGATACAGTGTAGCTGGTGTCCTGTACTTGTTCATTGGGATTTTCCCAAAGTGTCTGAAGAGCCTGTGAAGGGACAGAGCCATCACCTCATCCATTTCACAATTTCTGGCGCTTTTGCTGTGGTAATCAGCATTTCCCAATTGGTCATTTTTCTGTCAGTGTCACCCAAGTATTTTTCTTACCATTGCTAACTGATCATAACCCATAACTTGCTCAAAGACCTTTCTGCAGCACATGGGTAAATAGCATGTTCTTAACAGTACCTGGAACATTTTCCATTATCAGAATAACTCCTTTCAATCATAGTATTATAGTATTTGTCTTATTTATATTTGCAAAAGGATAAATTGAGAGATTCCAATGCTTTTCTGTACCTAAGTGGTGAACCCCAAGCAGAAAATGACAGGTTGTTGAACTTGCGTGACTCTTATATCAGTATGAGCAAACCCTCATGTAGATAGGAAAATAAAACCAAGAAGTCATTGTTATTTCAGCAGCACCAACCTTACCAGACTTGCCACCTTTGGAAGAATGAATAGAAATAATGAATAGAAGGTGAACAGCTGAACATTGAGCATTATTCAGGTCGTGATGGCCTCGCAAGTTAAATATCATGCTGTGCCTTGAAAAAGGAACTGTAACAGTAAACTTCACATTTGTGTATGGATCTTTGTTTTGTAGACATTAGTGTTTATTTGATGCACATTGCATAGTAACTGCATGAGGCATTTTAATAATATGGACTAAGTGTAGCATGGAGTCAAAGAGATCTTCCTCTTTCCTGGGTTTTCTAGGTCAGTGACCTCATTTTTTTCTAGTAATAAGACGGGGTGTAAATTTTCTAAGTGTGCACCTGCAGTATGCTTAGTTAGCTTGAATAGTTACTGATAGTGAATGTATTTATCTCATTAGGACTTAGCACACTGTGTTTCTCAAATGTATTTGGAGTGGGAAGACAGCTTCTAATGAAAGCTACAGGAGATTTTGACATACTCTTTGAAAATTGGTATTACCATTACTATTTTATTTCCCAGTTTATTCTGGCCTCTACCTGTATTAGATACTTTAAAAATGTCTTTGCAATTGCTTGCCTTAGGTTGTTACTAGGCCTCACACTGGGTTTGTGACAGAGTGGCAAACTATGAAATTTGAAGATTGTGGGTTGAATTTTATTTTGCTTTAAGCGCCACAGAACACAGCTGAAACTGGAGTGCCATCTTCGGTGGTGTTTACATTTTTATTTTTGTCGTCTTTTAGGCACTCAAGGAGTTGCCCCTGGTCCTGTAATTGGACTTCAGGCACCATCTACTGGTCTTCTTGGCGCCCGGCCCGGTCTCATCCCACTCCAGCGCCCTCCAGGAATGCCCCCACCTCACTTACAGCGGTTCCCTTTGATGCCGCCCCGTCCCATGCCACCGCACATGATGCACAGAGGCCCACCGCCAGGACCAGGGGGCTTTGCGATGCCTCCACCTCATGGAATGAAAGGTCCCTTCCCACCGCATGGCCCCTTTGTTAGGCCTGGTGGAATGCCAGGGCTCGGGGGCCCAGGGCCAGGCCCAGGGGGTCCTGAAGACAGAGACGGAAGGCAACAGCCGCCGCAGCAGCCACAGCAGCAGCCACAGCCGCAGGCGCCCCAGCAACCACAGCAGCAGCAGCAGCAGCAGCCACCACCATCACAACAGCCTCCACCAACACAGCAGCAGCCACAGCAGTTTAGAAATGATAACAGGCAGCAGTTCAATTCAGGTAGAGACCAAGAAAGGTTTGGAAGAAGATCTTTTGGAAATAGGGTGGAAAATGACCGGGAACGGTATGGGAACCGTAATGATGATAGAGATAATAGTAACCGTGACAGGAGAGAGTGGGGAAGGAGGAGCCCTGACCGGGACAGGCACAGAGACTTGGAAGAGAGAAATAGACGCTCTAGTGGGCATCGAGACAGAGAGAGAGATTCTAGAGATAGAGAGTCTCGTAGAGAGAAGGAAGAAGCCCGAGGAAAGGAAAAGCCTGAGGTGACAGACAGGGCAGGTGGTAACAAAACCGTTGAACCTCCCATTAGCCAAGTGGGAAATGTAGACACTGCTTCAGAACTTGAGAAGGGGGTGTCTGAGGCTGCAGTCCTAAAGCCTTCTGAAGAGTTACCTGCTGAGGCTACCTCATCCGTTGAACCCGAAAAGGATTCTGGCTCAGCAGCAGAGGCTCCTCGTTAGAGACTGGAATTTGTGAAAATGTGACAGTGACACTTCCTGGAGTGTAGAGCTTGAGGTGTACAGATGCTGTATTATATCCGCTCCCGCTGTACTGCAGCCCCGCGCCAGCTGGTGGGGAACTGTAAGCAATTTGATTGCTTCCCTTCTATTTAAAAATAGCCACAAAATAACAAAAAATACTGAAAATATGAATAAATATTACCCTTTTTGCTGTAACTTTTTAAAAGTTTTGACTTTAAAAAGTTTACAAATCGTAATTAGAAGTGCTCTCTATTTTTTTTTTTTTTTTTAATTTAAGACAAGGTAACGGTGAAAGCTCCTCAAAACAATAGGGATGTTTTTAATAAACTCTATTTTCGTAACAAACTTTAATGTGTGCTATTCTTCCTACACTGCATTAAGGTGGAAAAGGATTGTTCACCGTCAAAGTTTGAGCTGTTAATACTGTATTGGAGTCTAAATTAGACTTATTTGATGAAAATAGACATTTTATGTAGTTATTCTCACTTTCATATGTAATACTTTTGATTTTTAGTGCTCAGTCATAAGGTAAAGGTTAGTTGTTTTAATGTCAATTGAAAAGCTGTGTTTGCAATTCAATCGAGGTTTTCTTTTTTTTTCCATTGGCTTTGTGGTATATGTTGCCCTAATTTGTAAGGAGATTTTGCTGGGTGAAAAGTTGGATCCCAGTGTTACACGTTGTACTATAAATTATCGGACTGCCTGGGTATTACGTTAGAAGGTTGCGTGTGTGTGTGTGTGTGTCTGTGGTTTTTTTTTTTTCCAACCATCCCATTGAATTTTTCAAAAGGGTAAAAGAATCAAGGTTAACATTTGCAACCTAAGAGCTTTTTGTTGTGTTTGAGGACTTCAGTGCAGCCTACTACTGTTTCCTTATATAAGCCTTGCCTGTTGCCTTTCTTCACCAGCGTTTTAATTCCCCTGCGGGGCAGAGGTAAACGAACTTTTCCCCCACATATACGTTCTTTCTTTTGCTTAAAGTTGGTGGGTTAAATAGGAAAAATCGTTGTAGGTTATCCAAGAATTATCACATGAAAACATCTAAAGCCAAGTCAAGCCTTCATCTGAAATTGCAGGAAATCCAGTGCCAAGACCTGATGTCACACTATCCAAGTATTTATGGCCTTGAAGTTGTTTTGAATTACTTTTTCAAACTCCTGGTTTCAGTATGCTGAGCAGTTAACTTTGTCTTTGCCTTCATCCTCAGGCGAAGCTGCTTTATTACTCTGGTTTTTAAATAATACTCAGCAGCAAGACCTTTGGTTTGATGGGGAGAATATATCTAGGGCAATGTCCTTATATTCCTGCCTTTAGAAAATGAGAGAAAATTGTTTTATATTTATCTGTAAATTTAAATTATAAAACTTGTCCTTAATTTTACACTGGCCCACTGAGAAGTTTTAAAGTCCTAACAAATGGCTTCTGGAAGAAAACGTGATTACCCAACATCCAGACTTGAAGGACTTACAGCCTGTATTTCCAATTTAAAGTATTGGGACCATCCTATATGCACATGTAAAAACTGGTAGTGTAATTATATTTGAAGTTTCAAAAGGCATAAGTGAGTCTCTAATTGAGTTATTCCACATAGGCAACAAACTACATTAGGGAAATGTGTTAAATACTGCTTTTTAAAAATTCTCTACTGAGATTTAAAGAATGGTTGTTTTAACCACTTACTGTGAACATACTGTTGTTTACCATAATTTTAAAACTTTGGAAACACTACAGATTTGTCTTCCAATTTAGCTTTTCCTCTCCTAAATGATCTCTCCTACATTTGATAAAGTACATATTTATGAACAAACAGCATTTCACTTATTTCTGGTTTATCAGAAATAATATTCTACAATTTCCAATTGAATAATTTAGTCAAACCTGAGTTAGGTTAACATTGAAAAGCATTCTCTCAGGTACATAAATACATTAAGAGAAAGTGACTCATTTCACTAATTCGGTGTGTAAATTATTTCTCAACAGCCAGAACCCACAGTCAAACATTTCCTTGGTTCCATCTTCTAATGCTACAGATTGCTTTAAAGGGCTAATCTGTAAGTAGGTTGTGCCAGCGTCTACCCTTGAATGTAGAATTTGTGCCATTCTGGCAGGTAGATAATCTTACTAGCTAGCTGAGGCTGTAACTTGCCTTTCAAAGCTCACTAAAAAGTTATCAAATGGCTCTCTTACATCATAATGTCTTTTTAAAATGAGGAGGTACTTTATGAATCAAAATGCTAAAATGACTAAGCAGGAACATTTCCCTAAAGCTTTCAAAGGACAGCCTATTTGTCTAAGCAGAGTTGTGTTAGTTTTAGCTAAAAGACCTGCTGTTTTAAAGTATGCATTTTGATGGTCTCAAAACACTTTCAAAATAAAATGCTATCACTGTTAGTATTACTAAATCTGTTCCACTGAAGCTGTTTATATAAATAAGTATCAGAGCTAATTTAGTTTGAATTTGGATTCTTTTAATAGCCTCATAATAAGTGCCATACAGGGTTTTTATTCACAGGCTTGAATGACAAAGAAATTCTGACAAGTTTAATACCCATCTGTGATTTAAGTCTGGCAAAATACAGGTCATTGAAACAGACATTTTAACTGAGTTTTATAAAACTATACAAATCTTCCAAGTGATCATAAATCAGTTTCTCACTACAGGTACTTTAAAGCAACTCTGAAAAAGTCACACAATTACACTTTTAAGATTACAGTGTTTAATGTTTATCAGGATACATTTCTACAGCTAGCAGGATAACAGATGAGTTAAGGGGCCTCAGACTACATCCAAGGGAATGTTTATTGGGCGATCCCAATTACACCACAAGCCAAACGACTTCCAGCGTTTCCTGTCTTTGTACTTTCTTCATTTCCACCTTTGCCCAAGTCATCTGCTTTTTCATGGACCTGTAAAAAATTTTAAGAAGATAACTTTGGGCTGTCAAGTAATCACTACCTCCTCCCAACAATACCCAAAAGATGTTTAAGAACCTCATAATATTAGAAAAATAACATTAATCCTAGTAGAGAGATATACTAATATTTAGTAGTTTAAAAGTAGAAACTACTACTCAAAGCTTTTTCTTGGTGTTGCAAAGACATTACCTTTAAACATTAGGTAAGTGTTGCTGTCTAAATGAAATACTAAAACCCAAATAACTATGTTGTAGACCACCACACGCTACCCTTAATCCTCCATGGTAAGTTACAGTAACCTTAGTTCCGCAGTCACTCTTACTTTGGCAGTTTTTTTAATTGCTTTGGAAAAAAAGGAAAGTGAAAGTGAATAAAACTCAAAATTTCATGCCAAATGAATGACGGGCCTATAAGTAAGGTATAATCCTAAAAAATCTTAATACTTTAAGCAACAGTATTTTGAATTTTGTTCAACAAACCTTTATAAATGATTTTTCTGCTTTACAACTATGGCTCAAGAAAAACCATAAAAATAAAGGGTTAACTGAATGGAAGTGACTACTGAATGTTAATGCCCTCAAGGGGAGGTAAAAGAGAGCCTGTCTACTTGGTGTTTTGCAAGAACCAGATGCAGTTCCCCAGGATAACTTGGGACAACAGCTTCCCACAAGTTAAACAAGTCATGATAACCTGCAGTCCTGAATGAACATGAATGAACATGAATACTTAAGTCCATCCCAGGTTTTAAACTTAACAAAATGTTCTGTTTAACAAGTGAGAAACCCAATCCTGGCAAGAAAATCTGGCCATTTTAAAACTAAAGACTACTTCTGTTTTCCAAACTCAGATCTAATATGGTCAAATGTAACCTGCTTTTTACTGCATCTTAGCAGAACAGTGTTCTTAACTGACCTAGATAAAATAATTCATTTTCACCGTAATTGTCCAATAAAATTGCTTTTCCTAATTTGAACTGCAAGTACAGTTTATCTGGATCTTTAGAAACCGCGACTAACAATCAAAGTGAAAAGATACATGACTGTATGTTAGAAGAAGTTTTATGCATATCCTTTTATGAAAACTTACCACCAGTGTGCGGCCAATGATGCAATGGTCTCCTGAGAGTGAGATCACAGAATCTTCAATAGACACATCGGCCACACCATCTTTGTCAGCAGTCACATTGCCCAAGTCTCCAACATGCCTAATAATGAAAAAGCATCAGATGGATTAGGGCTGATGCCACTAAACATCAAGGTAGTTCATGAGCTAAATTAAAACTTGACTGAGTAGACACAAATTTGCAAACAAGTAGCTAGGCATTCTAAATACAGCTCTTCAAACAAGGCTTCACGTCTACACACTAATGCTCTGGGAAGAAAGATGGGGCTGCACCTGATTTCAGAAGTACCAAAGGGTAAACTCTCAGTTACTGAGTTATGCCTGTTAATTACTGGCATAGCTAACAAAGCTATGTCCCAAGGCCTCTGATATAAAAATCTTGTCCTTAAATTTAATATTTTTCTGAAAGGCTTTCAGAAAACATACACATATAAATGGAGTCTCGACTAGTTTTCAGTATCAATTTTTTTTTTTATCTACAGAAGCTTCCTATGTTTCACAATGATGATTGATTTTGCTAGTGGTTGACAGTACTGTTCATGACATTTCCTGTATTAGTTCCCCTTTGGCACTTGTATTAGTTCTATATTCAATAAATGCTACAAAACCAAATCGTTTTAAGTGTCCCCATTTGTCAATTCCTTTAAGCCCAGGAAGTAAAAGCATTCCAGCATTTGGGAGCAGGGGTTTAGATGAGTCAGCAAGTTCAAAAGCAAAGGTGGGGGAAACACGGAATTATCTTAGCACATATTTACAAGTAGTATACCATATGAACTCCAGAAAGCTATCGCCATTATTACAAGAGTTAAGCATCTTGTTACCTCTCTTCATCCTTTGGCCCACCGTGTTTTCTGGATAGAGGATTAAAGTGAGGACCTGCACTGGTACAGCCTATTTATAAGAAGAAGAAAAAAAAGCTAAATTATGAATTAAAGTTCCCAAATACATTCTAAAAAGAAACACTGCTAAAACTTCCCATGGAGAAAGTGCTGACCTGCATCACGACTTCTGGGATAAGCAACACCTTGGTACAGCCACAGTGAGAAGGGAACAGAAACAAGTCTATGGCCAGGCATGGTGGCTAACACCTGGAACCCCAGCACTTTGGGAAGCTGAGGTGGCTGGATCATCTGAGGTCAGGAGTTTGAGACCAGCCTGGCCAGCATAGCAAAACCCTGTCTCTACTGAAAAAATACAAAAATTAGCTAGGCGTGGTGGTGCGCACCTATAGTCCCAGCTACTTAGTAGGCTGAGGCAGGAGAATCGCTTGAACCTGGGAGGCAGAGGTTGCAGTGAGCTGAGATCGCACCACTGCACTCCAGCCTGGGCAACAGAGCAAGACTCCATCTCAAAAAAAAAAAAAAAAAAACCCCACCAAGTTCTAACTACTGTCTGACACTTGTAAAGTTAACACCCTTCTCTGGGCTTTGGCTTCTTCACTGTAAAAATAAGGGACCAGACTGATCTTCAACAGTTTTTCTATTATTAAAATCCCATGGTTATGATCCAAATTCTTAAGAACGTAGTATACTTTACAAAAAACTCATCTCCCCAGCAACATATGCCAAGCAGTTCTATCTGTGCCCTTTACTTGGTGCAGGCAGAATATTCAACAGCATCTTATGTGCAAGGGCCAAGGCTGCTGCCTTACACAACTCGAGGGGGCGGCATTCCAACTGTATCCTGTGTAGAAGGTGCTGCTGTGCACCAGGGGATGACATTCACAGAGCACAACCTCGACAGCACAGGAGGCCCTTTCATAACACGGCTGTCTTCAGCCACGCTCTCACCCGCAGGAGTCCCACACAGGGAGAAAGGCAGGCAAGTTACAGGAAGCAGCAGAGCAATCACCTCCCAGACCAGAGGCGGTAAAGCCAAAAAGCAACTCGGGGGAATTTCAGCAATTACAGAAATGGATCAAATCTGATCATTACAAATCACTATTTGAAACTAAATTAGCAAGATGAATAAAGTTAATTTAAGAAGAAATCTATAAACAAAAAAATCAGATTATTACTCAAATATGGCAAAAGATCACTAAATGCAACTTAACTCATAAACTTCTGTTAACTTGCTTCCAATCCCAAATTAAGAAAATAAAATTTGGCAGTTTCTCTGAACCTACTCTGGTTCAGGGGTTGCCTGATTTTTTAAAAATACTTTAAAAAAATTTTTTTTAAGCATATTCCAAAGTACCAATAATCCTCTGCATTCCATCTTCAGTTTGTATCATACTTTGGTCCCACTAAGAAGCCTGTGTTTGGGGTGTAGAGCTACTCTTACATGGCATTATGCAAATAAATGCAGCCCCTTTGCTCGAGGCACCCACCCTCAACCCCCAGCTCAAACACCTGGGATCATTACAAAAGTTAAGAGCCCAAGTTTTTATTTCCTATTTGCCTTCTTTAAAAAACACCCTCTTCTGGCTGGGTGCGGTGGCTCATGCCTGTAATCCCAGCACTTTGGGAGGCTGAGACAGGCGGATCACGAGGTCAGGAGAGAGACCATCTTGGCTAACACAGTGAAACCCCGTCTCTACTAAAAATACAAAAAATTAGCCAGGCGGGGTGGCGGGCACCTGTAGTCCCAGCTACTCAGGGGGCTGAGGCAGGAGAATGGCATGAACCCGGGAGGCGGAGCTTGCAGTGAGCCGAGATCGCGCCACTGCACTCCAGCCTGGGCCACAGAGTAAGACTCCGTCTCAAAAAACAAACAAACAAAAAAACACCCTCTTCTACAATGATGCTGTAAGACAAAACATCAACTCTTTCCCTTTCTTTTCCACACCTAGGTATCAAAGCCCAGTTTTGTGGCTAATCTTAAGGTTGATCTTCTTCTCTTTTTTTGGTTTCTAAAGACACACTACACCAAATCTTAAGACAAAGGGCACTGGACCTTCAGAAGCAGGTCCACCCCAGTCTTCACAATCTAGTGCAGTTACTTTTCTTGTGTGTACTCTGCTGGCATTATTACAAAAATCAGGATATGGTCCCAGTTCCTGCAATTTTAGCACAGTGCTTATATACAATAAAGTTGACCTCTTTTTTAAAAGAAAAGTTGAGGGTTTTCCCAGGCACAGTGGCTCACACATGTAATCCCAGCACTTTGGGAGGTCGAGGAGGATAGACCACTTGAGCCCAGCAGTTCAAGACCAGCCTGGGCAACATGATGAAACCCCACCTCTAGAAAAAAATACAAAAATTAGCCAGGCGTGGTGGTGTGTACCTGTAGTCCCAGCTACGGGCCAAGGCATGAGGATCAATGGAGCCTGGGAGGTCAAGGCTAAGGTCAGCCATGATCGCACAGCGCCACTGCACTCCAGCCTGAGCGACAGAGCAAGACCCTTTCTCAAAAACAAAAACAAGTTGAGGGGTTTTAACGTTTAGGGGCTACTCTACTGTTTATCTAACTAGGGTGAACAAGTATGGGTCACCAGCACAGCACAACACCCACCTGCTGTATTATCTCCAAACTCATGAACATGGAATCCATGCAGGCCTTCAGTCAGTCCTTTAATGCTTCCCCACACCTTCACTGGTCCATTACTTTCCTTTAAGAAAAGTGCAAAGTTGGAGAGAGTTTCTGAACAAAGAAAACAGCTGATTTACCTTTACCCCTCACAGTGAAGTAAAAAGCAGCCAGACTTGGGAGTGGAAAAATCTGTGTCCAAATCCCAGGCTGACCACTTTCTAGCCAGTGAACCTCCAGCAAGCTGCTTAACTGCTCTAGGCCTGTGTCCTCAAAAGGGAGATGGTAATCTTGTTCCCACACTCAATGCACAAGCACCCTGTGGCCAGGCTTCATGATTAAATAACATAAAAAGCACCTAATAGAGTGGCAAGCAAAGTGAGTACCTACACATCAGTGTTAGATACTTCATAGGCTTTGACTATTACAGTAAATAGGTAATGTAAGTACCTATTTATGTAGTAAATACTTTTGAATAGGTTATATTTGTACATGTTGAATATACATGTACATGTAAACGTTTTTTATTTTGAGACAAGAGTCTCGCTCTGTCGCCCAGGCTGGAGTGCAGTGGCATGATCTCAGCTCACTGCAAGCTCCGCCTCCCGGGTTCACGCCATTCTCCTGCCTCAGCCTTTTTAACCCAAAAGGTGTATGTCTCATCCTACACTCTGGAGCCCCTTGCTTTTTCTCCACGCACACCCTTTTCCATATGGCATACTCACTTGACTTTAAAAAAAAAAAAAGAAAAAGTCGCCCTGGAAATGTCCAACAGGCTACCCTGGGACCCCTGCTCTCCACTCCCCACTCAGTGAGTGTTTTTAAGTGTCCATCATAAGTTTTTTTCTTTTTTTTTTTGAGACGAGTCTCGCTCTGTCGCCCAGGCTGGAGTGCAGTGACATGATCTCGGCTCACTGCAAGCTCCGCCTCCCAGGTTCATGCCATTCTCCTGCCTCAGCCTCCTGAGTAGCTGGGACTACAGGCGCCCACCACCACACCCGGCTAATTTTTTTGCATTTTTAGTAGAGACGGGGTTTCACCGTGTTAGCCAGGATGGTCTCCATCTGCTGACCTCGTGATCCACCCGTCTCGGCCTCCCAAAGTGCTGGGATTACAGGCGTAAGCCACCACGCCCGGCTATCACAGGTATTTTTAATTAGCAGTCAGAAAATATTATATTCCACTGCCCCCAGGAGAGGACTGATTCTAGTCTAACCAGACGTACTACTGCTTTCTGAAATCTTTTCAAGCACTGAAACCTAGGTAACCTTTCCACTCTACCAAAATGAAAGCAAGCAGTATAGCCATTCAGGTAATGGTGACAGGTAATGGTGCTCCGTGGCTACATACAGAAATCAAGGAAGTTACAACTAGATCTCAGGACTAAAATAAACACAACATCCACACCACACCGTCATACAACATGTCAGTGTCTCTTGTTTTTAGCTTGGTTTGTTTTCAAATACGGCCAACAGTTAAGGGGCATTAACCCTTAAGATGTGACTTTCCACTGGAAAATATCATTGCTCAAATGAAGTATCCTGGCAATTGCTGCCTTTTTAAATTCTTTTCTTTTTGACAATAGATACTGTGACTCTTCTACAACCTTTAATTTTGGAAAAACTCAAATGTGAAAGTTGTCCCTCAAACACTCTGTTATCAAGAGCACAGGGCCAAAAACAGCAGGTTCTTTGAAACCTCCATTTAACCGGTAATACATTCAGGACATCTAAGTAGCTGTGCTCGGGTACAACCCTGCAGGGACCAGGCTATGAACTTAAGTGAATAACACAGGCCTGGGAAGCGAAAAAATATATGAACTGCTACAGCAGTACTGTCCTGGGCTAATGAAGGCTCAGTATGAAGAGATCTCCAAAAATTCTTCAAGAGAAGCTAGGAAAACTGGATTAATACGTGAAAAATTCTGATCTGTAAAAACTAGCAAAGAGTCCAAGATTTTAAACACGGAATAGGCCAAGCCAAGTAGCTGATAGCCAATGTATTATCTCTGCATATCTGGAAAGCTGGAATGCTCCACTATCCAAGGCTCATTCTCAGGTACAACGGGCACCAAACAAAACGAAGTCAGGCGCTTAAAAGAAGGAACTATGCAAGCTGCTCAGGGAAGGTGGAAAACCTGGGTTCATGCATGGATTCTCAATGGCCAGGGAGAAGGGATTCCTCAGAGGCGTCTTAAGAATAGCACTGGTGGCCGGGCGGGGTGGCTCACGCCTGTAATCCCAGCACTTTGGGAGGCCGAGGCGGGTGGATCACGACGTCAACAGATCGAGACCATCCTGGCCAACATGGTGAAACGCCGTCTCTACTAAAATATAAAAAATTAGCCAGGCGTGGCGGCGCGCGCCTGTAGTCCCAGCTACCCGGGAGGCTGAGGCAGGAGAATTGCTTGAACCTGGGAGGCGGAGGTTGCAGTGAGCTGAGATCGCGCCACTGCACTCCAGCCTGGGCGACAGAGCGAGACTTGGTCTGAAAAACAAAACACTAGTACTGGTGAATTATGTGGGGAGAAGTAAAGAGGGACAAAAAGAAGTCTGACAAATGAAACAGCAAAATGGAGTCAAATGCCAAAGAACCTTTTCCAGAAAATCTGGAGACCTATTAAAGAAAAAGGCTAAACTCATTATCTCCCTCACATATATTTCAGACATTTACACAGACTAACTGTTCCTGTCCTCTCACGTTTCTGTAAACCCCTTTAAAGACTGAATCTCATTCGTATAGTAAATATTCCCTCATGATTTTTAAGCCGAGTGCAAGAGAAAATTTTCCACCAGTTGGTAACTTCACTAAGGTTCTGGGGACAGTGTTATCACAAGCACCTTCCTTGCAACACGTTTTGTAATTTTACTGATAAAAGTTCTGAAAATATTTCTGTATATTTTACAAGAGTCGTTCAGAAGTTTGTCTCTGACCATCTTAGCAACCTGCCTACTGGCAGAGCAATTTTAAAGCCACTTTACGAAAATGTGGCTTAAGAAATGCTCCGACAACAGTTATTAAGTGCCAATTCGGTGTAATGGAAACTCCAGGTCTTCTAATTTCCAAATACGAAACTCCACCCACTGTCCTCAAACGACAGTTCTCAATCGTAGGTGCACATCAAAATCACTTTTGGAAACTTTCAAAAAACAGCAATACTCACCCTGCACTAGGACAGGTTTTGATGTAATTGGTCGGAGGTTGGGCTCTGGTGTATTTTTAGTAAGATCTTCAAATAAGCTAACTGTGCACCCAAAGTTAAGATCACTGCCCTCAAAAATCCCCAAAAGGGTCAGTTAAACCTCTGGCTCCCGGAGCTTAGGAGGAGGAAAAGGACCTCTGTTCAAGGCTACCTTCTCTGCCCTTGCAGCCCAATCATGACCTAGAACAGAGGCCAGCAAACTTCCCTGCAAAGTGTCACACAAACGGTCTCTGTTGCGTATTTTTGTTTTCCAAAGCCTTTTAAAAATATAAAAACCATTCCTAGCCTTAGAGCTGTACAAAAGCGAAGACTCCCTGACCTAGAGCGCTGAAGCCGGAAAGCGGAGAGGGATGCGAAGACACCAGGCGGGCCCAGGCGCAGTCGCCATCCCCGGGCTGGGCCTGGCACTGCGCCACTCGGTGTCCGCGGGACCCTCAGGAACGAGAACACGGCCAAGCAAGGGACGAGCACAGCCGCTCCAGGCACCACGACAGACCCGCGGCGGCGGCCCAAGGACCACAGAGGGCAGCACGCCCGCCCCCGCCCCTCCCCGGCCCGCGGCAATCCCTCCCCGCGCTCCCGCCACGCGCAGGCCCAGCCCCGCGGCGGCCTCGGTCCCACGCCCCGCGCCCGGGCCCGCCCGGTGACTCAGCACTTGGGCACCGCACCGCTGGGGGCGAAGGCACCGACCGGGCGGCACGGGCCGGGACCGGGCGCTGGACCAGGGCGGCCCCGAGGCCTGGCGGGCGACCCGCTCCTAGCAAAGGTGCGCGGGGGGACGAGCGGGTGGGAGCGGCCTCGCAAACAAGCCTCCGTCCCAGCCCTTGCCTTCTGCTCGAAATTGATGATGCCCTGCACTGGGCCGTCGCCCTTCAGCACGCACACGGCCTTCGTCGCCATAACTCGCTAGGCCACGCCGAGGTCCTGGTTCCGAGGACTGCAACGGAAACCCCAGACGCTGCAGGAGACTACGACGCAAACCAGCACCCCGTCTCCGCGACTACTTTATAGGCCAGACCTCCGCGCCTCGCCCACTCTGGCCCCAAACCAATCGCCTCGCACGCGCTCAGCCCGCCCCCTGCGGCAGCCTCGGGTCGCGAGTGGCCGGGAATGACTGGGGGCGGGGCCAAGGGGCCGCGTGCGCCGGAGACTCCCCCCGCCCCGCAGCCGGGAAACGTCCAGAACCCCGAAATGTGGAGAAAACAACCTTCTTTTCACGGGGGCGTGGCCCGCCGGTTGCAGTACGCGAAATTGGCAAAATGATGTAAACAGGGTACGCTTTGAAAATCTGAAGTCACTTTGTCTAGAAATGTCATTAGTTATGACTGAGTTTGGCCACAGCGTCTCATTTGTTACTCAGCAATTGGGACGCCCCAAGATGGATGCTTTTGTAGTTTTCATTTTTTTGTCTTGTTTTTTAGTTTTCTGAGGGTATAGAAAGTCGCTACACCTCAATCCCGGGACTTACCTTTTCTTCCCCTGCAATTTTCTTAGTCCTTAGTATAGAGTTTCTTATTTGGTTGGCAGAATTCGGTATTCTTTTTATATTTTTCCTGTTTGGCAAGGCCACAACCCTACAGATAACCAAACGGCAACTAGTTGGCTTCTAGGCATCACCTGCGTTTTTGTCTGGCCTAAAGGCCACAACACTCAAGGAGGGTAGAATGGTGAAATAATTTATGATGCCTCCATACAACAGGAATGATAAATATGACTTACCTTTCAAGGGAAATATTTCAAAAACATATTGTGAAATGAGAAAATAGTGCAAACTACTTTTGTCCGGGGCGAGGGGGTTGTTTGTTTGATTTTTGAGACAGGGTCTCGCTCTGTCACCCAGGCTGGAGTGCAGTGGCGCCATCATAGCTCACTGCAGCCTCCACCTCCTGGGTTCAAGCCATCCTCCTGCCTCAGCCTCCCAAGTACCTGGGACCACAGGCATGTGCCACCACACCTGGCTGATTTTTGTATTTTGGGTACAGATGGGGTTTTACCATGTTGCCCAGGCTGGTTTCAAACTCCTGAGCTCAAGCCAGCCATCTACCCACCTCGGCCTCCCAAAGTGCTGGGATTACAGACATGAGCCACCACGTCCAGCCTAGTACTTAATATTGAGTATGGCAAAATACTGAGACTTAATTGAAGTCCAGTGTGAAACAACAATAGAAGCTATTCCAGCCTCGTTTGGAGTACACTACTATCGATTTATTTACTTATTTATTATTTACGCTATTTAGACCCTCAGACTCTAATGCATCCTCTATCAGAGAAATACAATTCACATTTTTTTATCATCCTCTAGGAAGTATACATATTTGCAGTTTTGCCTGTTGTATTTGGTAGTAGTCTCCAGATAATTCGTATATTCTAAACGGTTGCATAAACAGTGCAAATGCTGGCCAAAGGGCCTTTGCCCAAGGCTAAAGTTTCTTTGGGTTCCAGGAAGTTCGGCAGATTTCAGTTCATTGTAAACTTGCCAAGGGATCCGCCCACAGACACGAGAGAGCTGCTTTGGGACAGTGAATTACTCTTCTTTTGAGACGGTCTAATGATGCCTGGGTGGTGCCTTCGTAGGATGGTCGTCACACCTGAACAAGGGGGTCCCTGGCCCCAGGCCCCATGCTTTACTGGGCCCTGTTCTGTCCCTCTTCTGGCATCATCTCCCATGGAGAAAAGAATGTGTTGAAGCCAAGAAGATGCTCCCCCCGCAAGAATATCATCTCTGCTAGAACAGGGGTAAGGAATTTAACTCTGTGATATTTAAGAGTATTTATATCTTCC
The DNA here is from genome assembly GCF_000001405.40 of Homo sapiens. Taxonomy (NCBI): domain Eukaryota; kingdom Metazoa; phylum Chordata; class Mammalia; order Primates; family Hominidae; genus Homo; species Homo sapiens. The sequence goes on along the minus strand of NC_000021.9, from coordinate 31,657,888 downwards.
TAATGCAGGGCATCGAATGTGGGCACTATGGACATTTTGGGCCAGACAGTTCTTTGCTGTGGAGGCTGTCCTGTACACTGTAGGATGTTCAGTAGAATCCCTAGCCCCTACTCACTAGATGCCAGTAATACCCTGTCCCTCCCTGCCAGGCTGGGATAACCAAAAATAATTCCAGACGTTGCCAAATCACTCCCAGTTAAGAATCACTGTTTTTATTTATTTATGTATTTATTTTGATATGGAGTCTCACTCTGTCACCAGGCTGGAGTGCAGTGGTGCAATCTCAGCTCACTGCAACCTCCGCCTGCTGGGTTCAAGTGATTCTCCTGCCTCAGCCTCCCGAGTAGCTGGGACTACAGGCGTGCACACCATGCCTGGCTAAGTTTTTGTATTTTTAGTAGAGATGGGGTTTCACCATGTTGGCCAGGCTGGTCTCGAACTCCTGACCTCAAGTGATCTGCCAGCCTCGGCCTCCCAAAGTGCTGGGATTACAGGTGTGAGCCACCACACCCGGCCAAGAACCACTGTTTAGAACACCACTTGAGTACCCGGATCCTGGAATTTCCTGCCCAAAGAGCCCTGAGCCTGTGTATAGGATCCTGAACAGGCCACACAGGGACTGTCCCTTGTTGAGTACACTGCTAGCCTTGAACGTAGGCCCTGCCCAGTGCCACAAGGAGCAGGGGTGGGGAAAGGAGGAAAGGCCAGGGGCGGGCAGGCAGCCAGCTCTCCACTGCTACCCTTCTACGTAGAACTGAAAGAAGTCCAAGAATTCCACATTTCAACCTGCCTTCCAGGTCTTTATGAAGGTATATTTGTTAAGACAGGATGATAGAGCCTTGGTTGTTTGGAACCCTGGAACGTGGGTTGAATCTGGCACATGTAATTAGCCGGGCATGGTGGTACACCCCTGTAGTCCAAGCTACTTGGGAGGCTGAGGTAGGAGGATCGCGTGGGCCCAGGAGGTTGAGGCTGCAGTGAGTTGTGATCGCACCATTGCACTCCAGCCTGGGCAACAGAATGAAATCCTGTCTCAACAATAATCATCATCATCATCGTGGAGTATCTAACTTAAATAAAATAAAATAGGGAAATCAGATGAGAGGGACCTTTGCACTTGAACCCCAGGGTTTAAAGAAGCAGAACAGGCAAACCCTGTCAGAAAGAAGAAAAGAGAGTGAGAGAGAAAGAGAAAGAAAGAGAAAGAGAGAAAGAAAAAGAAAGAGAAAGAAGAAGGAAGGAGGGAGGGAGGGAAGAAAGGGAGGAGGGAAGGAGGGAAGGAATTAGAGAAAGAGGAGAATGTGGCACATGTAGACAGTTCAACTTTGTCAGGAATGGTGAGGAGGAATAGATGCCTTAAATCAGATGGCGGCACGTGCAGATGACTAAACCGCTTGTAATGTGTCATTTCAGCCTTCCTGAGAGTGAAAATTCATGTTTGGGGACCTCTGTGGTTAAAAGGTGGGCAAAAAGGTAGACCAGAAATTTTTTTTTTTTTAGATGGAGTGTTGCTCTGTCGCCCGGGCTGGAGTGCGGTGGTGCAGTCTTGACTCACTACAGCCTCACCCCGCTGGGCTTAGGCAATTCTCCAACCTCAGCCTCCCAAGTAGCTGGGACTGCAGTTTCAATAATTCTCTCTAGACCTCAGCTGCAAATCAAAGGCACTGGGCCTAGATGCAGTGTTTATCAACCCTGGCTGCACAATAGAATCACCTGGGCAGTTGAAAACTAAAACAAAAAATACTGTGCTTAGGCCCAATTATATTAAAACCTTAAAATTGTATATCTTTATACTGTAAATACACATTTCATTGCTGTAAGAGTCATAAGAAACCCTCAATGGTTATCGATGGAAGTAGGCTGCTTATCTGTGTACTTTTCATCACGAGAAAAATAAACCTTTATTTGGTTAAATAGCGTAACCACATTTGTTACATGCAGTCAAAAGCAATTTCTAACTGACAGAGAGGAGAAGCCACCAGAGGGGTGTCCACAGGGAGTCAGAATGGTCTCTGGAATAGCTCAGTGGGTGGACTGAGAGCAGATGGGGTGAGACTCAAGGCAGAGAGGCCATTTGGGAGACAGGATAAGAGCCCACCTAAGGCCATCACTGGAAGAAAGCTGGGAGATCACGGAAATGCAACCACAAGTCCAGCCACCCATTAGAGGTGCATGGTGAGAGAGGGAAGGTAAGGGCAGCCCCCAGGTTTCTAGCCCCCTTGGTGCTGTTTACCAAGGAAAGCAGGTTCAAGGACAAAGGGCTTAATTCAGGACAGGGTGCATCTGAAGTGCCTGAAGAACCTATAAGTGCCAGGCTGGAATCATCCTCTTGGATATGGGTCTAAGCCTCAGGATCATTCTTAAGTCTGGACTCCATCTCAGAATTAACACACAGCCTATTCAACGTTCTTGTTTTATTTTGTTCTGTTTTTTTGACACAAGATCTCACTCTGTCACTCAGGCTGGAGTGTAACGGCATGATCTCGGCTCACTGCACCCTCGACTTCCTGGATTCAGGTGATCCCCTCACCTCAGCCTCCCTAGTAGCTGGTGTGTCCGGAATTGGTGGGTTCTTGGTCTCACTGACTTCAAGAATGAAGCCGTGGACCCTCGCGGTGAGTGTTACAGTTCTTAAAGGTGGCGTGTCCGGAGTTTGTTCCTTCTGATGTTCAGATGTGTTCGGAGTTTCTTCCTTCTGGTGGGTTTGTGGTCTCGCTGGCTCAGGAGTGAAGCTGCAGACCTTCGCGGTGAGTGTTACAGCTCTTAAGGCAGCGCGTCTCAAGTTGTTCATTCCTCCCGGGGGGTTCGTGGTCTCATTGGCTTCAGCAGTGAAGCTGCAGACCTTCGTGGTGAGTGTTACAGCTCATAAAGGCAGTGTGGACCCAAAGAGTGAGCAGCAGCAAGATTTATTGCAAAGAAAGACAAAGCTTCCACAGTATGGAAGGGGACCCAAGCAGCTTGCCACTGCTGGCTCAGGCAGCCTGCTTTTATTCTTTTATCTGGCCCCACCCACATCCTGCTGATTGGTAGAGCCGAGTGGTCTGTTTTGACAGGGCGCTGATTGGTGTGTTTACAATCCCTGAGCTAGACACAAAGGTTCTCCACCTCCCCACCAGAGTAGCTAGATACAGAGTGTCGATTCGTGCATTCACAAACCCTGAGCTAGACACAGGGTGCCGATTGGTGCATTTACAATCCCTTAGCTAGACATAAAGGTTCTGCAGGTCCCCACTAAACTCAGGAGCCCAGCTGGCGTCACCCAGTGGATCCCGCACCTGGGCTGCAGGTGGAGCTGCCTGCCACTCCCATGCCGTGCACCCGCACTCCTCAGCCCTTGGGTCGTCGATGGGACTGGGCGCCGTAGAGCAGGGGGCGGTGCTTGTCGGGGAGGCTCCGGCAGCACAGCAGCCCACAGAGAGGGGGAGGCTCAGGCATGGCGGGCTGCAGGTCCCGAGCCATGCCCCGCAGGGAGGCAGCTAAGGCCGGTGAGAAATCGAGCCCAGTGCCGGTGGGCGGCACTGCTCTGAGTACAGGGCCTCCACAGCCGCTGGCCCTGGTGCTAAGCCCCTCATTGCATGGGGCCGGCAGGGCCTGCCGGCTGCTCCGAGTGCGGGCCCGCCAAGCCCACGCACACCTGGAGCTCCAGCTGGCCCGGAAGTGCCCGCACAGCCCCTGTTCCCGCTCATGCCTCTCCCTCCACACCTCCTTGCAAGCTGAGGGAGCCAGCTCCGGCCTTGGCCAGCCCAGAAAGGGGCTCCCACAGTGCAGCGGTGGGCTGAAGGGCTCCTCAAGTGCTGCCAAAGTGGGAGCCCAGGCAGAGGAGGTGCCGAGAGCGAGTGAGGCCTCTGAGGACTGCCAGCATGCTGTCACCTCTCACTGGGACTACAGGTGAGCACCCACACACCCGGCTAATTTTTTTTTTATTTTTTGGTAGAGATGGGGTCTCCCTATGTTGCCCAAGCTCATTTAGAACTCCTGGGCTCAAGCAATCCACCTGCCTCAGCCTCCCCAAGTGCTAGGATTATAGGCATGAGCTACCGCCCCCAGCCTCAAAGTTGTTTTTTAAAAATGTAATTATCTATTCCCTTTAAGGCACATAATTTTCTTAATGAACCTCTACCCTACTAGGTGGGTAGGAGTTGGGTGAGACTTAAACTTGAAATGATAATGCCTAAAGTTTGTGCGGTTTAAACCCCAGGGGTCCCCATCACCTGGGCCATATTGGCTTCAAATTGGCTATATTTGAAGAATTGTCTTGGGCCACACATAAAATACGTTAACACTAATGATAGCTGGTGAGCTAAAAAAAAAAAAAAAAAAAAAAAAATCGCAAAGGCAATCTCACATTTTAAGAAAGTTTATGAATTTGCATTGGGCTGCACCCAAAGCCTTCCTGGGCCACAGGCACCATAGGCTGCGGGTTGGACAAGCTTGGTTTATAGGCCTCATATGTGGTGGGGCTGCTGTTTTAAAAGTCTCATCAGTGCAGATTTTACTTATTGCATGAAGATTGGTATTTAAGTTGAGATGAAGGGTAGTATATTTTGTTTGAGATCATTACACTTGTGAAGAGTTAATTGAGTTGCATGTTTTTCACGTATTATTTAGTCATACCTTTATCATGACAGGATGATTCTGCTTCACAACTTCTTTCTGTTTTTAAGGAAAGGGGCTGGGCATGGTGGTTCAACCCTATAATCCCAGCACTTTTGGAGGCGGAGACGGGCAGATCACTTCAGCCCAGGAGTTTGAGACCAGCCTGGGCAACATGGTGAAACCCCGACTCTACAAAAAATACAAAAACTAGCTGGGCATGGTGGCACACACCTATAGTCTCAGCTACCCAGGAGACTGAGGTGGCAGAATTGCTTGAACTCAGGTGGCAGAGGTTGCAGTGAGCAGAGATCGCACCTCTGCACTCCAGCCTGGGCAACAGAGTGAGACCCTGCCTAAAAAAAAAAAAAAAAAAAAAGAGGCATTGGTTTATTGTTATTGTTCTTTTAAAAAAAATTGCTGCTCCACAACCTGGGAGGTTTGGTTTGTTTTTTTTTTTTAACAGTTTTATTAAGATACAATTTACATACCATACAATTCACCCTTTGTAAGCATGCACTTTAATGATTTTTAAAGTAAATTTATGTAGTTGACAGCTACCAGCACAATGCAGTTTTAAAACATTTCCATCAGCCCAATTTACCTCATGGTAGTTTTTGCTTAATCCCTTCTCCCACCCCAAGCTGCAGGCAACCACTGACCTGCTTTCTGTCAATAAATTTGCCCTTTCTGGACATTTCATGTAAATAGTATCATACAATACACTGTCTTTTGCATCTGGCCTATTGTACTTAGCATGATGTTTTAGAGCTCAGTTCACGTTATAGCACTTATCTGTAATTTGTGCCTTTCTATATGTGAATACTATTCTGTTACATGGATAGACTGTATCTGAGATCGTTTTTCCGCTCATAAGCTGAGGGACATTTGGATGTATTATGGGTTGAATTGTGCCCCATCCCCAAATACATATGTTAAAGTTTTATTTTTTTGGACGGAGTCTCGCTCTGTCACCCAGGCTGGAGTGCAGTGGCGCGATCTCGGCTCACTGCAAGCTCTGCCTCCCAGGTTCATGCCATTCTCCTGCCTCAGCCTCCCAAGTAGCTGGGATGCCCGCCACCACGCCCGGCTAATTTTTTGTATTTTTAATAGAGACTGGGTTTCACCATGTTAGCCAGGATGGTCTCGATCTCCTGACCTTGTGATCCGCCTGCCTCGGCCTTCCAAACTGCTGGGATTACAGGCATGAGCCACCACGCCCAGCCCTGAAGTTTTAACCCCCAATAACTTGGAAGGTGACCATGTTTGGAAATGGGGTTTTGCAGATGTAATTAGTTAAGATAAGGTCATACTGGAGTAGGATGAACCCCTAAGTCCAGCATGACTGGTGTCCTTACAAAAGAGGAAATTTGGACATAAGCACACAGGGAGAACACCCCCATGTGAATATAAAGGCAGAGATAGGTGTGGTGCTTCTACAAGCCAAAGAACACCAGATATTGTCAGCAAACCCCAAAAAGCTAGGGGAGAGGCATGGAGCAGATTCTTCACAGCCTCAGAAGGAACCAGCCTTGCTGATACCTTCATCTCTCCTAGCCTCTGGAACTATGAGACAATGTCTGTTATATAAGCCACTCAGTTTGTGGTAGTTGTTTTTCTGGTTTGTTTGTTTTTCTGAGACAGAGTCTCTCTCTGTCAGCCAGGCTGGAGTGCAATGGCACGATCTCGGCTCACTGCAACCTCCACCTCCCGAGTTCAAGCAATTCTCCTGCCTTAGCCTCCCAAGTAGCTGGGATTACAGGTACCTGCCACTACACCCGGCTCATTTTTTGTGTTTTCAGTAGAGACAGGGTTTTGCCATCATGGCCAGGCTGGTCTCAATCTCCTGACCTCAGGTGATCCACCTCCTCGGCTTCCCAAAGTGCTGAGATTACAGGTATGAGCCACCGCATCCAGCCGTGTGCATGGTAGTTTGTTACAACAGCCTTAGACAGGCATACAGGAGTATTTCCAGTTCTTGAATATTATGAATAATGCTGCTGTAAACACTGGCATTCATGCCTCTGAACACATATGGTTTTATTTCTCTTTGGTTTTTTAACTTTTGTTTAACTTTTTTAAAAAACTGCCAATTAGCTTTTCCAAGTGTCTACATCACTTTACATTTCCATCAGCAACGTATGATGGTTCCATTTTCTCCCCATCCTCACCAACACTTGGTATTGTTTTTCTTTTTTGATTACAGCCATTCTAATGAACGTATAGTAGTATTTCATTGTAACCGTAATTTGCATTTTTCTAATGACTAATGATGTTGAGCACCTTATCATAATGCTGATTAGCAATTTGTATATCTTCTTTAATGAAATGTCCACTTCAGTCTTTTTTCATCTTTATGGCCTTATAACACTGTCTGGGACCCCCAGGGCAGTGTTGAATAGAAGTAGCAAGAACTGACATTTTGCATTGTTCCTGACATTTCAGGGAAATGTTCAGTCTTTTACTGTTAAGTATGATGTTAACTGTGGGTGTTTCATAGATGCACTTTATCCAGGTTGAGGAAGTTCCCATCTATTCCTAGTTTGTTGAGAGTTTTTAACATGAAAGAGTGTTAGATTTTGTTAGAAGGTATTTCTGCATCTATTATTGAGAGGATCATGTAGTTTTTGTCCTTTGTTCTATCAGTATAGTATATTACACTGGTCAAGTTTCAGACGTTAACCAACCTTGAATTCCTATAATAAATCCCACTTGTTCAGAGTATATAATCCTTTATATATGTTGCAGAATTTGGTGTATTAATATTTTGTTAAGGGATATTATTCTGTAATTTTATTTTCTGGTAATAAAAATGTCTTTATTAACTGTTCTCACTGAATGAGTTGAGACTCATTGGACATATATCAATTAGGTCACATAGGTTAATAATGTTTTCTAACTCTTTAATATCCTTGCTGATTTATTGTCTAATTTTTTCATCAATTAGAATAGAATATTGATATCCTCAACTATTGTTGTTGAACTGTCCATATCTTCTTATATCTCTTTTAATTCTGCCAGTTTTGTTTCATGTTTTTGAGGCTTTATTAGCGATGTACATATTTATGACTTGTACATTCCTGACATATTGACTCTTTTATCATTACTAAATGTTCCTCGTTGTCTCCAGTAATATTTCTTGACTTAAAGTTTATGTTAGCTGATAGCCACATAACTAATGACTGCAACTCTCTTATGGTTACTTTTTTTTTTTTTTTTTTGAGACACGGTCTCACTCTGTCTCTGTCACCCAGGCTGTAGTGCAGTGGCCCAATTACGGCTCACTGCAGCCTTGATCTCTGAGGCTCAAGGATCTTCGCACCTCAGTCTCTGAGTAGCTGGGACTACAGGCACGTACCAACAGGCCCTAATTTTTGTATTTTTTGTAGAGATGGGGTTTTGCTGTATTGCCCAGGTTGATCTTAAACTCCTGAGCTCAAGCAGTCCTCCCACCTTGGCCTCCCAAAGTGCTAGGATTTTAGATGCATGTGCTGCCATGTCCAGCCTACTATTTTCATAGCATATCTTTTTCCATGTTTTTACTTTCCACCTATTTGTGTCTTTGAACCTAAGGTGTAACTCTTGCAGACTGCCTATAGTTAGATTTTGCCTTTTTTATCCAATCCAAATATCTTGTTTTTTATTGGAATGTTTAGACCATTCACATTTAATGTAATTAATAAGTTTGGATTTACATTTACCATTTGCTATTTGTTTTCTTTTGTTGTTGCTTAATTTACTTTTCTTTTTTTTTTTTATTTTTTATTATTTTAGAAGCAGGGTCTCATTCTATAGCCCAGGCTAAAGTGCAGTGACGTGATCACAGCTCACTGCAGCCTCGAACTCCTGGGCTCAAGAGATCTTCCCATCTTAGCCTCCCAAGTAGCTAGGACTACAGGCAAACACCACTACACCCCACTAATTTTTCTTTGTATAATTTTATAGAGATGGGGTCTCATTATGTTGCCCAGTCTGGTCTTGAATTCCTGAGCTCAAGCAATCTTCTCACCTCAGCCTCCCAAAATACTAGCATTGCAGGCATGAGCCACCATACCCAACCTGCTATTTGTTTTCCATATGTCTCCTATTTTTGTTTCTCTGCCCCTCTTTCACTGATTTCTGTGTTACATATTTTTTAGTACAGCATTTAAATTCTTTTTTTAACTATTTAAAAATTTTCTTAGTCATTGCAGTATGGATTACAATATGTATTTTTTAATAAGAGCCATCTCAAAGTAATTTTTTCAGCTTTATTGAGGTATAATTGACAAAACTATATATTTAAGGGGTACAACTTGATATTTTGATAACAATATGCATCTTATCTAAATATAGTTCAGATTATTACTAATTTAATTCAGATAAAACATAGAAATTTTGCTTTAATAAAGCTCAATTCTCTTCCCTCTTTTTTGTATTATCATATGTATTACATTTATACATGCTATAAACCCAACAATACAATGTTATAATTATTGCTTTACACAATATTATGCCTTTTTTAAAAGGTAACAGAAGAAATGAGAAAAATATATTTATGGAGTCTTTTCTATCAGCCCACATATTTAACAATTCCAATGGTTTTCTTTTTTTCTTTTCTTTTTTTTTTTTTTTGGTGACGGAGTCTCGCTCTGTCGCCCAGGCTGGAGTGCAGTGGCGTGATCTTGGCTCACTGCAACCTCTGCCTCCTGGATTCAAGCAATTCTCCTGCCCCAGCTTCCCGAGTAGCTGGGACTACAGGCATGCACCACCACGCCTAGCTAATTTTTGTATTTTTAGAGAGATGGGATTTCACCATGTTGGCCAGGATAGTCTCGATCTCTTGACCTCATGATCCACCGACCTCGGCCTCCCAAAGTGCTGGGATTACAGGTGTGAGCCACCACGCCCGGCCTATTTTTGTCCTGTGCATTAAAGTTGCTCTCTGATGTTGCTTTCTTTCACTCTAAAGGACTTCCTATGGCGTTTCTTGAAAGGCAAAACTGTTGTCACTTCCACTGACAGTGCCATAGGTGTGGGCATCACCTGCTACAGCAAATCCAGTAAGCCCCCTCCAACCTGGCAGCACCACTGCAGGTCCTCATGCCTGGTCCTGCCCTGGCAGAACCTCCACACCCACTCGGCTAGAGGAGATGGGAGCAGTCCTAGGAAAGAACGCTTCAGACATCCACTGTTCTTACCCAACGTTCAGCATGTTATCAAGCTTAAACACTTCTCAGATTGTTGTATGAGTTTTATTGATTTCCAGAGCACCAAAATAGTTGTTCTTGTCAATTTTGTTCAGACTTATAGTTGCTTTCTGGGGAGAGGATTTGCTGACTTTTCACATGGCTGTAGCTGGAAATACGCTTCCACCCCCAGTGTTTCTGATTCATTAGACCCGGGGTGCAACTGGAGAATTTGCATAGCCCAAAAAAGAAGTGTGTTACAGTTCCTCCCCCACTCTCTCTCTTGCTCCTGCTTTCACCATGTGAAATGCCTGCTCCCACATTGCCTTCTGCCATGAATAAAAGCTCCCTGAGGCCCCCCCCATGAAGCTGAGTGATGTTGGTGCCATGCTTGTACAGCCTGCAGAACCGGGAGCCAATTAAACTTCTTTTCTTTATAAATTTCCCAGTCTCAGGTATTTCTTTTTTTTTTTTTTTTTTTGAGATGGAGTCTCACTCTGTCGCCCAGGCTGGAGTGCAGTGGTGCTATCTCGGCTCACTGCAAGCTCCACCTCCAGGATTCAAACCCATTCTCCTGCCTTAGCCTCCCGAGTAGCTGAGACTACTGGCTCCCGCCACCACGCCCAGCTAATTTTTTGTATTTTTAGTAGAGACAGGGTTTCACCGTGTTAGCCAGGATGGTCTCAATCTCCTGACCTCGTGATCCACCCACCTCAGCCTCCCAAAGTGCTGGGATTAGAAGTGTGAGCCACTGTGCCCGGCCTTTTTTTTTTTTTTTTTTTTTTTTTTTTTGAGATGGAGTTTCACTCTTGTTGCCCAGGCTGGAGTGCAATGGTGCGATCTTGGCTCACTGCAGCCTCCACCTCCCGGATTCAAGGGATTTTCCTGCCTCAGCCTCCCAGGTAGTTGGGACTACAGGGACGTGCCACCAGGCCCAGCTAATTTTTTTGTTTCTTCACTAGAGACGGGGTTTTGCCATGTTGGCCAGGCTGGTCTCAAACGCCTGACCTCAGGTGATCCACCCACCTCGGCCTCCCAAAGTGCTAGGATTACAGGCATGAGCCACTGTGCCCAGCTGGAAACTCCCATTTTTAAAACCACCAGATCTCATGAGACTTATTCAGGATCACAAGAACAACATGGGAAAGACCCGCCCCCACACCTCCCACCAGGTTTCTCCCATGATACGTGGGAATTGTGGGAGTCGCAATTCAAGGTGAGATTTGGGTGGGGACACAGCCAAACCATATCAGCCTCTGTCTTGTTCCTCCTCTTCTGGTCTGGTTTCTTGTTCCTGTCCATCATTCACAGAGCCACGTGAAGTTTTACCACTGCCACTGCCATCATGAGGACACCCAATTCCATGCCAAGGGTGCTACCTCCAGATACCCCCTATTTCTCTGGTACTGGAGCAGGGCTGGGTTTCATGCTGAGGTAGAGAGTTATAGCCTTCCCCCAAATCCCTGCCACAGTTCCCTGGGCCCCAAGTTGGGTACAGTATTTCAAAGGTCATGCCAGTAGGATTTGCCAATGGTTAAGACGTTGAATGCAAGAGGACAAGAGTCCAGGATAACTCCAAGGTGTTGGTTCAATAGAAGGAGTTGTTGTTAATTAATATGGCCAAGGAGGCTGCCAGTGGAGCAGATGTGAGGAAGAAGACCAGTAGTTTCATTTTGGACACAGTTAAGTTCATGATGTCTCTTAGCTATCTGAGATAAGAAAGGTAATGATGGATGGACCTCCCCTTTTAACTTACACACAGTTACCGTAGTCAAAGAGCAGAACCGAAATGTCAGGATGATTTTCCAGTTCGCTGGCACTATTCATTGCCTCCCCACCAGCCCTCTTCCCTTTCTTCCACTCTGATAGACCTGATTTTGTTCTAGTGTCTATCCTTCCTTATGTGGCCAGCGGAAATTTCAGTTGTCTAAACCAGCCATGGTCATTCATTCTGCTTATCAATGATGAGTTTAGGGGTGAGCTGAAGACCCCCACCCAATTCTGGTATTGACCCAGAGGGAAACTCAGTTGGAAACTTCTGGGATATGTTCTTTTCCTTTTAAAAAAGATATACAGGCCGGGTGCGGTGGCTCATGCCTGTACTCCCAGCACTTTGGAAGGCCGAGGCAGACGAATCACGAGGTCAGGAGTTCGAGACCAGCCTGGCCAACATGGTGAAACCCCGTCTCTATTAAAAATACAAAAAATTAGCTGAGGGTGGTAGCAGGCACCTGTAATCCCAGCTACTCAGGGGGCTAAGGCAGGAGAATTGCTTGAACTGCAGTGAGCCAAGATCATGCCACTGCACTCCAGCCCGGGCAACAGTGTGAGACTCTGTCTCAAAAAAAAAAAAAGCCAGGCATGGTGGCACACCCCTGTAATCCCAGCTACTCGGGAGGCTGAGGTGGAAGAATTGCTTGAACCTGGGAGGTGGAGGCTGCAGTGAGCCAAGATCGTGCCACTGCACTCCAGCCTGGGTGACAGAGTGAGACCCTGTCTCAAAAAACAAACAACAAAAAAAATGATATATAAGGTCGGGCATGGTGGCTCATGCCTGTAATCCCAGCACTTTGGAAGTCCGAGGCAGGCGGATCACCTGAGGCCAGGAGTTCGAGACCAGCCTGGCCAACATGGCAGAACCGTGTCTCCATTAAAACATACAAAAGTTAGCTGGGCATGGTGGCGGGCACCTGTAGTCCCAGCTACTCGGGAAGCTGAGGCAGGAAGAACACTTGAACCCGGGAGACAGAGGTTGCAGTGAGCCGAGATCCCATCACTGCACTCCAGCCTGGGTGACAGAGCAAGGCTCCGTCTCAAAAAACAAACAAACAAAAAAGATACACAAAAAGAAAACTTGATCTCGCTGCTTCTCCTGGACATCTAGAGCAATCATCTTGCAGACGTAATGAGAGTTAGACTGCATAAAACAAGCCAAAAGTGGTAGAGCTAACAGACATCATCTTCCAGTCCATGTATTTGTTAACACGAAGCCACACTTTCTCTGGATTTCTTCTTCTGCGAGATAATACACCTCAGCATTGGTGAAGCCATTTTGAGATGGAGTTTCTTCACTTGTGGGGGAGGGGGCCGAGGGGAAGGATTATCCCGAACATTTAACTAGATAAACTGAAGAGGAAACCACTGAAAGTTCCGGGCAGTAGATTAGGATACCCAACCTATTACTGGCAAGACCAGGACAGTGCCAGCAGCAGGACAATGTGCAGTGCAAGGGACTGACTTGGTGTATGACTTGAGTTAGAAGCTGCTTATTTTGGCACAGGTCTCTCCTTTTTCTTTGCCAGAAAGGGCAGGAATTGCAACTGCACCTGTGGTCCTTATCACTAATGACTTCCTCTATGTTCTTCCTTCACGCACAAGACTTTTCCTGGGTACTGAGAGTCAAAGTCCATGAATTGCTTTCTCCTTATTGCATTTTGTACTTACAAGCCCTTGTTATCAGGCCAGACAGATATTGTTATCCCTATTTATAAACTGGATATTTTATTTTATTTTATTTTTGAGACGGAGTCTCACTCTGTCGCCCAGGCTGGAGTACAGTGGCGTGATCTCGGCTGACTGCAAGCTCCGCCTCCCGGGTTCACACCATTCTCTTGCCTCAGCCTCCCGAGTAGCTGGGACTACTCGGGAGTGCTCACCACCACGCCCGGCTAATTTTTTGTATTTTTTAGTAGAGACAGGGTTTCACTGTGTTAGCCAGGATGGTTTCGATCTCCTGACCTCATGATCCACCCGCCTCGGCCCTCCAAAGTGCTGGTATTACAGGCGTGAGCCACCACGCCCGGCCTAAACTGGATATTTTAATTAAGGACTCAGGGAGGGAAGTGATCACAACCTAGAAATGGGAAAAACCCAGACTTGAACCGAGGTTTTCTGAGTTCAAGGCCAGCACTCTCATCCCCACATGGCATTCATTTTAGAATTTAAAAATGGCATCTAATCATTGTTCTTACTTGATTATTCTAATTTTGCATATTAAGTACAGTATGAGTAAACTATCATTAAGACTCTCATGCATCTTGATTCAACAGAATGTATGCTAAGTACCCAGGCCTTCTAGGGTATGCTTGCTTATCTTATTTTCTCTTTTTTTTTTTTTTTTTTTTTTTTTGGAGAAAGGGTCTTGCTGTGTTGCCCAGGCTGGAGTGCAGTGGCACAATTACAGCTCACTGCAGCCTCCCTCTCCCAGGCTCAAGAGATCCTCCCACCTTAGCCTCTGGAGTAGCTGGGACTACAGGTATGTGCCACCACGTCTGAAAAAAAGTACTTTTGTACTTTTTTGTAGAGATGGGGTTTCACCATGTTGCCCAGGCTGGTTTTCTTATATTCATAAAAATAAAAACTCTTCTTCCTATGCTACTTGATCGGGACTCTCTTCCTCTTCCAGTTTTCTTACAACATGTGCTTTGAGTTAATCTTTTAGTGCTATATAGAACAAGGCTCAGAATCACATTTACTTTATTTTATTTATTCATTTATTTATTTTCAAGACGGAGTTTCGCTCTTGTTGCCCAGGCTGGAGTACAATGGTGCCATCTTGGCTCACTGCAACCTCCACCTCCCAAGTTGAAGCAATTCTCTTGCCTCAGCATCCTGAATAGCTGGGACTACAGGCACACGCCACCACATCAGGCTAATTTTTGTATTTTTAGTAGAGATGGGGTTTCACCATGTTGGCCAGGCTGGTCTTGAACTCCTGACCTTAGGTGATCCGCCTGGCTCAGCTTCACAAACTGCTGGGATTACAGGCGTGAGCCATATTTACTTATTTATTTTTTGAGACAAGGTCTCACTCTGTCCCCCAAGCTGGAGTACAGTGGCACGATCACACTCATTGCAACCCCAGCCTCTCAGGCTCAAGCAATCCTACCTGTTCAGCCTCCTGAGCAGCTGAGACTACAGATGCATGCCACCATGCCTGGCTAGTTTTTGTAGAGATGGGGTTTCACGATGTTGCCCAGGCTGGTATCAAACCCCTGAGCTTAAGCAATACTCCTGCCTCCGCCTCCCAAAGTGCTAGGATTACAGGCATGAGCCACCACACCCAGCCCTTAAATTGTACTTTATTTTCATGAAATAAATTATTTTCACATAGTTCAGAAACCAAAACATAAAAGAGAATAGGCTGGGCACGGTGGCTCATGCCTGTAATCCCAGCACTCTGGGAGGCCAAGGTGAGCGGATCACCCGAGGTCAGGAGTTTGAGACCAGCCTGGCCAACATAGTGAAACCCCCGTCTCTAGTAAAAATACAAAAATCAGCCTGGCGTGGTGTGGGCTTGTAATTCCAACTACTTGGAGTCTGAGGCAGGAGAATCTCCGGAACCCAGGAAGCAGAGGTGAGCCGAGATTGCACCACTGGACTCCAGCCTGAGCAACAGGGCAAAGACTGCGTCTCAAAAAAAAAAACGAAAAAAAGGGAATAGATGGGAGGTTTTCACTTCCATCTTTAGTCACGTGTATGTACCACTATTTATTTATTTATTTATTTGAGACAGAGTCTCACTGTCGTCCAGGCTGGAGCACAGTGGCACAATCTTGGCTCACTGCAACCTCCACCTGGGTTCAAGCGATTCTCCTGCCTCAGTCTCCAGAGTAGCTGGGACTACAGGCACGTGCCACCATGCCCAGCTAATTTTTGTATTTTTAGTAGAGATGAGGTTTCACCACATTGGGCAGGCTGGTCTCGAACTCCTGCCTCAAGCAGTCCACCCACCTCGGCCTCCCAAAGTGCTGAGATTACAGGTGTGAGCCACCACACCTGGCCTGTACCACTATTTATTGAACTAACCCTTATTACAATATTTTTTTGGGGCTGCCATAACAAATTACCACAAATTGGGTGGCTTAAAACAACAGAAATTTATTTTCCCACAGTTCTAGAGGGCGGATTTGCAAAATCAAGGTCTCAGTGGGGCTGCAGTCTCTCTAACAGCTCTAGAAATGAATCCTCCCTTGCCTCTTCTAGCTTCTGGTGGCTCCTGGTGTTCGTTGGCTTATGGCCCCATCACACCAATCTCTGCCAATGTGGTCACATGGTCTTCCTCTCTATATGTGTCTTGTTTCTGTGTGTCCTCTCCTCTTCTTCCAAGGACACCCATCATTGGGTTTAGGATCAACTCTAATCCCGTATTGTGGTAGGAGTTATTAAGAAATTATTTTAGGCAGATAGAGAGGAAAAGGGGTCCTTGGGAAGTTTTCATTTTTAAAGCTGTTCCAGAAAGGTTTCTTGTCAAGCCCAGGCTCTTAGAGCCAGGCCAGCAACCTTTGATATGCACATGCTGGCCATTAGAAACTGGGTCTACCCAAACATGACAATTCCCACCCTCTTCTTCTTGCCCTTGCCCCACAAGTGCCTGGCAAACATGGCCGCCCCCACGTATCCCCACGTGTGTAGAACATCATGGTGCTCTGCATTTGCATATTAAAAGGCTAGGGTGGGTGGACCAGCTTTTTCCCGGGCTGCGTGAATGACATGCCTGGTCAAACCAATCCCCTGAGCCCTGTGCAAATCAGACACCGCCTCCTCCAGCCTCTATATAAACTTAGCTGGTTTTCACTCCACTTGGTGTCTACTCTTTCGGCTTTGGAGCCTCTCTGCCTCTTGTCTCTGTACGAGGGAGCTTCTTCCTTCTGCCTTCTCCCTTCTTGCCTATTAAACTTGCCTATTAAAACCACTCCACGGCCGGGCGCGGTGGCTCACGCCTGTAATCCCAGCACTTTGGGAGGCCGAGGCGGGCGGATCACGAGGTCAGGAGATCGAGACCATCCTGGCTAACACGGTGAAACCCCGTCTCTACTAAAAATACAAAAAATTAGCCGGGCGAGGTGGCGGGCGCCTGTAGTCCCAGCTACTCGGGAGGCTGAGGCAGGAGAATGGCGTGAACCCCAGGGGGCGGAGCCTGCAGTGAGCCGAGATTGCGCCACTGCACTCCAGCCTGGGCGACAGCGAGACTCCGTCTCAAAAAAAAAACAAAACAAAAAAAAACAACAAAAAAAAAACCACTCCACTTGTGTCCATGTTGTTTTATCTAAACCGGCATGAGGACCAAGAACCCTTGTGTTCCTCCACTCATCGGAGCCATATCAATATGCCCTCATCTTAACTCAAGGGTCCCCAATCCCTGGGCTGCAGACCAGTACCAGTCTGTGGACTGCTAGGAACCGGGCCACATGGCAGGAGGTGAGTGGTGACAAGTATTACCACCTGAACTCCGCCTCCTGTCAAATCAGTGGCAGCATTAGATTCTCATATCAGTCCCTGGTGCAAAAAAGGTTGGGGACCATTGTCTTAACTAATCACATCTGCACAGACTGTATTTCCAAGTAAGGTCACATTCGCAAGTATGCCATGGATTAGGACTTAAACTTATCTTTTTAGGGGACACAATTCAACATATCACACCTATGGATGGACTTGTAGATGTTTTCAATTATTTGCTATTAGAACAGATGTGTATTTTCTATGGACATGTATATATTCTTATGGACTTGTGGAATGCTTCTGAGATACAAATTGCTCAAAGTATATATGCCAGCTCACAAGTTGTTGCCAAATTGTGTTTCAAAATGGTTGTGCTTACAGCCTGGCCAACATGACAAAACCGCATCTCTACTAAAAAATACAAAAATTAGCGGGGCTTGGTGGCGCACCGCTGTAATCTCAGCTACTCGGGAGGCTGAGGCACAAGAGTCACTTGAACCCAGGAGGCGGAGGTTGCAGTGAGCCGAGATCACGCCACTGCACTCCAGCCTGGGAGACAGAGTGAGATCTTGTCTCAAAATATATAAAAATAATAAAATGAATTTAAAAAACAAAATGGTTGTGCTTAATTCCATTCCTACTCTGTTTATTTCCCTACAGCCTCACCAAACCATAATACCAGTCTCTTTACCTACCAATCTGAGAGGTGAAAAAGAAAACCTCATTTTAAATTTCTACTTATTTGATTATTCATGCTAATGAGTACATGTTCATGTGTTCATTGGCTTTGTGTAAGTCTGTGAAATGCTAGCTGTTTCTTATTCCCTGTTGAGGTGCTGGTCTATATTTTATTTAATCTATTTTAGACATTTCAAGGGCTTTTTGTAAGGTCATAATCTTTTTATTGTTGTTGTTCTTTTATTGAAAGGAACTTGATCTTTTATATAAACTTAAAGCAACAGATTGTGTGAAATTACATATCTACAATGTAAGGCTATTAGCTATGTGAGTATGGGAAGTGTTTAATAAGATTATGATACTTGTGATGGGTACAATTTATGAACAGAGAGAGAGAGAGAGAAGTGTAAATAGTTACACCAGAAACAAGATGTGATTGAAAGAATGTCAGTGAGTGGGACCTTATATGAATCTGTGAGAAGGTAAAAAAAAAAAATCCATTTCCTAGCCAGGCACGGTGGCTCACACCTTCCAAAATAGTCCAGCACTTTGGGAGGCCGAGGCAGGTGGATCACTTGAGGTCAGGAGTTCTAGACCTACTTGGCCAACATGGTGAAACACTGTCTCTACTAAAAATACAAAAATTAGCCAGGCATGATGATGGTCACCTGTAATCCCAGCTACTTGGGAGGCTGAAGCAGGAGAATCACTTGAACCTAGGAGACTGAGGTTGCAGTGAGCCAAGATTGTGCCACTGCACTCTAGCCTGGGCAACAAAGCAATAACTTGTCTCAAAAAAAAATCCCTTTCCTTCATTTTATTTACTTTATTTTATTTTTTGAGACAGAGTCTCACTCTGTTGCTCAGGCTGGAGTACAGTAGCACGATCTTGGCTCACTGCACCTTCCACCTCTCAGGTTCAAGTGATTCTTCTGTCTCAGCCTCCCGAGTAGCTGGGACTACAGGCACGTGCCACCACGCCCATCTAGTTTTTGTATTTTTAGTAGAGATGGGGTTTCACCATATGGGTCAGGTTGGTCTTGAACTCCTGACCTCGTGATCTGCCTGCCTCAGCCTCCCAAAGTGCTGGGATTACAGGCGTGAGCCACCACACCGGCTATTTTATTTTATTTGAGACTGAGTCTCACCCTGTCACCCAGGCTGGAGTGCAGTGGTGCGATCTCGGCTCACTGCAACCTCTGCCTCCCAGGTTCAAATGATTCTCCTGCCTCAGCCTCCCAAGTAGCTGGGACTACAGGCACACACCACCATGCCAGATAATTTTTGTACTTTTTTAGCAGAGACGGAGCTTCACAGTGTTGGCCAGGCTGGTCTCGAACTCCTGACCTCAAATGATCTGTCCACCTAGGCCTCCTAAAGTCTTGGGATTAGAGGTGTGAGCTACCTTACCTGGCCCCTTTTCTTCATTTTAAATGAGGACCTCCAGTTAAGATATCAAACTGGTGGTAAATATTCAACAGACTGTGTGCCCATCCTGACTTTCTTTTTTCAACACAGAGCCATTTAGTTTATAATTAAAAATAGTGAGGGGGTGGCCAGGCGCGGTGGCTCACACCTGTAATCCCAGCACTTTGGGAGGCTGGGGCAGGCAGATCATTTGAGGTCAAGAGTTCAAGACCAGTCTGGCCAACATAGTAAAACCCTGTCTCTACTAAAAATACAAAAACTAGCCAGACGTGGTGGCAGGCACCTGTAGTCCCAGCTACTTGGGAGGCTGACGCAGGAGAATTGCTTGAACGTGGGAGGCGGAGGTTGCGGTGAGCCAAGATTGCACCACTGTACTCCACCCTGGACAACAGAACAAGACTCTGTTTCAAAAATAAAAGTAAAAATAAATAGTGAGGGAGCAATTCCACTTCTGGGTATATACCTACAAGGATTGAAAGTAGGACATGAGTAGATATGTGTATACCTGTGTTCATAGCAGCAGTATTCACAATAACCAAAAGGTGTAAGCAACCCAAGTTTCTATTGTCCGATGAATGAATAAGTAAAATGTAGAGTATCTATTCAACAGAATATTATTTATTCTTAAAACAGAAGGAAATTTTGAAACATGCTACATCACTGATAAACTTTGAAGACCTTATGTTAAGCAATATGTGCCAGACAAAAAAGAACAAATAGTCCAGGTGAGGTGGCTCATGCCTATAATCCCAGCATTTTGGGAGGCCAAGGCAGGAGGATTGCTTGAAACCAGGAGTTTGGAAACAACGTGGCCAACATAATGAGATCCTGTCTCTACAAAAAAAATTAATTAGCCATGCAAGGTAATGCATGCCTGTAGTTCCAGCTACTTGGGAGGCTGAGGCAAGAGAATTGCTTGAGCCCAGGAGGTCAAGGCTGCAGGGGGCTATGACCATGCCACTGAACTCCAGTCTGGGCAACAGAGTGAGATCCATCTCTACAATACAATAAAATTAAATGACAAATATCATATGATTTCACTTATATGAGATAAACAGATTAGTCAAATCCATAGAGACAAAGAGTGGAATGGTGGCTGACAGGTGCTAAGGCAAGGGAGGGATGAAGAGTTATCATTTAATGGGTATAGAGTTTTAGATTTACAGGATGAAAAGAAGTCTGGAGACTGGTTCAACAACAATATGAAATACTTAATGCTACTGAATTATACACTTAAAAATGGTCAAGAAGTGCCTGGTGTGGTGATTCATGCCTGTAATTCCAGCACTTTGAGAGGTCAGGGCAGGAGGATCACTTGAGCCCAGGAGTTTGAGACCAGCCTGGGCAACAAAGCAAGACCCTGTGTCTACGAAAAATAAAATAATTAGCGGGACATTGTGGCCTGTGCCTGTAGTCCCAGCTAATCTGGAGGCTGAGATGGGAGGATCCCTTTTGCCCAGGCATTCGAGGCTTCATTGAACTATTATCACACCACTGCATTGAAGTCTTGGCCACAGAGTAAGCCCTATCTGTAAATAATAATAATATTAATAATAATAAATAATAAATGGTTAAGAGGAGAATGTATAAGGACATGTACAAGGGAGCCCCTATAAGACTATAAGTTGATTTCTCAGTGGAAACTTTGTAGGCCAGAAGGGAATAGGGTAATATAATCAAAGTACTGAAAGGAAAAAAAAAACTTGTCAACTAAGAATACTATGCCTGGCAAAATACTCCTTCCAAAATGAAGGAGAAATGAAGTTTTCCCACGAAAAACAAAAGCTAAAAGATTTTATTACCACTAAACTTGCCGTACAAAAAAATGCTAAAGGGAGTTCTTCAAGTTGAAACAAAAGGATGCTAAAACAGCAAAACAGTTGCATAAGAAAATATAAAACTTACTGGTAAAGGTAAATACAAAGACAAATACAGAATACTGCAATACTGTTATGGTTGTGGGTAAATCACTTTTGATTCTAGTATAAAAGTTAAAAGACAAAAGCATTATAAATACCTATAGTTAAAGGATACATTAATAGATACATAAGATAAGTACATGTAAATTATGACAACATAAAGCGTGTGTAGGGGGTAATAAAAGTATTATGTTTTGTATACAATTGAACTTAAGTTGTTATCAGCTTAAAATAGACTGTTCTAACCATAAGATTGTTTTTGTAAACCCCATGATGATGACAAAGAAAATATCTGTAAAAATTACACAAAAGAAAAAGAGGAAGGAATAAAAGCATATCAATACAAAAAAAAAAAAAACAAAACAAAAAGGAAGACAGCAAGAGAGGAACAGATGGACAAAAGAATTATAAGACTAACACAAACCAATTAATAAGGCTGGGCATGGTGGCTCATGCCTGTAATCCCAACACTTTGGGAGGCGAAGGTAGGCAGATCACCTGAGGTCAGGAGTTTGATACCAGCCAGGCCAACATGGTGAAACCCCATCTCTACTAAAAATACAAAAATTAGCCAGACGTGCTCACTTGAACCCATGAGGCAGAGGTTGCAGTGAGCTGAGATCGTGCCACCACACTCCAGCCTGGGCGACAGAGCAAGACTCTGTCTCAAAAAAACAAAAGCAAAAACAAAAAACAATAAAATGGCTGTAGTAAATTCTTCCCTATAAATAATTACTTTAAATGTAAATTGATTAAACCCCCTAATCAAAAGATATAGAATGGCTGAGTGGATAAAAAAACAAGACTACATGCTGTCTATAAGAAACTCACTTTAGATTTAAGGACACACATAGAGCAATGTGTGTCCTTAAACATATTCCATGCAACTGGTAAACGAGTGCAGAAGTGGTTATACTTGGATCAGACAAAATAGAGTTAAAATTTAAAACTGTCATAAGAGACAAGGAAGGACATTATATAATGATAAAACGGCCAATTCACTAGGAAGACATAACAATTATAAATATTCACTCAACATCAGAACACCTAAATATGTAAAGCAAATGCTGATAGAACTAAAGAGAGAAAGCAATACGATAATATCTGAGCCTCTGGCTACTTTGTAAAAAGGAAAAAAAAAAGCAATACAATTACAGTAACAGACTTCAATACCCCACTTTCAATAGTGGATAGAACATCCAGATAGACTATTGATAAGGAAACAAATGATTTGAACACTGTACACTAAATGGACCTGACAGACATACAGAGAACATTCCACCCAACAGCAGCAGAATCCACATCCTTTTCAAGTGCATGTGGAATATTCTCCAGAGTAAATTGTAGTGTTAGGCCACTGCCTTCATCCATGTTGTGCTGCTGTATGAGAATAGCTGAGGATGGATAATTTGTAAAGAATAGACATTGATTACTCACAACTCTGAAGGCTGGGAAGTGAAAGATCAAGGTGCTGGGGTGCTGCGAAGTTTGGCTGCATCCTTCAGAGGGGAAGAACGCTGCTCCTCACATGGCAAAAGTGCAGAAGATGATGAACCCACTCCAAATCGCTTGTTCAAGTGCAGCATTAATCCACTCACAAGGATAAAGCCCTCATGACCTAAACACCTCCCATTAGGCCTCCCTTCCCAAAACTGTTGCATTGGTGATTAAATCTCCAACATATAAGTTTAGGAGGGGACAAACATTCAAACCATAACAGTCACGAACAAGTCCTAACAAGTTTAAGAAGACTGAAGTCATACCAAGTATCTTTTCTGACCACAGTGAAATAAAACTAGAAGCCAATAGCAGAAAAAAACAGCTCTGAGGCCAGGCATGGTGGCTCAGGCCTGTAATCCCAGCACTTTGGGAGGCCAAAGCAGGAGGATCACTTGAGCTCAGGAGTTCAAGACCAGCCTGGGCAACAAAGTGAGGTCTCATCTCTACTAAAAAAAAAAAAAAGGAAGAAAAGAAAATCAAGAAAATTAGCCAGGTGTGGTGGCATATGCTGATAGTCCCAGCTGCTCTGGAGGCTGAGGCAAGAGGATCGCTTGAGCCTGGAGGACTGAGGCTTCAGTGAGCCATAATTGCACCACTGCACTCCAGCCTGGGACAGCAAGACTCTGTCTCAAAAAAAAAAAAAAAAAAAAAAGGTAAATCAAAAAAAATCTTAAGATGAATAGAAATGGAAATTCTACATACCAGCTGGGTGCAGTGGCTCACACCTGTAATCCCAGCACTTTGGGAGGCCAAGACAGAAGGATTATGTGAGCCCAGGAGTCTTAGAACAGCCTGGGCAAGATAGTGAGACCCCTTCTGTACAGAAACAAACTAACTAACAAAAAATTAGCCAGGCATTGTGGCAAATACCTGTAGTCCCAGCTACTTGGGAGGCTGAGGCAGTAAGATTTATAGAGCCAGGGAGATCAAGGATGCAGTGAGCTATGATTGCACCACTGTGCTCCAGCCTGGGCAACAGAGTGAGACTCCATCTCTGAAAAAACTAAATTAAATTAAAAATAAAAATACTACATACCAAAACTTATGGGTTGAATCAAAAGCAGTACTAACGGGGAAGTTTATAGCAATGAATGCCTATATTAAAAAGAGGAAACATCTCAAACAACCAAACTTTACATCTCAAAAAACTAGAAGAAGTGGCGTGAACCTGGGAAGCAGAGCTTGCAGTGAGCCGAGATCGCGCCACTGCATTCCAGCCTGGGTGAGAGAGCGAGACTCCATCTCAAAAAAAAAAAAAACCACTAGAAGAAGAAGAACAAACTATGCCCAAAGTTAACAGAAGAAATGAAATAATAAAAATTAGAGGAGAAATCGACAATATAGAGAATAAAAAATAGAAAAAAATTGGCCAGGCGCAGTGGCTCACACCTGTAATCCCAGCACTTTGGGAGGCTGAGGCGGGCAGGTCACAAAGGCTGAGGTGGGAGTATCGCTTGAGCTCAGGAGTTCAAGACCAGCCTAGGCAACATAGCAAGACCCCGTTCAATATTTAGGAACAAATTTAACTAAGGGGTGAAACACTTATAAACAGAAAACTACAAAACATTGATAAATGAAATTGAAGAAGATCCAAATAAATGGAAAGACTTCCCATGGTCATGGATTAGAAAACTTAATGTTGTTAAAATGTCCAATGCTACCCAAAGTCATCTACAGATTGAATGCATTCCCTATCAAAACTGCAATGGCATTTTTTACAGAATTAAAAAAAAAAAAGCAATTCTAAAATTCATGTGAGGCCAAAAAAGACCCCAAATAGCCAAACTAATCTTGAAAATGAAGAGCAAAGCTGAAGGCATCACACTTCCTGATTACAAAATATTTTACAAAACTACAGAAATGAAAACAATATGGTACTGGTATGAAGACAGCCATATAGACCAGTGGAACACAATAGAGAGAGACTTAACAGAATCTGCAAATAATGGTCAACTGATCTTTGACAGGGATGCCAAGAATACATAATGACAAAAGTCTCCTCAACAGATAGTGTCGGGAAAACTGGATATTCACATCTAAAAGAATGAAATCGCAGCCTTAATTTACACTATCCCAAAAATCAACTAAAAATGGATTAAAGACTTAAATATTAGACCTAAACTATAAAACTCGTAGAAGAACACATAGGGGAAATCTTCATGCTATTAGTCTTGGCAGCGATTTCATGGCTATGACACCAAAAGCACAGGCCACAAAAGCAGAAATAAATAAGTGGTTCTACACCAAACTAAAAAAATTCTGCAAAGCAAAGGAAATAATCAACAGAGTAAAAAAGGCAATCTACAGGGTGGAGAAATGTTGGCAGACCATACATCTGATAAGGGGATAATTTCCAAAATACATAGGGACTACCTACAACTTGATAGCAAAAAAAATAATGATAACCCAATTTTAAAATGGGCTAAAGACTTGAATAGACAGTTCTCCAAAGAAGCCATCCAAATGCCCAACAGAAAGACACTCTGTCACTAATTGTGTAAGGCTGTTCTTGCACTACTATAAAGAAATCCTAAGACTGGGTTATATATAAGAAAAGGGGTTTAATTGGCTCACGGTTCTGGAGGCTGTACAGGAAGCATAGCAGTTTCTGCTTCTGGGGAGGGCCCAGGAAGCTTCCAATCATGGCAGAAGACAAAGGGGGAGCAGGCACATCACAAGGCAAGAATGGGAGCAAGAGTGGGAGAGATTCGGGGGAGGTGCCACACAATTTTTTTTTTTTTTGACAAGGTCTTGCTCTGTCACCCAGGCTGGAGTGCAGTGGCACGATCTCGGCTCACTGCAGCCTTGACTTCCCTGGCTCAAGCAATCTTCCCACCTCAGCCTCTCCAGTAGCTAGGCCCACAGGCATGCACCACCACACCCAGCTAATTTTTGTATTTTTTGTAGAGATTGGGTTTCACCATGTTGCCCAGGCTGGTCTCAAACTCCTGGGCTCAAGAGATCCACCACCCCAGCCTCCCAAAGCCACACAACCAGATCCTGTGAGACCTCATTTACTATTTTGAAGATAGCACCAAGCCATGAAGGATCCACCCTTATAACCCAAACACCTCCCACTAGGCCCCACCTCCAGCATTGGGGATTACAATTCAACCTGAGATTTGAGTGGGGACAAATATCCAAACTATGTCACTAACCATCAAAGAAATGCAAATCCAAACCACAATGAGATATCACCTTACACCTGTCAGGATGGCTATTATCAGACAAAAGACAAAAAGCTCTGGTGAGGATATGAAGAAACTGGAATCCTCTTACGCTGTAGATGGGAATGCAAAATGGTGCAACCGCTATGAAAAATAGCATAGAGGTTCCTCAAAAAATTAAAGATAGGGCCGGGCGCAGTGGCTCATGCCTGTAATTCCAGCACTTCGGGAGGCCAAGGTGGGCGAATCACCTGAGGTCAGGAGTTCCAGACCAGCCTGACCAACATGGTGAAACCCCATCTCTACTAAAAATACAAAAAAAAAAAAAAAAAAAAAAAAAATTAGCTGGGGGCATGCCTGTAATCCCAGCTACTCAGAAGGCTGAGGCAGAAGAATCGATTGAACCCAGGAGGTGGGGGTTGCAGTGAGCCGAGATCGTGCCATTGCACATCAGCCTGGGCAACAAGAGTGAGACTCCTTCTCAAAAAAAAAAATTAATTAATTAATTAATTAAAAATAGAACTACCATATGACCCAGCAATTCAACTTATGGGTATTGATCCAAAAGGATTGAAACTGGAATCTCCAAGAGTTATTAACACTGCCATATTCATTGCAGAATTATTCATAATAGCCAAGATACAGAAACAGCCCAACTGTCCATTAGCAAATGAGTGGATAAAGAAAGTGTGGAATACACATGCAGTGGAATGTTATTATTCAGCCTTAGAAAAGAAGAAACTTCTGCAATATGGGACTACATGGATGAACTTTGAGACATTATGCTAAGTGAAATAAGCCAGTCACAGAAGAACAAATACTGCATGATTCCACTTAAAATTAGTATCTAAAATAGGCCAATTCATGGAATACAAAAGTGAAACGGTAGTTGCCAGGGGCTGGGGAAAGATCAATGGAAAGTTTCTTTTTTCTTTGTTTTTGAGACAGAGTCTTGCTATCTCACCCAGGCTGGAGTGCAGTGGTGTGATCTTGGCTCACTTCAAGCTCAACCTCTCAGGTTCAAGTGATCCTCCCGCCTCAGCCTCCCGAGTAGCTGGGATTACAGGTGCGCACCACCACACCTGGCTAATTTTTGTATTTTTAGTAGAGATGGGGTTTCACCATGTTGGCCAGGCCAGTCTCAACTCCTGACCTCAGGTGATCCACCTGCTTCAGCCTCCCAAAGTGCTAGGATTACAGGCATGAGCCACTATGCCCGGCCTCAATGGAAAGTTTCTAATCAACAGGCATAAAGTGTCAGTTAAGCAAGATGAATGAGCCCTAGAGACCTGCTGTACAACACTGTACTTATATTTAGCAATACTGTATTGTATACTTGAAAACGTATTAAGAGGGTAGCTTTCATGTTAAGTATTCTTACCACAATAAAGTTATTCTTTTTTTTAAGTGTGCCACAAATTGAGGAGTATGATTAAATCTACCTTTGGAACCCGAGTTCCAAAATGAAATAAAATAAATCCAACATAAAAATTTTAAATGCTTTAACTATTAAAAATACTATTAAGGCAAATTTTACAAGAGGTAAGATTCAGTTATCATGGAGACTAAGTTAAGA
Organism: Homo sapiens; assembly: GCF_000001405.40. Lineage (NCBI taxonomy): Eukaryota > Metazoa > Chordata > Mammalia > Primates > Hominidae > Homo > Homo sapiens. The sequence goes on along the minus strand of NC_000021.9, from coordinate 31,630,638 downwards.
TTTTCAGTTCCTAGAGAATTTTTTCCTCCAGAACTGAAAGCTAGCTCACAGGGGTATCTTTTGTCCATTTGTTTTTTGAGACAAGGTCTCACTCTGTCTCCCAGGCTGGAGTGCAGTGGCATGGTCTCAGCTCACTGCCTCCCAGACTTAAAGGAACTTCCCACCTCAGTCTTCCAAGTAGCTGGGACTACAGGCGCACACTACCATGCCCAGCTAATTTTTGTATTTTTTGTAGAGACGAGGTCTTGCCATGTTGCCCAGGCAGGTCTCGAGCTCCTGGGCTTAAGCGATCCACCCGCCTTGGCCTCTCAAAGTGCTAGGATTACAGGCATGAGTCACCGCATCTGGCCTTTCGTCAAATTTAACCTTGCCTGTCTTGTTCATTATTAAACCTCCAGTCCAGGCATAGTGCCAGCACAGAGTCAACTCTAATAAATATTTGATGAATAAGTCCATATCAAAACAAAATGCAAGCTGCTTCCATTCTGTAATTCCGCATTTTGCTAATGAAAGGATATTTGAGTCATAGAAATCAGCAAAGTAGGTAGTATTTGTTGTTCATTCATGGAGATGATAGGTGAGAACCTCAGATTTTAGGCTTGGCCAAGATCTCAGTCTGTTAAAACTGGACAAAGATGGAAAGTTTCTAATTGAGTAGGCATGGAAGCCAGAGATGCTAGCAAAGTCCCTTTAGGGCAGCCAGAATGACCCTTATGAAGGGCAGTCATAATTTTGATCATGTCACGTTCATGCTGGAGAAAGAGTGAGCCAACTATGAAATGGCCACTGGGACAAATATGGTCTTAGGTGGTCAATCTACGGACCCCTAGATTTGAAAGACCATAACAGACTCTTGTCTGAGGATGTCAGCTGAAGCCTCAAACCGAGAATATAAGTGACAAGTGACAAGCCGCTGACATTTCAAAGTGAGGAGTAAAGGCAACCCCACATAACTTGCTAAGAGGTGGCAGGACCAATTCTCTGACCTGGAACCCATTCCTTTCCTGCAGGCTGTCAAGGGGAAAGGGAGGATCCATAGGCACATCAGAGCAATCCTTTCTGTGAAGAGTGTGGTTAGCTTGTGGGGAAGGGATGATTTTCCACCCCACCCCTCCAACTCAAGGCAAGTAACTCTGCTTCCAAAGAAGCCCACCTGGAATGTGGGTGTTGCCTGCCAGTAAGGGAGAAACCCTGGATGCCAGGGTCAAGCCTGAGGAAGTCCAGGAGATGGCTAGCGGAAGGCAGGCCTGCGAGGGGGAGTTATGGGAAGGAGAAGGACTTGTACATTTTATTTTTGCTCTCTGTTCTTTGTCTTCTTCTTCTTCTTTTGAGATGAAGTTTCGCTCTTGTTGCCCAGGCTGGAGTGCAATGGTGCAGTCTCAGCTCACTGCAACCTCCACCTCCTGGGTTCAAGCAATTTTTCTACCTCAGCCTCCCAAGTAGCTGGGATTACAGGCGCCTGCCACCATGCCCAGGTAATCATTTTTGCTCTTTTTTCTATTTAATTGTTTTTCTTAATTGTGAATATGTATTACTTTTGTAATTTTTTTTTTTTTTTTTGAGATGGAGTCTCACTCTGTCACCCAGGCTGGAGTGCAGTGGCACAATCTTGGCTCACTGCAACCTCTATCTCCCAAGTTCAAGCGATTCTCCTGCCTCAGCCTCCCAAGTTGCTGGGATTACAGGTATGTACCACCATGCCCGGCTAATTTTGTATTTTTAGTAGAGATGGGGTTTCTCCATTGGTCAGGCTGGTCTCAAACTCCTGACCTCAGGTGATCCACCCACCTCGGCCTCCCAAAGTGCTGGGATTACAGGCATGAGCCACCGCACCTGGTTGAGATCGGATGTTTTTAAAAAAGGGGAGTTTCCCTGCACAAGCTTCTCTCTCTTTGCTTGCTGCCATTGCACGTAAGATGTGACCTGCTCCTCCTTGCCTTCTGCCGTGATTATGAGGCCTCCCCAGCCATGTGGAACTAACACTTCAGTTCTGGAAGATCAAGATGAAGATAAGTCCCCAAAGAAAAATACTCCTTGGCAGATAAGTAATGGAACATCATTTGTGATCATCTCCAGAAAGAGGCCATCAGAAGGAAACTACCAAAAAGAAAAAGACTTGTATATTCAATATTTTAACCAGGGGTCTGAATCAGATCAGTTGGAATTTGTGGAACATCTTATTTCACGAATGTGTCATTATCACCATGGACGTATCAACTCTTACCTGAAGCCCATGTTGCAGCAGGACTTTATTACTGCTTTACCCGAGCAAGGCTTAGATCACATAGCAGAAAACATTCTTTTGTACCTGGTTACCAGGTCTCTGTGTGCAGCAGAGCTGGTATGTAAAGGATGGCAGGGATTGATCTCAGAATGAATGCTTTGGAAGAAGCTGATTGAACGAATGGTACACACTGATCCCCTATGGAAAGGACTTTCAGAAAGAAGAGGGTGGGATCAGTACCTGTTTCAAAACAGACCCATATCTAGCCCTCCAAATTCATTTTATAGGTCATTATACCCAAACATTATCCAGGATATAGAGACTATAGAATCCACCTAGCGGTGTGGCCGACACAGCTTGCAGAGGATTCAGTACCACTCTGAAAATAGTAAAGGTGTCTATGGTTTACAGTACGATGATGAAAAAATTATCAGTGGCCTACAAGATAATTAAGATTTGGGATAAAACCAGCCTGGAATGTTTGAAAGTGTTAATGGCCACACAGGTTCTGTCCTCTATCTGCAGTAGGATGAGCGTGTCATTGTAACTGGCTCTTCGGATTCTACGGTGAGAGTGTGGGAAGTGAACACGGGTGAAGTTCTTAACACATTAATCCACCACAATGAGGATGTACTGCACTTACGCTTCAGCAGTGGACTGATGGTGACCTGTTCCAAGGACCGCTCCATTGCTGTGTGGGACATGGCTTCTGCGACCGATATCACTTTACGTGGTGTCCTGGTTGTCCACTGAGCTGCTGTCAACGTAGTAGACTTTGACGAGAAATACATCGTGTCTGCCTCTGGTGACAGGACCATCAAAGTCTGGAGCATGAGCACCTGTGAATTTGCTCGTACTCTCAATGGGCACAAGCGAGTCTTGTCTCCAGTACAGGGATGGGCTGGTTGTTAGTGGATCATCAGATCATACCATTAGGCTCTTGGATATTGAATGTGGCTCCTGTTTAAGAGTCCTAGAGGGACATGAAGAATTGGTCCGATGCATCCAGTTTGATAACAAGAGGATGGTCAGCCGGGCCTATGATGGGAAAATTAAAGTTTAGGACTTGCAAGCCGCTCTTGACCCTCGAGCCCCAGCAAGCACATTGTGTTTGCGCACATTGGTGGAACATTCTGGACATGTGTTTTGCCTACAGTTTGATGAGTTTCAAATCGTCAGCAGCTCCCATGATGACACTATTTTGATTTGTGGTTTCTTAAATGTGCCTCCCAGTGCCCAGAATGAGACCCATTCCCCCTCCAGAACATACACTTACATCTCTAGATAACAGTCTGCACTTTCACCCGTTTCCGGGTTTTCTAGTCTTGAACTACTGGCTACGTGGCTACCAATGCCTAAGGGAGTTCGTTCACAGCTGAGTTATGAAGCTGGAATTGGTTCTAGACGCTGGGTAGATGCAAAGCAGCCTAACTCTTCAAGTCCCGACATTTCTCACCTCTGATTCCAGCTCTACTTTGAGAAGGAGACCTTAGCTTCACTGACTTGAAAGTAGCACAGAAGCCCATTTCCTTCCCTCATTAGTGAAAAAATCTAATGTTTCAAATGTAAACTGATCATAGAAAAGGAACATAGAATCTGTTTTACAGAAGTAAATTGACGCCAAGAGAAGTCTTGGCCTCTAATTTATATTGCTTTGCACTTTGGTTTGATACTAAGAAACAGCATTCTTCTTCAGTGAAATTTTGGGTGCCAAACACCTACTCAGAATGTCCACGGCTTTCATTTTCAAAAGTTAACATTCTCCTTTTGACCGTCCAAGTCATTATGAATTTTGACTTGCTGTATTAGGAACATGTTGGACAATGGAAAAATCTCTCTGGGTCGTTTTAGTAATATGTTTTGGATTATACTTCCTTTCTATACCAATTTCTTTTAATTTAAAGAACTGTAAGTCAGTTGGCCGAGCGCAGTGGCTCACCCCTGTAATCCCAGCACTTTGGAAAGCCAAGGCGGGCGGATCACGAGGTCAGGAGATTGAGACCATCCTGGCTAACACGGTGAAACCCCGTCTCTACTAAAAATACAAAAAATTAGCCGGGTGTGGTGGTGGGCGCCTCTAGTCCCAGCTACTTGGGAGGCTGAGGCAGGAGAATGGCCAGAACCCTGGAGGCGGAGGTTGCAGTGAGTCAAGATTGCACCACTGCACTCCAGCCTGGGCGACAGAGCGAGACTCCGTCTCAAAAAAAAAAAAAAAAAAAAAAGAACTATAAGTCAGTTATTATCTCCCAACATAGCTCTTTTATTTTATTTTTAATTTTTTTAAATTATATTTTAAGTTCTGGAATACATGTGCAGAACGTGCACTTTTGTTACATAGGTATACACGTGCCATGGGGGTTAGCCCTTTTATTAACTGTTCTCTGAACCGCAACCATCTCCTGATATTTGGTAGAGTAACACCTTTATATGTGTGCTTGCCTCCTAATTTAAAATACTGTATTCACATGTAGATATAATGTACATAACAGTTTAACTTCAAAGTTGCTGGGGTCAGGGCCCCCTGCACTTGAGACACTAATACAGAGTGTGTTCGCGCTTAGCCATGGACTGGACTCAAGAACCTGATACCAGGGTTGATGTGGATTACCTGGAACCCTTCCTGCAGTATTCCTACAGTGTTTTTATTTTGTTGTCATTGTGTGTGTGGTTTGTGTGTGTTTTTAAGGAGAATCTTGTTTTAAAATGTAATTTCTAAAGTTGAACATGAATGTTTTATTTGTTGTACAGTATATATTATACAATAGAGAGGTAACTTAAACATTTTTGTTCTTATTCTTTTTCTCATAAGTACTCCTGAGTACTAGTGGTCACTTCCCGTAGTATTCATTTGGCTTCACTGTCAAAAATCATTATTCTGTGCAGTTGTGGCCCTGGGAAGGGGAAATAATAAGGCCCTATTGACGGGCTGTCCTGGCTCTGGAATTCATGCATCCTGTCCTTGCCAAGGTTCTGGCAGGGCCCGCTGGTGTGTTGGAGCCTGCAGGTCAGGTCAGGCTGGTTCAGAGGTCCATGCTGAGGGGAGGGCACTCCTAAGTGGTGTAAAGCCTCAAGTCCATGAATCCCACCCCAGTCATCTCTGGTGTCACGTGCTGCTGCGGCCTCAGCAGGTTCTCAAAGCTCCCGAGTACTCCCGAGTACACAGCCCAAATGTGTAAATGGCACTGTCTCCCTGATGGTGCATGGAAAGGACGTTGGCATCTGGCACTATCACCCTGACAGTGCATGGAAAGGACATTGGCATCCAGTTGGCACTCCTTCTCCCTTATTCAATATTAGGTTTGATTTGCCCTTTGCCGTTGTTTCCAAAGATCAAGGAATGTCAATAACTTTTTTTTTTTTTTGAGACAGAGTCTCGCATTGTAGCCCGGGCTGGAGTGCAGTGGCGCAATCTCAGATCGCTGCAACCTCCTCACCTCCAGGTTCAAGTGATTCTCCTGCCTCAGCCTCCCAAGTAGCTGGGACTACAGGCACGTGCCACCACACCCAGCTAATTTTTGCATTTTTAATAGAGACGGGGTTTCACTATATTGACCGAACTGGTCTCGAACTCCAGACCTTGTGATCCGCCTGCCTCAGGCTCCCAAAGTGCTGGGATTACTTTGGGAGCCACCGTGCCCGGCCATCAATAGCATTTTAAAGGACCAATAAACAGCCTCCTATAAATTAAACCTCTTCCTGTGGAAGCATGCTCTACTACTAAAGGGAAGGTCCTTGGGCTCCGATTTGTCCTTTGCATTGAGAACGGTGTGGGGATCAATGTGTGTGTATGTGATTTATCGAGTTGGCTTTGCTTTTTTAGTTTTTCTTAAAAAAAATCCTTCCTTCCCATGTTACTAATTTATGTTTTTGAGAAGTTGAGTCTCAAAGCGTAAACAATAAACCTCCATTCATAAGGCAGATGTTGTAAGCTTGATGGTGGTTGTGAAAGTGATTTAGTTTTGACCTCTTTTCGTCCTACAACTTCAATATCAAACTGCTCAGGAAAGCCCAGGGGGAAGGTAGGGGCAGAGGAGGAGACAATTCGGAATGAATGAATAGATTTTTTGTTGTTTTTGCTTGTTTAATATAGAAGTCCCCCTTGTTCCTTGGGAGATCATGGCCTTTGAATATGTACACAACCTTTGAATTGTTCCTACTAAATTATAGCAAGGGACTTTGGCACCCAAGGAATTCTGACTTTCTGGGATTATAATAGTAAATTCCCAGCCATACTCTGGACTTTATTTTGCTAACCATAATTGAGCAAATGTAAATTACTGCTATATTAATGTTTTAAAGCACTGGGATAGTCTAATTCTAACTTGTAGTTAATTATGTTTGCCAATTATTTGTTTGAAATAAATTTGTGTCTGAACAGCTATTGAAACTGTTCAATTGTACAGATATTATTCATGACAGCTTTGTACTGTGGAATGTGCTTAATCAAAAACAAAAAAGTTTGAAAAAAAAAGAAGAGGTTTGCTGAACTTTCAGATTCCTTTTTTGTTGTTGTTAACTATTTGCCACCCAAGCTAGAAATCAGCACCACCTAGGGGTCCTTGATGTTATAATCAGAGAACAAGACAGGCCGGCTGGCCCTGATGCGAGCCATGAGCAAGCTCCAATGAGCCCCTTTCTTCCACGTTTGATGAGTAGAGGAAAATATTGGGGGTGAATTTTCAATAACCTGAATCGATTGCACTTTTTCTTGTAGACTAGCCATCATTAAATCCACTTACGCGCTCCCCTGTGCCCCTCTCTTTCCTTCTGGAATGTTCAGTGCCTGTTTCCAGTCCCATTTTTCAGTCGGATGGGATTGCCCTTCATTACAGTTTTGTGGGTTATGAGTTATGAGCTCTTCCTCTGTGAGGGCCAGCAGGGCACCCCCACTCTCCTGTAACAAGGAAAGGGTGTTGTGTAGTAAAGAATTTTAAGCTTACTTGAAGTGAGATCTGGGCTTTGCCCTTGGCTCTTGGGAGGTGATCTCTAAGCCCTTAGATGTCCTGCTTGATAATAGCACTGTGTTTACCTGGAGGCCATGGGCCATGCCAAACAGACACAACATGTTAGACCAATGTGATTTATGGTGGGAGATTTGGCCACACCATATCAGCTTGACCCCTGAAGGAATAGACTAAGGTCAAGCCAGCCATGTCCACAAGACCAAGCCCTACTATACACTCTGGACACCAACAGCCTGGTGAGTTTCCTTGGTTGGCAATACTCCATGTATATAGTCCGTGCATATAGTTTCCAGAAGGAGTCCATTACTCCACTGGGAGAGGACTGCTGGAAGCTCTCCTGGACACTGCCCTATGTGTGTCTTCCCTTGGCTGATGTTAATCTGTGTCCTTTTGCTATGATAAACTGTAAGTATAAGTATAATAGCTTTCAGTACGTTCTGCGAGTCCACCAAGTGGATTATTGAACTTGAAGGTGGTTGTGGGGACCCCTAAACTTTAAATTGGTATCAGAGGGGAAAGTGGTCTTGGGGGCTCTTTCCTAACTTTATAGTCATGTACTAGGAATCTGAGCACATGATCTCAACAAAAACAACAACAAGAAAGAAGAAAGAGAGCAAGAAAAGAAAGAGAAAGAAGAGAAAGAAGAAAGAAAAAAAGAAAGAGGAAGGAAGAAAAGGAAGGAAGAAAGGAAATGAAAAAGAAAGAAAGAATAAAGAAAAGAAAGGAAAAAAATGCAAACAAACAAAAATGAACAGATGGTCTCTAGTCTTGGATTCTCCATTTACTGGCTGGGTAAACCACTTCATTCTTTGAACCTCCTTTCCTGCCCACTCAGTGAGGAGGATGTTATCTGTGTGCTGAAGGAGGCTGCCGTGGCGGTTTAGATGGAAGGAAGTGTCTACAGGGAGGAAAGAGGGGTCGGGGCTGAAGAATAAGGACCTGGAGCCTGAGTAGAAGCCATTTCTCAAAATTAAAGTCTTAGGAACCACTCACATGGTGGGTGAATGCAAGCTCTAGTTACATAATAATATAAACAGAAATTTAAATTGCAATGCACCTATTGCCCATCAGAATGGCAAAAACTCAAAATCTTTACAAACCACTATGCGGTGAGGCTGTGGATGAGGCTGTGGGATTCACACAATAGTGCGATCCCGTTGAGGGGAACTGAGTAATAGTCAACAAAATTACACAGCATTTACCCTCTGATGCGGAAATCTTACTTCTGGGTACTTATCCTGAATTCCTGAATGACCTCTAACAATTTTATATATATATATATATATATATATATATATATATATATATATATATATATATTTTTTTTTTTTTTTTTTCCTTTGAGATGGAGTCTTGCTTTGTTGCCCAGGCTGGATTGCAGTGGTGCAATCTTGGCTCACTGCAACTTCTGCCCCCCAGGTTCAAGTGATTCTCCTGCCTCAGCCTCCCGAGTAGCTGGGACTACAGGCACGTGCCACCAGGTCCAGCTAATTTTTTGTATTTTTAGTAGAGACAGGTTTCACCGTGTTAGCCAGGCTGGTCTTGATCTCCTGACCTTGTGATCCACCTGCCTCAGCCTCCCAAAGTGCTGGGATTACAGGTGTGAGCCACCACGCCCGGCCAATTTTTTGTATTTTTAGTAGAAATGGGGTTTCAATGTGTTAACCAGGATGGTCTCGATCTCCTGACCTCATTATCTGCCCATCTTGACCTCCCAAAATGCTGGGATTACAGGTGTGAGCCACCACACCTGGCCTACATATATATTTTTATACATATATATGTGCTTGTGTACAAGGCTATTTATTCAAGCATAATTTGTAATTGCAAAATATTAAAAACAACCTCAATGTCCATATGTAAGAAATTGTTTGAATAAATTATGGTATGTCTACATAATGGAATACCATGTCACTGTAAAAAGCAACAATGAAGATCTCTATGAACTGACACAGAGTGATATCCAGAATATATTGTTAGGTTAAAAAAAAAAAACCCAAAGTTCATCAGAATGACTATCGGTATAATATTACATTTGATTAAAACAAGAATCCATGAATCAGAGTGACACCAAAGAACAAATAGGAAGAAAAAGGAAAGATCTTTCACTATCAGGGAAAGTAAAATGCTCACTAACAAATGTAGAGGAACGGAGCCGGGCGCAGTGGCTCACACCTTTAATCCCAGCACTTTGGGAGGCCAAGGTGGGAGGATCACCTGAGGTAAGGAGTTCAAGACTAGCCTGGCCAACATGGTGAAACCCTGTCTCTACCAAAAACACAAAAATTGACCAGGCATGGTGGCGGGTGCCTGTATCTGGAGGGCTGAAGCAAGAAAATCACTTGAACCTGGGAGGCAGAAGTTGCAATGAGCTGAGATCACATCACTGCACTCCAGCCTGGGCAACAGAGTGAGACCCTGTCTAAAAAAAAAACCCGAAGAACTGGGCCGGGCGTGGTGGCTCATGCCTGTAATCCCAGCACTTTGGGAGGCTGAGGCAGGTGGATTACAAGGTCAGGAGATCAAGACCATCATGGCCAACATGGTGGAACCCTGTCTTTACTAAAAATACAAATACTAGCTGGACGTGGTGGCGCGTGCCACGTAGTAGTCCCAGCTACTTGGGAGGCTGAGGCAGGAGAATCGCTTGAACCTGGGAGGTGGAGGTTGCAGTGAGCCAGGATTGCGCCACTGCACTCCAGGCTGGCAACAGAACCAGACTCCGTCTCAAAAAAAAAAAAAAAAGAAATTATTTAGGCAGATAGTGGGTAAAACATAAAACAGTCATCAGCGGAATTTCCCTTTTAACAAAAGCAGCCCCCAAATCATTTCTAACAAGGAGCAGCCTGAAAAATCAAGCTGCAGACATAGATAAGCAAGCTGGAAGCTTGCACAGGTGAATGCCGGCAGCTGTGCCAATAGAAAAGGGCTACCTGGGGGCCAGGTATGTTCAACATGGAGGCTCCATCTTCCCTTTTCTTTGTCACCACGTGTACAGTAAAGAAACAGGCAACATGGCGCAGGCCAGAGAACATATCTGCATAATAAAAGATTAGGGTGGGGGCAGCCAGGTTTTTGCACCCTATGCAAAGGGCACACCTGGTCCAACCAATCTTTCATGCCCTATGTAAATCAGACAGCGCCTCCTCAAGCTCATTTATAAAACCCCTTACATTCGCAGAAGCAGCAATCCATTTTTTTGGGACGCCTCTCTGCTGCAGCGAGCTCTTCTCTTTCACCTATTAATCTTCCACTCTGAACCTCATTCTTGTATGTCTGCATCTTAGTTTTCCATGGTCATGAAACAACAAACCTTGGATATTTACCCCAGACAAATAACGCCGTTTCACTACAATATGGATGAAGCTTGAGGACATTATGCTTAGTGACATAAGCCAGTCACAAAAGGACAAATACTGCATGATTGCACTTACATGTGGTAACTAAAGTAGTCAAACTCACATCAAATTAGCTGGGCATGGTGGTGTGCATCTGCTATCCCAGATACTTGGGAGGCTGAGGCTGGAGGATTGCTTGAGCTTAGGTGGTGGAGGCGGCAGTGAGCTATGATTGTACGACTGCACTCCAGCCTGGAGTTCGAGACTAACCTGGCCAACATGGTGAAACACCGTCTCTACTAAAAATACAAAAAAAATTAGTCAGGTGTGGTGGTGGGCACCTGTAATCTCAGCCAGTTAGGAGGTTGAGGCAGGAGAATCATTTGGACCCAGGAGGCGGAGGTTGCAGTGAGCCAAGATTGCACCACTGCACTACAGCCTGGATGACAGAGCAAGACTCAGTCTCAAAAAATAAAATAACATAAATAAATAAATAAATAATTAAAAAAGATAATGTTTCTATATTAGTTATTGCTGCTAACAAATTACTCCATTTATAGTGATTTATAATAACAATCATCACTTGTTCTCTGTCATGATTTCAGTGGCTCAGAATGTCAAGCATGGGTTGGCTGGGCAATTCCGTTTCAAATTCTCTCATAAAGTTGTAGTCAGATATTGGCTGAAGTGGGCTGCAGTCATTTGAAGGTTGGACTGGGGCTGCAGCATGCACTTCCAGGATGGTCCCCCCACGTGGCTGGTATTTTGGTGCTGGCTGTTGATGGGAGGCCTCAGGTCCTCTCTGCATGAGCCTCTCAGAAGGTGCACTGAGTGGCCTTGCAACATGGCAGCTGGCTTCCCTCAGAATGAGTAATCCAAGAGAGCAAGACGGAAGCCACAATGTCTTTGATGACTTAGCCCTGGAAGCCACTGTCTGTATTAGTCCATTTTCACACTGCTATAAAGAAATACTTGAGACTGGGTAATTTATAAAGGAAAGAGGTTGCATGGCTGCATGGCTGGGGAGGCCTCAGGAAACTTACAATCATGGTGGAAGGCAAAGGAGAAACAAGTATTTTCTTCACAAGGTGGCAGGAAAAGAGAAATAGTGAAGGAGGAACTGCCAAACACTTCTAAAAGCATCAGATCTCATGAGAAGCCACTCACTATCATGACAACAGGATGAGGGAACCTGCCCCCATGATGCAATCACCTCCCATCCAGTCACTCCCTTGACATATGGGGATTACAATTTGAGATGAGATTTGGGTGGGGACACAGAGCTGAACCATATCAGCCCCACACTATCATTTTCCCAGAATTCTATTCACCACAATGGTCAGCCAATACTGGGGGGGGACACACTGAGGCATAAACCCCTTTTTCACACAAGGAGGCAAGGATCACTGAGGGCCATCTTAGCAGCTGCTACCACAGTGTCATATAATAAATAATATTCACAAGAGTTAAATTTGATGTCTGAGGGCCAGGCATGGTGGCTCACACCTATAATCCCAGCACTTTGGGAGGCTGAGGCCTCCTCACTTGAGGTCAGGAGTTCAAGACCAGCCTGGTCAACATGGTGAAACCCCATCTCTACTAAAAATACAAAAAGTAGCCAAGTGTGGTGGTGGGCATCTGTAATCTCAGCTACTTGGGAGGCTGAGGCAGGAGAAGTGCTTGAACGTGGGAGGCGGAGGTTGCAGTGAGCCAAGATCGTACCATTGCACTCCGGCCTGGGCAACCAGAGCAAAACTCCATCTCAAAAAAAAAAAAAAAAAAAAAAAAAGGAAGAGAGTGGTCTCTTTCACATTGCTATGCAAACTCAAATGACTGAAGACTCGTTTGGGGAGGGTTATGAAGAGACCTCTTAATGCACACCACTGTCCAGAAATGTGTTTAGTGAAATCTGACAGTAGGCCAGGCCCTCATTCTTACTGGACAGGAGAGTTGCACCCAGCTTACATTTACATATAACTTAAATCAACTATATATATGCATGTTGAGGGCAGAGGCAGAGAGAGGGAGAGAATATGAGTTTACATCATAAAAGAGATTTTGTCTGCTCTTCCTATCAACAATTTTATACCCTGTAGTAGGAGGAAGACTAGAGATTTGAATCCAAAATTCCTTCACACACTGTCAGTCTGTAGATACCACTCATGGTGTGAGCATCTCACCTTGTGAGTTGATTCTGCTATTGTAAGTACGTATTTTTGATACAACAAGGCCCTACATAACCAAGCAATTCCTTCAACTGATGCTCAACTGAAAACAAACACACAGAAACAGCAATATGTTCATCTCTAAGAGCGGAGAAAAGGACTATTTTTGGGTTGACATGCCACCCAACAACATATTGTGTAAAGATGGCTCCATACACCAGACCTTATTGAGAACCAAAGATTCATAAGAGTAATTTTGGCAATACTAAATTCCAGCCTTACAGGCATGTATTCTTTAAAAGTAAGTTCCTGGTCGGGCAAAGTGGCTCACAACTATAATCCCAGCATTTTGGGAGACCAAGGCAGGATGATCACTTGAGCCCAGGAGTTCAAGACCAGCCTGGCACCATAGCAAGACCCTGTCTCTACAAAAAAATTTAAAAATTAGCTGGGTGTGGTAACGTGTACCTTTGGTCTCAGTTACTTGGGAGGATGAGATGGGAGGATCACTTGAGCCCAGGAGGTAGAGGCTGCAGTGAGCTATGATCACATCACTGCACTCCAGCCTGGGTGACAGAGTGAGACCCTGTCTCAAATAATAGTAATAACTAAGTTCCTGAGAAAGCAGACTGCTGTTTTCAGCCGGCAAAATGGCTGTTCTAGGTAGAGTTCTCTACAGAAATAGTTGTGTGTACATGTGTACATGCAGGCGTGTGTGTGTACATGTGTGGCGGGTGCGTGTGTGTGAGACAGAGAGAGATTGTTTTGAGGAACTGGCTCATGTAATTGTATGGGCTGCAGGCTCACGCCTGTAGTCCCAGCACTTTGGGAGGCCGAGGTGGGCGGGATCACCTGAGGTCAGGAGTTCAAGACTGGCCTAGTCAATATGGTGAAACCCCGTCTCTACTAAAAATACAAAATTAGCCGGATGTGATGGAGGGCACGTGTAATCCCAGCTACTTGGGAGGCTGAGGCAGGAGAATCGCTTGAACCTGGGAGGCAGAGGTTGCAGTGAGCCAAGATCGTGCCACTGCACTCCAGCCTGGGCGACAGAGCAGGACTCCGTCTCAAAAAAAAATAAAAAGAAAAAATTGTAGGGGCTGCAAGTCCTAAATCTGCAGTGCAGGCCAGGAAAAAGTTGATATTGCAGCCTTCAGTCCCAAGGTAGGCTGGAGACAGAATTCCCTCCTCTTCAGGGGACATCAGTCTTTTCTCTTAAGGTGTTCAACTGATAGATACCGCATACCCACATTATGGAGGGTAATTTTCTTTACTCAGAGTATACTACATATATTGAAATATTAATCACATTTTTTGTGAGTCAGGGTCTCACTCTGTCGCCCAGCCTGGCATGCAGTAGCACAAACATGGCTCACTGCAGCCTCGAACTCCTGGGTTCAAGCCATACTCCCACGTCAGCTTCCCAAGTAACTGGGGCCACAGGCACACACCACCACAGCTGGGTAATTTTTGTATTTTTTTGTAGAGACTCACCATCTTGCCAGGTTGGTATCAAATTCCTGGCCTCAAGCCAACCTCCTGCCTCGGCCTTCTAAAGTGCTGGGATTACAGGTGTGAACCACCACATCCTGCTAATCACGTTTTAAAAATACCTTTACAGGCCAGGCACGGTGGCTCACCCCTATAATCCCAGGACTTCGGGAGGCCAAGGTGGACAGATCACTTGAGTCCAGGAGTTCGAGACCAGTCTGGCCAACATGGTGAAACTCCGTCTCTACTTAAAATACAAAAAAAATTAGCCGGGCTTGGTGGCACATACCTGTAGTCCCAGCTACTTGGGAGCCTGAGGCACAAGAATCACTGGAACCCAGGAGGCAGAACCCAGGAGGCAGAGGTTGTAGTGAGCCAAGATTGCACCACTGCACTCCAGCCTGGGCGACAGAGTGAGACTCTATCTCAAGAAAAAAAATATACCTATACCTTTACAACATCTGGACCGGTACCTGACCAAACAACTGGGTACCATGGCCTAGGCAAATAGACACAGAAAATTAACCACCACAACGGCTGCCACAGGAATCACTGAGCCAAAAAACCCCAAATGATCCCTTTGCTGATTTCATTCTTTTTCCTTTGTCATCAAATGCAATTACTTCTGTTTAGTATACAAAACTGAAATCCAAATGAAGGAAGAAAAACACCAACTACTTTCCATTATTGTCATCAAGACACATCTTTGGAACTCTCCATGGACAACAGCTGTGCCTTTAGAAGTGGGAACAGAAGTGGAGTTTGCAGACCAGGTCCCCAAGGAGAATTCCTCTTCTTCTTCTTTTTTTAAAACAAAAAAGAAAAAGGTATTTTTAAAACATGATTAGCCAAAGGGCAAAGGGCACGATGTCTGCTGAGCACTTCTTTTTTTTTTTTTTTTTTTTTTTTTTTTGAGCTGGAGTCTCACTCTGTCGCCCAGGGTGGAGTGCAGTGGCACGATCTTGGCTCACTGGAACCTCTGCCTGCCAGGTTCAAGTGATTCTCCTACCTCAGCCTCCCAAGTAACTGGGACTACAGGCGCCCACCACCACGACCGGCTAATTGTTGTATTTTTATTAGAGATGGGGTTTCACCATGTTGGCCAGGCTGGTCTCAAACTCCTGACCTCAGGTGATCTGCCCACCTCTGCCTCCCAAAGTGTTGGGATTACAGGCATGAGCCACTGTGCCTGGCCTGTTAAGCACTTCCTTATAGCAGATGCAGCCTCTGGGCTGCAGAGCAGAACCTCTCCTAGAAGGAGCTCCTGCCAGGCTTCAGAGGCCAGGGAACCCTCCCAGGGAAGGGGTTCCTGGGACCATCCTCCATGGAGTCACCCGAGTGGAGGTGGCTGCTGCAAAACCCCAAATCTTCTGGGGTTCACATGCTGTGAGTCTGTAGATCTCTCTCATGGTGTGAGCATCTCACTTTGTGAGTTGATTCTATTTTAAGGACATACTATTGATACAACGAGGCCCTGTATACCCAAGCAATTCCTTCAGCTGATGCTCAACTGAAAAACAACACACAGAAACAGCAATCTGTTCATCTCTAAGAGCAGAGAAAAAGACTATTAAAGAAACTTGCCCCCACCTCCCCTTCCCTTTCCCCTTCCCCTCCCCTTCCCCTCCCCTTCCCCTCCCCTTCCCCTCCCCTTCCCTTTCCCCTTCCCCCCTTCCCCTTCCCCTCCCTATTCCCCTCCCCTTCCCCTCCCTATTCCCCTGCCCTTCCCTCCCCTCCCCTCCCTTTCTTTTCTTTTCTTCTCTTCTCTTTTCTTTTCTTCTCTTCTCTTCTCTTTTTTCTTTTCTTTTCTTTTCTTCATTTCTTTTCTTTGACAGGGTCTCACTCTGTTGCCCAGGCTGGAGTGCAGTGGTGCAATCTCTCAGCTCACTCCAACCTCTGCCTCCCAGGTTCAAGTGATTCTCCTGCCTCAGCCTCCTGAGTACCTGGGATTACAGATGTGTGCCACCGAGCCTGGCTAATTTTTGTATTTTTAGTAGAGGCAAGGTTTTGCCATGTTGGCCAAGCTGGTCTCAAGCTCCTGGGCTCAAGTGATCTGTCCGCCTTGGCCTCCCAAAGTGCTGGGATTACAGGTGTGAGCCACCGTACCCGGCCACTTGATCCTTTTAAAAAACAAAAATGTAGGAGGAAATCTATAGTCTATTTGCAATTACCAGCTACAGCCTGACAGAATGCCAAGCCCATCAGGCATGAAACGTTTGCTGATCTTGTCGGGGGCTTTGTGGATCACAAGCATTCCAGTAGTGGTGGCACCGAGTCAGGAACTCTCAACAACAAATAAAAAGATTGATTCCACCATTGCTCCTGGATTGGATGAGTTTGTCAGGTTAATAATGGATTTCTACTCCACGCTCAACATCCTCCTGTGAGTCCATCTTCCTGATATGCTCAGCAGATGGAGAGAAGAATGAGTGCACACAGAACCAGACCCCTCTCAAATCCTCAGTCTCCATTTTCCATCCTGGACCTTTTATTTTTTTATTATTATTATTATTTTTTTTTTTTTGAGATGGAGTCTTGCTCTGTCACCCAGGCTGGAGTGCAGTGGTGCGATCTCAGCTCACTGCAACCCCCGCCTCCCGGGTTCCAGGGACTCTCCTGCCTCATCCTCCAGGGTAGCTGGTATTACAGGCACCTGCCACCACGCCCAGCTAATTTTTGTATATTTAGTAGAGACAGGGTTTCACCATGTTGTCCAGGCTGGTCTCGAACTCCTGACCTTAGGTGATCCGCCCACCTCGGCCTCCCAAAGTGCTGCAATTACAGGCGTCAGCCACTGTGCCCGGCCCCATCCTGGATCTTACTGACATCAACAATATTACAACATATTAGGAACTAATTTAAGGCAGAGAAATCACACCACGATCCCGTGACCCCTTGCTGCCCTTGCCCACGGATAGAAATTTCTCATGGGGATATCTGTAGCATCATAGCTCAAGCAGGGCACCCTTAGGCACACTCAAATGGAATTCTGGAAAGAATTCAACAGAGCGTTTGTTTACAAACTAGCGTGCGGGGCTAATTTTTACAAAGTGGGACGGTGAAGCCCCTCGGCACCACTCACTGTAGTAGAGGTCAGGGGAGGAGAGAGCGTGACTGAGCTGGGTGAGAGCCGGATCTGGGGAGGAAGAGCCCCAAGCCACAGGCAGCATCACTACAAGAAGTAGGGAGGGACGGGGAAGAAAGACCCCAGCTGCTTCTCTTGCCCTCCGACTTCTTCTCAGGGCCTCTCATTAGCCAAACCCACAGGAAGACAAAGGGGAAAGAAACTCAGAAAATGTGTCCACAGAGGTCAAGCCCACAGGGTGCAGAGCAGGGCTGGGAAGGAGGAAGAAAGCATAAGGAGGGCACGGAGAATAATCAGCTCAGCGACTCACACTCAGTGATTCACGCTTCACAGAAGCTCAAAGCCCTTATGCCCAGCGGCTTAGGAGACAGCCCCAACCCTCCAGCAAGTCCTGGTTAAAGTGGGCTGTCATCTGTATTGTGGGCTGTCATCTGTATTGTGGGCTGTCATCTGTATCGTGGGCTGTCATCTGTATTGTTAACTTAGAAAGGCCAATACCTACGAAAGTGCTACTGTGCCAAATTACCGTGTCCTCAGAGGGGCAGGCTTGTGGGGTGTGGGTGGGGTGCTTGTGCCCTGGGGTCCAATGTCACTGAGAAGGGCTCTGGTGGTGCCTTTTTATCCTACCTACACCTCCAAATCCCTTGTAAAGGCTTTACCAAGGAGGGGCTCACAAAAGAAGGGGAACGAGGCAGGGGAGAGTTAACTAAGCAAGGACCTCACCTCACCTCTGCTAGTTCTCCTTCTCTCTCTCTCATTCTCTCCTATTTTTTTTTTTTTTTTTGAGACAGTCTCACTCTGTTGCCCAGGCTGGAGTGCAATGGCATGATCTCGGCTCACTGCAACCTCTGCCTCCCAGGTTCAAGCGATTCTCCTGCCTCAGCCTCCCGAGTAGCTGGGGTTACAGGCACCTGCGACCACACCCAGCCCATTTTTGTATTTTTAGTAGAGACAGGGTTTCACCATGTTGGCCAGGCTGGTCTCGAACTCCTGGCCTCAAGTGATCCTCCTGCCTTGGCCTCCCAGAGTGCTGGGATTATATGTGTGAGCTAGCATACTCAGCCAAAAAAAATTATAATCTGACACATGCTGCAACATAGATGGACCTTGCGGACATTATGCTAAGTGACATAAGCCTGTCACAGAAGGGCAAATACTTTATGATTCCACTTACATAAGGCACTTAGAGGAGGCAAATTTATAGACACAGAAAGTAGAATAAAGGTTTCTGGGAGCTGGAGGAGCACGAAAATGTTGGGTTATTGTTAAATGGGTACAGAGTTTTAGCTTAGGATGATGGAAAGTTCTGGAGATGGGTTGTGGTGATGGCTGAACAACAATGTGAAGGTATTTAATGATACTTTGTACCCTTAAAAATAGTTAAATTTGTAAATTTTATGTTGTGTGTATCTTACCACAGTAAAAAAAAAATTAAAACAAAACCTCCCTAGCTGCTTCCCATAGGGAGGCACAGCCAGGGCTCTGTCTTCAGAGTGGGCACTGCCCCAGGGTTTGGCTATCCCTGCTGCCATCTCTCCTTGGGAGCTCAAATCATTTCACTTGGTTTCCACAGCGTATTAGTTCATTCTCACGCTGCTTTAAACAACTGCCTGAGACTGGGTAATGTATAAAGGAAAGAGGCTTAATTGACTCACAGTTCTGCATTGCTGGGGAAGCCTCAGGAAACTTACAATCATAGAGGAAGGGGAAGCAAACACGTCCTTCTTCACATGGCAGCAGGAGAGGGAAGTGCAGAGTGAAGTGGGGAAGGTCTCTTATAAAACCAGCACATCGCACGAGAACTCGCTGCCACAAGAACAGCATGAGGCAACCGCCCTTATGATCCAATCACTTCCCACCAGGTCCTTCCCCCAACACATGGGGATTATAATTCAGATTATAATTCAAGTTGAGATTTTGGGTGGGGACACAGCCAAACCACATCACATGGTTTCAGCGATGTCATCTGATCTCACCACCCCTTTGAAGCCCTTCATTCTTTTGCCCTCCCAGGCCCCAGGTTTCTCCCTGCTTCCCAGCTCCAACCTTCTGGGCTTCCTTCTCCCTTTCCTTCCTCTTGTCCTCACCTTGCCAGCCCAGTTGCCTAATCTAGCTTTTCATCCCTTGAGCTGCAGCAGAGCTGAAGAAGGCTTAGCTGAAGTTTTGGCAATGCCTGCCTGATGTTGGGTAAAGGTAGGAGCTGGGGCTCTGCCCTGTGTATCAGGACTGGCTTGGCCCACTTGGCCTCACGCTCACCTGACACCATTGCCCACAGCTCAGAGCCCCCATGCCTGGGCCATGCTGCTCTTCCATTGCCCCTGCCACACTCTAAGGTGGTACCAGTACAAGATGGGGGCTCAGAGTGCAACCCTAGAGCCGGCTGGCCTGAATTATTCTCTGCTCCACTGCTTATCGGCTGTGAAACCTTGAGCAATAAGTTAACCTCTCTGTGCCTCAATGTTCTAGTCTGTGACATAGCAATAACAGATGTGTCTCAGGCTGGGCACAGTGGCTCACGCCTGTAATCCCAGCACCTTGGGAGGCAGAGGCAGGTGGATCACCTGAGGTCAGGAGTTCAAGACTAGCCAGGCCAACATGGTGAAACCCCGTCTCTACTAAAAATACAAAAATTAGCTGGGAGTGATGGTGCATGCCTGTAATTCCATCTACTCAGGAGGCCGAGGCAGGAAAATCACTTGAACCTGGGAGACGGAGGTTGCAGTGAGACGAGATCACACCACTGCACTCCAGCCTGGGCGATAGAGTGAGGCTGTCTAAACAAACAAACAAACAAAAAAGTATCTCAAAGGATCTTGTCAGGGAGTTCAAGGTGACAGTGTCAAATGTTCCCCTCTGCCTGTCTGTTGACCCTCCTTTGTACTCACTGCAGTCTCTGTATACACATGGGCCCCTCCTCGGTCCCCTGTCCCTCTCCTGTCAGGTCCAGCCACTAAGGGCAAGCTCCCAGGCAGAGTTGATTCCATCTGATGCTCTTTGCCTCTCTTATTTACCCCGCACCCACCCTACCTTCCCCCTTCTCCCCTGCCAATCATCCAAAGCTCCTGGAACCCTTCAAGTGCCATTCCAAGTTGTTGGGAGCAAGCCCCCCAAAATCCAGCCATAAACTGGCCCCAAGACTGGCCACAAACAAAACCTCTGCAGCACTGTGACACGTTCGTAATGGCCCTAATGCCCAAGCTGGAAGGTTGTGGGCTTACGGGAATGAGGGCAAGGGACACCTGGCCCACCCAGGGCAGGAAAACCTCTTAAAGGCATTCTTAAGCCACAAACAATAGCATGAGCGATTTATGCCTTAAGGGCATCCTCCTGCTGCAGTTAACTAGCCCTTTAATTCGGCCCATCCCTTCTATTCTATTCCTTTAATTCTATTCTATCCTTTAATTCTATTCTATTCCTTTAATTCGGCCCATCCCTTCGTTTCTCATAAGGGATACTTTTAGTTAATTTAATATCTATAGAAACTTTTAGTTAATTTAGTTAGTTAATTTTAGTTAAAATTTAGAAAATTTTAGTTAATTTAATATCTATAGAAACAATGCTAATGACTGCTTTGCTGTTAATAAATACGTGGGTAAATCTCTGTTCGGGGCTCTCAGCTCTGGAGGCTGTGAGACCCCTGATTTCCCACTTCACACCTCTATATTTCTGTGTGTGTGTCTTTAATTCCTCTAGTGCCGCTGGGTTAGGGTCTCCCTGACCGAGCTGGTCTCGGGACCAAGAGTAATTTTTTCCAGCACCTTCTCCAGGCCCTTGAGCTGGCCTGGTGGGCCCTCTTCTCTCTGAGCCTTTCTGTCTTGATGGTCAGCAGCACTCCATAGGCGAATAGTCTGTAATTGCATCATTTGCTCCTTTTATGCCCAAGTGAAAATAAGCTTTCTACATGGAATACAGGAACTCTTCCTTATTTCTCTTCGTTTCCACATCCCCAGTAAAAAATTATATGAGCTGTAGCAGATGCTGTTGATGCCTTAGTCACTTGGGCAGCAAGTGTCAGCTGCAGCTCACAGCTTGCAAAAGGCCGGCTCCCTTGCCTCGAAGTGGAACCCCTCTGCAGTGCAGGCTCCCCCTGGGGTCAGCCTGAAGTCAGTCTCCAGCTAAAACCACAGCCTTCCTCAGTTAACTCACTCCCCTGCCCAGCCTGCTCCCTCACCCCCTCCTCCCAAGATCCTCCTGCAGTAAGTCACTGGAACAAGAATCCCTCTCTCAGCCTCTGCTTCTGGAGAAGCTGTCCTAAGACATCAGCTAACACGTACCTGCTTTTTACTAGTTATTATTCTAAGCACTCTACCTACATGAATTCATCCAAAAAACATACCTTAAATAAAGACCAGGATTCATGACTTATATCAGGTAATCTGTCCCCCAAAGTGCTGGGATTACAGGCACGAGCCACCACACCTGGCCAAATATTCATTTATATTATATATGTATATTTAAATATTTTCAATTTCCTTTGATTATAAAATTATAAGATCCTTTAATTTGAATGAATTTATAATTATAATCAGTAGTATACAATTGATTAAAACAACAAAAATATATTACAGTGTTTACTATTGTCGAGGAAAAGAGTCGAACTCTGTAAAATATTTGAAGAGATTTATTTTGAGCCAAATATGAGTGACCGTGGCCTGTGACACAGCCCTCAGGAGGTCCTCAGAACATGTGACCAAGATGGTTGGGGCATAGCTTGGTTTTATACATTTTAGAGAGACATGAGACATCAATCAAATACATTTAAGAAATTCATTGAATTCATTGGTCTGGCCCAGAAAAGAGGGACAACTCAAAGCAGGGGATGAAGTGGGGGGGCGCCTCCAGGTGAATTTAAGCATTTTCTGGTTGACAATTGGTTGAGTTTGTCTAAAGACCTGGGATTGCTAGAAAGGGAATTTTCAGTCCAGGCGCGGTGGCTTGTGCCTGTGATCCTAGCACTTTGGGAGGCAGAATTGGGCAGATCACCTGAGGCCAGGAGTTCGAGACCAGCCTGGCCAACATGGCAAAACCCCGTCTCTACTAAAAAAGCAAAAATTTGCTGGGCGTGGTCGCGGTCGCCTGTAATCCCAGCTACTCGGGAGGCTGACACAGGAGAATCTCTTGAATCTGGGAGGTGGAGTTTGCAGTGAGCTGAGATCGCACCATTGCACTCCAGCCTGGGTGACAAGAGCGAGAATCCGTCTCAAAAAAATGAAAAATAAATAAATAAATAAATAAATAAAGGGAATGTTCAGGTTAAGATAAAAGATTGTGGGCCTGGCAAGGTGGCTAATGCCTGTAATCCCAGCACTCCTTAGTTTTTTTTCTTTATTTTCTTGTCTTTCTTTCCTTCTTTCTTTTCTTTCTTTTCCTTTCTTTTCCCTTCCTCCCTCCCTCCCTCTCTCTCTCTTTCTTCTTTCTTTCTTTCTGTCTTTCTTTCTTTCTTTCTCTCTGTCCATCTCTCTCTTTCTTTCTTTATTTATTTCTTTTTTTTTTTCTTCAGGGTCTCACTTTGTCACCCAGGCTGGAGTGCAGTGGCATGATCTCGGCTCACTGCAGACTCGACTTCCTTGGCTCAAATGATCCTCTCACCTCAGCCTCCCAAGTAGTTGGGACTATAGTCACATGACATCACGCCTAATTTTTTGTAGAGACAGGGTTTCACCATGTTGGCCAGGATGGTCTCGAACTCCTGATCTCAAGCCATCCGCCCGCTTCGGTCTCCCAAAATCCTGGGATTACAGGTGTGAGGCACTGCACCCAGCCTATCCTCATTTTTTATACATAAAGAGGTATGCCCTGTGAGAAGCTACTCAGCATTATAAAAAAAGAACCATAGATACCTGCAACAACTTGGATGGATCTCAAGAGCATTATGAAGGTTGAAAAAAGCCAATCTCAAAAAGTTGCAGGTGGTGGGGTGGCTCATGGCTATAATCCCAGCACTTTGGCAGGCCAAGGCAGGAGACTACTTGAGCCTATGAGTTCAAGACAAGCCTGGGCAACAAAGTAAGACCCCATCTTTACAAAAAATAAAATAATTAGCCAGGCGTGGTGGCGTGTGCCTGTAGTTCCAGCTACTTGGGAGGCTGAAGGAGGAGGATTGCTTGAGGCCAGGAGTTGGAGGCTGCAGTGAGCCAAGATTGCTCCAATGCCCTCCAGCCTGGGCAACAGAGTGAGACCCTGTCTCAAAAAAAAGTTGCATATATGTATAATTCTATTTTTATAATGTCCTTGAAATGACAACATTATAGAGATGGATTACAAATCAGTAGTTGCCAGGGGTGAGGGATGGTGGGGGCATGGGGTGGGTGTGGCAATAAAGGGGCACCACGAGGGAGATCTTTTAGATGAAATCATTCCATATCTTCTTTTTTTTTTTGAGATGGAGTCTTGCTCTGTCACCTAGGCTGGAGTGCAGTGGCGTGATCTCAGGTCACTGCAACCTCCACTTCCTGGGTTCAAGCTATTCTCCTGCCTCAGCCTCCTGAGTAGCTGGATTACAGGCGCACACCACCATGCCCACCTAATATTCATATTTTTAGTACAGACGGGGTTTCACCATGGGCTGATTTCGAACTCCTGACCTCGGGCGATCTGCCTGCCTTGGGCTCCCAAAGTGCTGGGATTACAGCCATGAGCCACCATGCCTTATGTGAATCTACACATGTAAGCAAATGACACAGAACTACACACATATGTCATACCAATGTCAATTTCCTGGTTTTGCTATTCTCCTTTGATAAGATTAGTCATTGCAGAAAACTAGGTGAAGGGTACATCAGTCCTGTCTATCTTTGCAATTTCCAGTGAATCTATAATTATTTAATAATAATTTTAAAAAGATGTATGCTCTGAGAAACCAGCCTGTCGTAAATCAAGAGATGGTCTGGAAAGAGGCTTATTACAGTGACGTTAATCAATCCTTTGAATTCCTTCAGTATTATATGTCAGAAATCATTTAGTGAAATAACTTTCAATACTTTAAATAGTAGGAAACTCAATTAGGTCTTCCTTCAATTTGGGGTAAAACAATGCTTGGGAAATAAAATGACTCATCAGGGCTTGTTACCCTATTATTAGTCATTCACATTTTCATCCCCTGCACAGGTATTTCCATTTGTGCCTTTGTTTAGTCCCCAGGGGTTACCTGGGAAGAAAGTGAACTTTAGTAAAACTGAGAGCAAGTGACTGGCATGCGTTCCTCCAGTAAAGGGGAGGAAGGATCATGAAGTCTAAAAACCAGCTCGAGGCAGGACGCGGTGGCTCACACCTGTAATCCCAGCACTCTGGGAGGCCGAGGTGGGCAGATCGCTTGAGGTCAGGAGTTCAAGACCAGTCTGGCCAACATGGTGAAACCCCGTCTCTACTAAAAATACAAAAATTAGCCAGGCGCAATGGCGGGTGCCTGTAATCCCAGCTACTTGGGAGGCTGAGGCAGGAGAATTGCTCGAACCTGGGAGGCAGAGGTTTCAGTGAGCCGAGATCACACCACTGCACTCTAGCCTGGGCGATAGAGCAAGACTCTGTCTCAAAAAAAGAAAAAAAAATTAGCAGGGCATCATGGCGCACGCCTGTAATCTTAGCTACTCAAGAGGCTGAGGCAGGAGAATCTCTTGAACCCAGGAAGGGGGGGTTGTGGTGAGCCAAGATCTTGCCACTGCACTCCAGCCTGGGCGACAGAGTGCAACTCTGTCTCAAAAAAAAAGAGAAGAGGCTTAAGTGGCCCACAGTTCTGCAGGCCGTACAGGAAGCATGGCAGCTTCTGCTTCTGGGGAGGCCTCAGGAAACTTTTACTCATAGTGGATGCAAAGGGGGAGCAGGCTCGTCTTACATGGCAGAAGCAAGACAGAAAGCGAAGGAGGATGCGCCACACACTTTTAAACGACCAGGTCTCGCAAGGACACACTCACCGTCAGGAGAACAGCACCAAGGGGATGGAGCTAAGCCACTGATGAGAAATCCACCCCCAAGATCCCATCGCCTCCCACCAGGCCCACCTTCAACACTGGGGATTACCATTCGACAGGAGATTTGGGTGAGATCACAGTTCCAAACCGTATCAGGGAGAAAGTGGAGGTTGGGAATCTGCACACTGCTTCTCTTAAAACCACCCATGTGCTTTCGAAGCCTTTGGAAAGTCTTCGAGATACTCTCCACCGCCCCCAAGTCTACCCAGACCCTGTTCGAAGGCTCTGTTAGTCACTCTACAGCAGAGAAAAAAAGGCTAAGGGTGGTTAAGTAATTCACCCAAGACCACCCGGCAAGTGGCTGCGCTGGAATTAGAACTTGGGATGAACTACAAAATCCATTTTCTTTCGACCAGGCTGTCCTACGAAAACAAGGCTTGTGTGTTTTCCCTAGTATCATCTAAGTGCAAAATTACCCGTTTGTGGACATCGGAAATTGCTTTGTGTGTTAAAATTGCTAACAATGTTATTACTACCTGCTGAGCACAAAAGGGCCTGGAAAGATTGGTTGTACAAAAATACAAGGAAATCATTCATCATTCATTTTCTCCTCCTCACAACCACTAAGAGATCAAGCCTCAGTTGCCACAGAACTGTGTCTTAGTGACCAGCAGGTGGCGCCACCACCTCACTGTTGTTTTGACATTGGGAGAATTTCATTTTGTAGGTAACTCTAGTGTAAATGGAAACGAAGTTTACACCCCTGGCCTTCTTTCCCACCCTGGCCTTGTTCCTCTTGTTTCGGTTCAAAGACGGGTAGCCTCCTGTCTGGCTCTAATTGATTTAGTTTCCTTGAATTTCATTTCTTTGACACTGAAAAGGATTTAGCTGGTAGTTTTGCCCATGAGGTGGAGGCATGATTATAAGAATTCATTTACTGAGGGCTTACCTTGCACCCAGCACTTTGCTTGAATCATCTCATTTAATTGTTGCAATAAGAAAAGGAGGTGAGTTCTGGTTTTGTTTTATTTTGTTTTGAGACACAGTTTCCCTCTGTCTCCCAGGCTGGAGTGCAGTGGCACAATCACAGCTCACTGCAACCTCCACCTCCTGGGGTCAAGCAATTCTCCTGCTTTAGCCTCCCTAGTAGCTGGAATTACAAGCGCATACCACCATGCCCAGCTAATTTTTGTATTTTTGGTAGAGATGGAGTTTCACCATGTTGGCCAGGCTGGTCTCGAACTCCTGACCTCAGGTGATCCCCCTGCCTCAGCCTCCCAAAGTGCTGGGATTACAGGCGTGAGCCACCACACCCAGCCAAGTTCTCTTTTGATGTTAATAGCACAAGCCTGGGGGCACTGGATTCTATTTAATTGTTTCACTCTTTTATTGCTGGTCACTAGCCAATAATTCCATGACAATTGAGGCTTGATTTCTTGTGGGGTTGGGGAGTATGATGATGAGAAAAAAATGAATGATGAATGTTTTCCTTGTATTTTTGTACAACCAATCTTTCCCAGTCCTGGTATGCTCCACAAGTAGTATTAACATCATTAGCAATTGTAACACACAAGGCAATTTCTGATGTCCACAAATGGGCAAAAAGACAACCCAAATTCCAACAGGTTTTTGAATGTTAGAAAAATATTACATCAATTTTAAACAATAAATGTTAGGGTAATATTACATGAGTTTTTCTCATTAGGAGTGTATTATATACAAACCTTTATTTGATAATGTATATTCTGGGTGACTATAATAAAATGTGATAAAAATAAAATGACTTATAAATCATATATATGATATCTTCAGTTATAACTATTATATGCACATTAATATTGTACGTGTGTGTGTGTGTGTGTGTGTGTGTGTCACTAGGGTAAAAGGCCGGGGGGTATCAATCCTAACCCACTCACCTGATACCAACCAGCTCCAAGTTTTAAGACGATATATACATGACTCCTTCCTACATGAAATATTATTACCAAGTATCACTATATGGCAAGATTTTCAAATCCAGGGCAATCGCTCACTTAGAATCGTGCGACTGATCCTATATCACCCACCTAAACCCCTTAGCATGCAAATGAAGGCATTGTGACCCAAAGAAGGAGTGATTTACTTGAGACACATAGTGTTGCAATTGCAAGACCCCAACCCCCTGACCCTACAACAAAGCTCCTTCCACATGAACTGTTCTGCCCTTGTGTTTGAAAAAACAATAAATCCAAATACAGGGGTTCTCATTTATCTCTTGTTAGATGTCTTCTTTTAGATTTGAGTTTCCTGACTATTCAGATTTTTAAAAAAATATTAAATGTGTCATCTAACTAACTGGCCATTTATCAAATTTTGTGCTACTTACAAATCTGATAGTGTCTTCTATGTCCTCTTCTGTGACTTTAATAAAAATGTCGAATGGTCAACTTTGAGGACAGAGCTTATTGATCATTTACCAATTTCATTTAGGATCCTACTGATTCATTAAACCCAGGACTGGCTGGCTACATAATTTATAGGGCCCAGTGCAAAATGAAAATGCAGGCAAAGTGGAGACAGTGGAGGTTTAAGTCAAGCATATGCCCTTCTGAATGTGGGGCCCTGTGTGACTGCACTGGTCACACCCCTATGAAACCAGCTCTGATTAAATCCCTTGGTTTCAATCATTCAACCTGCTACAAATTGATTTATCTAACATATGTCCATTGGAATAGCTTCTAGCCGTGAGCAGCAGGAAACACAAAAAACAATGGCTTAAGCATGTAACAAGCAATCCAGGAGCAGGTAACCAAGGACTGCTGCAGCTGCTGATGGAACCCTTCTCTTTTCCTTTCCCTCTCTCTCTATCTCTCTCCATTTTTTTTTTTTTTTTTAAACAGAGTCTCACTCTTGTTGTCCAGGTTGGAGTGTTGGAGTGCAGTGGCACAATCTCGGCTCACTGCAACCTCCACCTCCTGGGTTCAAGCGATTCTCTGGCCTCAGCCTCCTGAGTAGCTGGGATTACAGGTACGCGCCACCACACCCAGGGAATTTTTGTATTTTGAGTAGAGACGGGGTTTCACCATGTTGGCCAGGCTGGTCTTGAACTCCTGACCTTGTGGTCCACCCTCCTTGGCCTCCCAAAGTGCTGGGAATACAGGCCTGAGCCACTGCGCCCCGCCCTGCCTCCTTTCCCTCTCTTTAGCATCCAGTTTTCTTCTGCTGCTGCTGCTGCTGCTTTTTTTTTTTTTTTTTTTTTTGGACTCCGGAGTCTCATTCTGTCCCCTAGGCTGGAGTGTAGTGGCGCAATTTCGATCTCGGCTCACTGCAACCTCCACCTCCCGGGTTCAAGTGATTCTCCTGCCTCAGCCTCCCACATAGCTGGAATCACAGGTGCACGCCACCATACCCAGCTAATTTTTGTATTCTTAGTAGAGACGGGGTTTTGCTATGTTGGCCAGGCTGGTCTTAAATTCCTGACCTCAGGAGATCTGCCCGCCTTGGCCTCCCCAAGTGGGGGATTACAGGCGTGAGCCACCACGCCCAGCCTGTCATTTTCTTCTCCTGACACTGAATAGCTGCAGTACCTTAAACCATCATATCCATATTCCAGGTGTGAAAAATGAGGCATGGCAAAGGACAGAGAGCAAAAACCTTCTCCTCTTAAGCATTTGCCTTTATATTCAGGAAAAGAAAGCTTCCCAGGGCTTTCAACTGATATCTCATTGCCTACATCTCAAAGCTGCATCACATGGTCACACCTAGCTTCAAAGGAGGCTTGGAATTAGTGTTTCACTGTCCACTCTCTTCAGCTGAGAAAGACAAGGGAGAAAGGAGTTGACATATACGTGGGAAGTATTTCTTTTCTTTTGCTTTCTTTTCTTTTGAGACTGGATCTTCCTCTGTCACCCAGGCTGGAGTGCAGTGGTGCAATCACAGCTCACTGCAGCCTCTGCCTCCCTGGCTCAAGGGATCCTCCCACCTTAGCCTTTTGAGTGGCTGGGACTACAGGCACATGCCACCATGCTTGGCTAATTTTTTTTTTTTTTTTTTTAAAGATGAAGTCTCAGCCAGGTGCGGTGGCTCACACCTATAATCCCAGCACTTTAGGAGGTCGAGATGGGTGGATAACTTAAGGTCAGGAGTTCGAGACCAGCCTGGTTAACATGGCAAAACACCATCTCTACTAAAAATAGAAAAATTAGCAGGGCGTGGTGGCATGTGCCTGTAATCCCAGCTATTGAGGAGGCTGAGGCAAAATAATCACTTGAACCCGTGAGGCAGAGGTTGCAGTGAGCCAAGATCACGCCACTGCACTCCAGCCTGGGCAATAGAGGAAGACTCTGTCTAAAAAAAAATTTAAAAAAATTAAAAAAAAAAGAAAAAAGACAAGGTCTCACTATGTTACCCAGGTTGGACTTGAACTCCTGGGCTCTAGTGATCCACCCACCTCAGCTTCCCAAAGTACTGGGATTACAGGCATGAGCCACCACACCCGGCCTCTTCTCTTTTTATAAGGACCCATCCTATTCCAGAATGACCTTATCTTAACATACATTTTATTTACATGTGCAATGGACCTATTTCCAAAAAAGGCCAAATGCACAGGTACCAGTCCCAAAATCTGTGTTGGTTTGCTAGGGCCACTGTGACACCATAAACTGAGTGGCTTAAGCAATAGCAATGTATTCTCGCACAGTCCTGGATGCCAGAAGTCCAACATCAAGATCCCAAGCTGGCTCCTCCAGAGGCTGTGAGGGAAGGATCTGTTCCAGGCCCCTCTCCTCGGCTTGTGTCAGATGGCTGCCTTCTCCCTGTGTCTCTTCATATCCTCTTCCCTCCGTGCATGTTAGAACTTCAACTTATGTTTTTGGGAGGCCCAATTCAACCCACAACAGTTGGCCACTTTGGGAGTGCTCTTGCAAGCCTAACGGGATATCCTGGTTGGTCGCAGTTGGGGAGGGGAATTTTCACAACATTTTATACAATAGTCTTTTTTTTTTTTTTTGAGACAGAATCTCACTCTATCACCCAGGCTACAGTGCAATGGAAAGATCTCGGCTGCCTGCAACCTCCGTCTCCCGGATTCAGGTGGTTCTCCTGCCTCAGCCCCCTGAGTAGCTGGGATTACAGGCACCTGCCACCACGCCCGGCTAATTTCTGTATTTTTAGTAGACAGGGTTTTACCATGTTGGCCAGGCTGGTCTCGAACTCCTGACCTCAGGTGATCTGCCCACCTTGGCCTCCCAAAGTGCTGGGATTACAGGCATGAGCCACCGTGCCCCACCTATACAATAGTCTTTAAAAAAGAAAGATTTTCTATTCCTTTCTCTATTATGTAGGGAGCTGTCTTGAGCCTTAGTCATTTTTTATTCTCCAGCCTTAGTCATTTTTTATTCTCCATACATTTAACATAGTACAAAATAGGGCCTTAATAAAGGTCCATGGAGTTTACCGAGCCCCCCAGAAGCATGGGCAGTGCCTGGCACTTACAGCAGAGGTTGTGGTCGAGGCTAGTGAAACAGAGGTTGACGTCCATATTACACAGACCAGGTTCAAATCCTAAATTTGTTTTGTGATAACTCTGGTGGCCCTGAATTAACCCTCCAAGCCTCTATTTGCTCATCTGTAAAATGGAAACTCTCAGAGTATCTACCCTTTGTGGTTGCTATAAGGACAAAATGATGTAATGCACATATGGTGCTCAGCAGAGGGCCTGGCTCATGACAGGTGCCTCATGAACACTGCAGTTGGGCACTCAGGGAATGTGTGTTGACTTGAACCGCACAGCAACACAATGTCCCCACTCTGGAAATATATTTACCTTCCAGCATTTCGGTTTGGATCGTGGAACATAGTGGGGTGCCTGGATTTCCCACACACACTTGCCCAGCCATAACACTCATTTGACAAGTTTCTCACGATGGCCGTGAATGTGAACATCGAAGGAAGGCTGCCTCTGGGGCTTTATTAACCTGAATTCAGTGATCATCTAAATGCAAGAGTTCATTTCCATGGTTGTAAACTTTGCCTTGAATTGTTTGACCTTGGATGTTGGGTCTTTGTTTCTGCATTTGTTTCACAACTCAATTTGGAGAGGAAAAAAAAAAAAAAAAAAAAAAACAGAGGGAGGGAGAGCTACTTTGCAAGAGACACACCTTGTTCAAGACACATGGTAGAGTGGGTGGGTGGGTCTGCCTAACAGCTCCAAGAGAGGGTGGAGAACCTTTGTTCCCTAAACCTGCATCATGTCACAACACACAGTGAAGTGATTTGCAGCAGGATTCCACTGGTTGCGGCCAACTGAGGGGAGAGTGAGTTGACACTGTAGCTATTTACATTCTCAACCAAGGCTGTGCTGGCTCCTCCCCTGGCATCCCTGGGCCGATTCTGATGCACCTGGGTCAACAGAGACCCTGCAATAATTTTAGTGTCAGCCTCACATCTGTGATCCCAGCACTTTGGGAGGCCGAGGCGGGTGGATCACAAGGTCAGGAGTTTGAGACCAGCCTGGCCAACATGGTGAAACCTTGTCTCTACTAAAAATACAAAAATTAGCTGGGCATGGTGGCACGTGCGTGTAATCCCAGCTACTCAGGAGGCTGAGGCAGGAGAATCGCTTGAACCCGGGAGGCAGAGGTTGCTGTGAGCTGAGATTGTACCACTGTACTCCAGCCTGGGTGACAGAATGACACTCTGCGTCAAAAATAATAATAATAATAATTTAGGGTCAGCCCCAGATCCAAATGAATCGTGGTATTCAAAAGGCAAAAGAATAAAGACATGTGATCTACATGATGCAATGGGCTAAGGAGATTTGGCCAGTTGGACCGAAGGGCTTGGCATAACACACAGCTGGCTTCAGGCGCGTGCCGCCCCCACCTCTCCTGACCCCTAAAAACACCTTCATTGCTTCCAGGTAGAAGAAAGTGGCTTGAGCTTATAGAGGAGGAGGGTTTGCTACACTGGGTTGACTCTCAGGTTTCTTGGAAGTGTAGGGGACAGTGGGGAGTGGGGAAAAGGTGATTGACAGGACAAGATAAATAGAGCTAGCTGATCCGGATCCTCTCACCTCTCAATAATGGTGATAATAGTTAGCATTTCTGAGCTTTGGCTGTAAGACAGGCAGCGAATTAGGTGTTTGTCATGTTATCTCTGGTTCTCACAACTCTCAAGGTGGCTTTTATTTTATTTATTTATTATTATTTTCTGTAGAAACAAGGTCTTGCGATGTTGCCCACAGGCTGGTCTCCCACTGGTCTCAAGCAATCCTCCCACCTCAGCCTCCTAAAGTGCTGGAACTACAGGCATGAGCCACCTCGCCCAGCCTCCAAGGTAGTTTTTATTACACTCGTTCCATTTATCTATGACTGCATAACAAATGACTCAAACCACAGTGGTGGGAAGCCATAACTGCTTTATGATGCTCACGGCTTCTCTGGGTCAGGGTTTGGAAGGGGCTTGTCTCTGCTCCATGATGTCTGAGCTGGGAAGACTTAGAGCACAGGAGAGGCCCAGTGGCTGGGGCCAGATCCATCCCGAGGTTCATCACCTCCATGCCTTGCAGCTGCTGCTGCCGCCGGCTGCACCCTCTGCCGGGGATGTCTGCAGTGCGCCTGCGTGAGGCCCCTCCACGGGACTGAGCTTCCTCACAGCATTGCAAGTTCCAAGAACGAATGTCCCGGGCAAGGGAGCCGGATGCAAGCTGTACCGCCTTCTATAGACGTGGAAGTCACACAGCATCACTTCTACTCTTCCTGAGATTCAAGTTCACCTCTCCGCAGGAGGAGAGTTAAAGTGTCCTTGTAAGAAGAGCCCGTGGATGGGAGATGTTGTCGCGGTCACCGTTGGACGTTTTTTCTGCCACGATTCTTGTTCGAATGGAAGGTAATGCAGACTGGAAGGGTTCCATGGACCACTTGAGGCCAGGTGTGTGAGATTAGCCTGGGTAACATAGCAAGACCCTGTCTCTATAAACCATTTAAAAACTAGCTGGGTGTGGTGGCACGCGCCTGTAGTCCCAGCTACTTTGGACACTGAGGTTGGAGGATTGCTTCAGCCCAGGAGTTCAAGCAGTGAGCTATGATCATGCACTCCAATCTGGGCAACAGAGCAAGATCCTGTCTCAAAAGAAAGAAAGAAGGAAAGGAAGGAAGGGAGAAAGGGAGGGAGGGAGGGAGGAAGGAAGGAAGGAAGGAAGGAAGGAAGGAAGGAAGAAGGGAGGGAGGCAAGGAGGGAGGGAGGGAAGGAGGGAGGGAGGGGAAGGGGAAGGGAGAAGGTTCAGCAGTTCCACAGCTGTTTTTGTTTTGTTTTGTTTTGTTTTTTGAGACAGAGTCTCGCTCTGTCGCCCAGGCTGGAGTGCAGTGGTGCAATCTCGGCTCACTGCAACCTCTGCCTCCCGAGTTCAAGCAATTCTCCTGCCTCAGCCTCCTGAGTAGCTGGGATTACAGGCGCCTGCCACCACGCACAGCTAATTTTTTTGTATTTTTAGTAGACAGAGGGTTTCATCATGTTAGCCAGGCTGGTTTTGAACTCCTGACCTCAAATCATCCACCCGCCTCGGCCTCCCAAAGTGCTGGGATTACAGGTGTGAGCCACCGCACCCGGCCACAGTTCCACAGCTTTTAAGTGCCAGCTCTGGGATCTGCACTGGAGCCACTTGGGTTCAAGGCACTTTCCTATCCACATGACTGCACCCTGACACTGAAGCCCCTGGTGCCTTTGGGTTTCCTTTGCATGTCACTTTCTCCCTTGTAATTGCCCTCTAACCATCATTTCACTTCCTCTTGATCACTCTGATGTGCTTTGATTCTCTTTGATCATGTTTAAACTAATGGTCCCCAACCTTTTAGGCACCAGGGACCAGTTTCATGGGAGACAATTTTTCCATACATGGGGGTGGGAGGGATGGTTTTGGGATGATTTGAGCACATTCCATTTATTGTACACCTTATTTATATTGTGATTCCACTGTAATATATAATGAAATAATTATACAACCCACCGTAATGTAGAATCAGTGGGATCCCTGAGCTTGTCTTCCTGAAACTAGGTGGTCCCATCTGGGGGTCATGGGAGACAGTGACAGATCATCAGGCATTAGGTTCTCATAAGGAGTGTGCAACCTAGATCTATGCCTTGCATTTGCAGTTGACAGTAGGGTTCATGCTCCTATGGGAATCTAATGCTGCCGCTCATCTGACAGGAGGCAGAGCTCACATGGTAATACGAACGATGAGGAGCGGCTGTAAATACAGATAAAGCTTCACTCACTGTCCCACGACTTACCTCCTGCCATGCGGCCTGGTTCCTAACAGGCCACAGAACGGTACCTGGCAGGCGCTGCTGCTGCCCAGGGGATGGGGACACCTGCTATAAACCATTTGTTTTCAAACTTCATTTCTGCCAATAAACAAAGCACAGTTGTGACTCCATATGCAGCATGCTCCCTCTGGGATCCCAGATCACATGCTCTGATGAGGGGGCTCCCGGGATGTGCCATGGGGCTGACATCAATCCTACCCTTTTCTCTTCCATCCCCAAAGCCCTCAGGAACACAAGCAGGGAGAGGGAACTTTTCTTGGGATAAGACTGCAATCCACATTAAATATACAGGAAGCAAATCCTTACCACATTGACTGCTTAAATACTTTTTCTAATAATTATAAGCAGCCAACTTTGTAACTGGTGGAAGCACCATGGTTTGAGCCCAGAGCTTAAGATAACCAGATATGGGCTGGGGGTGGTGGCTCACACCTATAATCCCAGCACTTTGGGAGTTCAAGGTGGGTGGATCACCTAAGGTCAGGAGTTTGAGACCAACCTAGCCAACATGGTGAAACCCCATCTTCACTAAAAATACAAAAATTAGCCAGGCTTGGTGACATGTGCCTGTAATCCCAGGCTTGGTGACATGTGCCTGTAATCCCAGCCATTGCACTCTGCACTCCAGCCTGGGTGACAGAGTAAGACTCTGTCTCAAAAAAAAAAAGAAAAGAAAAAAAAAGATAATCGGATATGGTAGCCTCACTAGGTCAATAGGTAAATTCTCTTTCTCTAAATCCCACTTATTGGGATATTGGTTCTTCTGTTGTGCACACATCTTACAGCTTTTCCTCATTAAAAACTGTGGATCTTTTATGGTATATATTGGTTCTTCTGTTGTGCACACATCTTACAGCCTTTCCTCATTAAAAACTCTGGATCTTTTATGGTATACAGTGTGCCCCTAACCTCCTTCTATTCCCTCATCTTCAGCCCAGCATCCCTGTCCCCTCCCGGCTATGTCATTCCTTTGTCCTCTGCCACTTGAAGTCTCTATA
Organism: Homo sapiens; assembly: GCF_000001405.40. Taxonomy (NCBI): domain Eukaryota; kingdom Metazoa; phylum Chordata; class Mammalia; order Primates; family Hominidae; genus Homo; species Homo sapiens. Next base: position 31,595,163 of record NC_000021.9, on the reverse strand, counting down.
AGCGCTTTCATTGAGTCTTTCCTGCCTGTTCGCATCCTCCAAGGCTAAGAGCCCCCTCAATAGGCTCTTAATGCATAACAAGTTCTCAGAGATCGGCTGTTTCAGCCGCAGTGACCAAACTCGGGGGTCTGATGTTTTCATCTGCTTGGGCTACCATAACAAAACAACAGGCTGGGTGGCTTCAACAACAGGAATGTATTTGTCACAGTTCTGGAGGCTGGAAGTCTGCGATCAGGGTGCCAGCATGGTCAGGTTCTGGTGGGGGCACTCCTCCTGGCTTGCCGTGTGCTGATGTGGCCTTTCCTCAGTGTGTGTTGGAGCAGGAGAGAGAGTGCATGCAAGCTCCTGGGGTTTCTTCTTATAAGGACGCTAATCCCATCAAGAGAGGCCCACCCTCATGACCTCAACTGAACCTCATCACCTCCCAAAGGCTCCATCTCCAAATACCATCATATTGTGGGTAAAGATGGGGAGGGGGCACAATTCAGTTCAGAGCACCGGTGGACACATTTTAGGAGCCCACCACTAGCTTTTAAGCTTCACTGCCATCTTACCTAGGGCTCCAGGGCACTGCAAATGCGGAAAAAACAATCAACTGTTCACAAGAGATGTCTATTAGAATTTCCCATTTCTTTTATGGTAGGTGGAGTAGCGAGGGCTTGGGAGACAGACTTCCTGGGGTTTGAATCCTAGTTTTTCTATTTACTAGCTGTGTGACTTTGGGCATATAGCTCAACCTCTCTGTGCTAATAACAATACCTACCTTATAAGATAGTTGGGGGAGATTATATGCCATAAATCAGGTAAAGCATTAGCATTTAGTCTTTTAAATAATGTTAACTATTTATTAGTCTTCCTATTTAATGATACAAGTGAGCCATTTTTCCTGTCAAAAAAAATAGAAAATGTGATACTAAAAGAGAAATGTGAGCTGGGCGCGGTGGCTCACACCTGTAATCCCAGCACTTTGTGAGGCAGAGGCAGGTGGATCACCTGAGGTCAGGAGTGCAAGACCAGCCTGGCAAACATGGAGAAACCCCCGTCTCTACAAAAATACAAAAGTTAGCCGGGCATGATGGTGGTGCCTATAATCCCAGCTACTCAGGAGGCTGAGGCGGGAGAGTTGCTCGAATCCGGGAGGAAGAGGTTGCAGTGAGCCGAGATTGTGCCATTGCACTCCAGCCTGGGTGACAAAGCCAGACTCCATCTCAAAAAAAAAAGAAAAAAAAAAAAAAAGGAGAGAGAGAGAAATGTGGAAAAGGAAAAAGAAAGGGAAGGATTTGAATGGGAGTTGGGATGAGTTTGGAAAAAGGTACCCACAGTTTGCAGCCCAGCAGAAACAGAATGTAATTCACAAATGAAAGCCACAAATGTAAGCCATATATGTAATTTAAAATTTTCCAGTACCCACATTTAAAAAGTAAAAAGAGACAGGTGAAATTAATTCTAGTAATATATTTTATTTAACCCGATTTATTTAGTTCTGTATGATAACTCACTATATGGTATATTTAAGATAACCCAATACAGTGACTACTGTACAAAATAACCTAAAATTATTAAAGTGACTTTTACATTCCTTTTTCATCCTGAGTCTTTGCCATCTGGTGTGGGTTTTACGCTTATAGCACATCTTAAATCAGACTAGCCATGTTTCAAGTGCTTAATGGCCGCCTGTGGCCAGTGGCTATCATTGGACGGCGCAGGTCTAGTTTCAGACATTCGTTCTTATTTCTCTGGGTATCCGCCAAGACTTGCAAGCCCTATACACAGAGAATATTTTTAGCAGCTGTTAACAAATCGAGGCTCCAGGCAGCAACCACCCATCCTGCTGTAGCGGGACCCACCCCTTGCCACGCGTCTCCTGTTTTCCTTTAAGGTGTTAGAGCACTTCATTTCACCTCCCACTCGAGGGCTGATATTTAAGGGCCTGTTTTGGTTCCATCCTTAGATTTGAATTCATGTAACCCATGGCAACAGTGAGGCTCCTGAAGCTGATTGTGATGTTTAGTTCCCACAATGCTGAGTTGAGAGTTAGGGGGAAAAAGGCACTTGTCTGTAGCTTGGAAAGTGACAGCAGGGCCACAGGGAGACTTTGTTTTGGCAAACTGGATGGCGTTGTTTTTGTTATCCACGTATCCTCTGAGAAACATGTGACTCCTTCCTTCTCTGGACCTTTGTTAGCAGAATGAGATCCTTAGAGCAGAGTTGATTGAGCCAGGATCTGGGGGTTGAGTTCTATAGGGGCGACTTGGCTGCATATAGAGAAACAATGTTTTCTCAGTCACCGCCTCCATTACCCACCCAGGTCAGCCTCAAGAATGTGCTTTTAGGATTACTCCTGGGGGATGGCTTGAATGCCAGGTTTGGGCACAGGGCCACTGCACAACTCTAGGAGGTGCCGCTTGCATTTTATTCCATAGAGATGGGTGCCCCTGGACTATGTACCTTCATGCTCCAAATAGGTCAAATACTGTTTGGTAACAATACTAAGACAGTGTTTGCTTTTTTCACTCTCATTCACTCATGAGTGTGTAGTGGAGTTTTCCAGAGGTTGTCCAACGTGATGATGTTTTTGTTCTGACAGCCAATGAATGTGTGCTGATGTATTCTTGTGTTTTACATTTTTCATGGTTTTATGTATACAATGAGAAAGGTGCCCCCAGTCCCAGTTGTAACCTGGCATCCCTGTTTAATGAGGTAATTTGGAAGTCAGGAGACCCAGTTCTAATCCCAGCTCCACTGATATCTAGTTGGGGGACCTCTCTGAGGCCCTTACCTCATCATAAAGAGTGGATCAGATCAGATCATTTGGATTGCTGGGATTCTTCAGGTTCTAGAGCACTCAATTCTCTATGTACTTTTTTTTTTTTAAGAGACAGGGTCTTGCTCTGTCCCCCATGCTGAACCATAGTGGCATGATCATAGCTCACTGCAGCCTCAAACTCCTGGGCTCAAGCCATCCTCTTGCCTTAGCCTCCTGAGTAGCTGGGAATACAGGCATGTGCCACCATGCCTGGCTAATTTAAAAATTTTTTTTAGAGATGTGCTTTTGCTATGTTGCCCATGCTGGTCTTGAACTCCTGACCTCAATCTATGTACCTTTTTGAGAGCAAATGACCACCCTCAAGAAAATGTCTGAAAAGAGTATAGCTTAGTAGATAGCATCATCTTCACGTACACACACCAGACTCAGTTCCTATAGGAATAGACTCAACACCCTTAGAAGGTCCTCTCAGACCCTTTCCCATCTCTAAACATGTCCCCTTCTCTGTCCCCTTACTCTTTGCTATAATTATAACATCTTCTCAAGATCTCAATACCACCCACTCTATGGCTTATATGTCTTTCTTCCAGCTGTTTCCTCTTTGTGGAAAGCCCTCTCCCCTCTTCATGTGGCAAACCCTCTACAGTCCCAACTCTGATGCTGCCTCCTCCAGGGAGGCCTCTCTGACTTATTCTGGCTAAATCAGGCAGATATAACTACACACATAACCCCATCCTTTTCTCTTACCACTGGATCCAAGACATCTAAGACATCATATTATTTCACCTAAAATGCTTGAAATATAGCTACTCCTTTTTTTTTTTTTTTTGAGACAGAGTCTCCCTCTGTTGCCCAGTCTGGAGTGCAGGGGCATGATCTTGGCTCACTGCAACCTCCACCCCCTGGGTTCAAGCAATTCTCCTGTCTCAGCTTCCCGAGTAGCTGGGACTACAGGTGTGCACCACCACACCAGGCTAATTTTTGTATTTTTGGTAGAGATGGGGTTTCACCATGTTGGCCAGGATGGTCTCCAACCCCTGACCTCAAGTGATCTGCTCTCCTCAGCCTCCCAAAGTGCTGGGATTACAGGTGTGAGCCACTGTGCCCAGCCTGTTTTGGGGTTTTTGTTTGTTTGTTTTGTTTTTGAGATGGAGTCTCACTCTGTTGCCCAGGCTGGAGTGCAGTGGCAGGATCTCAGCTCACTGCAACCTCTGCCTCCCGGGTTCAAGTGATTCTCCTTCCTCAGCTTCCTGAGTAGCTGGGACTACAGGTGCATACCACTGCGCCTGGTTAATTTTTGCTTTTTTTTTTTTGAGATGGAGTCTTGCTCTCTCTCCCGGCTGGAGTGCAATGGCACTATCTCTACTCACTGCAACCTTAGCCTCTTGGGTTCCAGCGATCTCCTGCTTCAGCCTCCGGAGTAGCTAGGACTACAGGCATGCACCATCATGCCCAGCTAATTTTTTGTATTTCTAGTAGAGACGGAGTTTTACCATGTTGGCCAGGATGGTCTCGAACTCTTGACCTCGTGATCCACCCCCCCCCTCCCCCCCGCCCCCCACCCCTTGGCCTCCCAAAGTGCTGGGATTACAGGAATTTTTGCATTTTTAGTAGAGACAAGGTGTCACCATGTTGGTCAGGCTGGTCTCAAACTTCTGACCTCAAGTGATCTGTCTGCCTCGGCCTCCCAAAGTGCTGGGATTACAGGCATGAGCCACCGTGCCTGGCCCCAGTCTGTTTTTTAATAGCAGTTTAACCTGTATCCAAACTAGTACCCTCAGTTTTCTATATCTTTTCTAAGTATCTCTCTTTTTCTTCTGCCAAATGTGGCAGAGAAGATATAGAAAATTGAGGATACTAGTTTGGATGTGGGTTAAGCTGCCATTACTAATTCTTGCCAAATTCTCCAACTGAATTACAAAACTCATCTGAACACTATTTTCCATATGGCCAACTACACCTGCTTTATTATTGGTACCTAGTTTTTCTCGCCCCATCCTCCTGCTGTGGGGGGAGGGGGGGCAGAATGGTTGCTCCTCAGGCTGTCTGCACAATAACTACCCCCCAGGACTTCTTGAGTTGCAGCCTAGGTTTTCTGTATCCTGGGTCATCTTTCCCCACACGCAAGAGTTTTAATTGCTTTTTTGTTGCGCTGTAACTTACATAGAGTGCGCTAATATTAAATGTCTAGTTTGCTACGTTTACATATGTCCACACTTGTGTAACTGCTGACCAAATCAAATTTTAGGACATTGCCATCATCCTAGAAGCTCCCCCACTGCATGCTGTGCCTTTTCATCCAGCAATCACCTCCATCCCCAAGGCCAACCATCATTCTGACTTCTGTGTGTGTGTGTGTGTGTGTATGTGTGTGTGTCACGCTCTCGTTCTGCTGCCCAAGCTGGAATGCAGTGGTGTGATCAAGACTCACTGTGGCCTCAACCTCCTGGTGCAATCTTCCCACCTCTGCCTCTCAACTAGCTGGGATTACAGGCATGCACCACCACCCCTGGCCAATTTTTTATTTTTATTTTTGTAGAGATGTTGTAGAGATGTTTTATTTTTATTTTTATAGGGATGTCGCCCACGCTGATCTCAGACTCCTGGGCACTAGTGATGCTCCCACTTTGGACTCCTAAAATGTTGGCATTACAGTCATGAGCCACCATGCCCAGCCCATTCATATTTCTGTTACCATAAATCAGTTTTTGGTTTTTTTTTTTTGAGACTGAGTCTCGCTCTGTCGGCCAGGCTGGAGTGCAGTGTCACGATCTCGGCTCACTGCAACCTCTGCCTCGTGGGCTCAAGCAATTCTCCTGCCTCAGCCTCCCGAGTAGCTGGGATTACAAGGGTATGCCACCACGCCCGGCTAATTTTTGTATTTTTAGTAGAGATGGGGGTTTCACTATGTTGGGGGTTTCACTATGTTGAACTCCTGACCTCAGGTAATCCACCCGCCTCGGCCTCCCAAAGTGCTGAGATTACAGGCGTGAGCCACCATGCCTGGCCCATAAATCAGTTTTATAGGGCACTAGTCCCATTCATAAGGGCCCCACTCTTATGACTGTCAACCTAAATAAACAGAGGCTCTCCAAAAGAAAATGATGTTTACTTGGGAAAAGAGCATTACAATGGGCATATGCATGCCATAGTAAACTAGGTACGTATTCAGGGAGGTAAAAGAAAACAAAGGTTTTTAAAGGAAAAAGTGAAGAAGATTACATAATTGTTTTGAAATAATTATTCTTGGCTGCAAAGATCAGTAACAAAGGTGATGCCAGTACAAGGTTGGACGTAGTTGCTGAGTAGATGTCCTTGCAAAAGTTTTTTGTTTTTGTGTTTTTTGTAGAGACGGAGTCACCCTATGTTGCCCAGGCTGGTCTCAAACTCCTGGGCTCAAGCAATCCTTCCTGCCTTGGCCTCCCAAAATGCTGAGATTACAGGTGAGCCACCGTGCCCAGTCACAAAAGTATTCTTTTGTGTGAGGTTATCATGGCCATTGTGCTAGGTTGTGAGTTTTGCAGTCTTTGTGATAGTTTTGTTACTAGGCGTATAAGCAAGAGAATCCTCTCTTCATGGTCTTCCCCGGCTCTATGTGCCAGGGGTTTTGTTTGTTGGTTTGTTTGTTTAGTTTTTTTTTTAACATTAGTGAGTCCATTTTGATTCTGACTACTTCTCCCAAAAGGCCCCACCTTCTATTTTTTCTCTTTTATTTTATTTATTTATTTTTTGAGACGGAGTCTCGCTCTGTCGCCCAGGCTGGAGTGCTGTGGCCCCATCTTGGCTCACTGCAAGCTCCGCTTCCCAGGTTCCCACCATTCTCCTGCCTCAGCCTCCCAAGTAGTTGGGACTACAGGCACCCACCACCATGCCCGGCTAATTTTTTGTATTTTTAGTAGAGACGGGGTTTCACCATGTTAGCCAGGATGGTCTTGATCTCCTGACCTTGTGATCCGCCCTCCTAGACCTCCCAAAGTGCTGGGATTGCAGGCGTGAGTCACCACGCCTGGCCCCCACCTTCTATTAAATAATGCCATCACCATGGGGTTAGGATTTCAACATATGAATTTGGGAGGGAAACAAACATTCAGACCATAGCAGGATCCCCCTCTGTAGGAACTTCTTCAGCAACCAGAGCTTCTCTTGCTTGGTGAAGTAACCATCAGAACCTTCCCTTCACCATCAGAACCTAACCTTCCCTTCCCTCCCCTTCCCTCCTCTTCCCCTCCCCTTCCCCTCCCCTTCGCTTCCCCTTCCTTGTTGCTTTTCTTTTCTTTACTTTACTTTTTTTTTTTTTTTTGACAGGGTCTTCCTCTGTTGCCCATACTGGAGTGCAGTGGTGTGATCTTGGCTCACTGAGACCTCCCAGGGTGACGCAATGCTCCCACTTCAGCCTCCCAAGTAGCTGGGACCACAGGCATGCACCACCATATCTGGCTTTTTTTTTTTTTTTTTTTTTTTTTTTTGAGAGATGGGGTTTTGCCATACTGCCCAGGCTGGTCTTGAACTCTTGAGCTCAAGTGATCCTCCCACCTTGGCCTCCCAAAGTGCTGGGATTATAAGCGTGCACCACTGCACCCAGTCAGAACTTACCATTTTCAGACATTTTGTTGATACATCCTGTCTGCTGTTGCCTTGTCTCCCACGGTCTTTGATCATTATACTTTATGTCTACTACAGAGTTGTTAGGCTTGATTTTCCAACTTAAAAAGCAAAACCTCCCCAGGTGCTTAAACAACTCTTCAAAATCTAATAAATCAAACTTCCAATACTGAAATCTCTTAAAAGACCAATATTATTTATCAACATATTCCATTTCTCTATCTACGTATAGATATATATGTATATGTATATATGTGTTCAATCTGCCATGTTTATTTGGAAGTCCTTCTGATGTTACAGCCCTTCACACATTTGAACATGTCTTCCCCAGATTTGAAGATCTCACCTCCATCTCTTCCCCAGCTCAGCAAGCTCATTTTCTTCCATGGTCCTCATGGGACATTATCATCACAGCCTCACCACATTGTCACCTGCAGGATAGCTCTTCAGATGAACTCTTCAGAAAGTCTATTTCTCTCTTCTCTTCAGAAAGTCTATTTCTCTCTTTTTTTTTTTCTGAGACAGAGTCCCATGCTGGAGTGCAATGGCGCAATCTCAGCTCACTGCAACCTCCGCCTCCTGGGTTCAAGCAATTCTCCTGCCTCAGCCTCCTGAGTAGCTGGGATGACAGTCGCCTGCCACCACCCCCAGCTAATTTTTGTATTTTTAGTAGAGATGGGGTTTCACCATGTTGGCCAGGCTGGTCTTGAACTCCTGACCTCAGGTGATCCACCCACCTCGGCCTCCCAAAGTGCTGGGATTACAGGCGTGAGCCACCATGCCCGGCCTTGATTGCCTTTCTTTTAGCTCTTTTAAGATACCTTAATGTCCTGCCATCTGGCACTTCCATCCCATCAACTCTTTCACATTCCTGTGTGATTCTTTCTCAACCCCTTTTAATTTTAGCACCTGATTTTGGTGGCTGAGATTCTGCATTAAGGTTGCTGCTGTCTTCATTCACCTTTTCAGGCCCTGGCTGAATTTTGTATTCTTTTCATGGTCTCTCCATCCAGCAGGGCCACCGCTCACCTGACTGGAGTCTATCTGGCTTTCCTTCCTGACACTCAAGTCATGCTAATGACATAGATGTGGCCTGAGCAAAGGACGGGGGGATTTTTCTTCTCTTGCTTGGATCAGCTTTGTTCATCAAAGCCCACACTATGCTACGTTTGAGTTGAGTAGGGGCACTAAGTCATCCTATTGGCACAGATTGAGATTGTAGTAACCTGAACATTCTAGACCAACAACCTCTTTCCATAGTATCAGTTATTTTTATGCACTTGGTATTCTGTGGACCAGAATGTACATTTATCCTGATTAAATTTCTTTTTTTTTCCGATTAAATTTCAATTGTTAGATTTCATCCATTGTTCTAGCCTACCAAGGTATTTACCAATCTTAATTCAATCTTGGCAGGCATTTACCAATACCTTAATTCAATCTCTCAGGATAGCGTTGATCTCTCCAAGGTCCTGATAAGCCATCGTCTCAGCATTTAGAATGACAATGCAGGACAGAAATAGACCAGCACGGTGGACGGTGCCTTTTGGTACCGACCACTGCTGTTTTGTTCAGATAAAGAAAGAACAGTTGGTGGAAGGAGGCCCAATCAAGGATTTGGTATTTAAAGGATAAACTCCTGGATCCATTTTTCTTATACTTCTGGCTTCCAATTAAAGGACTTATTTCCTGGACCTGCTCCCCCAAAGTCCATGGGCCAGAGATGGGGAACCTAAAGGAAAGTTTCAAATGTGAGGTTTTTTTTGAGAGGGCCCGGATATATTTAAAGTGGGAGAGGTGGCTTTCTGTTCATTTATATTGACTCCCCCTCCCCACCTCTCCTTTTTTTTTTTTTTTTAGGATGGAGACTTGCTTTGTTGCCCAGGCTGGAGTGCAGTGATGCAATCTCAGCTTACTGCAACCTCCGCCTCCTGGGTTCAAGTGAGTCTCCTGCCTCAGCCTCCCAAGTAGCTGGGATTACAGGCACGCACCCGGCTAATTTTTTTTTTTTTTTTTTTTGCATTTTTAGTAGAGATGGGGTTTTACCATGCTGGTCAGGCTGGTCTCAAATTCCTGACCTCAAGTGATCAGCCCACCTCAGCCTCCCAAAGTGCTGGGATTACAGACATGAGTCACTGTGCCCGGCCTCTTCTGACTCTCTTTTCTACCCCTAGAAGATAACTAGAAAGGCAGGCTTTTAGAGCTGCATTAGGAGTGAACAGAAATCTGCCACTTAATTGTCTAAATGGGGAAACTGAGGTGCAGTGAAGTCAGGTTCCTGGGCTAGCCCACTCTGGAACAAGATGACAAAGCCAGGAGGGGACTCCAGTTCCATTGCTCTGTCCTGAGCTGTCTCAGTCAGGTAACCATGGCTGTATACCTGCCACCGCTTCCTAGAGGGTCACTGTGTCTCCAGAATCTGGGGGAAAACATTAGCTTCTTATTAAAACATATGAGGATAGTCCGGACTTGATGGCTCACACTGTAATCCCAGCTCTTTGGGAGGCCGAGGTGGGTGGATCACCTGAAGTCAGGAGTTTGAGAACAGCCTGACCAACGAAGTGAAACCCTGTCTCTACTAAAAATACAAAAATGAGTCGGGCATGGTGGTGGGCACCTGTAATCCCCAGCTACTTGAGAGGCTGAGGCAGGAGACTCATTTGAACCTGGGAGGCAGGGTTGCAGTGAGCAGAGACAGCACCATTGCACTCCAGCCTGGGCAACAAGAGCGAAACTCTGTCTCAAAAAAAAGAAAAGAAAAAGAAAAAAAGAAAAAATGTGCATTTACTAACTACTTGGGCCATGGATGCCAGATCCCCCAGAGAGTACAAAAGTCGATATTTTACTTTATGGAAGAGTTTTTAAGCAGAGAAGTAAGCCTTCAAATAGGCTCCACGAATGTATCAGCTCTATTTGTGGAGGTAGGTCTGTAGCAAGTAGGAGAGGGAAACCATCCTCGTTTCCCTTGTGCTGTTATCATTATTATTTGTTATTTGTAGGTGTGACCAGGGCACAGAATATAAAAGAAAACACTTAAGAAGCCTCTGTGAGGTTACGGGTCTGGTTACTGAGACCTCTCTATAATATGCAGATTTGGCTGGGTGCAGTGGCTCATGCCTGTAATCCCAGCACTTTGGGAGGCCAACATGGGCGCATCGCCTGAGGTCAGGAGTTCGAGACCAACCTGGCCAACATGGTGAAACCCGTCTCTACTAAAAAAACAAAAATTAGCCAGACGTGGTGGCAGGCACTTGTAATCCTAGCTACTTGGGAGGCTGAGGCAGGAGAATTGCTGAAACCTAGGAGGTGGAGGTTGCAGTGGGCCGAGATCGTGCCACTGCACTCCAGCCTGGGGGTCAGAGAGAGACCTTGTCTCAAAAAAAAAAAAAAAAAAAGGCCATGATGATAATGGCGGTTTTGTGGAATGGAAAGGGGGGGAAAGGTGGGGAGAAGATTGAGAAATCGGATGGTTGCCGTGTCTGTGTAGAAGGAAGTAGACATGGGAGACTTTTCATCTTGTTCTGTACTAAGAAAAATTCTTCTGCCTTGCGATCCTGTTGATCTGTGACCTTACCCCCAACCCTGTGCTATCTGAAACATGTGCTGTGTTCACTCAGGGTTAAATGGATTAAGGGCGGTGCAAGATGTGCTTTGTTAAACAGATGCTTGAAGGCAGCATGCTCGTTAAGAGTCATCACCACTCCCTAATCTCAAGTACCCAGGGACACAAACACTGCGGAACGCCGCAGGGTCCTCTGCCTAGGAAAACCAGAGACCTTTGTTCACTTGTTTTATCTGCTGACCTTCCCTCCACTATTGTCCTATGACCCTGCCAAATCCCCCTCTGCGAGAAACACCCAAGAATGATCAATAAAAAAAAAAAAAAAAAAAAAAAAGCATATTCATTCATTTTAGCTTTCTGAGGATATTGGTCAGTCCTTCCCAAGAAGCCGGCTGCATGATGGACCCTCATTTCCATTGCCTGTGGACTGGCTTTACTATCTGTAATTAACAGTGAGGAACTTCGTGGATGGTATTCTTTTGTAGGCATGAATTTCTAACCGAAGAACATCTTTCAGCTCTCAGCATTGTTCATCTGAATGTTGCTATGAGACTGCGGCTATTTATTCCTCTAAAGATCTCTTGCGTGGCTCTGGTGACAGAGTGTATTTTTCATAGCTATGCAGTCTTTCTTCTTATGTAAAAAAGAAATAGGAGATTCTTGCCATTTATTTAACATCGCCTATGAATACATAAGAATATTAGATGGGGGTGGACACCAGAGGTCTTGGGGGAGTAGAGGCCCTTTCAACTGTTTAATTTCTGTTTTATTCCGATGACGTGGTAGAAAGTTGATTTGCCTTGAAGAATCAAAGACCATCAAGCTCTCAGTGCATGTTCCAATAATGTGCTTAAACAGTTAAAAATAGATATGTTTTGGAATAATAATAATCAATGGGTTTGGAATAATAATAATACATGGGCTTTAGAGTAAATAGGCTATAAATATTCTTACCAGTCAATACTATGGGGGATATGTATCTCACAATACAGAGGCATGGTTTCACCTGCCTATTAACCTTTTCTTCTTTTCAGCTTGAAAACATCAATTTTCTTTTTCTTTCTTTTTTTTTTTAAATAGATTTTCACTCTGTCGCCCAGGCTGGAGTGCAGTGGCATGATCTTGGCTCACTGCAACCCCCACCTCCCAGGCTCAAGCGATTCTCCTGCCTCAGCCTCCCAAGTAGCTGGGATTACAGGTGCCCACCACCGCATCTGGCTAATTTTTGTATTTTGTAGTAGAGACAGTGCTTCACCATGTTGGCCAGGCTGGTCTCAGGTGATCCGCCCACCTCAGTCTCCCAAAATGCCGGGATTACAGGCGTGAGCTACCACACCCCGTTGAAAACCTCACCTCTGGGGATTTACCCCTCTCTCAGGGTGATAGTCAAAATCTGCAACAACTGGAATGCTTGGGCATGACCACATTCAACCAACCAGAATGGATGCTCAACCCTGCCTTCCTCCGCAGATACACTTTTGGGGAGTCCTGAAATCAGAATGTCCTGCCCTTCTTTATCCAAAGGCTGGACATGAACCAAGTGAGGCCTAACAGACTCTCTATCCCCAGAATTTGTATACTGATCAGTGACACAGGCAGGGCTGAAAACAATTGTCCCAAAGGTGTTGCCCTGGAAACACCAGCTTCCTGGACACCTAATACCGTTTCCTGTCCTTTGTGAGATGTCGTTGTTCAGCTTGTACTGTTTTTCTATAAGCCACCACCATATCCATCTAATACATTTCCTTTGTTTATTTCTTTTTTGCTTATATTACCTAGACTCTATTTCTATTACAAACAAGGCAACAGAAATGAATGTATCAGGTGTTTGTGGGGAGAGCACCAGTCCTGCTTCCCTTGTGCTGTTATTATTATTATTGTTATTGTTATTATTATTATTGAGATGGATTCTCGCTCTGTGGCCCAGACAGGAGTACAGTGGTGCAAATTCAGCTCACTGCAACCTCCGCCTCCCGGGTTCAAGTGATTCTCTTGCCTCAGCCTCCTGAGTAGCTGGGACTACAGGTGCGTGCCACCATGCCCAACTAATTTTTGTATTTTTAGTAGAGATGGGGTTTCACTGTTGGCCAGGCTGGTCTCAAACTCCTGACTTCGTGATCCACCTGCCTCGGCCTCCCAAAGTGTTAGGATTACAGGAGTGAGCCACTGCGCCTGGCCGTGCTATTATTATTATTTGTTATTTGTAGGTATGACCAGTACACAGAACATTTAAAAAAAGCACAAAAACACTTCTAAGAAACCTTTGTATTTTGAAAAATACGATCTTAAAGCAAATTTTCTGTAATGGGAATCCTGTTTTCCTATCATTTTGTTACAGAATTGTAGGAATATTCCTCTGGGAGGAAAAATGTCTTCAACAGAATAAGTAGAAAACAGGATAAAAATGAAAATAAGAAAAACTGTTGTGGGGCAATGGGCCTGTTTATGCACTGGTGTAACGAAAGGCTTGGACCAGAAACAGCAGAAGTGCCAAGCTTTCTGTGAGTTGCTAGCCCTATGTGGAGCTAAAATTTTTTTTTCAGCCAGGCACAATGGCTCATGCCTGTAATCCCAGCACTTCAGGAGGCTGATGTGGGTGGATTGCTTGAGCTCAGGAGTTCAAGACCAGTCTGGGTAACATGGTGAAACCTTGTCTCTACAAAAAATACAAAAATTAGCCAGGCGTGGTGGCTCGTGCCTGTGGTCCCAGCTACTTGGTAGGCTGAGGTGGGCAGATCGCTTGAGCCTGGGAGGTGGAGGTTGTAGTGAACTGGGATGACACAATAACACTACCGTCTGGGTGACAGAGTGAGATTCTTGTCTCAAAAAAAGAAAAAATTTTTTTCTTTGACATAGACGCTTAGTCACTAGATTAAGTCCTCTAGAACACTAGAACATGTTTCTTTCACGCTAAAGCACACACGAATCACTTGGAGGATCTCATGAAAATGTAGAGTCTGAGCCAGTGCCTGTATTCCCAGCAACTCAGGAGGCTGAGGCAGGAGGATTGCTTGAGCTTAGGAGTTTGAGACCAGCCTGGGTAACACAGCAAGACCCGGTCTCTAAAAAAAAAAATGTAGAGTCTGATCCCACATTTACAAGCTCCTAGTGATCCCGATACTGCAGGCCCTAGGACCACACTTTGCACAGCAAGATTGAAGGTCAGGATTTCTCTCCAGCCTCAGCTTCCCAGGTACTCCACTCAGGGGTTCCAGACCATCTCCGTCTGTCCAGACTAGAACACACTTGTCACACCATGCCTAGCCAGCAGGTGTCATCAGAGTGCTCTGAGAGTCACACCAGATCAGATTTCTAAGGACCCTTGATATGTTTCAAAAAGATTCATGTATAGGAGCTGTAAGAATCTCCCAAGTAAGCATATTCCATAGCTTTGGGTTATAATTTGAACCCCCAAGCAAAGTGACCAGTGAGGGAGACTCTCACTAAGTATTTATTTTTATTTATTTATTTATTTTTTGAGACGGAGTCTCGCTCTGTCACCCAGGCTGGAGTGCAGTGGCACGATCTCAGCTCACTGCAACCTCCGCCTCTGGGTTCAAGCGATTCTCCTGCCTCAGCCTCCCAAGTAGCTGGGATTACAGGCATTTGCCACCACACCTGGCTAATTTTCGCATTTTTAGTAGAGACGGGGTTTCACCATGTTGGCCAGGATGGTCTGGATCTCCTGACGTCGTGATCTGCCCGCCTTGGCCTCCCAGAGTGCTGGGATTACAGGTGTGAGCCACCATGCCTGGCCAAATCTCACTAAGTATTTTTATAACTGTTTTTTTCTTTCTGATTTTAAAATCATCTGTCCATGCCGTACTGTGGAAATTTGGCTCTAGACATTTGTAATAGGTAAGAAGTGCTTTAGCCATGCTTGCTACAGTTCAATTTTTAGACAGCTTTCTCATGCATTTATCTTATTGCTAGAAGAATCTTTGCTACTATTATTATTCCCACTTTACAGATGAGAAAACAAAGGCAGAGAGGGGATGTAGTGATTAGTTCAGTGCAACAAAGATAGAGATGAGATTCAACCTCAAGCTTCTACTTATAAGTCTCTTCTTATCCTAGTGTTTATGGAGAAGGAAAAAGATGGCATTTGGGCTTTCTTTTGCAAAAAAACTTTATTCTTCTTACCCAGATTGAAAGTTAACTAATCTCTATAGGGGATAATGGTCTACACTTTAGGAGTTCCTGGGTTCCTGATCAAAGGCGCTGGGATACTGATAGTTCTCAGCATAAATCCTCCCCAAATAAAATTACACACTTTGAATTGAATACAATGATCTGAGATGCAAGAGTTCTATAAACATTGTATTTATTCCTGTCCTACATATGGTATCAAAACCCCCTTACAAATTTTCTGGGGAGATTAGAAATTAGTGAAGAGGTAACTTTTTTTTTTTTTTTTTTTTTTTGAGACGGAGTCTAACTCTGTAACCCAGGCTGGAGTGCAGTGGCGTGATCTCGGCTCACTGCAACCTCTGCCTCCCGGGTTTAAGTGATTCTCCTGCCTCAGCCTCCTGAGTAGCTGGGACTACAGGCATGCACCACCACGCCCAGCTGATTTTTTTTTTGTATTTTTAGTAGAGACAGGGTTTCACTATGTTGGTCAGGATGGTCTCGATCTCTTGACCTCATGATCCACCCGCCTTAGCCTCCCGAAGTGCTGGGATTATAGGCATAAGCCACTGTGCCCGGCCGTGAAGAGGCAACATTTTGAGTGTATTAAAACAAAGGCTTTCATGGTGCCTGAGTGGAGGGGCATTTAGGGGAGTTGATATGTCATCTTTGAGAACCTGCTGCAGGTTTTGCAACCCCAGTAATCTCCTCCCATGCCCCACACTCATCAAATCTGGAAGAAAGAGACCACTGTCATCATCAAGGCCAAGAAGAGCAGATTTGTGAGCATCCAATCTCAGGGCAGGAGGGGCTGCTGTGGGTGACTGCTAATGCCTTTTCTAGCTCCAGGGACCTCAAGACCATCGACTTCAAGCATTTTGCAAAATGGGTTATATGGGGTATTAATATGGAGAATTGGGGAAAAAATGTTGCTATGGTCAAATACATTTGAGAAACTGGTTGAAATGAAGGCACACACGTTTCTTGCTTTCAAGCAGGGCTTTCTGGAGCAGTTCACGCGCATTTTGAATCTTCAATGAAGGGATGGGGAAATGTGCCCCACTTCCTAGAGATGAGAATAAGGAATCTTTTGTTTTTGGAATATCTGGAGTTTACAGAACACCTTCTGAAAATCCTGATCTAATTTATTAGAGCCAGCTTCATGGGCATGTGACCTCCATGGTTGCACAGGTCCCCACAGTTGGTTTAATGCTGTGCTGCTGCTGCCTCCAAATTTTGAGTACATTTTGAACAAAGGGCTCCACGTTTCGATTTTGTATCAGGCCCTGCAAATTATGTAGTTGGCTCTGCCTATGGATGCCCCAGAGGAGGAAATGGAGGTCCAGAGAAGAGAAGGGTCTTGAGATGGAGTTTCACTCTTGTTGCCCAGGCTGGAGTGCAATGGTGCGATCTCGACTCACTGCAACCTCCGCCTCCTGGGTTCAAGCGATTCTCCTGTCTCAGCCTCCCGAATAGCTGAGATTAACAGCATCCGCCACCACACCTGGCTAATTTTTGTATTTTTAGTAGAGACGGAGTTTCACCATGTTGGCCAGGCTGGTCTTGAACTCCTGACCTCGTGATCCACATGCCTTGGCCTCCCAAAGTGCTGGGATTACAGGCGTAAGCCACCTTGCCTGGCCTTATTTTTTATTTTTATTTTTTTTCTAAGATGGAGTCTCTGTCTGTTGCCCAGGCTGGAGTGCAGTGGTGCGATCTTGGCTCACTGCAACCTCTGCCTCCCAGGTTCAAGCAATTCTCCTGCCTCAGCCTCCCCAAGTAGCTGGGACGACAGGTGTGCACCACCATGCCCAGCTAATCTTTGCGTTTTTAGTAGAGATGGGGTTTCACCATGTTGGCCAGGCTAGTCTCGAACTCCTGACCTCACGTGATCCACCTGTCTTGGCCTCCCAAAGTGCTGGGATTACAGGCAAAAGCCACCTTGCCTGGCTTTTTTTTTTTTCTGAGATGGAGTCTCCCTCTGTTACCCACGCTGGACTGCAGTGGCACGATCTTGGCTCACCGCAACCTCCGCCTCCCAGGTTCAAGCGATTCTCCTGCCTCAGCCTCCCCAAATAGCTGGCACTACAGGTGTGTGCCACCATGCCCAGCTAATCTTTGTATTTTTAGTAGAGATGGGGTTTCACCATGTTGGCCAGGCTAGTCTCGAACTCCTGACCTCAGGTGATCCGCCCGCCTCGGCCGCCCAAAGTGCTGGGATTACAGGTGTGAGCCACTGCGCCCAGCCAAGAGAAGAGTCTTGATCTAAACACTCCCCACTCCTCTCCTCCTTTTCGTACTTGGCTTCCTGCCTCTGCTTGCTCTATTCTCTCCTGTCTTCTACTGCAGCCCTTCTTTCCACCGCCATCTCTTTTTCTCATTTGCATTTTCTGTTCTACTCCTTCTCCTTTTTTATCCTTTCTCTTCCACCTCTAGACATAGGAGATTTTCTCCAGCCCAGTTTTATAAGTCACTAGAATAATGTTCTCTGTGTTTCCTTGGTTCCCTTTTGGGCTTTTAATTATGAGAAGAGCCCACATACTTTATCAAATGTCCACAGTTTAGAGGATGGCCATTTATGTAAAACTGCTGTTGTAGTACAGCTGGATGTTATAACTCTGCTCTGGGCATTGCAACATTCCCTAATTTGCATGTGGGCATTCAGGGAGGGAAGAATAGAACATAGTAGAAAGCAGAAAAAGCACATTTCAATGATAATGAAAGCAACACCTTCTGAGGCTAATAATCTCTTCTGTCTAAACTTATTAAATTAATGGTTTGGAGTGAAATGTGGCTGTTACCCTCTTCTTACAGTTAAAAGAAAGAGTCTTCTTAGTGCCCCTCAGCACATGAAGGGAAGAATCAGAGCTAAAGGTGGATAACAGCATTTCTCACCTCTTTCCAGAAAGGATTTATGTATCATAATAAGGCAAGCTTCTCTGCCTGGCATTTAGAGCCCTCAGAGACCACCCATCCTGTCCAACCCAGTCTCCATCTTTCTCCTTTACTTTCCATCTTTGTCAAGGTGTTTTTTTTGTTTGTTTGTTTTTTGTTTTTGCCTGTGATATAAATGCAATTCAAACCACTGTAAGGAAAAAAAGAGATGTATTAGTTCCCCATATCTGGGCAGCATAAGTAAGGAATGGGAATGGCTTCAGGTAGAGTTGGATTCAGGAAGCCAAATTATGCCATTTAGACCCCTTTCCTGTACCCCTGCTTCTCTGTCATTTCTGCTTTCCTTTGGGCCATATTCTCTGGCCAGATAGCTCCACATGGAAGCCAAGATCATCTCTGACAGCTCTCAGCTTAGCTTTCTTCATGGCTTCTGCTCTAGAGAACATGTCATTCTCCCAAGAGTTCCATAGGAAAACTGGAGGAGCAATTCCGACTGGCCCAGCCAGGTTCTGACTCACAGCTTTTGAGCCCACCTCTCAACCCATCACAGTAACCCGGAAAATGGCATGCACTCTGATTGGCCTGGGAGGGTTGGCCATGTGCCCACTTGTATGATGCTGCTGGAAGAACTCCAGCTAAATCACACGGGAATGGGTTAATGGGTTCTCCGTGAGAAAGAGAGTTCCTAATACTAAAAGAAAGGGAGGAGATATGTGCCAAGCGGACAAAACAATGACAACTGTAGGCGACTGTACCTTCTCTGTCTTGTTCCTTGCCTCCTCCCCTCCTCCCAAACTAGTGATACAGGAGTTAAGAAGAAATTACTGGCCGGAAACAGTGGCTCACGCCTGTAATCCCAGCACTTTGGGAGGCCGAGGTGGGTGGATTACATGAGGTTGGGAGTTCGAGACCAGCCTGGCCAACATGGTGAAACCCCATCTCTACTAAAAATACAAAAATTAGCTGGGTGTGGTGGCAGGCGCCTGTAATCCCAGCTACTCGGGAGGCTGAGGCAGGAGAATCGCTTGAACCCAGGAGGCAGAGGTTGCAGTGAGCCGAGATCGCACCATTACACCACAGCTTGGCTGACAAAGTGAGACTCCGTTTCAAAAAAAATTAAAAAAAAAGAAATTACTTAGGCAGCTAGTAAGGGCACGGGAGTCCTCCATAAAGCTTTTCTATTGATTGATTGATTGAGACGGAGTTTCGCTCTTGTTGCCCAGGCTGGAGTGCAATGTCATGATCTCGGCTCACCACAACCTCCGCCTCCCGGGTTCAAGCGATTCTCCTGCCTCAGCCTCCCAAGTAGCTGGGATTACAGGCATGTGCCACAACGCCTGGCTAATTTTGTATTTTTAGTAGAGATGAGGTTTCTCCATGTTGGTCAGACTGGTCTCGAACTCCCGACCTCAGGTAATCTGCTCGCCTCCGCCTCCCAAAGGGCTGGGATTACAGGCTTGAGCCTGTACCCCGCCCGGCAGGCTTTTCTTTTTAATGAAAAGCAGCCCCAAATCATTTTTCTAACAAAGAGCAGCCTGTAAAGTCAAGCTGCAGACATAGACAAGCAAGCTGGGAGCTTGCCTGGGGGAATGTGGGGAGGAACTAAGGACTAGACTTTTTCAAAATGGCGGCTCCCTCTTCTCTTCTCTGTCAGTCATGCGTATTGTAAGGAGCAGACAAGATGGTGCCATCAACTGGAAAGCCCATTTGCGTAAGATTAGGGTAGGGGGACCAGCGTTCCCCAACTCACTATGTAAATGTCGTACCTGATTGAACCAGCCTATGAGCCCTATGTAAATCAGACACCACCTGCTCAAACCGGACTATAAAATTCGGGGCATTCACCACTGCTGCTCCTTTTCTGCTCAGTCCTTTCTGCTCAGAGGCCCTTTCCTCTATGGAGGGAGCTGTTTCTCTTTTTCTTCTCTTCTACCTATTAAACCTCCGCTCCTAAACTCCTTGTGTGTGTCTGTGTCCTAAATTTTCCTGGCGCGCAACAACAAACCCCAGGGTATATACCCCAGAAAACGTAGCCGCTTCGCTAGGGTTACATCTGCCTTGGTCTAACTCTTATCACGTCCGATCACGCCACACTCCAGCCTGGGTGACAGAGCGAGACTCCGTCTCAAATAAATAAATAAATTCTGAAAGTGCACTGTCCAGTCATTGGGTTAAAAATGAATGGAAGGAAGTCCGCAATTTGCCACCTAAATAAACATTAAGTCTTCAGACTCTGCTATACTTCAGAAAATCTAGGAAGTATGTATTAAATATGATTTGGGTTGAAAGGGTGCATTTAGGCCGGGCACGGTGGCTCATGCCTGTAATCCCAGCACTTTGGGAGGCTGAGGCAGGCGGATCACAAGGTCGGGAGTTCGAGACCAGCCTGGCCAATATGGTGAAACTCCGTCTCTACCAAAAATACCAAAGTTAGCTGGGCATGGTGGCAGGCGCATGTAATCCCAGCTACTTGGGAGACTGAGGCGGGAGAATCGCTTGAACCTGGGAGGCAGAGGTTGCAGTGAGCTGAGATCGCGCCACTGCACTCCAGCCTAGGTGACAGAGTGAGACTCCGTCTCAAAAAAAAAAAAAAAAAGAGAGAGAGAAAGGGTGCATTTAAAAGACTAGAGCTCAAAACAAGTTGCCAACTCTATTAAAGAAAGAGGTTATTGTTATTGTCTCTTAAGACGGTGTCTCACTTTGTCACCCAGGATGGAGTGCAGTGATATGGTCATGGCTCATTGCAGCCTTGACCTCCTCCTGGGTTTAGGTGATCCTACCACCTCAGCCTCCCGAGTAGCTCAGACTACAGGCACACACCACCACCTGCGGCTAATTTTTTGTAGAGATGGAGTTTTGCCATCTTGCCCAGGCTGGTCTTGAACTCTTGAGCTTAAGGCATCTACCCGCCTCGGCCTCCTGAAATGTTGGGATTACAGGTGTGAACCACTGAGCCTGGCCTGAAGATATTATTATTAACACAGGAAAAGCTTTTTCTAAATTGTAGGGAATTCTCTCTCTTTTTTTTTTTTTTTTTTTTAGACAGAGTCTCACTCTGTTGCCAGACTGGAGTGTCCTGGGGCGATCTTGGCTCACTGCAACCTCTGCCTCCTGAATTTAAGCGATTCTCGGGTCTCAGCCTCCCAAGCAGTTGGGACCACAGGCATGCGCCACCACACCCAGCTAAGTTTTTGCAGTTTTAGTAGAGATGAGGTTTCACCATGTTGGCCAGGCAGGTCTCGAACTCCTGGTCTCAAGTGATCTGCCCGCCTCGGCCTCCCAAAGTGCTAGGATTATAGGTGTGAACCACCATGCCTGGCTGAATTCTCTTATTTTTTGTTATTTTAAATGGATTTTGCTCCCCCAAACTCTTTATCAATTAGGAATGTTCTCAGTTGTTCATGACAGGAAATATAATTAAAACCAGCTTAGAGAATAGTGTACATATATTCCTCTCTCTCAGTAAAAAGGGTGGAAGTAAACATTTCCAGAGATAGTCTGGTAATCGACCATGTTATCCCATATCCATACTCTCTTTTTCACTTTATTCCTGGTTAGTTGGATTTTCACTTCAGAACTTCATGATGGCTGCCACAACTCTTACGGAAAAGAGGAGAGAGATGCCAGCAAACTCTCTTCTTGTTCCTTTTTAGTAGGGGAAAATAATATTTTTCAGAAGCATTCCAGTAGATGTCCCCTGTCTTAGTAACGATACTAGTTCATTATTAGTTAACAGTCAATGTAGCTGCAAGGGAAGCCAGGAATGTGACTATCTATCAAGTTGGAATGTGATATCCATGACAGACTTAGCCCAATCATGATTCATCCCTTGGGGATATGCCTGCATTGGGCACATTACCACCTGAGCAAAATCCACATTCCATTAGCATGGAAAAAAGAGTGAAGCCACCAAGAATGTCTTTCACAGCCACTGATCTATGTTAGGGACACCACTTGAACAGTGAGCCTCCTCACAGTGGAGACAAACAACACTGAAGGATTTGCACATTGCATTGATTGGTTCATGTGCCTGAATCAAACTGACACTGTTAAGCTTTGGAGTAAATCATATTTCAACATAAATCACCAGGGGATGCATCAAAACACCTATTTGTGAAACTTGAATGGCTTGGGTTTGCAGATATAGTGCTCTCTAGCAAAAAGAGTAATGATTTTAAACTGACATTTCTTATGGTTGGTTCATATTAAAGACTCAGATTCATAACAAACATCCAATTACTCTTTAAAATGTCACAAATGTCACTGAAGTTGGTTTCTTTACAAATGTTTACCAGCGCCAGTTACACAGTGGCTGTGCTGGATGGGGTATATTGCATTGGATTTCTCCTCATTTTCAAATTCATATTCACTACATATCTAGGTATGTGTAATTGAGAGATTGTTTTTGGTTGACTAAAAGGTTGTCTGATTTGTTGACATTAAAAACAATGGAGAGTTGCCGGCAGTGGCTCATGCCTGTAATCATAGCACTTTGGGAGGCTGAGGCAGGCAGATCACCTGAGGTCAGGAGTTTGAGACCAGCCTGGCCAACATGGTGAAACCCTGTCTCTACTAAAAATACAAAAATTAGATGGACGTGGTGGCGCATGCCTATAATCTCAGCTTCCCGGGAGGCTGAGGCAGGAGAATCGCTGAAACCTGGGAGGCGGAGGTTGCAGTGAGCCGAGATTGTGCCATTACACTCCAGCCTGGGTGACAGAGCAAGACTCCATCTCAAACAAACAAACAAAACAACAACAACAAAACAAAAAACAAAGGAGAGTTAACTTAGTAGCCATGCTCAAATAATTGAATATTAGTCAAAATCTTTTGGTTGCCCAGAAGATGAACACAGGGGCTAGGTAACTCCAGAAGAACGCATCCTGGCTGACTCCCTGATTTTAGCGTGGAACACTCATTTTGGACTTGTGGCTTCCAGAACTTTAAGGTGGTGTATTTGTGTTGTTTTCAGCCACTACTGTAGTCACTAGTTACAGCAGCAATAGGAAGCAAAGACAGTAGATCGGTCAAGTAGAAACAAAATTCAAAATACTATTTATCAGACAATCAAGATAAGTGTAGTGTTCTGTGCTCAGCCACTTGGTGCCATGTGACCTACTTTCAAGAAACACCTGTGAGTTCTGTTTTCTATATATTTTCTCTTAGGATTAGAACCAGTGTTTATTACATGAAACACTTTTTTTTTTCGACAGAAAGGATTATTTTGGGCAGGGCGCAGTGGCTCATTCCTGTAATCCTAGCACTTTGGGGGTGCTGAGGCAGGCGGATCACCTGAGGTCAGGGGTTCAAGACCAGCCTGACCAACCAACATGATGAAACCCAGTCTCTACTAAAAATACAAAAATTAGCTGGATGTGGTGACAGGTGCCTGTAATCCCAATACTCGAGAGGCTGAGGTGGGAGAATCGCTTGAACCCGGGAGGCAGAGGTTGCAGGTTGCACTGAGCCGAAATCACACCACTGCACTCCAGCCTGGGTGACACAGACAGAGTCCTTCTCAAAAAAAAAAAAAAAAAAAAAAGAGAGAGAGAGATAATTATTTTGTCCTGTATTAGCTGGCTCCTTTTTTTTTTTTTTTTTTTTTTTTTGAAAGATAGGGTCTTATTCTGTCACCCAGGCTGGAATGCAGTGGTACAATCCTAGATCACTGCAGCCTTGAATCCTGGGCTCATCTGATCCTCCTGCCTCAGCCTCCTGATTAGCTAGGACTACAGGCATGCACCACCATGCTGAGTTCATTTTTGTATTTTTTTGCAGAGATGGGGTTTCGCTCTGTTGCCCAGGCTGGTGTCGAATTCTTGAGCTCAAGTGATCCTCCCACCCCAGCCTCTCCAGCTGCAGGGATTGCAGACGTGAACCACCACACCCGGTCTAGCTGGCTATTAAAAATGAATTACAATAATGTCCAAGTTCTGCATTTTCAGTCAGGAATTATCTTGGAGTAATGAATGAGGGGAAGGAAAAGTCACTCATCTTTTAGATTTCCATCAGCTGGCCAGAGAAATGACACAGGAATGAGAAGTAAATACAGGGGAAAATGTCTGGCTAGCTGTGGTTTGCTACACTTTTCAGCTACCAGCTTATACATTAGAATACTGAGGCTTGACTGATCATTTGCAATAACAGGGCCTGGAATGTTGCTTCTTACATACCATGAGTTTTGAGAGGATAAAAGCAGCACTTGTTTTAGACGGGGAAAAATTAACTTACATGCTGAAAGGAATGAATAATGTAGCTATTGAAGGGCACCTATAGACGGTAGTGGAGTCACAGCCATGGATTAATGCGGGATATGTGGAGGGCAGTCAGAAAGGGCTCCTTTCCCAAGCAGAGGAGGTCTCTGCCCTGAGGCTCCAGGCACTGCGCTCCTGCACCCTGCCTTGGGCCCTTCTCTTTTTTGATACGAATCTTCATAACCATTGTTCTCCTTTACTCACAGGCTTTTAAATGAAACCCTTGGAAATCTCAATAATGTATTTTCCCATTCTTTTTTTTTTTTTTTTTAAAGAAACGCCTCTGAGAAGAGAGGACACTTTTTCCATGACCCTTTGCTAACCAACCAAAGAATTCAATTCAATTCAGCAGTTACTCAACTAAAAAAAACAGGAAGAAACTCGAAGGGAAGGGGTATCTATATAGCTCCAAATACTCAGCTGTGGTGTCTTTCTTCTTTTTCTTCTTTCCTCCTCCTCCTTCTTCTTCTTCTTTCTTTTTTTTTTTAGACAGAGTAGTTTCACTCTTGTTGCCCAGGCTGGAGTGCAATGGCGCGATCTTGGCTTACTGCAACCTCCGCCTCCCGGGTTCAAGCGATTCTCCTCCCTCAGCCTCCTGAGTAGCTGGGATTACAGGCATGCGCCACCACACCCGGCTAATTTTGTATTTTTAGTAGAGACGGGGTTTCTCTATGTTGGTCAGGCTCTCCAACTCCCGACCTCAGGTGATCCGACCACCTCGGCCTCCCAAAGTGCTCGGATTACAGGAGTGAGCCACCGTGCCCGGCCTATTCTTTCTCTTATTTATTTTGAGACAGGGTCTCACTCTGTTGCCCACATGGGAGTGCAGTGGCACTATCACAGCTCACTGCAGCCTCGACTTCTGGGCTCCAGCAATCCTCCCACCTCAGCCCCCCAAGTAGCTGGGCCCACAGGTGCACACCACCACATCTGGCTAATTTTTCTATTTTTGGTAGAAACGGGGTTTCACCATATTGCCCAGGCTGGTCTCAAACTCCCTAGGCTCAAGGGATTCACCCGCCTCGGCCTCCAAAAGTGCTGGGATTATAGGTGTGAGCCGCGACACCCAGACTGCATGCTTATTCTTTACAGCATATAGAAGACACGGGTGGGGTGTTGGGTACTTGTTATGGCTTGAATTGTGCCCCTTCAAAATTCATCCGTTGAAGCCCTAACCCCCAGTTCCTCATAATATGGCTGTATTTGGAGATAAGCCTTTTATTTATTTATTTGAGATGGAGTCTTGCTCTGTCGCCAGGCTGGGGTGCAGTGGCGCAATCTTAACTCACTGCAACCTCTGCCTCCCTGGTTTAAGGGACTCTCCTGCCTCAGCTTCCCGAGTAGCTGGGACTACAGGCATGTGCCACCACACCCAGCTATTTTTGTATTTTTAGTAGAGATGGGATTTCACCAGGATGGTCTCGATCTCCTGACCTCATCATCAGCCCACCTCAGCCTCCCAAAGTGCTGGAATTACAGGCGTGAGCCACCGCGCCTGGCCAGAGATAAGCCTTTTAAAGAGGTGATTCAGTGAAAATGAGGCCATGATGGTGGGCCCTAATCCAATCTGACTGGTGTCCTTATAAGAAGAGGAAGTTTGGACATAGAGAGACACCTGGCCACGTGAGGACACAGCGAGAAGGCAAGAAGGCCTCTCTTCTTGGCTGGCAAGAAGAGAGGCCTTGGGAGAAACCAAATCTGCTGGCACCTTGATCTTGAACTTCTAGTCTCCAGAACTGGGAGACAGTGAATGTCTGCTGTTTAAGCCACGCGGTCTAAGGTATTCTGTTATGGTGGCCTGCAGCAAGTAATATAGTACTTAATTAGTAAACTCAAACCTCAACAGAGTGAGATTCAGTCTAAAAAAAAAATAAAATTAAAAGGCATACTAGGATTCTCTTCCTAGAGCCCCCCAAAAATCTCCTGAAATCAACCTGTCCGTCATCTCATATCCACCCCACCCCATTCCCCAAACGAGAACAAACAAATCCCACTGATCTCTTCTTTGGTTTCCCAGGCAGGCAGTTCTTAGCCTTACTATCTAAGGACCCTGCTGTTGGGCACCATCATCGGGAGGACATTGCTGATGTGGGAAACTGAAGCAAGTGCTCACCACATCAGCCCCTGCACAGCGCTGAGCTGCCTGGCCTGGCAGTATGTTGGTTCTTGCTTTCCCTGCTGACCCTCCTCTATCACTATGTGTGTCTGTAGTGTGTCTCTGTATTTCTCCTTTCCTTCAGCCCCGGTCTGTTACATTGCACAAAACAGGCAGTTTTAAATGTTTGTTAAATCACCACACATCTCTAATCAGTGCACATTCTGTACCTTCTAAAGAAGGCTCGGGGCGCGGTGTGTCACACCTGTCATCCCAGCACTTTGGGAGATGGAGGTGGGAGGACTGCTTGAGCACAGGAGTTCAAGACCAGCCTGGGGAGCCTAATGTGACCTCCCTTTCTACAAAAAAATTAAAAAATTGGCCAGGCTTGGTAGCTCCTGCCTGTAGTCCCAGCTACTCAGGAGGTTGAGGCGGGAGGATCACTTGAACCTGGGAAGTTAAGGCTGCAGTGAGCCGTGATCGTGCCACCACACTCCAGCCTGGGTGACAGAGCGAGACCCTGTCCTAAATCTAAAATCTAAAATAAAGGAGGCTCAGGGAGCAGCAGAGGCCTGTGGAGAAATGGGGTCCAGAGTCATTCTGAAGAGAGATCCAGAAACTGCTTCAGCATTTATCAGATGAAAGGTAAAGGGGGAGGTTAAGTCAAAGCTGCCTCCCATTCTTCCAGCCTGGGCAGTACCTCCATTAGATGGTAAGGCTAAGAACTGCCTGTCTGAAAAATGGAAGAAGAGATCAGTGGGATTTGTTTATTCTTGTTTGGGGAATGGGGTGGGGTGAATATGATGAGATTATGGACAGGTTGATTTCAGGAGACTTTTGGGGGCTCTAGAGAGAGGAACCTAGTACGCATTTATTTTATTTTTTTGAGACTGAGTCTTACTCTGTCGCCCAGGCTGGAGTGCAGTGGTGCAATCTCGGCTCACTGCAACCTCTGCCTCCCAGGTTCAAGCGATTCTCCTGCCTCAGCCTCCTGAGTAGCCAGGACCACAAGTGTCCATCACCATGCCCTGCTAATTTTTGTATTTTTTGTAGAGATGAGGTTTCACTATGTTGGTCAGGCTGGTCTCAAGCTCCTGACCTCAAGTGACCTGCCCACCTTGGCCTCCCAAAGTGCTAGGATTTGGGAGGCCACTACACCTGGCCTTACTATGCCTTTGGATAGTGAGTCTGGCTTTTTGTAGATGAGCCAGGGATCCATAGTGTCTCTAACACAGGCCAGGTACTAAGTTCTTTACTGCATCAACTCATTCCATCCCTATAACATCCCTATCAGAAGTACACTACTATTATAAGCCTCATTTTTTTTTTTTTGAAACGGAGTCTCGCTCTGTCTCCCAGGCTGGAGTGCAGTGAGCGTGATCCTGGCTCACTGCAAGCGCTGCCTCCTGGGTTCACGCCATTCTCCTGCCTCAACCTCCCGAGTAGCTGGGACTACAGGAGCCCACCACCACGCCCAGCTAATTTTTTTTTTTTATGTATTTTTAGTAGAGATGGGGTTTCACCATGGTAGCCAGGATGGTCTCGATCTCCTGACCTTGTGATCTGCCCGCCTCGGCCTCCCAAAGTACTGGGATTACAGGCGTGAGCCACCGTGCCCGGCCTATAAGCCTCATTTTACAGATGAGGGCAATGAAGCACAGAGATGTTAACTAACTTGCCAAGGTCACACAGCTGGTAAGGGACAGAAGAAAGGTCTGATTTAGGGCAGAGTCTGCTTTTTAATCACCAGGCTCTTTGCCTTTAACTACTGCCTCTTTAGGGAGAGGGAGAGAAGGAGAGAGGTGGGGGAGAGAGAGAGAGAGACAGAGAAAGGGCAATAACTCCATATAGATAGAAACTGAAGCTGTCACCCTACCCCCAAGAAGAGAGGCACATTTCTGTGGCTCCACTGTCCCAGTTTGCTTGCCTGTGGACAGCAGCGTCTCTAAGCCTAGGGATTGTTTTGCTGAGGCAGTGTGGCTACATTCCAGCCTTTTCCATGTCATTCTGTTAGGCTGGGGGAGCGATGACACTTCTACAGGATAGAGAGTAAACACATGGTTTGAGGCAGGTGGAGTTGCAGGCACGTGCCCTGCGTGTCCCTGCATCGTGCCTTGTCCGGGCGCTGGAGGAGGTGGGAAAGGGGGCAGCTTCAACTCTCACCTCATGGTGGGTGGGGCAGGAATATTGAACCTTGTGTGTCAGTGAAGAGAAAGCCCATTAGGCCAAGATCTGCAACATCATCATAGAAACCCACCCCATGTAGTAGTTACAGTTTAAGAGGAGCTTTTGTTCTGTCCCATGCTGATGAATTAATCATCAGGCTGGAGTGCAGAAGCAGAAAAAAATGAAACCAAATTGGTTTTCTTTTGGAGATCCATGGGTCCCTTCCCAGTGAAAGTTCTTTCCTCTGAAAATACATTTTGAGGGTGTTTTTTTTTTTTTTTTTTGGTTGTTTGTTTGTCCCTTTGCCTTGAAGTTTGTGAAATATTCCATAGCACTGTCCCTGCCAATTCTGCAGAAGTGTTGCTGTTGCTTAGAGCCTGTTCACAGCCAAGTGGGAGAGTTTCTCCATAAACTGCCATTTCAGTGAAAACACAGAAAATAAAATGCAATAAAGCAAATTACAAAGAGGGGGCACTGCTTAGCTCTGTGAATGTAGTGTGGCCTGATTTGCCCAGTCCTGCCTCTCTGACCTTGAGTTTATCTGTATTAGTTGGATATGCTAGTTTGCATATTGAGGCTTCCTTGCTCTCTTCTTTATAATTGAAGACCTATCATTGCTGGGAAAATATCCTGACTTCTTGATTTCTTTTCTAGGTCCTTTCACCCGACTCCCAAAAATCTGTCCTCAGGTAAGAAAGCCTTGATTAAACAAATTCCTTTACCAAGCAGTTGTTTTTAATATTGTTATTCTTCCCAGGTGGTTTTGCATTTTCAAAGAAGTGATGACGTGGCCTGGTGCGGTGGCTAATGCCTGTAATCCCAGCACTTTGGGGGGCCGAGGTGGGCAGATCACTTGAGGCCACGAGTTTGAGACCAGCCTGGCCAACACAGTGAAACGCTATCCCTACCAAAAAAAATACAAAAAAATTATCCGGGCATGATGGCGCGTGCCTGTAGTCGCTGCTACTTGGGAGGCTGAGGCAGGAGAATCGCTTGAACCCAGGAGGTGGAGGTTGCAGTGAGCTGAGATCACGCCACTGTACTCCAGCCTGGGCAACAGAGTGAGACCTTGTCTCAAAAACAAAAACAAACAAACAAAAAACCCCAAAGTGTCTGGGCACGGTGGCTCACACCAGTAATCCTAGCACTTTGGGAGGCTGAGGCGGGCGGATCAGCTGAGCTCAGGAGTTCAAGACCAGCCTGGGCCACATGGTGAAACCTCGTCTCTACTAAAAGTACAAAAAATTAGCTGGGCATGGTGGCATGCGCCTGGAATCCCAGCTACTTGAGAGGCTGAGGCAGGAGAACCGCTTGAATCCGGGAGGCAGAAGTTGCAGTGAGTCGAGTTCCACCATTGTACTCTAGCCTGGGTGGCAGAGCAAGACCCTGTTTCAATATAAATAAATAAATAAATAAACCCCAAAGAAGTTATGAGGTACTTCTCAAACTTTATACACAGATATATCACCTGAGTGTTAAGACGTAGATTTGAGTTAAGTGTCTGGCTTGGTGTCTGGGATTGTGTTTCTGACACCAGGCGATGCCACTGCTGCTGATCCGCAGACTACACTTTGGGTAGCAAGTCTGCAGAGGAATATTGAATGGTTATGGGAAAAACTATTGGGATGTGCATTAGGGTTCTCCAAAAAAAAAAAAAAAAAAACAGAACCAACAGAAGACATACACGTACGTATATATATATATATAAAATGTCAACCAAAATTAAGACTGAAATAATTTGATAAAGGCTTCTTGGAAGCCAAATGTGAAGACTGATGATGGGGGAAGTCACATCAACAAAGTTGGGAGTGTTCTGGAGTCTGTTACAAGGTGTTTGGGAGAAGGGAGGGAGACTCCTTATACTGGGGTTGTCCTTTTTCATTAGAGGGTGCAATACAGAGGTTGTAAGAACTGGCTACAGACTGCAACATACCGGCTAAAATGTACCCCTGAAAGACAGTCAGTGAAAGTTTATGACTCAGAAAGAAGTCAGCATACTTTTCAGTGTCAGTGGGGTATGCATTAATCAGCACATCAACAATCTGAGGAACTCGCGACAAGGTTCTTTACCCAGGGAAAAGACGTTGCCAGGCATCACAAGACCCTCCGAAGGAAGGTTAATTTGGCTGCCTGTGTATTTTTTTTTTTTTTTTTTTTTGAGACAGTGTTATGTTACTCCATTGCCCAGACTGGAGTGCAGTGGCGCTCTCTCGGCTCACTGCAAGCTCCGCCTCCTGGGTTCAAGCGATTCTCCTGCCTTAGCCTTCCGAGTAGCTGGGATTACAGGCACCCGCCACCACGCCTGGCTACTTTTTTTTTGTATTTTTAAGAGAGATGGGGTTTCACCACGTTGGCCAGGCTGGTCTTGAACTCCTGACCTCAGGTGATCCACCCACCTCAGCCTCCCAAAGTGCTGGGATTACAGGCATAAGCCACCATGCCTGGCATGCATATATATATTTATATATATAAAAATATATATATGCATATATAAAAATATATATGCATATATAAAAATATATATATGCATATAAAAAAATATATATATATAGAGATGCAGTCTTGCTTTGTTGCCAGGCTGGAGTGCAGTGGTGTGATCATGGCTCACTGCAACCTCCGCCTCCCAGGTTCAAGTGATTCTCCTGCCTCAGACCCCCAAGAAGCTGGGAATACAGGCACCTGCCACCACGCCTGGCTGACTTTTGTATTTTTAGTAGAGATGGAGTTTTGCCTTGTTGGCCAGGCTGGTCTCGAACTCCTGACCTCAGGTGATCCATCTGCCTCGGCCTCCCAAAGTGCTGGGATTACAGGTGTGAGCCACCACGCCTAGCCCAAGATCTATTTTTGTATAAGCTGCCTCCTGTCCTTTCTTTAAAGAGGGCATCCACAAATAGATGACAGAAAAGAAAATAATTCAGTGCCAAACTCCTCGTAGAGTGCGGAAGGCTAAACTTCATTCATCCAATAGATATTTATTGAGCACATACTATGTGCTTGGCACTGTTCGAGACACTTTATGAATAGAGCAGTGAATTAAACAGGCCAAAGTCTAACCCTGAGGGAGCATCTGTTAGAGAGAAAGACCAGCTCAGGAACACAAGTGAGGCAGGGCTGCCCAGAGCGCATGTGTAGGTATCTTCGTACTGGGGAAGACCATTTGTTGTAACTCAGCTACGATTGTTTAGTCAGCCTTTCAATAACCAGTGGGGAAGAAAATGTTGACTCTTAGTTGCAGCTAGGGTCATGTACTAGAAATGTAACTTGTGCTCATTCTCCTGCCCTAAACCTTGATTCTGCCTTTGACCACCCCATTTTTTCCTTTAATGCCAATTCCATGTTCTCTTTAGATGTCAACAGTGCCCTCAGGAGATAAGATGTCAGAATACTCGGCCAGATGGCATTTGTCTGTATTTTAATCAAAATGCCCCATTCTCTTTGCCAGTGTGAAGTAGCGATGTACCGTGTAGGGCGGAGACAAGAAACAGCACTGAAGCCTGCAGTAGCTTTTTAGGTTTGCGAGGTCAAGAAAGATACCCAGGCCAGGTGCGGTGGCTCACACCTGTAATCCCAGCACTCTGGGAGGCCAAGGTGGGCAGATCACAAGGTCAGGAGTTCGAGACCAGCCTGGCCAACATGGTGAAACCCCGTCTCTACTAAAGATACAAAAAATTAGCCAGGCCTGGTGGCACGCGCCTGTAATACCAGCTACTCGGGAGGCTGAGGCAGGAGAATTGCTTGAACTCGGGAGGTGGAGGTTGTGGTGAGCTGAGATTGTGCCATTGCACTCCAGCCTGGGCGACAGGGTAAGACTCCGTCTCAAAAAATAAATAAATAAATAAATAAATACAATAAAAATAAAGGTACCCAAAGGCTGGATTGGCTTAATTCTGTCAACTTCAGTGGCAGAACCCAGCACCATGATTGTGGGAACAAAGCCTCCCACAGTCAGCTGTGAGCAGATTCTGAGAGCCAAAGTACTGACATGTTGAAGTAAGTGGGGTTCAGGGAGAAAGTGAATGAGAGAAAGGGCCCAAACAGTGGTTCCCTATGTATCTATCTCCCCTATGGGCAGTGAGTATTTCTCCTGCATTGTCTCATCCAGGTTTTTCTTTCTTTCTTTTTTTTTTTTTTGAGACAGTCTCACTCTGTTGCCCAGGTTGGAGTGCCGTGGCTGGATCTCGGCTCACTGCATCTGCTGCCTCCAGCCTCCCGAGTAGCTGGGATTACAGGTATGCACCATCACGCCTGGCTAATTTTTGTATTTTTAGTAGAGAAGGGATTTCACCATGTTGGCCAGGCTTATCTCTAACTCCTGGCCTCAAGTGATCCACATGCCTTGGCCTCAAAAAGTGCTGAGATTACAGGGGTGAGCCACCACACCCGGCCTCATCCAGGTTTTTCAACCATTTAATGGAATGTTATTATCCTGTTTTTCACTAACTTAGCTGAACCCGATCACCAACTTTGATGAGTTTGTACCATATGCTACGCGTGACCTCTTTTTAACTGTCTCCGTATCCTTACGGGTTAGGTGTTACTACCCTTATTTCAGAGATCAATAAACTGAGGCTTAAGAAAGATTAAGTAACCTTCTCAAGGCTACAGAGCTGGTAGGTGGTAGAGCTGAGATTCAACCCAGCCAACCTACCGCCAGGATTCTGCATCTCAAAGTGCTTTTCAGACGTCTTAGGCACAAGGCAATCAGATGGCTGCTGTGATGATTCATCTGAGGTTCTCCTTACAATAATGTCACCTCCTTAACAGGAGACCCTAAGGCAGCAGCCCTCAGATGAGGCAGGGAAGAGAGATCCCATTACTCACCTTCAGGGAAGCCTCTAGTAACCCGCCACTCACTCATGAGGACTCCCTACCCATCACACACATGTCCAGTGGAAGCTGTTTATTTATTCAGTAAACATTATTAAATGCTACTATGTGCCA
This sequence comes from Homo sapiens, assembly GCF_000001405.40. NCBI lineage: Eukaryota > Metazoa > Chordata > Mammalia > Primates > Hominidae > Homo > Homo sapiens. Next base: position 31,561,753 of record NC_000021.9, on the reverse strand, counting down.
GGTACTCTTCTAAACACATTTTTTTTTTAAATTGTTGTTTTTTATTTATTTTTTTTTTGGAGACGGAGTCTCGTTCTGTTGCCCAGGCTGGAGTGCAGTGGCGCAATCTCGGCTTACTGCAACCACTGCCTTCTGGGTTCAAGCAATTCTCCTGCCCTCAGCCTCCTGAGTAGCTGGGACCACAGGAGTACACCGCCATGCCCGGCTAATTTTTTGTATTTTTAGTAGAGACGGGGTTTCACCGTGTTGCCCAGGCTGGTCTCAAACTCCTGAGCTCAGGCAATCTGCCCATCTTGGCCTCCCAAAGTGCTAGGATTACAGGAGTGAGCCACCGCGCCTGGCCAGCACATTGTTAATATTAACTCATTCATCCTCGTACCAACTGTATGTGGTATGAAGCACTATTGTTATCTCATTTATATAAATGGGGAAACCGAGGCACGGAGGCCTGAAGTAACTTGCCCTAGGTAACAGCTAGAAAGGAACCGGGCCTGAAATTAGGCAGCCTCACTCCAGGGTCTGTTCTTTTAAGGATGGCCAGATGTACTTCTAAACTTCCTTAGGGAAAAACCCTCTACTCATTTTCAAATATATGTATTTCCCCTAGATGGTGGCTTGTAACAGGTAAAGAAATGGCTCTTTGTCCTGGGATGAAAAGCTTCTCAAGGGAATTATTCTCCATTCCAAGCTGTTGGCTGAAACGAGGCTGGTTTTGGAAGGGGTGTCTTTGGAAAATCTCTCAAACTTGACTCAAAAACCTCCCTGTAATACTGATCATGGAACCTGGTGGACGCATCCGTTCAAGAGCTACCATGCTACCCATTCTTCTCAAACTGATGTTTTAGAAGCACTTCAAATCCTTAAAGCTCTTGCCTATAATTATAGCTCCTCTATAATTCATGGATTCCATGTTTTTTCAGTGCCCCAAATGTGCCAAACACTGTGCTAGGACTGGGATCCAGCAGGGAAGATAGATAAGATTCCGGCTTCCATGGAAGGCTGCAGTGCAACAGGCAACTTCAGCCCCGTGTCATACAGGCCTGTGAGGGGAGCACAGGGGGTGGAAGCACTGGAAGTGGAAATGTGGCATCTAACCTTGACAGGGTACAGGAGGCTTCCCGGGGTCTGTAAGAGCAGTAGTTCAGCAATGCCTACTGCATGGATGCCTTGGCGGCCAAGCTGGGATCTGAAGAAGGGTAGGAATTAGTGAAGTGAAGGGAGGGGCTGGGGGTTGACGTGTTCTGGGGAAAGAAAAGAGACCCAGAGTTGGGAGCGCAAAATGAGATTTTTCTGCTTAGAAGGATCATTCTGCAAAGTGGAGAACAGATTTCAGGGGGCAAGGCCTGGGACAGAAGGACGATGGGAGCCCTTTACTGAGGTCCAGGTGAGACAGGATGGGAGGAATGGGTTTGGGAGGTTAACAAAAATGGATGGGAGAGGGTTAAGAAGAAGGAGGAATCAGGGATGACTTTCAATTTTCCGGTTTAGGTTTATCTTCCACAGCGTGGGCAATTCTTTTTGTTTTCAACAAGATCACCCCGGGAGCGCAGACCTTCCCAGCTCCCGGGGCGAACACGTGTGTATGGAATCAAGGTGTAAGGAACATACATCCCAGCCTTTGTTGTAAATGGGGAAGTCTAGAGCTCTTCAGGAGAGGAGGAAGCTCCGGCCTCGTGTAGGGAAAGGTTTCGCTCGAGGCTGTACCGCCAGCGTCTCCGTTTCCGCGTTCTCCACAACCTTGCGAGAGGTAAACTGCAACTGTAGTTTCCGGATTTTACAGAGGAGCCCAGGAGGTCTGCGTGAACCCTGCCCGAGTCACTTACTCTGCCCAGCAGGTAAGCGTAAGGCCCAAACCCCACGCTGTTATTCCAAGTTCGCTTGCTGGGCACGGTAAGTGAACCCTGGGAGTCCTGGACTCTGGTGAAGGCCACCATGCCCTACCTGGAGGCTGCTCAGGGTCTAACATCCTCTAGCATCCACGGGAAGGGATTGCGTTAGGATTTTTTTCTCTCGTAAAAAAGTTCCTGTCTCCCCCTAGAGCCAGGCACACGCCTCCCGCGCCAGACCACTTGTCCCAGGCACAACATTTTTTGACTCTTCGCCTCCCCCGTTTCGATCCCCCTTCCTCTCCGCCTTAGGTGGCAGGAAAATCCTTTACCTCCGACCAATCCCACCGATGCCGAGCCGCGCGCGCGCGCCAACTAGAGCTCCGTCTGTGCACGCCATTGGCCACCTCCACCTATGCGAGATGACAGGCAGCTTCGCGGACCTATCGCCGAGGGAGGCAGAGGCCTCCGGCCCTCCCAAAGCTGCTTTGTTAGGGGCTCCCTGGTCGTCCCCCGGCCCGCCGCGCCTCCGCTGCCTGCGGGCGATCTCCCCGGGCCGCGCTGACGGAGCCTCGCAGGAAGGCATCTCTGGAGCGCGCGCCGCCCGCGCCCCTCCAGCCGCGCGCTCCGAGCCTGGCTGCGGCGCGGATACCCGGCGTGCGCCCATAGTCGCTCTACAGCCCAACTCCGAACGCCCCGCTCCTGCATCCACCGCCTCGGATTGGCTGGCCGGAGGCGGAGCGATTGTCAGGCGGCCCAATCGGAGCTCGGTTTCCCACGGGCTCCCGCGGCCCGGCCCCCGAGGCCGCAGGCGGAGGGGCCCTGACAGCTCCGATTGGCAGACCACGAGCGGGTTCGAGCGCGGCCGGCAGAGCAGCGCCGCCGCCGTCGGGCGCGCAGCTCTGCAGCTCCGCGGACGCCTTGGCGCCCGCAGCCCCAGGGGCACGGCTGCCCCGCATCGTGCCCGGCCCCGTCGCGGAGATCCCGGACGACCGTCGCGGGTGAGTACCGCGGGCCTGGGGTGCGCGGGCGTCCGGCCGGAGCCGCCCCGGGAGACGGCGGCGAGGATGCCCGGAGCCTCGGTGCCCGTGCCGGGCACGTTCTGACCCCCGTCTCCCGCACACTGGGGCTCCCGGCGGGTCCTAGCTCCCCCCGATCGGGCTTTCCACGTATTGTTTTCGTGTTCACACACTTGGGAGGTGGGGAGATGCGGGGAGGAGAGGCAGGAGGAGGCATCCCTCGCGCGAAGGAGGGAGACGAGACCGTGCAGCCCAGGTGCCTTCGCTGGATGGAAATGACAGCGTCCGGACGTCGGCATTCGGTCCTCTCGGCAGCAGGAGGTCAGCGCTGACCTGCGGCGGCCGCGGCACTTTGTATTTTATCGGCTGATTTTTGTCAACTTCGGGGAGGGCGTGCTTGTGCATCCTTGTGTCTATGTTTGCGTCTCGGTCCCTGACTTAGGCACCTCCGGGCCTGGCTTTTCGGCGACGCGTCCTGGGCGCTCACCTTGGCGATCCGTGCCGCCCTCGGGGCCGGGCTCACCGGGCGGAAAGCCCGGGGGCCGGCGCACGGAGCTGGGGACCCGCGACGAACCCCCGGAGGGGGGCATTAAAAGCGGAATCCTGCGGGTGCGCAGACAATGCCTCATCCGGGCGGTCGGGTCCCGGGGACTGTGCCCTGGGTCCCCGCGCCCTATCCCGTCCCCGCCTCGCCCTCTCACCAGCTCTGCCGCTGCGATGCTGCTGCGCCGCGCCCCTCGCCACCCGGCTGGGGACCCGCGTGGGGCCCGCTTTTGTTTACAGACCTCGCCATTGGGCGAGAGCAGCGCGCCGTGCGCCCCCCAGCCCCGGCGGCTGCCGCTTGCCCCCTCGAAACCTGGAGAAGTTGTTGCGCGCTGTCAGGTGACGCCCCCTCCCCCCGGCCGCGGGGCGGGATGCTGCAGGGGAAAGATGCCGTCTCGGCGCCTTCGCGCCCAGCCCCCGCCGCGCACGGCGCCTCTAGGTCCCCTGCACCCGGGGGCGCCCGTGTCCCAGCCTGGGGTCCAGGCTGGCGGCCCTCGGGGCGCCGACTCGGCCACACTCACCCGGTTCCAGTCGTCGCGTCTCCTGGTCTTGCCCCCGGGTCAGCCCTGGTTGACTCGGAGCCTGCCTTTTCCCGCGCGCTGGCAGGTCTTGAAGGACGTGCGCGAGCCCTTGGGGACACTGTGCAGTCTGTGCCCGCCTCGGTGACACCCGCGCGGCCCCGCAGGGCAGCTGTGCCGCATCCCGAGTCAGAGCCGTCCGGATCGGGTTACCCATGCACGCTGACTTGGCGCATACTTTGAGTTGGAGCAGAGGTTTAGAGCCTGTGCGCTGAGGTCAAACAAACCCGGGTTCCAGTACCTGCTCGGTGTCACTCACAAGCTGGGTGATCCCGGCCGAGCTATTCTATCTTCCTGTGTCTCAGTTTGCGCATCTGTAAAGTGGGGATAAGGAATAACCTCTAGGGGGGCGGGGCTTAAACGACCATATAGATTAACCTCAAAGCACAGTGACAGCCACGTATGAAATATTAGAGTCCTGTTGATTCTGTGTTAGAGGAAATCTGTAATAGAGGATGGCCCCTTGTCGCTTTCCTTTTCTGCGTTCTTCACTCCCCCAGCCCCAATTTCTTTTTATTATAAAAGGCATGAAGGACTGCTGTTCTCAGCTTCAAACAGGACTTGTTTTACTTGGCCTTAGGTTTAATTAGATTTATCTAATCGCTTGCAGCCCTTTTAAAAATGTGTTTGAATTTCCATTAGGTTTTAGTTGTTTCTTCTTTCTTCTTCAAGATTCTGCTGGGACCCAGACCTGGGTTTGGAGAAGGAAAAACCCTTCCAGGTGGAAAGCAGTTGCCAGTGAACCAAGGACTGCTGTGGAAAGTGATTAAGTCCAGGAAGGAGGGAGGTTTGAACAAAGAGATGTCTGGAGGTTAGGAGGGAACACTTTCTAGGAGAGATGAAATTTAAGCTATGCCTTGTAGCTGAAGAAGTTTGGTAAATTGTTGGTTTCCAGCATATGCTTTTTTGTATCTCAAGGTAAAAAGCTGGGCTAGGGAGGGTGGATGCCTTTGCGTGGTAAACACCGACGTTGCTAAGTAATTATCTTTGAATAGAGGAGAAATAAAACTTAAGGAAGAGGCTGTTGACTAAGCAGGGAAGGTAGAAGAGAATCAATTTCATTGAATATCTTCAAAATGTTGTGAATGTGTTTTGAGTTGTTTTTCCTCCACTAGCTCTGCACTGCTACTTTTCTTTAGGCAAAAAGAGAAATCAGTTTCATATAGAAATAAACAACACAAAATAATAACAGTCCATAATCAGATCAGATGATCTCAGGCTTAACGACAAAGATTTTATTGAAAAAAAAAAACTTCCTGTTTTAACACCCTTTTGCCTGTTGGAATAAATTATTGGGTCCAACAACACATTCTTTGAATGTAGGCCCCAGGGGCCTTTGCCAGCCAAAACAGGCAAACAAACAAACATAAACTCGACTTGTAGGCTGTCCAGTGGTTGGAGAAGCCCTCAGGATTGCGCTCTGTCTCTTCCGTTCCCCTGGGCCTGCCTCAGTTACCCCGAGTGGAATCTGACTCCCGTGAACCCCTATTCGGCTGTTGATGTGGAACGCGGCCAGTAGCATTGTTGCTAGATGTCAATTAATAAATATGATAACCTATTTAAAGTTGAACTCTCAGAAATGATTCTCATCCTTCTTGTACTTGTTCTGGGAATTCTCGCGCCCTTAGGGATGCTGAAGGCCTCTTTCCCCCCTGCTGTTGTGTGGGGATCAAATCAGTTGGGGGCCTAGACTTAAAAGGGAGCACGTGGTTAGGAAATCTCATTAGCTGACAATTTAACTCCACTCTAATGCTCGTCCAAAGAGCCCGGACAAAGACTTCCTCTCCTTTCCCTTTGCAGTTCTTTCTCCTTGCTCCTCTCTTCTCCCCTCCCCCTCTAAACCAGAAAGGAAAAGCAGCGTTGGGCCTGTCTCCTTCCCCCCAGATTCCTGCAGTTCTAGTGTGCCGACTGAAACCCTGGAGCCCTGAGCAGGAATTCCTTGGGAGAGTTTGCTGAGGGCCTACTAGGTGCATGTATTAACACTTCTGCGATTTCTGCAAGGATCATACTGTCTAAAGGAGAAACACGTTTTGTGAGACAACACTTTCATAGATGTGCAGTAGAAGCCTCTGGTTTTTCCAAATGAGGAAGGCAGGTGAGAGCATGGGAACCACATCAAAGCCTTGCCTAGAAATCTGTGCCGGGAGAGGGGGCTTCTGTCTGCTTGAGGAGGGCAGAGGAGTGGGAGTGAGAAGCCAGGAAGAAAATTCTGTTCCTCTGGGCCAGGTTACAGATTCTCATGAAAGTGCTGAACACCACGGACTCAGGCTCGTGGTTAAGAAAGAGCCTCGTTTTACGATCTCCAGTCATTTGGTCTTCTGTATCAAAAACACACTTTCACTGGGGATGTGTGTGTGTATGTTATATACACACATGTATATTTACATGTACATTTTCTTTCTAAATTAAGCAAACAGGTAGAAGGTATGTTTCTAAGGGTAACTCTCCTTTTGTTTTTCCCTCAATTCTGGACCAGAAAAATCAGATTAGCAGGGCTCTAGTAAACGTTTCTGTTTTTCCCAATTCCAAACTTCAGGTCTTTTCATCTCTAAGTACTCCATTTTATATAAGCTATAACTCCTGTGTAAAAAAAAAAAAAAAGAACAAATTCTCTCTCATCATCATTGTAGGCCAAATCATTTATTAAAAAAATAATAAAAGAGACATTCAGAAATAAAGCAGTACTCAGCAAGGAACAGAGTGTTTTTTAAAATAAAACAATGTTCTAGTGTAAAAGGGTACACGATATTAATAGTTAGGTGGAGTTTTCCCCTTCCATTCCCTTCCCAGCCTCTGGCACCGTCCTCCACACCCTCCAGCATAAGACCTTCCCTGTTCCTGTGGTCTCCAGGGACCTCATTAAGAAATTCATAAGGGCCTAGACTGTGGGCATGGGAAGCCGCAGAGATTCCTCCAGTGCGTGTGTGAGATTCTTCTAGAAGACCTTGAAGCTCTTTCACTAGGTGAAGAGGTTCTTCTCCCTCTGGGCTGAGGCAGAGCTGGGAGACTGCATCCTACCACGGAGCCCTGGAGTGGGGTCTCAGCTCACTGAAAGGATTGCAGAGGTGGAGGGGGTGGGGGTACTACGCAGGCATGATCTGAGAGCCGATCAATTGTCTGCTTTCAGAGGATGTTAAACAAAGAGTGATGATTCATCGAAGAACTCTGTGGGAGGAAGTTTCTTTCAGCTGAGCACAATCTCAGTTTCAGAATGGGCCCAGGGCCCTTTGAGGCTTGGTCCTGTCACCAAGTATTTCTTTCCTTAAAGGAAGACTTGGGTGTAGTTGGAGTGGGGGCATCCTAGCCTTTTGGAACCTAGCAAAACTGAAGTATAATATGGATGTTTTCTGTTTGGGACCACTTTGAATTCATGAAAGAAAGATGAAAGGGAGGGGGAAGTGTCTTTGGTTTTAAGAAAATAACACCTGTATTATTTATTCCAGCTTCTGCCCCGCTAGAGTATGATTTTATTAAAGAGCAAAGGACTCTAATGCAGTTGTGCTGGGAAAAAGATATAATTGGGAGGCAGTGGGGCTGAGTGTCCAAGCTTGGAATGGGTGGAGAAACTGATTGGAGATTGGGCTATGAGGATTCAGTTGCTTTTCCTTAAAGACCCAAAACACGCTTCTCTGTGACCATGAGGAAGACAGGATATCCTGCCAAAAAATCCTGGCTTTGCAAAGCCTGTTTCCAAAGGAGCGTTCTCCTGCCTCCCTTCCACTGTCCCTCCCACCTTGCCTGAGAGCTGCTAACCTTGTAAACATAGGTCAATCCATCAATCCTAGTTCCTGCTCTTGGTTTCCTCTGCCCACTCTGCAGGGGTAATAATGAGCCCCAGAAAGCCACCGCGTCATCTGGGGGCAGGGGGAGGTCACGATGAGGAGTGGGTCTTGGAATCCTCTTCGCTAGGGGAAGGGGAGATGTCAGGACCATGGAAATGGGGTGAACAGGATTTGCTACCCATTGCTTGCTCAGGAGGGAAGGTGGGATCGGGACAATAGTGACGTCTGCTTGTTGAGGGGCCTTGAGGTAGGGGTGAGGGTCTGACCTGCAAAACCTCTCCTCTGAGCCTTGTTGGAGGCCTCCATTGTCTGTTGGGAAAGATTGCAGCCCCAGGCCTCACCTTCCAGGGCTTCTTCAGATCCTGGGGCAAGATCTCTATCAACCCAACCCTCTTTTGGCCATCACCTGGGCTGGGTGGCCGCATTCCAGGCAAATGATAATTTCTTGCAGGAAAGTCCAGGAGGGTCTCATGAGCTCGTTCCCACTCACTCTTTGGGCAGTGTTTTCAGAGGCTCAGAACCACGGGGTTTATTCTTGCCATGACCTTCTGTGGGTTTTGTTTTGTTTGAAACTTAACAGGACCCTCACCCAACCAACTGGAGTAAAGTGTAAGTTCTTTCCTTCTTGCAGAATGTGCATCTCCATCTCCTCACAGGACACAGGATATCTTTGGAAAGTGATAATTTGGAGGGCAAGTTCTTTAGCATAATATGGGCTACCTGGGTACTGATAACCACAGGGTGCATCTCCACACTGCTAAGGCCCCAAGCTCCGTGGGGTACCCCAGGACACTCCTCCTCATGCCTGTTGCCTGGTGTCATTATTAATTCTACCACCTGACATGCTCAAAAATGACCCACTTTGGTCTCTCAGAATCCTGTGTCCCAAGTGTCCCAGCTGTAACTCTGAGTATGTTTTAAATAACTCTATCTAGTACTGTTCTGATGGCAGATTCTGCTTTGTTCTAGTGGTTAGCAGCATCTGCCTTTTGGTTTCAAAGTGTGTTCTAACTGGGGTCGGCTGTGCTTGTTGGTGGAGAGATGAAGGCGGTGCCACGTGCACTTCCTTTCACCTGAAATTTTCTTTGGATTCCAGAGTTATTAAGGTATTTGGATGCTCATTCTTGCCATGGCAGAGTTTTGACCTTTTTATGATGATTCTTACTGTCTGCCCTACATGTGGTGTGGTAGGGACTTTCAACAGGTTTCTTATTCTCTCTCTTTTTTTCTTTTTGGAGATAGAGTCTTACTCTTGTCACCCAGGCTGGAGTGCAGTGGCACAATCTCGGCTCACTGCAACCTCCATCTCCCAGGTTCAAGCAATTCTTGTGCCTCAGCCTCCCTAGTAGCTGTACAGGCGCCTACCACCATGCCTGGCTAATTTCTGTATTTTTAGGAGAGGCAGGGTTTCACCATGTTGACCAGGCTGGTCTCGAACTCCTGACCTCAGGTGATCTGCCTGCCCCGGCCTCCCAAAGTGCTGGGATTACAGGTGTGAGCCACCGCGCCTGGCGGAGGTTTCTTGTTAAGGATCCAGCCTACATCTCTCAGCTACCTTTGTAGTAGGGACGCAGTTTTTGTCTATCAAACTTGAGTTGGTTTTGCTTAAATCACACTTAATTCACAATTTTACTCAGTAGTAATGATCTAGTTTAATATTTTTTCTGACATAAATTATATTTTTATTTCATGCAGATACTTCGACTCAAGTAATGCAAAGTTCGATTTGATTGTAAAAATAATGTGCAGGCTGGGTGCTGTCTCTACTAAAAATACAAAAATTAGCTGGGTGTGGTGGCGCACACCTGTAATCCCAGCTACTCAGGAGGCTGAGGCAGGAGAATTGCTTGAACCTGGGAGGTGGAGGTTGCAGTGAGCCGAGATCACGCCACTGCACTCCAGCCTGGGTGACAGAGTGAGCCTCCGTCTCAAAAAAAAAAAAAAAAAAAAAAAAAAAGTAGTGCAGAGTAAAAATTCCATATAGCATTAAGAGACTCAGAACAGATGCGCTTCTCTTGAAAAGTATTGTAACAGTCTTCTGCCCCGGTCCTGTTTTATTCCCATCCAGCCTGATATTCTCTGGAAACAATTACATTTGTTCATTTTTGTTTTTAGTGCTTCTAGTGATTATCTTTATATCTCTAAATAGTATGAATATATGATTTAATTCTCAGCTTCCTGTTATAATGAGTGGCAATTGCATCTCACCTACTTCCTTCATTCTCCACATTTTTTGATAATTATACTTATGGTTCTTTTTTTCTTTTCTTTGAGATAGGGTCTCGCTCTGCTGCCTAGACTGTAGTGCAGTCACGGCTCACTGCAGCCTCAAGCACCCAGGCTCAAGCGATCCTCCTGCCTCAGCCTTTGGAGTAGCTGGGACTACAGGTGCATGCCAGTATGGCCGGCTAATTTTTTAATTTTTTGCTATAGAGATAGGGGTTCTACTATAGTGCTCAGGCTGGTCTTGAACTCCTGGACTCAAGCGATCCTCCTGCCTCAGCCTCCCAAAGTTCTGGATTACAGGTGTGAGCCATGGCATTTTTTTTAATGGTTCTTTTTCTTTCTTTCTTTTTCTTTTCTTTTTTTCTTTTTTGAGACAGAGCCTCGCTCTGTTCCCCAGGCTGGAGTGCAATGGCATGATCGCGGCTTGGTGCAATCTCTCCACCTCCCAGGTTCAAGCAGTTCTCCTGTCTCAACCTCCCAAGTAGCTGGGATTACAGGTGTGAGCCACCACGTCCAGCCGTGGTTCTTTTTCTTTTTTCTTTTATTCTTGTTTTTGTTTTTGTTTTGAGATGGAGTCTCACTCTGTTGCCCAGGCTGGAGTGCAGTGGCATGATCTTGGCTCACTGCAACCTCTGCCTCCCAGGTTCAAGCGATTCTCTTGCCTCAGCCTCCCAAGTGGCTGGGATTACAGGCACCTGCCACTGTGCCTGGCTAATTTTTTTTGTATTTTTAGTAGAGACTAGGTTTCACCATCTTGGCCAGGCTGGTCTTGAACTCCTGACCTCATGATCCACTCTCCTCCAAGCCTCCCAAAGTGCTGGGATTACAGGCGTGAGCCACTGCGCCTGGCCTTATGGTTCTTGAATTGATTATTCTTCAGTCTTTATATTACTGACATAGACCTTTAATTTAGTTACATCAACCAATGACAGTGACTTTTAATCCCTCCCTGCCCTTGTGAAATTAGAAATGGATGTCCTGATCTTCTCTTTTTCTCCTTAACTTTCTTCCTGGCTCTACCCCCAGCTCCGTCAGCAGTCAGGAGTGGTAATGTTGTGTTGGTACATTGTATTTCTGTAATCATGATTAAGTCTTCTAGGTTTTCTCTATAGATTGTTTTTATTTTTATGACAGTATTATTAAGATATACTTCCACCTCTTTTTAAAGTAGACATTTCAGTGGTTTTTGATAAATTTACAGAGTTGTACAACCATCACCACAGTCGATTTTAGGACACTTTCATCACCCCAAAAGAAACCCTGTACCCATTCACAGTCACTTCCTTTCTCTACCCTTCCTCCCAGCACTTGGCTACCACTAATCTACTTTCTGTCACCATGGATTTGCTTAGTCTGGACATTACCGAGAAATAGAATCCTATAATATGTGGTCTTTTGTGACCGGCTTCTTTCATTTAGCATCATGTTTTCAAGGTTCATCTGTAGTGTGACGTGTATCAGTATTTTACTCCTTTTTCTGGCTGAATAATATTCCATTGTATGGGTATACTACATTTTGTTTATCCATGTATCAGTTGATAGACATTGGGTTATTTCCACCTTTTGGCCTTTGTGTGTAGTTACTGTTATGAATGAATATGGCACAAGTATTTGTTTGAATATCTTTTTTTTTTAAATTCTTTTTTTTTTTCTTTTGAGACGGAATCTCTCTCTGTCGCCCAGGCTGGAGTGCAGAGGCACGATTTCGGCTCACTGTAGCCTCCACCTCCCAGGTTCAAGCAATTTTCCTGCCTCTGCCTCCTGAGTAGCTGAGACCACAGATGCATGCCACCATGCCTGGCTAATTTTTGTGTTTTTAGTAGAGACAGAGTTTCACCATGTTGGCCAGGCTGGTCTCGAACTCCTGACCTCAGGCCACCTGCCTGCCTTGGCCTCCCAAAGTGCTGAGATTACAGGCGTGAGCCACCACGCCCGGCCTTTTAAAAAAATATTCTTTTGGATGTAAACCTAAGAATGGAGTTGCTACGTCATACGTAATTCTATGTTTAACGTATTGAGGAACTACCAGATTATTTCCCAAAGTGGGTGCACCATTTTACATCCCACCAGCAGTGCATAAAGAGTCCAATTTTCCCACATCTTTGTCAACACTTGTTATTGTCTGTCTTTTTGATTATAGCCATCCTATTGGATGAGCGGCTGTATCTCCTCATGGTTTTGATATGCATTTCTCCAATAAATAATGTCATTGAACAGAACATCGTTTCATGTGCTTGTAGGCTAATCGTATATTTTCTTTGAAGAAATGTATCTTCAGACGTGTTGCTCATTTTTAATTTTTTTTTATTAATAAGTTGTAAGAATTCTTTATCTATTCTAGTTATAAGTCCCTTATCAAATATATGATTTGCAAACATTTTCTCCATTCTGTGCGTTGTCATTTAATTTTCTTGATGATGCCCTATGCATATTTATTTTTAAAAGCTGAAAGTCAATAAAAAATGTTTACTTAGTCATGATTCTGCCAATACTTTTCACTACATATGTAGGTGGTATGCTAATTTACATTTCCTTTTCTACACTTCTGGCATGACTAATTAAGTTATAGATCAAGAAAAGGAACACAGGAAACATTTTGTTTTAAAACACCAATTTCACACTTAAAAAAAGCAAAACTTTGTTTACTTAAAAAAACTCTGAATCACTCAGTTATTTTATTTATCAGAGCTTCTTGAAGGAAATATTTGCAATGAGATTTGGAAGTGAACTACCTTTGGTATCAGCTTTTGGGTGTTAAACTTTTGCTGGGTGGTAGTTTTTGTTGTGTTTTATTAATACAGAGGCTCTCAACTGGGGGCAGCCTTGCCTCCAAACATTTGGCAATGTCTGGAGATATTTTTGGTTGTCATGGCTAGAGAGGTTCTAGTGGCATCTAGTGGGTAAAGGCCAATGATGCTGCTGAACATCCTCCAGTGCATAGAACAGCCCACCAGGACAGTGATCAGGTCCATAGTCAATAATGTTCAGCTTGGCCTGGCACGGTGGCTCATGCCTGCAATGCTGGCACTTGGGGAGGCTGAGGTGGGTGGATCGCTTGTGGCCAGGAGTTCGAGACCAGCCTGGCCAACATGGTGAAGACCCATCTCTAGAAAAAAATACAAAAATTAGCTGGGCATGGTGGTGCATGCCTGTAGTCCCAGCTACTTGGGAGGCTGAGGCAGGAGGATTGTTTGAGCCCAGGAGCAGAGTTTGCAGTGAGCTGAGATTGTGCCATTGCACTCCAGCCTGAGTGACAGAACGAGGCTCTCGTCTCAAAAAAAAAAAAAAACAACAACAAAAGGTTAAGGTTGAGAAACCCCACATTTAAAAGACACAGATGGCCTGGCACGGTGGGTCACGCCTGTAATCCCAACACTTTGAGAGGCTGAGGTGGTCAGATCACTTGAGGTCAGGAGTTCGAGACCAGCCTGGCCAACATGGCGAAACCCGTCCCTACTAAAAATACAAAAATTGGCTGGGTGTGGTGGCACACACCTGTAATCTCAGCTACTGAGGAGACTGAGGCACATGAGAATTGCTTGAACCCAGGAGGCGGAGGTTGCAGTGAGCTGAGATCTCGCCACTGTACTCCAGCCTGGGTGACACAGCGGGACTCTCTCAGCAAAAAAAAAAAAAAAAAAAAAAAAGACACAAATAACAAATACTATTCGAGATCACATGTTGAAATGTCTTAGGAAAGAATCTTGTACTTTCTAGATATTTGGAACTGAGCTATCTTGAGGCATCAGCTTTTGGTTATTATTTTAGCTGGAATTAAATTAAGAAAGTGTATCTTCCTTTTATACAGTAGAAAGTTCTTTAAAGCTAGATAATAATTTCAGGTGTTTTGGGCTTTTGTGTGCTTGAGCAAGTTCTTTCAATTAATGTCTTCTGGATATTGCTAATAACTGTGTCATGCAAAGCTCATCCTTAACCCTCAAATCTGTTATGGTTAATATATTGCTGGGTGATTATTACAAAATTACTCCTCTTAAGCAGTTTATCGAGCATTGAAAATATTTTCAGAAAACGTTCCAAGTGTGGTGCATGGTCTACCATGACATTTTAGAAAAGATGTGTGAATGTTCAAATAATTATCTCATCTTGAAATCTCTGTGATTAGAAGTTACAATTTCAGTGCCACAATTATATCAATTGAACTTTAACATTTCATTGTAATTATAAAAATTAAAACCTTGTAACTGTGGTTCTTAGTTAACTAAACAATTTAGCAATCGAATTCCTTAAAAGTAGATTGAAAATCCTCACCCTGTAGTTTTTTTCCTTTTTTCCCCCTGCTGACGGACAGCTAATTGCTTTAATTTTGAGGGTTGGATCTGCCTGCAACCTTGGCCCTGTGAAACCTCACCAATTGTATCAAACAATTCAAATTATCTTAAAAGTTTGTGGGAGTCTGTTGCCACAATTTCAGTGGACTTCAAGTAAGAATACACAAATGACAGTCTCTTTCTTGGAAGATGGGCTCAAAACCAGATATACTTTGTTTCTAAAAGTTGCCGGTTAGCATGAGGAACCTGCAGTCTTCATGACAAAGACTTTAGAGATCCCAGTTAACTGCCCATTCTTTAAAACAGGACCAGTTAATGTAGCTTATTAGAGTGGGAAGGGCTAAAATTGTTCCTTTTGGACAGACTGAATTTTAATTGTAGTGATCCATGTCTTCTCAGCCTGTGATACAGCAGTTCTGAATCTCATCCAAGTCAGGAAAAGTGAATTTATGAGCCTCCTAGCAACTAGCAACTAGTAAGCTGGAATGCCTGGACCTTATCTTTATTACAACATAGGAGCCAGCCCCCCCCCACTATTTTGGGGCACAGCCCTGCAGCTGAGACAGCTGAGACAGTAGTAACAGGGCTTTGGGGAAAGTTGTTTCAAGGGTATAAGATATGGTCTTGGTTGCTGCATTATGGTTGCTAGAGAACTTTAATTTGGGAAAAACTTGAAAACTCAAGGTTTTTCAAGCTTCAACAAGTTACTTCGTGGAATTCTGGAGCAGAGGAGAGTCAGGTTTAATAGTTTTTACTCCCACTGTAGATGCTGTGACATGCATATCCTTGAATTTTTTCCTTTGCCATGAATAAAATATTTCTGACCTCTAGCAGTGTTAAAATGGTTAATAGCCTTTGATTACATGGGCCCACCCTTCTCCATTTTTCTCAGGCATGCTCTGGTTTCTTTCTTTCTTTCTTTCTTTCTTTCTTTTTTTTTTGAGATGGAGTCTTGCTCTGTCACCCAGGCTGGAGTGCAATGGTGCGATCTCATCTCACTGCAACCTCCACCTCCTGGTTTCAAGCGATTCTCCTTCCTCAGCCTCCTGAGTAGCTGGGATTACAGGCATGCGCCACCATGCCTGGCTCATTTTTGTATTTTTAGTAGACATGGGGTTTCGCCATGTTGGCCAGGCTGGTCTCGAACTCCTGACCTCGTGATCTGCCTGCCTGGACCTCCCAAAGTGCTGAGATTACAGGTGTGAGCCACTGAGCCTGGCCTCTGGTTTCTTTTTAACATTTTTTTTTCCTTCTACCTGGGTAATTCTTCTGGAAGATTCCATCACAGTTTTTTTTTTTTTTTAAATTACAAATACCTCTTTTCATTACATAAAGTGTGCCAGAATACCCATTATAAATATTCTTTAGTGTTGAGATTAAGGGTGGTTGTTATTTTCTTTTATTAAAAATTTTTTTTAAAATAAATTAAAACAATTTTTTTCTCTTCCTGTATAAAAGCAACTTATTTTCTTCTGTATGATTTTCTCTAACTTTGAAAGATTTTGTGATGAGTAGTAGTTACTTGTATAATCAGAAAAATCACATTAATGAATATACACCTTCATCTTTGAATGGGTGTGACTAGTGGACACTTAAGCCCCCCAAAGTCATATTTTCTCGTTTTGTAATCCACTTTACACATGGAGATTAATCACAAAGTGTTCCTCTTAACAACAAGGACCTTGGGAAGAATAAAGAATATGTGGGCTCTGTCAGAGTGAACAAAGATGAGAAAGCCAGTGGGGGCCACAGAGGAGCCCAGTGATTAAATCTCAATGGAAGGATTAGCGCTATTAATGGATCCTTTCAGGCTGGGATTGAACCAAGACCCTCAGTCATCAGAACATTGTTGACCTTGGAGGGTTGAGTGCCTCCCCTTTTTTCCCCTTTCTCCTTAGACACTAGTCTTATATCCACAGTCCCAATCATGGTTGTGTCTCATGACTTCAGCTTTTCTCTAGGATTGCCTCCTGGTTCATGAATGATCCCATCTTCTCTGAATGTCCCAAAGCATTGATGATTTCCAAGACATTTAATTCATGTCTTTGTTAGTTTCCTCCCGGTAACAAGGTACCTCAATCTGGTGACTTAAGACAACAGAAGTTTATTCTTTCACAGAACTGGAGGCTAGAAGTCTGTAATCAAGGTGTCAACAGGGCCACACTCCCTCTGAGGGCCCTAGGGAAAATTCTTTTCTTGCCTCTTCCAGCTTTTGGTGGCTCCAGGCAATCCTTGGCTTGTCACATTATCATTCCAATCTCTGACATTATCACATGGCTGCATTCTCCATGTGTGTCTGTGTGTCTGTTTCCACATCTCCCCCTTTCTCTTATAAGGTTATCAGCTATTGGCTGTAGGGCCCAGCCTAATTCAGTATGACCTCTTCTTAACTTGATTATATCTGCAAAGACCCTGTTTCCAAAGAAGCTCACATTCACAGGTACCAGGGATTAAGGTTTTGACATATCTTTTTTTTTTGAGACGGAGTCTCACTCTGTCACCCAGGCTGGAGTACAGTGGCGTGATCTTGGCTTACTGCAAGCTCCGCCTCCCGGGTTCACGCCATTCTCCTGCCTCAGCCTCCCCAGAAGCTGGGAATACAGGCGCATGCTGCCACGCCTGGCTAATTTTTTGTATTTTTAGTAGAGATGGGGTTTCACCATGTTAGCCAGGATGGTCTCGATCTCCTGACCTTGTGATCCACCTGCCTCGGCCTCCCAAAGTGCTGGGATTACAGGCGTGAGCCACCGTGCCTGGCCAGGATTTTGACATATCTTTTTTTGAGGGCTACAGTTCAACCCATAACCATGCCCAGCTGCTCTGTTAGACTGCCTGTTTGTTTGCTTGTTTATTTATTTATTTTGAGACGGAGTCTTGCTCTGTTACCCAGGCTGGAGTGCAATGGCGTGATCTCAGCTGACTGCAACCTTTGCCACCGGGGTTCAAGTGATTCTCCTGCCTCAGCCTCCTGAGTAGCTGGGATTACAGGCGCCCACCATCGTGCCTGGCTAATTTTTGTATTTTTGTAGGGGTGGGGTTTCACCATGTTGGCCAGGCTGCTCTTGAACTCCTTCGTCATTTCGAGGTTTCCATTTCACCGGAACCAAATGTTAGCTCTGGTGGTCTGGGACAGCAAGAGGGATCGTGGCCCTTTTGAGAAAGAAATGGGCTTTTCATCCTGACCTCATGTAATCTGCCTACCTGGGCCTCCCAAAGTGCTGGGATTACAGGCGTGAGCCACCACAAGTGGCCTATTTTTATTTATTTATTTATTATTTATTTTTTGAGACCATCTCCCTCTGCCCCCCTGGCTGGAGTGCAGTGATATGATCTTGGCACTGCAACCTCCGCCTCCCAGGTTCAAGCGATTCTCCTGTCTCAGCCTCCTGAGTAGCTGGGATTACAGGCACTTGCCACCATGCCCAGCTAATTTTTATATTTTTAATACAGATGGGTTTTCGCTGTGTTCGCCAGGTTGGTCTTGAACTCCTGACTTGAACGATCTGCCCACCTTGGCCTCCCAAAGTCCTGGAATTACAGGCGTGAGCCACTGTGCTGGGTCTTAGACTGCCTATTTAAATTGGTTAAGGACGTGTAATATGGATATGTCCTCAGTGCTAAGAAGCTTGATTTTCTGAAAGCTTAGCTCTGATACGCCACCTGTGTTTTAAACTTTCGGTGGCTATGGCTAGCCCTACTGGTCCAGACCTTGTTTTTCAATCTTGTCTGACAGGACTCCTTGTTCAAATCCTTTGAGCCAGTGAAACAGGAGTTACTTCTCCTCGGGGATATATCCTGTTTTCTTATTCTTTTGCTCACACTGTTTCCAGATCTGGGACATTTCTATTTCTGCACGTCAAAATCTACCTCCTCTTCTAGGTGTGGTTGAAATCAGCCATCTTCTTACAGTTTTCCTCGATGTTCTGCTTCCTCCGTGACTTGAAGTCGTCCCTTCCCTTCTGAATCGTTACAATGTTTCTTTTCTGTGTGTTGTTATAGTCTAGCTTGGGTCTCTGTGGACACTTGCCAGACCGCAAACTCTTAGATGGCAAGGTCTCAGCCACATTCATCTCCCACGGCGCTGCTGTGGAGGAGCTTGGCCTGTGTTTGGATAAACTTGCCCCGATTTGTAACTCAGCAGTCTGTACGCACGCATGACGCGCAGGTCATTGCCAAGAGCGCGAGCTTGGAATGGTGGCGGCTGTGGGACGAGAAGCCCAAAGTGAAAAGGGGATTTTACTCAGGAGAGATCAGAGAGGGCAACTTCCCTATGGGCCCATTGGAGAAGAAAGTTTCTCTTAGTTGCTGATGAGCAGTTTCCAGCCAGGGTGAAACTGATGTATAGGAAGAGGCAACATGAGGCAGCATGTACTCTGAGGGGGAAGCAGGGTAGGCAAGCAGTTTGGAACCAGCAGATAAACAGAAACCAGAAAACCAAGAAAAACATCGCACCGATATGCCTTTGATTCCAAGGTGAGCCCTTCTGGACCTGTTTTTATTTTTATTTATTTTTTATTTATTTTGAGATGGAGTCTTGCTCTGTCACCCAGGCTGGAGTTCCGTGGCGCAGTCTCGGCTCACTGCAACCTCCGCCTCCCGAGTTTGAGTGATTCTTCTACCTCAGCCTCCCGAGTATCTGGGACTACAGGTGCGCACCACCATCCTGGCTAATTTTTGTGTTTTTAGTAGAGACAGGGTTTTGCCATGTTGACCAGGCCTTGGTCTTGAACCCCTGACCTCAAGTGATCTGCCCTGCTCAGTCTCCCAAAGTGCTGGGATTACAGGCATTACTGTGCCCAACCGTGGACCTGGGTTTTTAAAAAGTGTCACAGGGACTGAGCAGCCCAGGACCTAACCTGCAAATGGTTGCGGAAGAATTTGTACCTGGATACTGAGCCTATGTGTAGAAAATCATGGATGATCCTTGAGGGAGTAGTAAGGGTTGGGGGGCAAGTAGAAATAGAGAGAAGCTGAGTTCCCTAACCTCAAGGAGAAAACATTTTGCCTCAGAGGTGAGATGATCCCACAATGCTGTACCTATTACTTTTTTTTTTCTTTTTTTTTGAGACGGAGTCTCGCTCTATCCCCCAGGCTGGAGTGCAGTGGCGCGGTCTCGGCTCACTGTAAGCTCCTCCTCCTGGGTTCACGCCATTCTCCTGCCTCAGCCTCCCCAGAAGCTGGGAATACAGGCACACACCACCACGCCCGGCTAATTTTTTTTTTATTTTTAGTAGAGACGGAGTTTCACCGTGTTAGCCAGGATGGTCTCGTTCTCCTGACTTTGTCATCCTCCCGCCTCGGCCTCCCAAAGTGCTGGGATTACAGGCGTGAGCCACCGCACCTGGCCTGCTGTACCCATTACTAAGCATTCAGAAGAATGAAGGAGATCTTCATGGGAGGAGCCTGGCTTGAATGCCTGTGGTTGGGTCAAGGGTTGAGGGCATAGTCTTCATTTCGAATGACCACAGAGGGAGGGGTGAGGGCACTGGTTTTAGGGAAAGTGAGGAAATTGCTAATTGAGATCTGATAAGGATTCAGGCCTTTGCTTGACTTTCCCAACCTATTTTTCTAGGCAGTTGGGCAAGCACTTAGCTTCGAAAGGGATTTTGTGCTGCACATGGATCAGCTTACTCTTTTAAAATGTGTTTTTATTGACTGCATGATTTTTGTAAGAACAATAAAATGCATTTAAAAGGAGACATTCTTCTGCATTCCTAGGATAGGAACACATTGGTTGCTTTTGGTTTTCTCTGTTTTTTCTTATCCATATTTTGGATGTACTTTTTATATAATTGTAACTCTTAAATAGATACAGCTTTGTATTTTGTTTCTTTTCAGGTAGTGTTACACCATCAGCCTGCATATTGTAGCCACTTTATCCTCATATTTCTCATTTATAATGGTCATACATTTCAGTGAGCTCATAATTTACTTAACTATTCTCCTGTAATTGAACATTTATGTAGTATTATTTTCATCACTATTTTAATAATCTTTTTTGACCTTTTTCTTTTCTTTCTTTTTCCTTCTTTTTGAGACAGGGTCTCACTCTGTTGCCCAGGCTGGAGTGCAGTGGCATGATCTTGGCTCAGTGCAGCCTCAACCTCTGGGGCTGAAGCGATCCTCCCACCTCAGTCTTCCGGGTAGCTGGGACTACAGGCGGGCACCACCACACCTGGCTAACTTTTGTATTTTTTGTAGAGAAGGGGTTTTGCCATGTTGCCCAATCTAGCCTCAGACTCCTAGCCTCAAGTGATCTGCCCGCCTCAGCCTCCCAAAGTGATGGGATTAAGGCATGAGCCACCATGCCCAGCCTGACATTCTTTAAGTATATATTGTTTGCTTGCTTTCTTTTCTAAACATACTTTTCTCAGGATAAATTCCCAGGATGTGGGTTCTGTATTCAATATGTATTAAATATGACACTGTAAAAAATAGCTCTTGATTTGAATTGCCAAACTGCCTTCCAGAAGCTTGATTGGTCTTCATCAGTTGATGTATATATCCATATATGAATTTATCAATAATAAGTATATTGGACTCACCACAGCCTAACTAGCAACGGAATCTTAATCATTTCACTTTATTTTGTTGCTGTTAATTGAACAATATCTCCGGCTCTCTCTCTTTCTCCATTTCTTTACTTTTCAGGTAGACTTTACTTTTCGTGTTTATTACTTTAAACATTGTTTTAAGTGTTTACAAAACACTATCATTATCTTATCACTTAAATCTTTCTTACGCCTCAGAGCAAAAAAAACAAACAAAAGAAAACTATGAACAACTGTCTTTGGATTCCTCATCTGTGAGATGTTGTTTCTGAGGTCCTTTCTAGCTTCCAGTGTCTTGAGTCTTTGATTTTATGAACCAGAAGTTTAAGAAGTGAGCAGGCTGGACATAAGAGAGCCTCATCTGCAGAGATGGGGGTCCCCGTATGTTGCCCAAGCTGGTCACAAACTCCCAGGCTTAAGCGATCCTCCTGCCTCAGCTTCCCAAAGTGCCGGGATTATAGGCGTGAGCCACCTCTTCCGGCCACTTGAATACTTTTATAAGTGGTGTTTAGGACTATAACCATTGTACTCGCTACCTTTTTTTTTTTTTTTTTGAGATGGAGTATTGCTCTTTTTGCCTAGGCTGGAGTGCAATGGCGTGATCTTGGCTCACTGCAACCTCCTTCTCCTGGGTTCAAGTGATTCTCCTGCCTCAGCCTCCCAAGTAGCTGGGATTACAGGCGCATGCCACGACACCCAGCTAATTTTGTATTTTTAGTAAAGATGAGGTTTCACCACGTTGGCCAAGGTAGACTTGAACTCCCGACCTCCAGTAATCCACCTGCCTTGGCCTCCCAAAGTGCTGGGATTATAGGCGTGAGCCACTGCGCCCGGCCTGTACTTCCTACCTTTTATTGATCCTTTCCCTTGTGCTAGGCCTTAATTTTTTTTTTCTTTTTTTTTTATGTTTTTTTGAGACGAGGTTTCACTATGTTGCCTAGGCTGGTCTTGAACTCCTGGGCTCAAGTGATCCTTGTGCCTCAGCCTCCCAAGTAGCTGATATTACAGGTGCGTACCACAGCTTGCACTGGGCCTTTTTGATACTTTACATGTTATCATTAAGAAGTCCTCAAAAGGTGAGTACTGCCATCCCATTTTACAGATGAAAAATTGGAGAAGCAAAGAGATTAGATCCGTGACAGGCCACACAACCTGGGTGCGATGAAATCCACTCTCATCAACTGCTAGCAGCACTTGGGTGCTTATGTGGCTGGGATTCACTGATTCTCACCCTCCCCTGAATTCTGCGTCTGCCAGGGCCACCACATTGCCCTCCCCCTTCTCATTTCGTGTCCCTCTGTGAAGCAGTCCGGAGTGTCCATGTGACTCTGCTAAACTGAGCAGAAGGTTTAGTACAGAATAACTAGCCCATTCCGGCCGGGCGCGGTGGCTCACGCCTGTAATCCCAGCACTTTGGGCGGCTGAGACGGGCGGATCACGAGGTCAGGAGATCAAGACCATCCTGGCTAACACGGTGAAACCCCGTCTCTACTAAAAATACAAAAAATTAGCCGGGTGTGGTGGTGGGCGCCTGTAGTCCCAGCTACTCGGGAGGCTGAGGCAGGAGAATGGCGTGAACCCGGGAGGTGGAGCTTGCAGTGAGCCGAGATCGTGCCACTGCACTCCAGCCTGGGCCACAGAGCGGGACTCTGTCTCAAAAAAAAAAAAAGAGTAACCCATTCCCTCTCTTCCCCTGTCATTTAATACAATCCAGTGCCTCAGAATACTCTGTCAAAGGTATTTTATTTAGTCGAGACCATTTAAGAATGGAAGAAATTTCCTGTTGAGAGATTTAATGTATGTGGTGTGTGTGTGCTCTTGGAGGCAAATGGATGTTTAAGAGTGTGTGAGGTGAAGGATAGCAGACTCCGGAAGTCTGGGGACCACTTAGGTCTGTAACCCTCCCTTTCGCACCAGCTGTCCAGCTCTGAGAGGCCTCCTGGGTTTCCCATTTATGGGGCCCCTTTACTGTTACGGCACCTGTTTAAATGTGGTGTTTCCATTACGGGAGGCATGGTAGGTGGCTGGAATGAGCGGCCGTGCAGGGACGATGCGTGCAGGCTGCCCCTCCTCCCACCACTTCTTGGGGAAAGTCCATTTTTGGTCTTTTGTTTCAGCGAGAAATGCATAAAAACGTTTTCAGGGACCCCTCCCCGCTTGCTTTGCAGCTAAAATTTCAGGCTTTGACAATAAGGGGCCAAATCTCTTTCGAAACCAAGGCAGCATTAATGAAAACATTGTCATGTCCATATTTCTTTTGGAAAAATCTTTTAGAGCATGTGACATGGACGTGCATGACATTGGGCTTGAATGATGACAGCATTCTGTGTTCTTCCTTGGAATTCTGGGCGTCCTCAGGCAGGAGAGCTTTGCTGTAAACGGGGTGATATCATCCCCATTTTACAGATAGGAAGCTATGCACTAACATTATGTATATATTTACTTATTTTAAAAATACTTTTTAATTTATATAGAGATACGGTCTTCTCCCATCTCAGCCTCCTGAGTAGCTGAGACTACAGGCGCATGCCATGACACCCGGCTATTTAAAAAATTTTTTATAGAGACAGGGTCTCACTGTGTTGCCCAGGCTGGTCTCAAACTTCTGGCCTCATGCATTCCTTCTGTCTCAACCTCCCAAAGTACTGGGATTATAGGCGTGAGTAACCGCACCTGGCCACATATGTATTTAATTAAAAAATTATTGAAATTAAATATAACATACATACAGAAAAGTGTACGTTATTGTATTTGTACAGCTTGATGAATTCTTACAAATGGGATAAAACCATGTAACCAGCACATAGATCTAGAAACAGAACATGCTGAGACCCCAGAAACTTTCCTGTTGCGCCCCCTTCAGGGCAACCCCAATCCTGATTTCTAACCCCATAGATGTATTTTTGTACTTGATAGTAAGGAATCGCACAGGATGTACTTGATTGTATTTGGTGTCTTTCGTTCACTGTTATGTTTGTGAGATTCATCCATTTGTAATTTTCACTTCCAAAACATTGTTTTTAAGTTTTCTTTGTTTGGATAAATAATGCCTTTACATGGTTTCAAGATTAAAAAGATTATAATGAAGTACACATAGAGCAGTCTTGTGCTCACCCCATCCCTTAATACCCTAGTTTTCTATCCTCTTGGGTAAATATTAATACTTTTCTCTCTTTTTTTTTTTCTTTTGGAGATAGACTTGCTCTGTTGCCCAGGCTGGAGTGCAGTGGTGCGATCTTGGATCATGGCAACCTCCGCCTTCCAGGTTCGAGCAATTCTTGTGTCTCAGCCTTTCAAGTAGCTGGGAATACACGCATCCACCACCATGCCTGGGCAATTTTTGTATTTTTAGTAGAGACAGGGTTTCATCATGTTGTCCAGGCTGGTCTTGAACTCCTGGCCTCGAGCGATCCACCCACCTTAGCCTCCCAAAGTGCTGGGATAACAGGCATGAGCCACTGCTCTCGGCCCTATTAATACTTTTTTTTTTTTTTTTTGCGATTTCTTGCAGTATTGGTTTATATAAGCACAGGCGTGCTAATTTTTGCATCCCCCCCAACCAAAAAGATAGCACATCTTCTTTACTGTCATACACCTTGCTATATTTTTTTCCTTTGCTTGCTCCTCTTCAGTCCCAAGACCCTTGACCTATGTTCAGCCCTATGCGGGTGAGTTGAATACTATCCCTCCAAACACTCATGTCACTGGAACTTCAGAATGTGGCCGCCTTTGGACATAGGGTCTTTGCAGTTGTCATCAGATAAGAAGGGGTCCTACTGGATTATAGTGGACCCCAGATCCAATGGTTCAGATACAGAGGTGTGGGCACACAGAGAATGCCACACGAAGACAGAGGCAGAATTGCAGCAATGCAGCCACAAGCCAAGAAGCCGCCCGGAGCTACCAGAAGTTGGAAGAGGCAAGGAAGGATCCTTCCCCAGAGTCTCTTGAGGGAGTGCAGTCCTGCCAACACTTTGGATTTTGGACTTCTAGTGTCCAGAACTGTGACAATCAACGTCTCTGTCATGGCAGGCCTAGGAAGCTAATGCCCTCTTCTTGCCCTCTCTCCTGAACATGGCCTCCTGGTCCCTGCCATCTTGTCCTAACCTTTCAATGTGACTTCCATGGGAGGTCAGCTGTCTCCCTAGTATGTGTCTGAGTGTTGGGGTTTAGAATTCATCATCTTCCCCGTGGCTTGAGATGAGGTCTGAGGCCATAGGGCTCGTGCCCATGCCCTGTTCCACCCGTTTCTCCTCACTCCTTGCTCACCCCAGCCCTGCCCACTCAGCTCTGCTGGGGGACACACGTCAGCAGATACCTGTGGGGTGACTATAGGTTTTTAGGTTGGTGCAAAAGTAATTGTGATGTTTGCCATTACTTTTAACCAACCTAATATGTTTGGATTGAAGAGTATCGGGTGAGAGTTTGAATCTCTAGTGGGTCCCGGCTGTCCTGAAGACTCCCTTCCTTCAGCTTCCTGCATTTAGGTGACCTTTGGGGTATCCGGGGTGGTCCAGATTGCACCATTTGCTTGCAGTTCACAAGCACAGCATGCGCTTGCATGGGCAGGTGCCATGGTGTGCAGTGGGTAAGGGCAGTCATCTCACAGACCATAGGGGAAACCCCCAATCTGAGCCAGACTGCATTGCTTAGCCACTTATGAATAGAATGACCTCGGACGATGCAATTTGCCTTATGCCTCAGTTTCCTCGTCTATCACATGGGGAAAATAATAGAACCTATTTCATAGGGATGGTTGTGAGGAGTGAATGAGCCGATTCCTGTAGATGCTTTGAACAGGCCTGGTGCCTGGTGTGGGCCCAGGAAGCATCAACCCCCGGCCTCTCTGCCTGTGCCGCATTTTCTCCCCTTCTGGTCCATTCTTGCTTATTTTTAAAGGCCCAACACAGGCACCATCGCCTCTAGAAAGCCTCCCAGGACCTTTTCTGCTGGCATAGTAACCCATCGTCTTCCATTCATCTGTTGGCGTGCCTCTAATTCTTGAGAGCAGGCTCATTCTGGTGTTTTGTCATCCCTGTCCCTGGCATGGCTGCTGGCACCTGATGGGCCTTCAGTTTGGTACTTGCTTGGGAAAAGAGCAAGTGATGAGTTGAGTGATGTCCCAAGTGTCACACGGTGGATGTGCCAGTGCTGGATGTCAAACTCACACATCAGCCAAAAAACACTCACCTGGGGGCTTTTTTGTTCCCATGGGAAGGTATAGAGTGTGTCTGAGCTCTGGGAGAGACTGGGGCAATGGGAAGGAGGAAAAGACCTAGATAGAGAACCAGGTAGAGGGCTTGTGGCTGTCCCAAAGCTCCAGGAGCTCTGACATCCCCTTTACGTGGGCAGCCTCTTAGAAAATCTTTAGATGGGCAGGCCATACTCATTGATAAGCTTGTGCATGAAGCTCTGTAAAGGTTGGGGTCCATGTTTTTCAATTAATTTAAGGAATCAGAGCCCATTTGCATGTGCTTTAGTTTTAAAGTGATAAGAGAAAAAATTGGAACAAGAACTTTCTGGATAAACTTTTTTTTTTTTTTTTTTTTTTTTTTTTTTGAGATGGAGCCTTCCTCTGTCGCCCAGGCTGGAGTGCAGTGGCACAATCCTGGCTCACTGCAATCTCCTCCTCCCAAGGTCAAGCGATTCTTCTGCCTCAGCCTCCTGAGCAGCTGGGACTACAGGCGCCTGCCACCATGCCCAGCTAATTTTTGTATTTTTAGTAGAGACAGGGTTTCACCATATTGGCCAGGCTGGTCTCGAACTCCTGACCTTGTGATTCGCCTGCCTTGGCCTCCCAAAGTGCTGGGATTACAGGCGTGAGCCACTGCGCTCAGCCTTTTTTTTTTTGAGACAGGGTCTTCCTCTGTCACCCAGGCTGGAGTGCAGTGGCACAGTCATGGCTCACTGCAGCTTTGACCTCCTGGGTTCAGGTGATCCTCTCACCTCAGCTTCCCAAGTAGCCAGGGCTGGTGCCACCACACCTGCCTAATTTTTTGTAGAGATGGGGTTTCGTCATGTTGCCCAAGCTGTTCTCGAACTCCTGGGCTCAGTAATCCTCCCAGCTTGGTCTCCCAAAGTGTTTGCACCATGCCTGGCCCTGGATTAATTTTATGACAACAAAGATACTGAGAAAATATGTCAAATGCTCACAATGATTACTCTTTTAGGATTTTGGGGGCAGTCAAGATTCAGTGATGGGCAGTGGTTTTGACCAGGCAGGTAGAAATTAAGATTCTTAAGTGCTGATTTTGGATTCTGTTTTTGAGAGAGAGTCTTGCTCTGTTGCCCAGGCTGGAGTACAATGGCGTGATCTCGACTCACTGCAACCTCTGCCTCCCGGGTTCAACAATTCTTCTATCTCAGCTTCCCGAGTAGCTGGGATTACAGATACACACCACCATGCCCAGCTAATTTTTGTATTTTTAAAAGAGATGGGTTTCACTATGTTGGCCAGGCTGGTCTTGAACTCCTGACCTTGGGTGATCCACCCACCTCGGCCTCCCAAAGTGCTGGGATTACAGGCATGAACCCAGTTGATTTTGGATTCTTAAGTGCTTCTTTGGTTTGTCCTGGAACTTAGAACAAGACAGGCCATTAGGCCAGGGAGCTCAGTTTCCTGTTGTTAAGTCTGGTTGTTCTCGATGTAGGCACTGGATTTAATGACTTTTTAATAAGGCATGGAGATCCATAGAAGACAATGTCTCCTGGCCAGCATGTTAGGCTTAGATGTTAATGGTGAGTTTGAATATGCTTAGTGTCAGCGCCTAGCGTGGTTTTTGTACCTTGGAGGTACTCGCTTTCTCTTCATTGTGTTTTCCATTATATGGAGTGGGTGAGGTTTTGGAACTGCAACTCAGAGCCCTAGAGAGATTCTCTGGATGCCAGGCGGGTATTTCCGAAAGACCACAGGGCATGTGTGTCCTTTGGAGGGGCTGTGTGAAAGGAAAGCTAAGCACATCCTGTAATTGAGCACTTAAGAGATCCCGAATCCCTCGTGCTTAGGTACTTCTTTATCTAACCCTATTCCCTCCTGTCCGCACATTTCCATCAGAGGGTCTGTAGCTGTACTGCCCACTATGTTGACATGTGGCTAGTCTGAATTGGGAAGTACTGTCAGCATAAACTACAAACCAGATTTCAAAGACACAGGAAGAAGGAGAAGAATGTTTGCTATCTCAGTAATAATTTTTTATTTTATTTTTTTAGAGACAGGGTCTTGCTCTGTCACCCAGGCCGGAGAGCAGTGGCATGAACACAGCTCGTGCAGCCTCAAACTTCTGGGCTTAAGTGATCCTGCCACCTCAGCCTCCCTGGTAGCTGAGACTACAGGTGTGTACCACCACCCCTGGCTAATTAAAAATAATTTTTGTAAGTGGGCTTGTCTTGAACTCCCGACCTCAAGTGAGCCTCCTGGGTTGGCCTTCCTAAGTGCTGGGATGACAGGTGTGAGCCACTACACCCAGCCACGTGAATAATTTTTTGTGTTGATTATATGTTGAAATGATAGTATCCGTGATATACCTGGTTGAATAAAATAGGTTATGAAATTCTGTTTAACCTTTTAACTTTTAAAAACATGTGGCTACTAGAAAATTTATTTTATTATTACTGTTTTTGAGACAGAGTCTCACTCTGTTGCCTAAGCTGGAGTGCAGTGGTACTATCTCAGCTCACTGCACCTTCTGCCTCCCATGTTCAAGCGATTCTCCTGCCTCAGCCTCCCGAGTAGCTGGGATTACAGGTGCGTGCCACCATGCCTGGCTAATTTTTGTGGTTTTAGTAGAGACAGGGTTTCACCATGTTGGCCAGGCTGGCCTTGAACTCTTGGCCTCAAGTGACCTGCCCACCTCAGCCTCCCAGAGTGCTGAGATTACAGGCATGATTATGTTGAGATACGCCTGGCCTGAAAATTTAAAATTATGTTTTCCCCTGGCCTAGAGAAAGGCTGTCCACCTATCTTGCTGGGATAACCTGCTAGGGTAGGTATATTTATTTATTTTTTTCTCTTTGTTGCCCAGGCTGGAGTGTAGTGGTGTAACCACAACTCACTGTGGCCTCGACCTACAGGACACAAGGATCCTTTTACCTCCCCGTCCTGAGCAGCTGGGACTGCAGGCATGCGCCACCACACGGGCTAATTTTTTGTAGAGATGGGATTTGGCCACGTTGCCCATGCTGGATAGGATGGGGAAATTTCTCTTATTTCAGGAATTTCTTAATTTTAATGGGCCCCTTCACCCCACAAAGCGTGTTTGAAGCTAGAGTGCGGGGAGATTAAAAAGTACAAGGCTAAGTGGTTTCCAAAAATGAATTTTCATCACTAGCATATTGGAAAGATAGGAATTTTCTCTGCAGCAAAATTAATGTAGGCACATTTAAAAGATTAGGTAGACATTATATCAGTGCCTATTGTGAGTAACAATAGCTCTGTGTATTTAATTGCTTGACTCCCCTTTAAAAGTCTAAGAATAAAGAAGTAAGAGTAGTCATAAAACCTTAAAATAGTTTAGGAAAAATTAATGAAGGACATAAAAGCAAGCAGCATAGCATCGGAGGGGGAGGCTCAGCCTATCAAGAAGAGATTTTGTGTGTTGGTTGGTCATGTGTGTAATTACCATCAGCACTGGGCTGTTTTGGTGTGTGCAGCCAAGGCTGTGCCTAGTTTTAGTTGGACCAAGGAGGTGCTTCTGTGTAATCTCCTCCACTCTTACTCCACAGCCAGAGATAGCATGTCAGTCCTTGCATCATTAAATGGCTCTGTAGGAGAGTGAACTGTAGGCCTGTTTGCATTGCTTGCTGTTGGTTTCTTTTTTTCTTTTTGAGACAGGGTCTTGCTCTGTCACCCAGGCTGGAATGCAGTGGCACAATCATGGCTCATTGCAGCCTGGAACTCCCAGGCTCAAGGAATCCTCCTACCTCAGCTCCCTAAGTAGCTGGGACTGCAGGCACACGCCACCATGCCTGGTTAATTTTTTAATTTTTCATAGAGATGGGGTTCCCCTCTGTTGCCCAGGCTGGTCTCAAACTCCTGGACTCGAGCAATCTGCCTGCCTCGGCCTCCCAAAGTGCTGGGATTATAAGCATGAGCCACCGTGCCTGGCCTTCTGTTGGTTTCATATTTGTTTCTCTTGCTGTTGATTTTGTTTCTCCCAAGGAGGCATCTTTTTTTTTTTTTTAACTCCTGTATAGTTGAATGTAAAATGGATATTCAGTTTAGTGGTTTTTAATTAGTTTACTTAATGGTGAGTAAAAAAAAGCAGATTATTCCCTTCCCTTCTCTCCTGCCCTCCTTTCTTCTCTGGGTCCTCTTTGATCCTCCTTTTTCCATTTCTTTCACCATCTCATTCCCTTCTATAATGTATGCTACTGTTTCTTCCTCTTCTTTTTTCTTTCACTATAGCGATCACATGGAGAAGTCAAGAGAAATATGTGTTTAGCCAGTTTGTCTCTGTACCCTAACTTTTACTACTAATGCCTTGCTTACCAGGGTGTCGTTTTGTTTCTTTTTATTTGGTCACCTCTGCCCTTCCTTCCATACAGTCTCCTCTCACTAGGCAGCCCCCAGGGGTTGCGGCCCTTGTGTGGCACCGGTGGCTGGCTCACAGCATAGACCTGCCTTGGACCTGGGCCAACCCTACAGTTGGAGCTGAGCAAACACTGTTTTTCACTGGGGAGCCGATTGGACAGAGGCCCAGGGTGGAGTACCCACGGGCTCAGTGGAGGCCTGGTTTTACTTAAGATATTCCAATCAGAGAAGGGGGGAGTAAACAGTCTGCTAATTAAATCTGTGGGTGGCAGTAAATTTGGAGGTGTTGCAAAGCCCTCTGTGCACAGAGAGGACGTTGGGAAAACACAAAGAGCTGTAGAAAGGTGAGGCAAGGCTTGGGGAGATGAGATTCTGCTTGGAAAAGTACAAGCCGCCATCTGGAGAGAAATTAGCCATGGTTGCTACTCTGTGGGGCGTAAGTCAGTGGCGCTGTGATTGACTTGGAGCCAGGACTGTTCAGTCCTGTTTCTTGTTCTTGATACTAGGAATCATTTTTTTTTAACCTCTAAATTTATTACTCAGGAATGAAGCCAATCCTACTGTATTCTGGGGATTATAAGGCTTGGGTATACGAGTGAACAGATAGGAGAGTGTCTTCCAGAAACATTGCCTGCCCACTTACATTTCCAGGCCAGGGGTCCGGGGTCTTGGAGGTTGGTTCTGGGGATGCGAAGTGCGGCTGACCAGCTGGTGGGGACAGCTGATGGCTCAGTGTGGATCAGAAGGCGCCTTGCTTCCACCAGGAGGCGTCCAGGTGTGTGCCCACCAGGGGGGCTCATACAGTCGGGCACTGGGGTGCCCCACAGTTTTATTTGTAGATCTCCATTCATCTTCGTGGCTCTGCTTCCTCTAGGAGTTTCATAGCCACACAAATATGCTTTAGTACGTTGAGCTGGTTTCCATTTGCCAGACTGAAAAGCTACACTGTTGTGAAGGGAGACAGAATAGCATTGACGGTGAAGAGCAGGCATTTGGGGATTTTGGGATTTTTGGAATTCCATCACTGTTCAGGCCTCTGGACAGTGTTCAGGCCTCTTGGCCAAGTTGCTGAATGTCTCAGCCTCAATTGCCTTGTCTAAAAAGTGGTGGTGAGAGGGTTAAAGAAATGTTGTGTAGAGATAACTTTGCTTGGCAGCAAACTTTCAGGTAGATCGATGATAGCTATTCTTGAAATATGTGGAGGTCATCTTCAAAACCTTTTCAGTATGAATTCAGAGGAGACCTTCCCAGATGAGGTTGCCCTGGGAGATGGCATTGACGGTAGCCTGGAACTGGGAGAATAGTGGTGACATCAGGCTCTAAGAAAGGAGTTAAGTTCCTCCTTGAGTTTCCTCATATGGTTGTGTGAATGCCAGGTTGTCTTCTTGCCTTCCAACGTGTTAGTA
Organism: Homo sapiens; assembly: GCF_000001405.40. NCBI lineage: Eukaryota > Metazoa > Chordata > Mammalia > Primates > Hominidae > Homo > Homo sapiens. Next base: position 31,530,004 of record NC_000021.9, on the reverse strand, counting down.
GAAATAAACATTTGCAGGGGGGTCGCAAAAGCAGTGCTAGGTCCTGGCTCCAGCAAAGGTGGCAACAAGAGAATGCTGTAATGTCCATGACACTTCCGCGGAGATGACAGAAACTGACAGGAGGCCAAGCAAGGTGGAATCTTCCCTGGTGAGAACATCTTACATTGTCTCTGCGGACCTTCCCTCGAGAGGAAGGGGGCATGAGGTGAATTTTCTCTGGAGTTAGGAGAGATGATACCAGGTTGGAGTTCATGGACTTTAAGTTTATAAACACATGTCTGCACAGCTGTCTTGCAATGACAGTTGCTCTCTGCATTTGAGGAGCAGGTATTTGGGAAGGAGCAATGCTGGATGGGTGACCTAATTTATTTCCTTTGTTTCCTTCTGGCCTGAACTGGGCAGGTAGCCCTGACCCACAAGGTCTTAAACTCCCTGAAAGGAAATCCATTTGCTGATAAAGAAGATACATTGAAGAGATAAAGAAGAGAATGTTTGGTTTCCTGCTTCCTTCTCTGTTTACTCAAGGTATTCAAGAGCTACTGAAGGGAACATACTCCTCGTTTCTGAAATCTTATGCTTGGAACTCAAAATTACACTAGTAATTGTTACAGTAGTAACAACCCATAATTACATTAGTTATTGTTTTCTAATTGTTTTATCTGCATTAATTTTCTCTCCCCAACCTAATAGGATGGAGGGCTTTTTGAGGACAGGTTTTGTGACTTTTTTTTTCCACCTTTCCCCATTGGACTCAAGTATCTGTTTGAAAGAATAAAAAGACATTTCGGCTGGGCGCGGTGGCTCACACCTGTAATCCCAGCACTTTGGGAGGCCGAGGTGGGCAGATCAGGAGGTCAGGAGATCGAGACCATCCTGGCTAACACGGTGAAACCCCGTCTCTACTAAAAATACAAAAAAATTAGCTGGGCATGGTGGGCGCCTGTAGTCCCGGCTACTCGGGAGGCTGAGGTGGGAGAATGGCGTGAACCCGGGAGGCGGAGCTTGTAGTGAGCTGAGATCGCGCCACTGCACTCCAGCCTGGGCGACTGAGACTCTGTCTCAAAAAAAAAAAAAAGAATAAAAAGACATTTCATTTTCATAATACCTATTCTTCCAGTTTCCTGAAAGGATATGATAAATAGAACTGAATTTTAATCTTGAGAGTTTTTTTTTTTTAATTTGTTTGTTTATTTATTTATTTATTTAGAGTCTTGCTCTGTTGCCCAGGCTGGAGTTCAGTGGTACAATCTCCACTCACTGCAACCTCCGCCTCCCGGGTTCAAGCAATTCTCCTGCCTCAGCCTCCCGAGTAGCTGGGATTACAGGCACACCACACCATGCCTGGCTAATTTTTTTATTTTTTTAGTAGAGACAGGGTTTCACCATGTTGCCCAGGCTGGTCTCAAACTCCTGACCATGTGATCCGCCCGCCTCGGCCTCCCAAAGTGCTGGGATTACAGGTGTGAGCCACCGTGACCTGCCTATTTATTTTAATTTTTATTTCTGTTGCCCAGGCTGGAGTATGGAGGCGCGATCCTAGCTCACTGCAGCCTCCATCTCTTGTGCTCAGGGAGCTTCCTGCCTCCGCCTCCTGAGTAGCTAGGACTGAGTAGCTAGATGCACCACTATGCCCAGCTAATTTTCAAATTTTTTGTAGAGACAGGGTCTTGGTATGTTGCTCAGGCTGGTCTTGGACTCCTGGCCTCAAGCAATCTTCCTGCCTTGGCCTCCCAAAGTGCTGGGAGTATAGGGATGAGCCACTGTGCCTGGCTTTGGGAAGTATTTTAAATAGAGGTCACATACTTAGTGCATTGATAGTGCTGCCTCTTCCCTGGAAGAAATATTTTCATTGATCGGCATCCCCCCTCCCTGCTCCCTTAATCTCCCTAGTTATCTCTTTCTCTCTGTCAGTGAATGTTGTTTAAACACTGAAGTCTCATCAATCTTGTACGCTGGAAAGCCTAGAATCACTAGTTTAGGGCTTCCCATCTCAGCTATATTAACACTGTAACACTTGTATCAACAACAGTCTAGCATCCTGTTGGAATTAACACACATGGTGCTCCCACTCTGTTCCTGTTTGTGTAGGGAGAAGCAAGACATTTCCTTGGGAGCAAATCTGTTTCTGAAGGGTAGTGATGGGCTTGATCAGGGGACTCAATGTGATCAACATTGAGAGACTGTTGACCACAAGTGGCCCAGGTGAGTGGAGACTGGGACACACTGAGGAGATTCTAAGCATTGGGTTGGGACTGGTGGCCTTTAAGATCATATCTGTATTTTAGGATTTTGTGATAAGTGACAGGGTGGAATGGGGTGGGGCAGGTGGCTGATAGATGGGTGATTTTAGCTCCATCCCTTCCCTCTGGGAATGTCTTAACACCCAATCAGAAGAAAATGGTTAAAACTGGAGAGTCAGCTGTGAATTTAGTAATCCATCAGGGCAGATGGAGAGCTGGCAAAAATGTGTGCTAGGTCCCCATGCTCTTCGAATGTCTCACTCATCTTTGTCTTGATCTTTTAGATACTCAACGTGTTTGCTATTTAAATAATAGATTGTAGTTTAAAATCACTTCCACTTGAAATCAGGCCCTCTATTTTTAGAACTTTCCTGCAAAGTTGAGAGGCACCTAAATGTGGTCTTTTTGTGTCTCTGGGCCTCCTCTAAGATTCTGATAACCTGAGTTTACCCTACTCATTCTCTACCAAAATTTTCTATTTAGAAAATGCTTGTGTGTCAGCATGAGTAAGTCCCACGGAGGAGTTTCAGCTTAAGACAGGGGGAGGAAGCTGGGTTAACAGAGGCAGGAGGCATGGAGAGTTTTGCAGGCTCTGTATTGGTGTGCAGAGCTTCTAGGCTCCAGCTGTTGCCAAGCAGGAGTTAAATCTAGTCTCTGTGTTGGAGCCCAGTTTCTCCGGTGTCTGTTCCACAGTGTGTGGCCCGGATATCTTTGGAAGTCTTTGGAAGCTTGATGGAAGATCAGGAAAGAGTATACAGCTTTTGGCCAGGCGTGGTGGCTCACGCCTGTAATCCCAGCACTTTGGGAGGCTGAGGCAGGTGGATCACCTGAGGTCAGGAGTTCGAGACCAGCCTGGTCAACATGGCAAAACCCCGTCTCTACTAAAAATACCAAAATGAGCTTGGCATGGTGGTGCGTGCCTGTAGTCCCAGCTACTTGGGAGGTTGAGGCAGGAAAATCGCACGAACCTGGGAGGCGGAGGTTTTAGTGAGCTGAGATCATGCCCCTCTACTCCAGCCTGGGTGACATAGGGAGACTCTGTCACAAACAAACAAACAAACAACAAAAAAAGAGAATACAGCTTTTGAGATTCCCATAGATATATGATGAAGGTAAAGTACATGATGAGATATGTGACCCCAGGCTTACTATCACGATTCCCACCTGTGGCCATGCAGGGTCTGCATTGTCGTGGGAAAGCATTGTCATATCGTCTTAGAAAAAAAGGGAGTTTCCTCATGAGATTTCCTCTCCAAGTGATTTGCTGAGCAATTCTTTTTCTGTTCAGAATGACTTAAAAGGCTTAGAAGGTCATTAATTTGCTAAATGAACTCAGCTCATGGAGCCCCTGAGCATAGATAAAATAGTTACGGAAACCAGAAGTTTCCAGAAGTTTCCGCCGTGCATGCACTCATCAAAGTCAGCAGAAACAGTCAGTGGAGCCTTTGACCTCTTTTAGTTTTGCTGCTTGCTTCCCGCTGCCTTCCATCTTCCCTGGTCACTTGTTTCTTATCCTTCCCTCTTCAGTCTCCTGCTGTGAAGACCCAGATCTCATCCTGTTTGCTTACTCATCTGCCCCAGGGCTCAGTGCTGCTATGGGGGTGGCACCCCTGCCTGCCAGGCCTGAACACACAGCATGGTGGTGAGTGCCCAGACAGGGAGAACTGCAGACCAGGTTCAAAGCAAGTTGTGCTCACTTGGATGAGATAATTTTTTTTTTTTTTTTTTTTTGAGATGGAGTCTTGCTCTGCCACCCAGGCTTGAGTGCAGTGGCGTGATCTCGGCTCACTGCAACCTCTGCCTCCCGGGTTCAAGCGATTCTCCTGCCTCAGCCTCTCGAGTAGCTGGGACTACAGGCGCCCGCCACCAAGCCCAGCTAATTTTTGTATTTTTAGTAAAGGCGGGATTTCACCATGTTGGCCAGGCTGGCCTCGAACTCCTGACTTCAAATGATCCACCCATCTCAGCCTTCCAAAGTGCTGGGGTTACAGACATGAGCCCCCGTGCCTGGCGTCGGATGACATAATTAATGTGTCACCCTCTCATTTTATTTCTTCATATAATAAGAGTCCCTGGTACAGGGGTTAATAGCATGGACTCTGGTGCCAGACTGCCTGGGTTTGAATTCTGGCCCTGCTAGCAGTGTGACTTTGGGGAAGTCACTTGGCTCTGTGCCTCAAGTGCCTTGTCTATAAAATGATGATTCCTAATAGTTGGGGTATTTGTCCCCTCCAAATCTCATGCTGAAATTTGTTTCCTAGTGTTGGAGGTGGGGCCTAGTGAGAGGTGTTTGGGTCTTGGGGGTGGATCCCTCATGAATGCCTTGGTGCCATTCTCACAAGGAGCGAGTTCTCGCTCTATGAGTTCCCGTCAGATCTGATTTTTTTTTTTTTTTTTGAGACGGAGTCTGGCTCTGTCGCCCAGGTTGGAGTGCGTGGCGCAATCTCAGCTCACTGCAACCTCTACCTCCTGGGTTCAAGTGATTCTCCTGCCTCAGCCTCCGAAGTAGCTGAGATTACAGGTGTGCGCCACCATGCCTGGCTAATTTTTGTGTTTTTATTAGAGACAGGTGTCACCATGTTGGCCAGGCTGGTCTTGAACTCTTGACCTCAGGTGATCGGCCTCCCAAAGTGCTGAGATTACAGGTATGAGCCACCGCGCCCAGCCTCAGATCTGATTATTAAAGAGTCTGGCCCCTCTCTCTTTTCCTCCTCCTTGCCACGTGACATGCTCGCTCCCCCTTTTCCTTCCACCATGAGTGGAAGCTTCCTGAGGCCTCCCCAGAAGCAGATGTTGCTGCCATTTTTCTTGTACAGTCTGCAGAACCATGAGCCAAATAGACCCCTTTTCTTTGTAATTACACAGTCTCAGGCATTCCTTTGTAGCAGCACAAATGTACTAAGACAAGGATGTGTCTGCCTCCCTGAGATGTTGGGAAGAGCAGATGAATCACATGATAGAAGTTTGGAATGGTACAAGGCACACACTAAATGCTATGTAAGTTTTTGCTGTAATTATCTAGCTAAAGGAGCATTGCATGATAAAATGGATATAAAACTCTTGGGCATAGTGTTCAATACACTTCAGCTCTTTTGCTTATAAGCTTGGCAGAGAGAGAGTAAACTCTGATTATTCCTCCTGATTTCCCATTAGATTTTCCATTTTTCTATTTCAAAGCTCTCAGGATCAAACCCTTCACCAGCAAATGCTTTTTGCCATCTAGCAAGAGAATATACTTTTGAGTCCAGGTTCTGGGATTCACTAGCTAATATAGTTGGATGTCCCCTCCAAATCTCTTGTTAAGATTAACTCCCGGTGTTGGAGGAGGGGCCTGGTGGGAGGTGTTTGTGTTGTGGGGGCGGATCCCTCTTGGCTTGGTGCAGTTCTTGCCATAGTGAGCCAGTTCTCGCAAGATCTGGCTGTTGTAAAGTGTGACACCTCCCTCTACTCTCTCTTGCTCCTCCTCTGCCATGTGAGACTCCTACCCCCACTTCACCTTGCACCATGAGTAAAAGCTCCCTGAGGCTTTCCCAGAAGCCGTGCTTCTTGTACAATCTGCAGAACCATGAGCCAATTAAACCTCTTTTCTATATAAATTACCCAGCCTTAGGTATTTCCTTACAGCAATGCAAAAGTGGCCTGACACACTAGTCTTGGAAGTGTATCCTGAGTCTTAGCTTTTTTTTCACCTGAGCATTGGTAATTATCACCCCTGCAGAGCAGGCAGAGTACACTATTTTTTTTTTTTGAGTTGGGGTCTGGCTTCGTCACCCAGGCTGGAGTGAGCATTGGGAATTATCATGCCTGCAGAGCAGGCAGAGTACATACTATTTTTTTTTTTTTTTTTGAGATGGAATCTGGCTCTGTCACCCAGGCTGGAGTGCAGTGGCGCGATCTCAGCTCACTGCAACCTCCACCTCCCGGGTTCAAGTGATTCTTGTGCCTTAGCCTCCCGGGTAGCTGAGATTACAGGCCACCATGCCTGGCTAATTTTTGTATTTTTAGTAGAGATGGGGTTTCACCTTGTTGGCCAGGCTGTTCTCGAACTCCTGACCTCGGGTGATCTGCCCGCCTTGGCCTCCCAAAGTGCTGGGATCACAGGGGTGAGCCATCTTGCCCCACTGAGTACGTACTATTATCTCCACTTTATTGATGAGCAAACTGAGGTTCAGAGATGAAGAGATTTGCCCACAGTCACACAATTAGTAAACAGCTAGGTTGAGCCTGGAGGCTTCAGGCTGTATCCCTGATGTCTGGGAGCTTTTGCTATTTCATGCTGCTGCCCTGAACTATTAGTCTTCCTTCCTCACTTTCAAAATCCAGACATCTTTCTGCATTTTGAAGAGTCTTAAATGAGTGGTGCATATGACTTGTTCTCATTTGGGAAGAAGATTTCTGCTGCTTATATAAAATCATTGTGTTGTTTTAGATTTTTCTTAATTGCACTGCTTAGGACTTTTTCTGCAAAAGCATTGAACTATTCAGTTCATTAGGCTATATTTAGTGAAAATTGCACCCAGTAAAATTTCAGGGCATCCTTTTTATGTCTCGATGCTGTAGCTCTGTACTTTGATACCGTTTGTAATGGGAAAATAAACATAACTTACATGTTTTGTTTGATTTACCTCTCTTTGCAGGTATCTTTTGTAAGGTGTGATAAGTTGCAAAGAGAAATATTGCTTTGCAGAGGAGTTACTGCTGCTTAAAAACATGGCATTGGGTGCTGTTGAAATCCGTGAATGATGACAGTTTATTGAGAATGATTGAGAATGTGCTAAAAATTTATTTTATAGCTGGTCGGTGAATTATTGTGATTGCTCCTAAATTTAAACGACAGAATTTGTGGTTGTAGCTTAAAAACCTATGACATTGAAATACGGGGTAGTGTTAGATATGAGAATAAGTGTTAGATATGAGAAAAAAATGTTGTTTTAATTGGTCAAATCAAAAGAAACTTCCTGGTCATCACTATTTCCAATTCTTGATATGTTATAGCCAGTGATCCCATTTGGATAGAACTTTATAAAGGACTGCTTCGGTTGGACAGATGGGCCTTACAAGTGTTGTGGAACATTCGTGTTAGAAGCCTCCTTTGAGAGAACTGGTGGTTTGGCCCATTTACTACTGATGGGAAGCCTGAGGCCCAGCCCAGGAACAAGGGCTCCCTGACGATAAACAATTATGTTTAATAGTTTCATGGTGGGGACATGATTAATTATTATTATTTTTTGTTTTTGTTTTTGTTTTTTTTTTTGGGATGGAGTTTCACTCTTCTTGCCCAGGCTGGAGTGCAATGGTGCGATCTCGGCTCACCGCAACCTCTGCCTCCCGGGTTCAAGCGATTCTCCTGCCTCAGCCTACTGAGTAGCTGGGATTACAGGCATGCGCCACCATGCCTGGCTGAGTTTTTTTGTATTTTTAGTAGAGTCGGGGTTTCTCTATGTTGGTCAGACTGGTCTCGAACTTTTGACCTCAGGTGATCCGCCCACCTTGGCCTCCCAAAGTGTTGGAATTACAGGCATGAGCCACCGGGCCCAGCAATAATTTCTTAATAATTAAAAATTATTAAGAATAATTAAGAATTATTAAGAGCCGGCCGGGCGTGGTGGCTCACGCCTGTAATCCCAGCATTTTGGGAGGCCGAGGCGGGCGGATCACAAGGTCAGGAGATTGAGACCATCCTGGTTAACATGGTGAAACCCTGTCTCTACTAAAAATACAAAAAATTATCCGGGCGTGGTTGCAGGCGCCTCTAGTCCCAGCTACTTGGGAGCCTGAGGCTGGAGAATGGCCTGAACCCGGGAGGCGGAGCTTGCAGTGAGCCGAGATGGCACAACTGCACTCCAGCCTGGGCGACAGAGAGAGACTCCGTCTCCAAAAAAAAGAATTATTAAGAGCCAAGATTGCACCACTGCATTCTAGCCTGGGCCAGAGTGATACTCTAACAAACAAAAAAAATTATTAGAGTTCTTACTGTCCTTTACTTTGTGTGTGTGTGTGTGTGTGTGTGTGTGTGTGTTTGTGTGTGAGGCAGGGTCTTGCTCTGTTGCCCAGGCTGGCATGCAGTGGTACAAGTCATGGCTCACTACAGCCTTGAACTCCCGGGCTCAAGCAATCCTTCCACCTCAGCTTCCTGAATAGCTGGGACTACAGGTGCACACCACCACTACTGGCTAAGTTTTTAAATTTTTTGTTGAGATGGGGTATTGCTATATTACCCAGGCTGGTCTTCAACTCCTAGCCTCATGTGATCCTCCCGCCTCCACCTACCAAATCACTGGGATTACAGGTGTGCACTCTTTTAACTTTTTAAGAGACTCAATTGTGTATATCTGGTTTACATCATTTGTGATGTGAATATCAGTGCTCTAAGGATAAGTACTTTGCCCAGGGTCATGCAGCTAATGACTGCTGGAACCTTAGGTTTTCTGGATCTCTAGAATATAATCTTGAAGAGAAACTCTAGAAACCTTTTTCTAATTTAAATGAAGCCTTCCAGCTTGTCATTTTGCCAGCTCTCCGGTCATTTCCAGTTATCTGGCCATAAAATAGAAAGCCGACCTCATTAAGAGTTTTAGGATGAGGGTTTCTTTTTAGAGAAGGTGGCGGAGTTGAGGCAATTAAGAGTAAATCTGGCAATCTATTCCTTCTTCAGAAGTTGAGGAACAAGCAAGCATAAAGCTTTGAGTGCCTGCATGGATGGAGTGAAAGGAAGCAAGCCTTGGGCATTTATTAAGCACCTGCTCTGTGGCAGGCTGTGTTCTTTCACACATGCTGTGTCTAAACCCCTGACATTTGCCAGGCATGGGTTCTTTGCAGGATTTACGGTTACCTTATGAAGCAGGTGTTCTTTCACCTTACGGAAAAGGCAGCAGAAGCCTGGGGAGTTTTTAATTGGTCCAGTGGTGGGAATTGGAGGGCGAAGCATGTCTTGAATTCAGCTTCTGACCCACGCCTCCTGGCCCACAGCTTAAGTTACATAATGTTTCTTTATGTTGATGTGCAATATAAATCTCCAATCGCACGGCTGGGAAGTGCTTTTGACTGGCTTTGTTGCTTCAGCTGTCCTAAAGGAATGGCTTTCATAAACACAGAGAGGGAATTGGATTTTCGCTTTGCGATCATTCATATTACAGAAGTGGGGAAGGTCATTGCCACAGGAATCCCATTAATCCCTGAAGCTGTGGGTCCTCAATGAGTTGGCCTGCCTTAGGACAGCACATTTCTTTCCTTTTGCTGTTTATACCACAAATGCCTTTTCTCTTTTTAAGAGAAATTTCATGAATGAAAATTTAGGACTCAAAGGAAAAAGTAAAACCGCACTCAAAAACCTATTATTCTTAAACAGTTATTGCTAGTACTTCTTTTTTTTATTACAGTAAAATATGTATAACATCGTTTGTCATTGTAACCATTTCTTTTTTTTTTTTTTTGAGACAGAGTTTAGCTCTTGTTGCCCAGGCTGGAGTGCAATGGCGCGATCTCAGCTCGCCACAACCTCCGCCTCCCAGGTTCAAGCGATTCTCCTGTCCCAGCCTCCCGAGTAGCTTGGATTATAGGCATGCGCCACCACACCCAGCTAATTTTTGTATTGTTAGTAGAGATAGGGTTTTTCCATGTTGGTCAGGCTGGTCTCGAACTCCCGACCTCAGGTGCTCCGCGTGCCTCAGCCTCCCAGAGTGCTGGGATTCAAGGCGTGGCCACCGCGCCCGGCCCATTTTAACCATTTTAAAGTGTCAAGTTCAGTGGCTTTAAGTACATTTACAATGTAACGTTGCCTCACCAGCAGCCATCTCCAGAACTTTTCATCTTCCCAAATGGAAACTCCGAAACTCCGTACCCATTCAACAATAACTCCCATTTCCACCCTCCCTCCAGGCCCTGGCACCGCCATTCTACTTTCTATCTCTATGTATTCGACTGCTCTAGGGACCTCATGTAAGTGGAATCTTAACAGTATTTGTCTTTTTTGGCTTATTTCTCTTAGCATGATGTTTTTAGGGTTCTGTGTTGCAGTGCGTGCCAGAATTTCCTTCCCTTTTAAGGCTGAATAGTATTCCATTGTATGGATATGCCACCTTTTGCTTATCTGTTCATGCGTCAAAGCACGCTTGGGTTACTTCTATCTTTTGGCTGTTGTTAACGGGTGTACAAATATCTGTTCAATTTCTTGCTTTCTTTTGGGTGTTTACTCTGAAGTGGATTTGTTGGATCATGTGGTAATTCTGTTTAATTTTTTTTTTTTTTTTTTTTTTTGAGACAGAATCTCGCTCTGTGGCTCAGGCTGGAGTGCAGTAGTGCGATCTCAGCTCACTGCAACCTCTGCTTCCCAGGTTCAATCAATTCTCATGCCTCAACCTCCTGAGTAGCTGGGATGACAAACATGGGCCACAACGCCTGGCTAATATTTTGTATTTTTAGTAGAGGCGAGGTTTCTTTTTTTTTTTTTTTTTTTTTTTGAGACAGAGTTTCACTCTTGTTGCCCAGGCTGGAGTGCAGTGGCGCGATCTCGGCTCACCGCAACCTCCGCCTCCCAGGTTCAAGCAATTCTCCTGCCTCAGCCTCCTGAGTAGCTGAGATTACAGGCATGTACCACTACGCCTGGCTAATTTTGTATTTTTAGTAGAGACGGGGTTTCTCCATGTTGAGGCTGGTCTCGAACTCCTGACCTCAGGTGATCTGCCCGCCTCAGCCTCCCAAAGTGCTGGGATTACAGGTGAGCCACTGCGCCCGGCCAAGGCGGGGTTTCACCATGTTGGCCAGGCTGGTCTCGAACTCCTGACCTCAAGTGATCCTCTTGCCTTGTCCTCCCAAAGTGTTGGGATTACAGGCGTGAGCCATTTGTCTTTTATTTGAAATCCAGACTACATTTTCTGTAAAAACAATGTTACCAGGGTGATTGTTTTCCAGGCTATCCCTAAAGGCCAGAAAGCAACATGTGGATTCACTGGAGCCGGCCAGGCATGCTGGGAAGATCAGATTGCTATTACTTGCACCTGGCTTTGTCCTATCTCCATGATGTGAGCTGCCACCCCACCTTCCCAGTGTAAGCATTCCTGTGCTTACAGTGGGGGTGATACTGGCTCGCCTGCATTATTGTTGAAAAAGATGAAGTGACTGATGATGGTATTTCATTTCCTAAGCCACAAATTCAGTAGCTTAAAAAACACTCATTTAGGGCCGGGCGCAGTGGCCAACACCTGTAATCCCAGCACTTTGGGAGGCTGAGGCGGGTGGATCACCTCAGGTCGGGAGTTTGAGACCAGCCTGACCAACATGGAGAAATCCCGTGTCTACTAAAAATACAAAGTTAGCTGGGCGTGGTGGCGCATGCCTGTAATCTCAGCTACTTGGGAGGCTGAGGCAGGAGAATCACTTGAACCCGGGAGGTGGAGGTTGTGGTGAGTCGAGATCATGCCATTGCACTGCAGCCTGGGCAACAAGAGTGAAACTTCATTTCAAAAAAAAACCCCAAAAAACCCACAAAAAAACCCCACTCATTTATTCTTTTTAAGTTCTGAGACCAGAAGTCCCAAATGAGTTCCACTGGCCCCAACTGTAATTGGCAGGGCTATGCTCATACCCAAGGCACCAGGGGAGAACCCTTGCCTCTCCAGCTTCTGGTATGAGAGAGGGAGATCTTTTTCCTCTACCCATCTTAGGATTTCTGGCTGAGGCCTTATATGTTAGACTAGCAAAAGACAGATTAACGGGAGAAAAGCATGCATATTTTATTGAGTTATTTTTACAAGTTCATGAGAAAAATGAAGACTCGAAGGGGCGGTGAGGGCTGAGAGCTCATATACTTGTTTGAACCAAGTGCATTAAACTGTGGAAACGTGGCTAGGCAGAGGGGTTTGGGCTAAGGAAGTTGATCATGGAGGAGTGACTAGGAAGATAAGGGTTAGTTTAACAAGGTTTGTTTGTACAGATTTCTCTTGGCCTCGACTCGCCATCTCTGTTGATAAGAAAGTTTCCTTCCTCCTGGTACAAGAAGGACATCTTTTGCATGGTTTTATTTCTGGCTTGCAGGAAGAAAAAGGAGGTCAGAGTGCCCTTCTTGCATCTGTTGTTTAAGTGTCTTTAATTCAAAACTTTCCTTAAGCCAAAGTGGCATATTTGGGTGTTTCATATTCTACCATGGTACCGGCATTCCTTGGCCTGTGACTGTATTGCTCCATCTCTGCCGCTGTGGTCACATAGCTTTTTCCTCTTCTGCGTGTGTTTTCTTCTCTTAGATCTACGTGGACTCTCCCTCTGCCTCCCTCTTTAGGGCCTGGGGATAACTTTGGGGACAGTTTTAGTCTTCCACAATGAGTAATCATAGTAATAGTATCATCCATTAATATTTTTATATTATAGGACCGTTTTAAAGTTTTAACAATTTATTTATTTACAGAGACGGGGTTTCGTCATGTTGCTCAGGCTGTCTTGAACTCCTGGCCTCAAGTGATTCTCCTGTTCTGGCCTCCTAAAGTGCTGGGATTACAGGCACGAGCCATGACCCTCAGTCTGTTTTAAAGCTCTTTACACAGATCTCCTGAGATCGTGTGATGGAGCAGGGAACACTTGTGTGGTCTGCCTTTAGAGTTGTAGCCTTAACCGCTGCACTGTGAGCCTTGAAGACCCTGACATAGTGCTTGGCAAAGAGAGAAGCCTAGAACATGTGAATTCATTGTATTCTTTTCTTTTCTTTTCTTTTTTTTTTTTTTTTTTGAGACAGAGTCTTGCTCTGTCGCCAAGGCTGGAGTGCACCGGCGTGATCTTGGCTCACTGCAACTTCCACCTCCTGTGTTCAAGTGATTCTCCTGCCTCAGCCTCCCAAGTAGGTGGACTACAGGCGCCCGCCACCACGCCCAGCTAATTTTTGTATTTTTAGTAGAGATGGGGTTTCACCATATTGGTCAGGCTGGTCTTCAACTCCTGACCTCGTGATCTGCCTCGGCCTCCCAAAGTGTTGGGATTACAGGTGTGAGCCACCGAGCCCAGCCTGAATTCATTATATTTCTAAGGATTTTGTGCTGTGCTGCCCTGTTATTCAATTTTATTCTGATTTTTATCTATCTTTTCTTCTCCTTCTTTTTTTTTTTTTTAGGGTAAGTCCAGTTGTGTGAGCACCAATAGTGTGTTGAGTTTTGCAGGGTGGAAGCTTGGAATCAGTGGCTCTAATGAGGCAAGAGGACGTTATACCAAATACTGTGGGTTAATTTCTCTTAGAGAATTCTCTTCCTTAGGGAGTGGTTCAACTCTGCTGTCCTGATGGAGCCAGTGAAGACTCCTTTTGAGACATAAACCAGTGTCATTCCCAACATTGCCCTAGTGTGTTTTATTTTTTAATTTTATTTATTGTTTTGAGACAGAGTCTCTCTTTGTCACCCAGACTGGAGTGCAGTGGCGAGATCTCAGCTCAGTGCAACCTCCACCTCCTGGGTTCAAACAATTCTCCTGCCTCAGCCTCACTAGTAGCTGGGATTACAGGCACATGCCACCACTCCCGGCTAATTTTTGTATTTTTAGTAGAGATGGGGTTTCACCATGTTGGCCAGGCTGGTCTTTAACTCCTGGCCTCAGGTGATCTGCCTGCCTTGGCCTCTCAGAGTGCTGGGATTACAGGTGTGAGCCACTGTGCCCAGCCCCTATTTTTTTTTTTTTTTTTTGAGATGGAGTCTCGCTGTATCTCCCATGCCGGAGTGTGGTGACGCCTTCTTGGCTCACTGCAACCTCCGCCTCCTGGGTTCAAGTGATTCTCCTACCTCAGCCTCCTGAGTAGCTGGGATTACAGGTGCACACCACCACACCCAGCTAATTTTTCTATTTTTAGTACAGATGGGGTTTTGCCATGTTGCCCAGGCTGGTCTCGAACTCCTGACCTCAGGTGATCCGCCTGCCTTGGCCTCTCAAAGTTCTGGGATTACAGGTGTGAGCCATGTGTCCAGTCCCTGGTGTGTTTTAGAATCTTACTGCAGACAATGGTCATGAACAGGAGCCACATATTAATTTTTCCCAAATCACTTGCTCCATGGAAATTCTGACCGAGTCTGGCTTTATTCTGCAGGATTTTATTCTGCAGGATTCCTGGGTGTTGCTGGCGCTGCATGTCTGAAGATGGTGGTGGAGGTTCAGCAGCCTGTAAAGTTGTCGATTTCACACTGCCCTTTCAAGTTTTAGAAGAGGTTATTTAGCTTAATTCAACAATTGGGTGTTTATAGGGTGCCTAGCTTGTGCCAGACTCTGAGGGACTTACAATGACAGAGTCCTAAGCTAAGTAGGGAGGAGGTAAAGTAGTGATTATGGCTGTTGAAGTGGGCAAAGCTTGAGTGGGCATCAACACCCCCGGAGGGCTTGTGAAAGCACAGGTTGCTGGTTCACCCCAAGCTTCTGTTTCAGTAGATCTGGGGCACAGTGCACAGATTTTGATATTGATGCCACTGGTCCAGGGACCACACTTTGAGGATTTCTGTGCAATAGGATGGAGGATAGAGTATCTAACTCAACCTAGAAGATGGTGAGATTTTCCTAGAGAGACAAAAGAAGAAGGGGCCCTCCAGGCACATGAGGGCTGCGTGGGGAGGGTGGGTCATGATTTTGGAGTTGGGGCCTGTGGGTCGATAGCGAAGAAAGGTAAAAGGTGGATAACAAAGGGTAGGACTGGTTTTTGGTCCAGGGCCAAACTTGGGTTTCTGCAAAAGTGTAGTCAAATCCACAATGTCCTTTGGCAAAAGAGTCACCGAACCAGGCAAGGCCCGTCTGCCTACTTCTGGGTCTGGCAGCTGTCGTGTGCCTGTGTAATAGACATAATGAGAGTTGGAAGCAAGAAATAAAGTGACTCTATCTTGCTTTCCATCTCTCCCAACTCCTAACATCGGCTTTCCGCTGGAACAAAGTCTGCTTTGTCCCGTGGTTCCACCCAGCTGCGGGCTGCAGGAGGCCTTTTTCTTGCAGAGAGAGGGCAGCGCAGCTGCATCAGCAGGGACCACACTCCAGACCTCCAGGCGTGCACTCTGCAGTTCAGAACGCTGGAGGTTTGGAGGACTGTGGTTGTATCAAAACTCAGATCAATATTTTTTTTTTGAGATAAGCGTCTCACTTTGTCACCCAGGCTGGAGAACAGCGGTGCAATCTTGGCTCACTGCAATCTCCACCTCCCAGGTTTAAGCGATTCTCGTGCCTCAGCCTGCTGAGTAGCTGGGTTTACAGGTGTGGTGCCTGCCACCACACCTGGCTATTTTTTTTTTTTTTTTGTATTTTTAGTAGAGATGGGGTTTTACCATCTTGGTCAGGCTGGTCTCAAACTCCTGACCCCAGGTGATCTGCCCATTTTGGCCTCCCAAAGTTCAAAAATCAATATGATTTTTTTAACTTTCCAGCTAGGAACTTAACATTTGTGGCAGCTGCTTTGCTGGCCCTGAGCAATTGGTGGCTAATCTTTAGAACCCTAGAAGGAAGAACCTAGAATTTGTAAATTCTCTCATTAAACGAGATTGGTTGGATAATTGCCTTTTTGGTCTTAAACGGTTTTTACTTTCTTTAATCTTGGGTTTGCATTATGTGTGGGGGCAAACATCTTTGATTCTACAAGTCAGGGAGTCTGTTCTTAATTTCACCTCTTAGATCATGAAATACAATTGAGGGTGGGATGAGGCAGGAGGATGGGGTCAGAGCCGCTTTTGAAATACAAGGGAATTTTCCTTCCAGAAATGTCCCTCTGTCGCAGGCCTTTGGGGGATGTGCCAGAACCTTATTATTATTATTTTTTTGAGATGGAGTTTCGCTCTTGTTGCTCAGGCTGGAGTGCGATGGCACCATCTCGGCTCACTACATCCTCTGCCTCCCAGGTTCAAGTGATTCTCCTGCCTGAGCCTCCGGAGTAGCTGGGATTACAGGCATATGCCACCATGCCCGGCTAATTTTGTATTTTTAGTAGAGATGGGGTTTCGCTATGTTGGCCAGGCTGGTCTTGAACTCCTGACCTCAGGTGATCCACCCGCCTCGGCTTCCCAAAGTGCTGGAATTACAGGCATGAGTCACTGCATCTGGCTCCAGAA
Source organism: Homo sapiens (assembly GCF_000001405.40). NCBI lineage: Eukaryota > Metazoa > Chordata > Mammalia > Primates > Hominidae > Homo > Homo sapiens. The sequence goes on along the minus strand of NC_000021.9, from coordinate 31,513,719 downwards.
CCTTATTTTTACAAGTAGGTCTAGATTGACCCTAAAGAAAACAACTGAAGGGCATGGTATCTGTACAAGAGTTTCCATTAAAACAGATCCAGAAGTTAGCTCTTTCAATATAGGTATATTCTGGTTTCTAAGGAGCTAATTTTGACAGTCTGATTCTACTGCTAAAGAACATGGAAGGGATGATGACTGCTGAAAGGGTGAGAGCTTGTGGGTCACCCTCCTGAATGGCAGGGCTGTTTGTTTAAGAGTTTGCATTTCACAACATGGTAGCATTGAAACTCAAGAGGAAGTTCGCTTAATAGCGAACAGGGGCACCTGAGATAGTGAGAAAATTGATGAAGAAATCAATTAGAGCAGCACAGACTAGTGGACTGGAATCCCAGCTCTTAACTTTGGGCAGGTAGCTTCTCTGGGCCTCAGTTTCCCCACCTGTAAAATGGTGTCATATAGTTTACCTATTTCATAGGGTCATTGTGAGGATTAAATGAGTTAATATTTGTGAAGGGTTTAAAATAGTGTCTGGAACATGGTACGTGTATATGTATGGAACATATATATATGGCATGTGTGAAAATGTTTATTAAACAAAATAAATAGCATTGCTTTAGAAGTTAAGAATTATGTTAAAAAAGAGTAAATGTTAAACTTCACTGAATTTTTAGCATAGAGCAGTTAGCCCTCTGGAAGCCTGTTTCCTCATAGTCTTTAGTGTCCAGTCTCATATTGTTTATTTTAGAACATTATAGTTTTCCCTATGGTTAGAAAAGACTGTCTTTGGCTGGGTGCCGTGTGTCGTGCCTGTAATCACAGCACTTTGGGAGGCTGAGGTAGGAGGATCACTTGAGCTCAGGAGTCTGAGACCAGTCTGGGCAACATGGTGAAATCCCGTCTCTACCAAAAATACAAAACAAACAAACAAACAAACAAAAAAACACCTAACTAGGCATGGTGGCTTGCAACGGTTGTCCCAGCTACTTGGGAGTCTGAGGCGGGAGGATTGCTTGAGCCTGGGAGGTGGAGGTTGCGGTGAGCCAAGATCACGCCACTGCACTTTAGTCTGGGTGACAGAGTGAGACCCTGTCTCAAAAAAAAAAAAAAAAAAGAAAAGAAAAAAGAAAAAGACAGGACTGTCTTTGACTCTGGAAAAGAAAAGAAGGTCCCGGGAGTTTTCCTCAGAATTTAGTCCCTGGAGTTAAATATTCTGAAAAAATGAAGTAGGAAGGATTTTGCAGAGGGCTGTGTCCGTAGTTTTCAAACTGGGTCACAGGCCATTCATTGATTTATATAGTGCTGTTGTGACAACAGTAAAAATAAAATTGTGGCCAGATGAGATGGCTCATACCTGTAATTCCAGCACTTTGGGAGGCCGAGGCGGGTGGATGACTTGAGCCCAGGAGTTTGAGACCAGCCTGGGCAACACAGGGGAGGCCCCACCTCTACAAAAAGTGAAAAAAAATTAGCTGGGCATGGTGATATGTGCCTGTAGTCCCAGCTACTTGGGAGGCTGAGGTGGGAGGATCGCTTCAACCTAGGAGGTCAAGGCTGCAGTGAGCCAAGATTGTACCACTGTACTCCAGCCTGGGCAACAGAGTGAGACCCTATCTCAAAAAATAAAATAAACAAATAAAATAAATTGCAGTAGGATAAGGAAATTCAGTGCATCCCAGGCAGCTTAGGTAAATGTCTTGTCAACGTTTTTGTGTGTGACATACCCAGGAGTTTGCCACGGGCTGTGGTTTGCCACTTGACCCTAACCTGCCACTCTCCTTCGTGCCCATGGCTGAGATGGTGTCTCTCTTGTCTATTTCTGCCTGTCACTTCCAGCTGATTTTTCAAATAGATTCTCAAATTAAATTTTGTTGTTATAATATTTTTCCCTTGCCCTAGCAACGAGGTGTAAGTTTGGGACATTTTAATCATTTAGGAATGTTTCCTTTGTATTATTACATTTTCCCTTTCTGCAAAGTGCCTTCCTGGAACTTTGGTGAATTTTAAGGTTACACATGATCAGTCCAGGATCGGGGAGGCCCGACCCAGGATTCTTCGGGATTTCACATACAACTGAGAGAAGCATACGTCGGTGACATAACTCTTTGTCAGGACTTATCAAACCCATGCATAGCTTGGACTCGGTGCCAGGCATTGATTGCTGCGTAAGTATTGCCTCATGTGATTTTCCTAGCAGGATGAGCTAGATACTATTATTATCATGCCCTTTTTACAGATGAGGAAAACTGAGGCCCTGGGGGTGTGTCTTGGCCAAGGTCAGATGTCTGGTAAGGGACAGACCAAGGTTCTGAACCCAGGCAGTCTGGCCACAGAGTCCGCACTAAGAATTCCTCTGCTAGGCTGTATTGCAAGTCAATTATTGAATTTTATTAGAAGGAAATAGTGTTGACGGAGGCTTTCTATGTATGGCTAAGCGGCCTCAAGAGGTCTGAACCTTTAGTGCCCAGCCAACTGCTCACCCTGGTTTCCTAGGGCTGAGTGTCCTAGGGTTGCCCTAACAAAGTGCCACCAACAGGGTGACTTAGAACAACACAAGTTTATTCTCTCGTTGTTCTGCAGGGCACAAGCCCAGACTCAGGGTGCCCGCGGCATTGGTTCCTCCTGTGATGCTGTGTAGAATCCTTCTTTGCCTTTTCCTAACTTATGGTGCTTCCCAGCAACCTATGGCATTCTTTGACTTGTCTCTCTTCTGTTGCCACATGGCGTTGTCCTATGTGTCTCTGCTTTCAAATGGTTACCTTCACTGTGTGTATCTTTGTGTCTTTTTTCTTCTTGCAAAGACACCAGTCATAGGAACTCAGGGACCACCCTACTCCAATATGTCCTCATCTTAATGAATTACATCTGCAAGACATGATCATAAAAAGTAAACAGTTTTTTTTGTTTTTTTTTTTTTGAGATGGAGTTTCACTCTTGTAGCCCAGGCTGGAGTGTAGTGGCATGATCTCAACTCACTGCAACCTCCGCCTCCTGGGTTCAAGCAATTCTCCCGTCTCAGCCTCCTGAGTAGCTGGGATTACAGGTGCTTGTCACCACGCCCGGCTAATTTTTTGTATTTTTAGTAGAGACGAGGTTTCATCTTGTTGGCCAGACTGGTCTCAAACTCCTGACCTCAGGCAATCCATCCGCCTTGGCCTCCCAAAGTGCTGGGATTACAGGTGTGAGCCCAACAGTTTTCAAATGAGGTCTGTTATGGGCTGAAATGTGTTCCCCCAAAACTTCCTATGTTGAAACTTCATATGTTGAATCCCGAACCCTCATTACGCCAGAATGTGATTGTATTTGGAGACAGGACTTCTAAAGAGATGATGAAGTGCAAATGAGGTCCTTAGGGTGGGCTCTAATCCATCTGACCGTTGTCCTTATGAGTAGAGGAAATTTGGTCATAGAGGCACCAGGGATGTGCACGCACAGAGGAGAGGCTGTGTGAGGACACAGCGAGAAAGAAGGCAGCCATCTGCCAGCCGAGGAGAGGCCTCAGGAGAAACCACCCTGCTGGCCCTTTGGTCGCGGACTCCAGTCTCCAGAACTGTAAGATAATAAGTTGCTGTTGTTCAAACCACCTAGACTCTGGTATTTTGTTATGGCAAGCCTAGCAAACTGATGCAGTTACATTTACGGGTACCCCGGGTTAGGACTTCAGCATATCTTTTTGGGGGATGCACTTCAGAACCATAGCACCAGGCTTTGCTGTCAGGAGGTCCTTTGATGGCTGTGCCTCATAAAAGATGCTAGTTCTGGTCTGGGGTTGTGATTTTCATGTCTTTTCTGCCTGGGCACTAGTACCTCTGCCTGAGATAGATAAACACACTCTCGTGGTGGGGAGGGGCCCAGCGGTAATTGGCTGACTCATCCCTGAAGTTCTGCGGCTCTCCAGGCACGTGGAATTTACTGGTAGAAAGAACTGTCCTTCCAGGTAGGGGGCGCCCCTGAGAGAGAAACATGCAGCCCCGTCTTTGTTGCAAGGGAAGGGCCTCTGACTTTTATCCCTTTTAGAGATGATCTCTGTCTGACAGTGTAGACAAAGCACAGGGCATTGGAACTGTCTTAACTCCCTGCCTCTCTCTCCTCTCTGTGGGTCCTTGATGCCTGCAGGGGACTGAGAGAGGCGTGCCTCGGGAAGGAGATGAGGCATGAGACATGCTATGAAACGGCTGGTTATTTTTACTTCCTGCCTGGGTGTGGGTGTTTGTGTTGACAGTGGCGGAGGAGGTGCAGTGATGAGTGCTGGAACAGTTGGGTGCCCGAGGAGCGGGTGGGAAGTGGCGCCTGTGCCAGGCAGGTGACTTGGTGCTCACATGGCCCTTGAGTGGGTCCTGGGGGCTTTGCAGGACTCCAGGAGAGCTGGGTTTGCACCTCTGCCGGGGGATGTCTGCTTCCTTTTTCCATGTCATATTCAGGAGGCTTCCCCATGCCATGCCTGATCCATCCAACAGGGTGAGACACTCCCAGCTGTAGTAGTGGTTCCCTAAATGGGTGAGTCTCCCTGGGGTGACCTCCCAGTCTCAGCAGGTAGGGTTTGTCGGGTAGTCCTGAAGAACCGTTGTGCAGGGTGCCCTCCATACCCCATAATCTCCACCACGGAGGCACGCAGATACTCCAAATGTATTCAAACATAGATCTCATGGAAAATCAGTGGCCTGCTCTATGACCCAGCTTTAAGACTCATTCCCTCCAGGGGGTCTCACCTCTTGCTGGCTTCTCTAGACATGGGGGTGGAGGCATTTTTGTTCATGACAAGGCATGGGGGAGGGGCAGGTGAGTTCGTAGCACAGCCCAGTTTGCTAAATGTCCTGCAGCAAGTCATATCTTAATACCAATAGTGTGCGCATAGGTCTCCCATGGGGGTGATCAGGAACTGCCCTGTGGGCTAGCTTGAAAAAGACTCCGTGGGAACCTTAGGACCACTTCAACGCTAGGATCTCGGATATAGTCTAAGGGCACACTCACCCTACAGAGTCAGAAGCTGAGACCCAGGTCCACAGGCCAGGATCGAAAGTTGGTTAGAAATTTCAAGATGAGTCTGGGCGCGGTGGTTTATGCCTGTAATCCTAGCACTTTGGGAAGCAGAGGCGGGCAGATCACCTGAGGTCAGGAGTTTGAGACCAGCCTGGCAACATGGAGAAACCCCATCTCTACTGAAAATACAAAATTAGCTGGGTGTGGTGGTGGCTTATGCCTGTAATCCCAGCTACTTAGGAGGCTGAGGCAGGAGAATCGCTTGAACCCGGGAGGCGGAGGTTGCAGTGAGCCGAGATTGTGCCATTGCACTCCATCCTGGGCAACAAGAGCCAAATTCTGTCTCAAAAAAAAAAAAAAAAAAGAAATTTCAATATGAAAACCTAGTTCTTTATTTCTCTATCTCTCTCCTCCCCACTCCAAGGAAAGGTAGAAAAGAATCCAACCTAGGACTACGTTCCACCCTGTAGGGTTTCCTAGGGCTGTGCTAACAGAGTACCATGGAGGGGAAGCGTCAAGCAATGCAAATGTAGTCTCCCACAGTTCAGGAGGCTCGAAGTCCACGACTGAGGTGTGAGCAGGGCCACGTTCACTCTGAAGGCTCTAAGGAAGAACCTGTCCTTCCCTCTTCCAGCTTCTGGTGGCTTCCTCAGTGTGCAGCTGCGTCCTTCCTGTCCCTGTCTGTGTCTTCCATGTCCTCCTTCCCCATGTCTGTCTGTGTCCAAGTCTCCCTCTTTTTATTAGGACATTGGTCATTAGAATAGGGCCCACCTTAAGCCAGTATGACTTCATCTTAACTTGATTATGTCTACGAAGACCCTATTTCCAGTTGGGTCACAGTCACAGGTTCTGGGAGGTAGGACAGGTAGGACTTCAGCATATCTTTTAAGGCACTCAATTCAACCCACAGCACACACCCACCCCTGGGCTACCACCCTAAAACACCTTCCCATAATATGATTGATGGCAGAGTTACTGCTGCCTGCGTCAGTTTCACTGTTGTCTGTCTGCTCCAGATAGCTGCCTGTGATCTGATTCCTGTCTGTCCCTCCTGCTAGACTGTGAGTCCCAAGAGGACGGGGACCATGACTTTAGGTCATGATTGATCGTATCCCAGGTACATAGCCCAAGGCCTACCATATAATTGGTGCTGAATAAACATTAGTTGAATAAAAAAGAAAACATATTTTGCTATTAGTTGTAGTTATGGAGAAGTGTGATATAATTTTAAAAGGGACCAGACATGGTCCCTTTTACAGGCTCACACCTGTAATCCCAGCACTTTGAGAGGCTGAGGTGGGCAGATCACTTGAGGTCAGGAGTTCAAGACCAGCCTGGCCAACATGGTGAAACCCCATCTCTACTAAGAATACAAAAAAATTAGCGGGGCATGGTGGCAGGTGCCTGTAATCCCAGCTACTCAGGAGGCTGAGGCAAGAGAATTGCTTGAACCCAGGAGGCAGAGGTTTCATGAGCTGAGATCCTTGCACTGCACTCCATCCTGGGCGACAGAGAAAGACTCTGTCTCAAAAAAAAAAAAAAAAAAAAAAAAAAAAAAAAAAAAAAAAAAAATTAAAAAGGTGCATGCACCTCAAAAAATTAAAAATAGAATTACCATATGATCTAGCAATTTCACTTCTGGGTCTCTACCCAAAAGAATTGAAAGCAGACACTTAGAGAGATATTTGCATACCCACGCACATAACAGCATTATTCACAATAGCCAAAAGAGGAAGCAACCCAAGTGTCTGTTGATTGAGTGGGTCAACAAAATGTGTATACGTACAGTGGAATATGATTTAGCCTTAAGAAGGGAGTTTTTTGTTTGTTTGTTTGAGACAGGGTCTCCCTCTGTCGCCCAGGCTGGAGTATAGTGGCACGATCTCGGCTCACTGCAACCTCTGCCTCCCGGTTAAAGTGATTCTCCTGCCTCAACCACCCAGGTAGCTAGGATTACAGGCTTGCGCCACCATGCCTGGCTAAGTTCTGTATTTTTAATAGAGATGGGGTTTCACCATGTTGCCCAGGCTGGTCTTGAACTCCTGACCTTGAGTGATTCAACTGCCTCAGCCTCCCAAAGTGCTGGGATTACAGGCATGAGCCACTGTGCCTGGCCAAAAAGGAAGGAAATTCTGACACATGCTACAACATGGATGAATCTTGAAGACATTACGTTAAGTAAAATTAGCCAGACACAGAAAGAGAAATACTATGTGATTCCACTTGTATGAGGGACCTAGAGTAGTGAAATTCAAGGGAGTTTGTGTTGGACGGGTATAGACTTTCAGTTTAGCAAGATGGAAAGAGTTCGGAAGATGGATGTTGGTGATAGTTGCACAATAATGTGAATGTACTTAATAACACTGAACTGTACACTTAAGAAGGGTTAAGATGATAGATGTTATGGTATATGTATTTCTTATACCTTAAAAAAAGATATGGAAGGGAGGAAAAAGATGCAGATGCATATGTGTGTGTGTGTGTGTGTGTACGTGTGTGAGAGTGCGTGAGTTTAGAGAGAGTGCTATTAGGGATGGGAAGAGAGATGGAAATGGGGAGGGAGCCTGTGTAGGTGGCTGATTTCCTGCTGTGAAGAGGAGTCGTGCTGGGCAGAAAACTATGAGGGCAGCCATCAGTGCCTGGGTTGTAATCAGAGCTTTGTCTCCAGCAAGCTGTGGGACCTTGAGCAAGTTGGTCGTTTCCTGTTGTGCGCATCAGCCTTTTTTTTTTTTTTTTTTTTTGAGGCAGAGTCTCACCGTGTCGCCCAGGCTGGAGTGCAGTGGCCCAAGATCTTGGCTCAGTGCAACCTCCGCCTCCTGGGTTCAAGCATTTTTCCTGCCTCAGCCTCCCAAGTAGCTGGGACTACAGGCACCCGCCACCACGTCCGGCTAATTTTTGTAATTTTAGTAGAGACGGGGTTTCATTCACTGTGTTGGCCATGCTCGTCTCGAACTCCCGACCTCAGGTGATCCGCCCGCTTCAGCCTCCCAAACTGCTAGGATTACAAAAAAAATCTGATGCCGTGCCCGGCCTGGCATCAGCTTTTAAAATGAGCTGGAATAGTAACCTTTGATGATCTTTCCATCTAAGAAAACTTCAGAGGCTTTAAACATCTAAGACGGTAATGCTGATCCACTGATTTTTTCCCCCACAATTCTCTGCAATGTCTACACTCAATGAGTGCTCTTCCAATTCCATGGGCTCCAGAGTGTGCTGGTTGAAGTAGTTATCTTAGTCATCTTTTTGGTCAAGAATTCCCTGTGTTTGTGAATGACACCAGTGAGCTTGGCTTAAGAAGAATACATTTACTTTTTTTTTTCTTGATCTCTCTTTGCTCTTTGTTTATCCAGTTTCCAGGTCTTCTAGTTTTAAAATTTCCTTGACCTTTCATATCTTTTAACATTTATACTTCTTGGTCTTAGAATCTAATTATTCATGCTGATGATAATATCTCCTGTAGAGAGCTAAGCTTTTTTGCATGAGTTATATCATTGAATCCTATGTCAACACTGTGAGGTGGATTCACGATCTCTATCTTGTAGGTGAGGAAACTGAGGGTTAAGTAGCTTGCTTGGCCTTGTGGTCGCCCGGCCAATCAGTGGCTGAGTTGTGATTGAATCTGGTTTGTTCTTAGCTACACACCATGGGATGCTGCTTTAGGCCCATGGGGTCCTCACTCATTCTGTGTCCTAAGTCCCTTTATGACAGGGATTGTATCTTTTTATTTTTGGTGTTTCTGAGGTCTCCAGTGCGGGACTGTCAGAGGCTAATAACAAATTTGTTGAAGGTACTTGCTAATTTCTTTAAAAGTGGTCATTTCTGTCTTGCAGTATCAGGGCAGGAGTATCTATTATGTGGAGGAGACCATAGCTGTCAAGTTCTTAGCTTCTGGGAGAAGGGTCAGGTTTCTCTAGAAGTTTTTTCTTTTTTTTAGTAACAGTGGTTATTAGCAAGCATGAGATCCTGAAAAAATGCAGGCCGATGAATACTACTTTAACATCCAAAGAAGAAAGGGATGACTTGGGATCTGAACGTAGAAAAAACCAAACTGAGTTCTGCATTTCCCCCTCCACTGCAGAAGTCATCAGCCCCTGGTGCAGTCAGAGACATTGACCTGGAGAACTACCCTTGGTTCCACTGGGTTGAGCTAACTGGGAAGTAGGAGCTTTACCAGCTTTGGAAGTTTTCATGTTTTAGTCTTTTCAGATCTAACAGAGGAGCGACCTAGATCCCAGCTCCCCATATTGCTTCTGCTTCTTACAGTGGCATTCTTGAACTTGGAGGAGGGGTGCATTGCCCTCAAGGTGGCTTCTGAAATTGCCAGGTAGCGAACTTGTTGTACCTTCTTTTTGACATAGTGGCAGCCCATCCTTGAAAAGTATCGGGGAATGAATTACCCCAAAGGGTTGGATTCCTCACTTCTCAGCGGCCATGCCCCCTCTTCTGGATGCACCCTTGCATCTCTGTGAAGATTAAATCAGATCTCCCTTTTACCTGCAAAGGCAACCCCTCTCAGGCTGTTGTTCATTGTAGGCCTGGGTTGCCTTGTAACACATATGCCAGCAAGCAGGAACCTGTCAGTCCTCAGCAAGTCAAGACAGACAGCATGCCAGCCCTTTGCACGCCCATGCTTAACTTGGAGAGCGCTCATGCTTCATCTGGAAGATTCAGGCTCTTGTTCACTGTAAGGTTGGGCAGGGATTGGCAGGAGGGACAGTTACTCTTTTATCCCTTTGTGAATGATACCATATAAGCATTAGAGATCTGCTCTGGGAAAGTGGATGGGCTGATCCCAACTCTTCCATTGGAATACCTAGGATAGTTAGTCTATCAAATCGTGCTTAGAATTTTGGACGTGGAAGGGGTCATAGTCTGGTCCTCACTTTTTTTTTTTAAACATAAATTAACCTATTTATTTTAGGCTAGTGATGTCTCAAATGGTGGTGTTTCTCCTGGTCTTTCAACCTCTCCAGTCTTCTGAGGGCGGACTTTACTGTGATGATGAAGAGGTATTGTGGGTCCTGACACTGTCAGCCACTGTTTTCATGCAGGATGCACAGTGCTGGATCCCTACAGCCTGCCGTTTTGGTTTTGTCAGAGAAAAAGCAAGTGTATTTTGGAGTGCTGATTTCAGGTCCCTCCCCTCCCCTCCCCTCCCCTCCTCTCTTTCTCTTTCTCTCTTCTTTCCCTCCTTCCCTCCCTTCCTTCCTTCCTTCTTTCCTTCCTTTCTCTTTCTCTTTTTTTCTCTTTCTCTTTCTCTCTTTCCCTCCCTCCCTCCCTCCCTTCCTCCCTCCCTTCCTTCCTTCCTTCTTTCCTTCCTCTCTCTTTCTCCTCTTCTCTTCTCTTCTTTTTCTTTTCTTTCCTCAGTTTACTCTGTTGGCCAGGCTGGAGTGCAGTGGCACAATCTCGGCTCACTGCAACCTCCACCTCCCGGGTTCAAGTGATTCTTGTGCCTCAGCCTCCTGAGTAGCTGGGATTACGGGCACGCACCACCACACCTGGCTATTTTTTTTATTTTTAGTAGAGACGGGGTTTTGCTGTGTTGGCCAAGCTGGTCTTGAACTCCTGATCTCAAACGACCCACCCGCCGCAGCCTCCCAAAGTGCTGGGATTACAGGCGTGAACCACCGCACCCAGCCTTCTTCACCATTTTCCTAAGGGAGACACAATAGCGGATTATGGACAATTTTGACCTTGGTACATTTAGCCATGTCACTGCAACATACATCAGAGCCCAGGGTGTGGCTCTCACAGCAGGCGTGAGCCACTGCGCCCATCCTTTTTTTTCCTCTATTTTTGATTTGGCCCCTGCCAAGTCAATTTCATCATCCTAACTCAAGTAAGAGCTTGGAATGTGAGGGTGCCTTGCTTGACTGATTGGCTTTCTTTAAACTTCCTTTGCTCTCCCTTTGATGAGATGCTCCTAAGCAGAGAAATGGCTGGCAACCAAAATTGGAGAGTACAGCCACCTGGATTAGCAATCCTTGAATCATTAGGATCTGATTGTAAAGGGAAACTACGAAATGCTTTAAAGGGTGCAATCCGGAGTGAACCAGGAAACTCAAGACGGATGATCTAGGCATAATACATCTTAAGGCAGCGTCCTGAATGGAGCAGAAACTCCTCTCACCTGACTCATTATCTAGGCTTCGTGATCTCCTTTTTTTCCTAGCTGAAATCCTGTCCTTAGTTCCATTTTCCTCATGCTTGGTGCTGACCCAGATTTGGGGGAGGGTGGTAGGAAGTGGTAGGTGATGGTGGTGGTTGTGGTAGTAATGGACATGGAAGTCAGCCCTCTCTTAAAATTGCTTCCAGGCTGGGTGCGGTGGCTTACACCTGTAATCCCAGCCACTTGGGAGGCTGAGGCCGGGATAATTGCGTGAGCCCAGGAGTTCGAGGCTGCCGTGAGCCTAGATTACCTCACTGCACTCCTGCCTGGGCGACAGAGCGAGACCCTGTCTCAAAAGATAAATAAAAAACAAATAATAAAATTGCTTCCTTCCTGACAGTGTTTGTGGGCCCCTAAAATGTCCTCTCTGGTATTTCTCCTTTTACCTTTTTTTTTCTTTAAGATATGTTACTTGGCGGACTGGTTTGGTAACCTTATTAGAACTGAAGCTATTGAGTCATTAATTCTGCCAGTTGAATTCCTTGACACTGGAACTTTCCCCCAGCTCTCAAAACAGCTAAGTGAAACCTGGGGGAGAATAAATAGGATGGACAAGGCAGTGCCTGCTCTTAGTCTTACCCTGATTAAATTCCCAGGTGGCTGCGGATGGGGCATTCAGCCCGTTGGTCCCACATTTCCAAGCAAGTGGCTTCTTTGTTGTTGGTAAAAACCACTTTACAAGGCTGGGCGCAGTGCTCACGCCTGTAATCCCAGCACTTTGGGAGGCCGAGGTGGACAGATCACCTGAGGTCAGGAGTTCGAGACCAGCCTGGCCAACATGGTGAAACTCCGTCTCTACTAAAAATACAAAAATTAGCCAGGCGTGGTGGTAGATGCCTGTAATCCCAGCTACTCTGGAGGCTGCGGCAGGAGAATCGCTTGAACCTGGGAGGTGCAGGTTGCAGCGAGCCGAGATCGCGCCACTGCACTCCAGCCTGGGCAACAGAGCGAGACCCTGTCTCAAAAAACAAACAAACAAACAAACAAACAAACAAAAACCACTTCATGGATTTGGTGGGTTCCAGTGAGAAATACCAGTTTTGTCTTGAGAGAACAACAGGTAGATACGAAAGGCCAAAGAAAGCCGTCGAGCTTGGGTCACTTTGGTCAATCAGGCCCAAAGGTCACTTTTTTTCCTCCTAGTTGTGTAGATGCCTAGAAAAGTGATTTTCTGCTTTGCGTTGACTCTCTCCCCCTTCTCTTCTTTCCATCCTGATTGACCTGTGGCTTGCTGAGAGCCCATTCCGTTTTTAAAAACAAAAAAAATCCAGCACCCCGGTTCTTCACCGTTGTAACTGAGCAGCATTGGTAAGGGGCTCCTGGAGGGTGCAATGTACGTGGGGTGTGAACCAGCCTCTGCAGTAATGGAATGTGTGGTCCTGACCTTCTGGACTGCATCTGAAGGTCCTTCTTTCGCTGTATCTTTATCCCTTGGGGGAATCATTAACCCCAAATGGTGGCGAGTCCAATATGAGAGGGGCAGGGAGGAGGAGAGAGGGAAAAAAAAAGAACCAACAAAACACCCACATTTCTCTTTCTGCTGCCAGGGCGTGTTAGCAAAGATAGCCTTTCCTGAAATGTTATTTATTAGTTGCCTTTGTAAAAGTGTCCTGTTTTCTCAGGCAAGTCAAGAATTTGGTTTTTGTAGAGGGGAGGAGGATGTAGCTGTTTCCTCGGACTGCCGTTATAACATAGCACAAACTGGTAGCTTCCAACAGCAGAAATGAATCCTCTCACAATTCTGGAGGCCAGAAGTCCAAAATCAAGATGTCGGCCAGGTAGGTTCATTCTGACGGCTCCGTGGGACCGTCAGTTCCATGCCTCTTCCTAGTTTCTGGTGGTTTCTCTGAAAGCTTTGGAGTTCCTTGACTTGTAGAGGCCTCCCTCCATTTTGTGCCTCCATCATCCCTGTGTGTCTCTGTCTCTCCTTGTCCTCCTCCTGAGGATGCTAAACATACTGGATTAAAAGACTGCTGTGCCCCAGTGTGACCTCTTCTTAACTTGACCACATCTGCAGTGACCTTGTTTCCAGATAAGGTCATATTCCAAGCTACTGGGGATGTAAAGTAAGGACTTCAACATATCTTTCTGGGAGACCCGGTTAAACCCCTAACAGAGGACTTGTGTGCTGGCCTGATGTCAGCTGACAAAGGGGAAAAGCCTCGTTGGCCAAGGGTCTACTGCATGGCGGATGCTGTGTTAGACCCTTGCAGCTTCACCTTTTTGAAGGTTGCTGTTGTTCTTTCCAGAGAAAACTGAGTTTCAGGAGTGAAGTAGCTGACCCAGTCATATGCTGCCTGTCAGTGAAGAGCTGGGCCCGAATCCAGCTTTCTGACAGCAAGCTGGCCTTTCCAAGGGTGTACTTGTCCTCCTTTGCTACCACTCCTCTTTGTTTTTATTTATTTTATTTTATTTTTTGAGATGGAGTCTCGCTCTGTCACCCAGGCTGGAGTGCAATGGTGCGATCTTGGCTCACTGCAACCTCTGTCTCCTGGGTTCAAGTGATTCTCCTGCCTCAGCCTCTGAGTAGCTGGGATTACAGGTGCCCGCCACCATGCCCAGCTAATTTTTGTATTTTAGTGGAGACAGGGTTTCACCATGTTGGCCAGGCTGGTCTTGAACTTCTGACCTCAGGGGATTTGCCGCCTTGACCTCCCAAAGTGCTGGGATTACAGGCGTGAGCCACTGCATCCAGCTGTTTTTTTTTTTGTTTTCTTCTTCTTTTTATTTCCTAAGACGGAGTCTTGTTCTGTTGCCCAGGCTGGAGTGCAGTAGCTCGATCTTGGCTCACTGCAACCTCTGCCTCCCAGGTTCAAGCAATTCTCCTGCCTCAGCCTCCTGAGTAGGTGGGATTACAGGGGCACACCACCACACCTGGCTAATTTTTGTATTTTTAGTAGAGATGGGGTTTCACCATGTTGGCTAGTCTGGTTTTGAACTCCTGACCTTGTTATCCGTCTTCCTCGGCCTCCCAAAGTGCTGAGATTACAGGCGTGAGCCACCGTGCTCAGCGTTTTTTTTTTTAGTCTTAATTTTTTTTCAGAGACAGGGTCTTGCTTTCTGGTCCAGGCTGGAGAGCAGCAGCGTGACCGTTGCTCACCATAACCTTGAACTCCTGGTCTCAAGTGATCCTCATGCCCCCGTGCAGCGTGTACTGCCATGCCTGGCTAATTTTTGGTATTTTTTATAGAGATGCGATTTCACCGTGTTGCCCAGGCTGGTCTCAAACTCCTGGGCTCAAGTGATTTGTCCACCTCAGCCTCCCAAAGTGCTGAGATTACAGGTGTGAGCCACTGTGCCTGGCTGTATCTTTGTTAAAGTATGTCATTTATGTGTAAATGTGTCTCCTTCATAGCACCCCAGGGAGATGGGGTGAGGACCTTCCCCATCCCTTGTGATTGGTGTTTGTCTCCCTCCACTGGACTAGGAGCTCCTCAGCTCTGTCTTTCCAGGCTTTGCTCACTGACTGACAGAGCCAATGCTCAAGGTATCTTTGCCAAATAAATAGATCCCATCATCTTAATGTTCTGGGGGAAAAGGACCCTCTTTTCTTTCCTTTCTTCCTTTCCCCCTCCCCTCCCCTCCCCTCCCCTCCCTTCTCTTCTCTTCGCTCTTTTCTTTTCTTTTCTTTCTTCTTTTGATGGAGTCTCGCTCTGTAGCCCAGGCTGGAGTGCAGTGGCATGATCTCGGCTCACTGCAACCCCCGCCTCCCGGGTTCAAGCAATTCTCCTGCCTCAGCCTCCCAAGTAGCTGGGATTCCAGGCACCCGCCATCACGCCTGGCTAATTTTTATAATTTTAGTAGAGATGGGGTTTCACCATGTTGGCCAGGCTGGTCTCGAACTCTTGACCTCAGGTGATCCACCTGCCTCAGCCTTCCAAAGTGCTGGCAGTACAGGCGTGAGCCACCGTGTCTGGCCAGGACCCTGTTTTCTCATCCCATGTCTTGACTTCTCACTAGTCCCACACCCTTTTTCAAATACAAATATCAATCACATTTCAGGCTACAGTTCATGTGGTACAAACATGCACAGGTGTGCCCAATCAAATCCTTCCCCAAAGCACTAGAGACTGGGTCATGGAGCCGGGATCTTGGCTGGGAGAGCAACTGTGGGTTTCCTTAAGGGAGAGTGGGGGTGCTGCGGGGTCCCTTGCCTGGTGTTCTGACAATTGGAAAGCCAGATGAGCTCACCATCTTCTCAGTCTGGCTTCTGCAGACAGTAGTACCTTCTTACCTCTCTATGGTTGTCTGAGAGCTTGCTCAAGTCCCATGAAGTTTAACGTGGTGAGTCTAGGCTGGTGAGAAAGTTCATTTGTCCATTCAGAATTGCTTGCTGCTGGAATAATCTGTGATCATCTTGGAAAGCTCTTGCGTAGATCCAAGAATCTCTTTCCTTCAGTGACACACCACCAAATGGCTTGTTGGCTGTTATCTCCAAGGGAGGGAGGCTGCCACTGAAGAGGGTTGGATGCTGTTTACATTCGGGTTTGTCCTTCCAAGGAATGGGATATCCTCCTGAGGGCTTTAGCAGGTTGTGACAGTCACATGGAGGACAGATGTGCAGTGTGTCACATGATTCAGTCACAGAACCAGCAATATCAGCTTGGGGGAACAGGGCTATGGGGAATTGTGGCTTGTAAGTCAATCACATAATTTATTTTATGTGAAAGTTCTGTCCAATTTAGGCTGAAACTTGATAGAACATGTTTTTCCAAGCCCCCAGCTTTACTTGTCTGGAATGCGCCCTTTCTAAACAGGCAACTCTCCAAGCACAGTGGCTCATGAGGTGACATCTGGGCAGCACCCTGCCAGGTGGCTTTTAGCTGATTTCTTATGTGTCTCTGGCCTAAGCCACTCCAAACTGTCTGCTCGCGCTATTATTTTATTATTTTCCTTGAACATATTTTCAAAGTAATTTTATTTCCTTTATTTATATTTTGAATACACAATATGTTCACAAGGTTCAAAATTCAAAATATATAAAAGTAAATAGTGAAAAATCTCCATTCCACTCCATCTCCAACTACCCTGTTCCCTTCTACAAAGAGGTAGTAATGGTACCAGTTTCTTATCTGCCATTACGGATATAACATCCAAATAAATACATATCAGTACCTTTTCCTCTCCACTTCTGAAATGAATGGTGATATTCCATACATCTCATTTTGCATTTTTTTATTTTGCATATTTTTAAAGATCATATCAGTATAACGCTTCCTTACTCTTATAACTATTTGTTTTGATATTATTTCAATTTCAGACTTACAGAAAAGTAGCAAGAATAATGTAAAAAACTTTCATACACAGTTATGCGTTGCTTAACGCTTGGGATATGTTCTGAGAAATGTGTTGTTAGGCAATTGCATCATGGTACAGACAACATAGGGTGTATTTTCCTAAACCTAGATGGTATACCCTACAACACACCTACGCTGGATGATAGCCTAGGGGATCCCCAACCCCTGACCGATACCGGTCAATGGCCTGTTAGGAACAGGGCCGCACAGCTGGAGGTGAGTGGCAGGTGGGTGAGCATTACGGCCTGAACTCTACCTTTTGTCAGATCAGTGGTGGTATTAGATTCTCATAGGAGTGCGAACTCTTATTGTGAACTGCTCATGCGAGGGATGTAGGTTGCGTGCTCCTTATGAGAATCTAACTAATGCTTGATGATCTGAGGTGGAGCAGCTTCATTCTGAAACCATCCTCCCCGACCCCCCACCCCAGTCCATGGAAAAATTGTGCATCTAAACAAAGGAAAGATACAGCAAAAATACAGAATGAAAGAGAAAAAGTGCTACACCCGTATAGGGTGCTTGCCATGAGTGGAGCTTGCAGGACTGGAAGTTGCGGTGAGTGGGTCAGTGAGTGAGTGGTGAGTGAATGTAAAGGCCTAGGACATTCTGGACACTAAAATAGACTATAAATATTGGACACTTAGGCTACACTAAATGTATAAAAATTTTTTTTTCTTTAATAATAACAGTAGCTTACTGTAGCTTTTTAACTTCACAGACTTTAATTTTTTAAAAACTTGACTCTGTTGTAACCTGTTTAAAACATAAGCTCAATGCACAGCTGTACAAAAGATAGTTTCCATTTTTTTTTTTTTTTTTTTTTTTTGAGACAGAGTTGCCCAGGCTGGAGTGCAGTGATGCAATCTTGGCTCACTGCAAACTTCGTCTCCTGGATTCAGTCCCAAGTAACTGGGACTACTGGTGCATGCCATCACACTCAGCTAATTTTTGTATTTTTGGTAGAGATGGGGTTTCACCATGTTGGTCAGGTTGGTCTCGACCACCTGATCTCAAGTAATCCACCTGCCTCAGCCTCCCAATGTGTTGGGATTACAGGCGTGAGCCACCGTGCTTGGCCAGTATTCTCCTTCTTTACATCCTTTTTCTGTACACTTTTTTCTACTTTTAAACATTTTATTTTATTTTTTTAACTTTTTAAACTTTTAGTTAAAAACCAAGATACGGACATACTCATTGGCCTAGGCCTACACAGGAGCAGGCCAGCAGTATCACTGTTGTCCACCTCCACGTCTTGTCCTTGTCTTTTGGGAAACTCTTCAGGGGCAGTGAGAGCTCCATTGTAATCTTTTTTTTTTTTGAGACCCTCACTCTGTCACTCAGGCTGGAGTGCAGTGGAGCGATCTCGGCTCACTGCAACCTCCAACCCCTGGGTTCAAGTGATTCTCCTACCTCAGCCTCCTGAGTAGCTGGGATTATAGGCGCCTGCCCCTGCACCTGGCTAAATTTTGTATTTTTAGTAGAGACGGGGTTTCACTATGGCCAAGCTAGTCTTGAACTCCTGACCTCAGGTGATCCCCCCGCCCCGCCTTGGCCTCCCAAAGTGCCGGGATTACAGGCGTGAGCCACTGCGCCTGGCCTCCATTGTAATAAGAGCACTGTCGTATATGGTTCAGACCACTGTCACTGACTGAAATGTCATCGTGCAGTGCATGAATGTATTGCTGTGGTTCGAATGTGGCCCCTCCAAAATTCAGGTGTTTCTAGTATGATGGTGTTGGGAGGTGGGGCCTTTAAGAGGCGATTAGGCTGTGGAGGCTCCTCTGCCGTGGAGGCTCCTCTGTCGTGAATGGCATTAAGGCCCTTATAAAGGAGACTTTACGCGGCATTTGGCTCTCTTGCCATTCCACCTTCTGCCAGGTGAGAACACAGCGCTGCTCCTCTCTGGAGGATGCCACATCAAAAGGTACCATCTTGGAGGCAGAAAGCAGTTCTCCCCAGACAACTGAATCTGCCGGTGCCTTGATCTTGGACTTCCCAGCCTCCGGAACTGTGAGAAAATAAATTTCTCTTCTTTATAAATTACCTAGTCTCAGGTATTTTGTTGCAGCTGCACAAGCTGATTAAGACATACACGTTACCAAAATTCACCAGTTGTTTGCATTTCATCCCATTTGCTTTATAATTCTCTCTATATTTATCTAAATATGTATCCACACACTTTTACGCCTAACACATTTATCCTCCTACACATTTATATATGCACACTTATACACACACTGTTTTTTCCCTGACCTATTTTAGAGTATTTTGGCAACATGACGTCCCTTTGCTGCCTAAGTACTTCAGTGTGGTGGCCTGAAGAATGAGGACATCCTTGCACGTTCTCAGAGAACCTCTAATTCTATTGCACTTTTCTGCAGGTGTTGCTTTGTGCTAGTTAGGTGGGTATACATTTCTGTTAATTTTTAGGACTCCTTTTTTTTGAGACAGAGTCTCACTCTGTCGCCAGGCTGGAGTTCAGTGGTGCGATCTCGGCTTATTGCAATCTCTGCCTCCGAGGTTCAAGCAGTTCTCCTGCCTCAGCCTCCTGAGTAGCTGGGACTACAGGCATGTGCCACCACACCCGGCTAATTCTTGTATTTTTAGTAGAGACAGGTTTTCACCGTGTTGGCCAGGATGGTCTCCATCTCTTGACCGTGTGATCCACCTGCCTCGGCCTCCCAAAGTGCTGGGATTACAGGCGTAAGCCACTGTGCCTGGCTGATTTTTAGCAGTCTTCTACGCTGACTTTTCCTGCATAGGAGCAGAGAGGTGGAAAGCATCTTACTTTTTCATATCAAGCTGATAAGGTATTCTTTCTTGGACCCATAGCCCTTTCCTGGAGTGTTTGTTCAGCTTCTGTGCTTTCCTCATGTTTGCTTTGGGAGAAAGAGGATTCTTCATTGGAAATAGGAAAAGGGAGGGTTTGTCTTGATCTTGGTGCTTCATCTGTGTGCTTTTTGGATTGGATCACTTGTGGAAGAAGAAGGGGGCAAGAGGAGCTGGCATCATTAGTTAGTGCCTTATGTGTGTTCAGAGCCTGTAGAGGGTACAGAAATAAATTATTAGATGGGCCGGGCACAGTGACTTACACCTGTAATCCCAGCACTTTGGGAGGCCAGGGTGGCTGGATCACTTGAGATCAGGAGTTCGAGACCAGCCTGGCTAACATGGCAAAACCCTGTCTCTATAAAAATACAAAAATTAGCTGGGCGTAGTGGCACATGCCTGTAATCCCAGCTACTGGGGAGGCTGAGGCATGAGAATTGCTTGAACCTGGGAGGTGGAGGTTGCAGTGAGCTGAGATTGCGCCACTGTACTCCAGCCCGGGTGACAGAGTGACACTCTGTCTTTTTTTTTAAAAAAGAAATAGATCTAATTCCTGCCCATAAGAAACCTAACTCACTTTAACAAATATCTGTGGAGCTGTCTACGCTCTACCCACTGTGCTGCCAGCTGTGGTTATACATTCCCTACTTCTGCCCTGAGTGAGTGCAGACGCCACCAGCTGGTCCCTTCTCCAGCTCCAGACCAGGTCACCTGCTGCTGCTGGATCCATTTATTTCTAAAGCACAGCTCCGACGTGTCACTGCCAAGCCAGGCTATTCTTCTAACCCTTCGTTGCCTCTCAAACCAAGGCAGCCTGGCATCTGGTCCTGCAGGTCTTGCCATCTGCTTTTCTTCTAAACCCATGACTTGCCTATACATACCCTGCACTCCAGCTTATCTTGATACTCTACATTGTTCCCAGAATTCTTGTTAAAGTTTTCTGTTTTTTTGTCTTTGCTTAAGCTGTTGCTACCCTCTGAAAATGCCAGTCTACCTAATTTCCATCCTTTGGTTTCCATTTCCGATGCCACCTCTCTCATGACACCTTTCCTGAAATTCTCAATGCGATCTCTTCCTCATTTAAAGCTATCATTTTATATCTTTTTATCATTGATTGATTGTGTGTCTTAGGTTATATGTGTCTGTATTTACCCTTCACTTACTCCTCCCTGCTCCTAATTAGATTATGCATTCTTAGAAGGTAAAATTCATCTTCCTTCATGCTTTCCCTCATTTCTCACCTTCCAGAAAGAGTTCAAGGCCACTAGGGCTGTATCTGAAATATAACTGAATCCTTTGCAGAGCCTGCATGGTACCTGGAATGTAGTTGGCCCTCAGATTACGCAGGATTGAGCTTAATAAAGGTAAGAAGGTCAGTGAGTGGTTTTGATGAACAGACAGTTCCAAGCACTGGAGATATCTGAGAACATACAGATACTCATCATCAACTTAAACGACTTCATTTAAAAAAAAAATACATAACTATTAACTTCATTAAAAAGGCAACTTCATTAAAACACACCTTAAAAAATTATTTATTCCTCCAGATTCTTTCTGGTCTTTTCACTGAGCACGTATGTACCTTCTTTTGGAATCAGTATATATATGATAGATGGATTTTTTTCACTTAACGTGTGTGTGTGTGTGTGTGTGTGTGTGTGTGTGTGTGTGTGTGTGTGTAACCCAAAATATCTCAGGTCTCAATCAATTTAGAAAGTTTATTTTGCCAAGATTAACAGTGTGCCCATGACACAGCCTCAGGAGGTCCTGATGACCTGTGCCCAAGGTGGTCGGGGCACAGGTTGCTTTTATACATTTTAGGGAGAAATGAGACAGCAATCAATATGTGTAAGATGTACATTGGTTTGGTCTGGTAAGGTGGGAGAACTCTAAGCGAGGGGCTTCCAGGTCATAGGTAGATAAGAGACAAAAGGTTGCATTCTTTTGAGTCCTTGATCAGTCTTTAAAGTTTTCTGTTCTTTGTGTAAATTTACACAATTCAGTCTGGTTCAGTGAATCTGCATTCTTACATAAACAGTGTGGTGGAGGAAGCAATCAGATATGCCTTCGTCTCAGGTGAGCAGAGGGATGACTTTCATTCCTGCACCTGTGAAGATCAGCTTTCAGTTCAGAACTGTTTTCGGGTAAAGATCTTGAGGCCCACCAGGAAATTCCAAATTGTGAGGGAGGTATGTAGCTTTTTAAAATCTTTTTAGCTGTCTTATTTAGTAATAAAATAGGAGGCAGGTTTACCTGATGTAGTTCCCAGCTTGACTTCTCCCTTGGCTTAACGATTTTGGGGTCTTGAGATTCATTTTCCTCTCTTTCTCTCTCTCTGTGTGTTCATATACACATACGTATGCATATACATATACATACATATATACACACATCACATATATATATACACACATATATAAGTAATTATTTTTAATGCTTATGTAGTCTCAGGAAGTTAGTTCTTGAAGAATAACCTTGCAGGCACATAGTAGAGAAATTTTCTATCCAGTCAGATGGTGTTATCTTTTGTTTATGTCTGTTTCCTAAGCATGGAGAGTCCTACGTGAAATTCTTATCTTTAACAAGATGATTTATGTACTGATTTATCTAGCACTGTCTCCCCCACCAACCTCCATCCTTGAAAAAATTGCTTTGGAAGATTTTCTTCTCCAAAGTCTCGTAGATTCATCAATCAGTTTTATTTAATGTCTAAACTTGGGGATGACATTTAGCAGTGGGTAGTCTATAAATTGCGAAAGCAAAGAGAGCTTTTGAATCCTGGCTTTCACTGCTCCTTCTCAGATGGCCACAAAGCATCAATTTTCTACCTCTTGAATATGTCATAAAAGATATCAGTTGGTCAGCCTTCTGTTAGGATGAGTTACAGACAGAGTGTGAAGAAAGGAGGGTTGGAAAACAGGTTGGTGACCGACAGGAAGTCATCGTGAAGGTCCTGGTCGCCTGTCCTCTCCGTTCTTCTCTGTGCCTTGCTGGGGATCAGCTCCAGACAATCTGACACATTGTCTTTTGGCTTTAATATGTTTGTAAGATTCCAGACTCTTAGTAATGAGCCTTGGTATAGGGTTCTATCAGTTAGGATGGTTTTGGCTGCTAGAAACAAAACACCCAACCAAACATACCTTAAACAATATGGGGTTTAGTATCTCACATGGTGGTTCCAAGGTTAGTTCATTAATGCAGTGATGGCATCAGAATCATGAGTTCTTTCCACTTTTCTACTCCACTGTCCTCAGGTTCTTTGCTTGATCCTTGGGCTCCTTCCTTCCTTCCCTTCCTTCCCTTCCTTTCTTTCGTTCTTTCTTTCTTTCGACGGAATTTCACTGTGTAGCCAGGTTGGAGCGCAGTGGCGCAATCCCGGCTCACGGCAACCTCCGACTCCCTAGGTCAAGCGATTCTCCTGCCTCAGCCTCCGCCTCTGGAGTAGTTGGGATTACAGGCACGCACCACCACGCCCGGCTAATTTTTGTATTTTTAGTAGAGACGGGGTTTCACCATGTTGGCCAGGCTGGTCTGGATCTCCAGACCTCGCGATCCGCCCACCTTGGCCTCCCAAAGTGCTGGGATTACAGGCGTGAGCCACCACGCTCGGCCAATCCTTGGGCTTATTTCTACACAATAGCAGGGGTGGCAGCTGGAGTTGCAGCACTGCCAGTAATTGCAACAACACTTGAATGAAGAGGCAGGCATTTCTACCAGTTGGCCTCTTTTCATCTGCAAAGAATCCTTCCTGGAACTCCCCAGTCTACTTCCTGTCTTGTTCCATTGGTGGCAGCTGAGTCACATGGCCAGCCCTAACCCAATCACAGGCAAGGAGTAATGGGAGGCTCTCATTGGTTTATATCTGGCTTATTTCAGGCTGGGGCTGGGCAGCGGCGGTTCCCTGAGTCTGTCCTGGCCTGAGAATGAACTTGGATGATCAGTGTTCTGTTGACAGGGAGGGAGGCATCCAAGGGGTGCTCTTGGGAAGGCAACTAGGCATTTATTATTATTATTATGTAAAGGCTAGGTCCAGTCCTGCTGGCAGTCTAAAAAAAATCATTTTATTTCGTGTTTTAATCAATGGTGACATTTGGGTATTTTGAATCTCTGCATTTTTGGGTGTGGTATCTTAAACTTTAGAGATTCTTCTTTAAACTTGAGGATATCTGTAAGAATTTTTTTATAAAGCCACTTAATTATTTTACATAAAGTAGAATTAGAGAGGGCCTCACAGTGACCCCAAGTCATGATCACAGGGCAGGAATAGAAGAATTTGCCTCTCTGAGTTAACAAGAATAATAACAAAAAAGATTTATTAGATAATGGGCACCTCTGCATACAGTAGGTTTTTATGGTGGAAGGAGACTCCAAACAGAATTAACAGTAACACATGTACAAGTTTTTTTGGGAAAAAAATTGGAAAGGCACACTTTTCAGTGAACGCTAGAATTCTTTTCCTTTTTTTTCCTAGAACAAACTTTCATATGAAGGGCTGGATAAAAAAGTCTTCTTTTTCCTCTTACTCCTGCCAGTTAATAAAACTGCTGAAAGACAATTGTAATGATCCGGAAACCTTGTTTTTCTGGAAGTTTCTTCAAGTGCTTTGAGCATGGGCATGAACAGCCAGATGAAGTGGGATGGGGAGGGGAGGGGGATTTGACCTTCCCCTCCAGGGCTCTCCCTCTGGGGACTGTCTGCCCTGAGATGGATGAGGAGCTGACATGCTGTCTCAGACTCCAGGGAGTGTTTATCTTCAGGACCGGATCCTTACAGGTGTGCTGTGAGCGTGGCTTCCTGAGGATGGCTTCCTAAGGTCATGGTTGTAGAGGTATGATGGGTCCAAGAGACCCAGGGTGGCCCCTCCCATCTGCCAAGGGGGGGGGGGTCTGCACTTTTCCCTTAGCACAATTTTCCCTCCCTCCCTCCCTCCCTCCCTTCCTTCCCTCCCTGTCTCCCTCCCTCTCTCTCTTTCTTTCATCTCCTTCTCACTTTCTTTCTCTTTCTTTCTTCTCCTCCTGCTTCTTGTTCTTCTCTTGTTCTTCTTCTTCCCTCCCCCTCCCCTCCCTCTCCTCCTCCTCCTCCTCCTCTCCCCCCCAACCTTGTCTGTCACCAACACTGGAGTGCAGTGGTGTAATCATAGCTCGTTGCAGCCTTGAACTCCTGGGTTCAAGCCATCCTCCTCCGTCAGCCTCCCAAGTAGCTGGGACTGTGGGTGTGCACCACTATGCCTGGCCAAGGTTGCAAAAATTCTTGTAGAGATAAGGTCTCTATGTTGCCCAGGCTGTTCTCAAACTCCTAGACTCAAGCATTCCTCCTGCCTCAGCCTCCCAAATTGCTGCAATTGCAGGCGTGAGCTACTGCACCCGGCCCACAGTTATTATTGTTACCGTTTAGTTGGCTGGTGCTGACGAAAATCTTGAAATATATGCTTGGCAAGTATTTTTTTTTTTCTGATTGTAGCATGCATTTTCCTTGGAGAGAATACAATACAGGAAGGCATAGAGAAGAAAACAAAAGTTATCCATAATTTTGCCACTTATGAATAGCTGCTGTTAACATTTTTCACTTATGTTTTCCTGTCTTTTTTTCTCTTATATATCTATGTTTTTCCCTTGTTCTCCTCTTTCCTCCTCTCCCTTCCGGATAAGATTTGTGTCCCCACCCAAATCTCACCTTGAATTATAATAATCCCCACATGCCAAGATGGGGCCAGGTGGAGATAATTGAATCATGGGGATGGTTTCCCTCATACTGTTCTGGTAGTGAATAAGTCTCACGAGATCTGATGGTTTTATAAATGGCAGTTCCCTGGCATATGCTCTTTTGCCCGTCACCATGTAAGACATGAGTTTGCTCCTCCTTCACCTTCCGCTGTGATAGTGAGGCCTCCCCAGCCATGTGGAACTGAGTCCATGAAACTTCTTTCCTTTATAAATTACCCAGTCTCATGTATGTCTTTATTAGCAGTGTGAGAGCAGATTAATACACCTCCCGTTTCCCCTTCCTCCTCTTCCTTTTCTTTTTTCTGTCTGTACATATGAGGATCACACAGAATACAGATATAATTTTGTATCTCCCTCCCCATCCCCCTGAATACACTGACTGGGGTCGGACTGCCTGGATTCAAATCCCAGCTCTTCTAAGCAGAATGTGTTCATTATGTGCCTCAGTTTCCCAGTCTGTGAAACGAGAATAAGGGTAGCTATGAGGACCAATTGTAAAGCTCCCTGGAGTACTCAGTCCTGTGCCCAGCGTCGGCATAGACATTCCTGCCTGACAGTCTCCTGCCTTCTCAGCGACTACTCTTTCACATGCCCTCCCTCTGCTGTGAAGTGGGGATGAAAACCCTGGTTTCCTGTAATCCCAGCACTTCGGGAGGCCGAAGTGGGTGGATCACCTGAGGTCAGGAGTTACAAATAGACTATAGATTTCTTCCTACATTTTTGTGTTTTAAAAGGATCAAGTGGCCGGGCGCAGTGGCTCGTGCCTGTAATCCTAGCACTTTGGGAGGCCAAGGCGGACGGATCACTTGAGCCCAGATGCTTGAGACCAGCCTGGCCAACATGGCGAAACCTCATCTCCACTAAAAATACAAAAAAAGGCCGGGCGCGGTGGCTCACGCCTGTAATCCCAGCACTTTGGGAGGCCGAGGCGGGTGGATCATGAGGTCAGGAGATCGAGACCATCCTGGCTAACAAGGTGAAACCCCGTCTCTACTAAAAATACAAAAAATTAGCCGGGCGCGGTGGCGGGCGCCTGTAGTCCCAGCTACTTGGGAGGCTGAGGCAGGAGAATGGCGTGAACCCGGGAAGCGGAGCTTGCAGTGAGCCGAGATTGCGCCACTGCAGTCCGCAGTCCGGCCTGGGCGACAGAGCGAGACTCCGTCTCAAAAAAAAAAAAAATACAAAAAAAAAAAAAATTAGCTGGGCATGGTGGCGGCCACCTGTAATCCCAGCTACTTGGGAGGCTGAGGCAGGAGAATCGCTTGAACCCAGGAGGCGGAGGTTATGGTGAGCCGAGATCGCACCACTGCACTTCAGCCTGGGCGACAGAGTGAGACTCCTTCTCAAAAAAAGAAAAAAGAAAAAGAAAATCCTGGTTTCTGGCAAAGGAAAACTGGATGTCATAAGTTGCTTAGACTGGGACGTGTGAACCGTGGCAGTATTGAGCTTTTGGGCTGGAGGATTCTTTGTCGTGGGGGCTGTCCTGTGCCTTGTAGGGCTCTGCTCATGACTAACAGCCCCCACCTCCAGCTGTTTTCAGACACCATCAAATGTGCCCTGTCGGAAAAAGCTCCTTGAGTTTTAAACCCCTGGACTGGACCAGTCAGGATTTATCACCTGGATTGCCCCCAGCCCTGAACAAAACTGATGGGCAGCCAGGTTGTCAAGCACCTGTGAAGCTAGGCGTGACCTCCAGTGCCTCCTTTCCCAGCCCCTGAAGATCTGCCATCCCACATTCCAAGGAGAGAACTGCTGTGGCTGTGTCACCAAGTCTTAGCTAGCACCACTGCCTGTCCTCTCCTGACCCTAGGTGGAGACTCCTGTGGCCCCGGTGAGGAGTTGGGCAAAGCGGCCACACAGCAGAAAGGTCTCAGTGCTCCCTCGTGTGACATGCGGGGGCCTGAGTGGTGATATGACTCTCATTACATCTCAGGCTGTGGACGAGGCAGCTTTGCACAAAGTGCTTCTGCCCTGGGACTGCCCCACATCAAAGACCACCAGGCTTTACTGGTCCTTGGGCTTCCCATCAGGAAGGATGGCCCAGCCTGTTCCCCTCCTCAGTGGAGAGGACGGATGCAGGAAGCTTCCACCTGAGCCTGGCTGCCAAGCCCGTGACATGGGTGATTGGGCAGTGGTCACTGAGGAGCAGATGAATGTAAAAAGGCACAACCAAGCCCAGAGCAGCACCTCAGGGCACATAATATTTGTCGGACCTAAATTAAATGCTTTGTAAATCTTGCTGCCCAAGGAGGGACAGGCTGGTGGAGGTGCTGACGCACCCTTTGTCCCCTTCGTCCTGACCCTGTAGGATGATGCAGGACAGCGGGACGCTCATTTCTGCTGCTTCAGGTTCTAAATGCAGCCTCAGATTTGAGGGCAGGATGACGCCGGTGCAGCTGGCTTTCAGAGGGATGGTGGGGAGTTCCTTGGGGGCCACTGACTGGCTGTCAGAGGGCGAGCGTTTTCATTTTTTCCCCAGGATGATCCAGAGTGGAAAGTGTCCTGCGTTCC
Source organism: Homo sapiens (assembly GCF_000001405.40). Lineage (NCBI taxonomy): Eukaryota > Metazoa > Chordata > Mammalia > Primates > Hominidae > Homo > Homo sapiens. The sequence continues at coordinate 31,486,222 of NC_000021.9, read as the reverse complement.
AGTGCTGGATGGCTGGGACTCCCATTCCTCCTAAAGGGACGCTGGTTTCACAGTGCCTTATGGCACCTCCCTCCCCACAGTTCATATTTTATTGTGGACAAGAACTGGTTTTGAATGGTGAATCCTCAGGTGGAAGAGGGGTGAGATGTGCTATTGGTTTCCACTCAGTGGTGTGCAGCTTGTTCTGAGCCCACAGGGGAGCAGATCGTGTATGTGAAGATGGTTGCTTGGAATCAGGGAATCAGAGAACCAGGCACTGCGAACATGTGGTTAGGCAGGGCGTAGAGCTAAGAGGAAAGGTTCTGGAGCTGGACCGTCACCTTGTACAGGGAACTCACCCCCTTCGTGCCTGGGTTTCCTCATCTGCAAAGTAGGAATGTTAGTAGCACCTACCCCTCAGGTAGGTGCGAAGCTTTAGTGTGCTAATACGTGTGGGGGCTTAGACCAGTATCTGGCCGTGGTTGGCACCCAGTGGCTGTTGGTGGTGGTGGTGTTGGAATTGTTGGCACCTTGCTGCTTCCCTGGGACACAAGCCGTACAAGCCCCTCCCTTCAGGAGTGTGCTGTCTCTAGAGGGCAGGCTGTCTCTGAGGATGTGAGAGCTTATTGAGGTTCCTGATACAATGGCGGCTGCTGGAGTCCAACAGAGAGAATATGGTCATTAGAGATTCCAGGTCTGAATTTTGATCTGTTATCCCAGAGTTAGCGTTTTGCTTTCTCTCTGCCTCCTCTCTCCACACTCTCAGGCAACAGTGTATTAAATGTTTTCATTTTTTTGTCTCGGAATGAGCACATGAATTTTATAGGCTCCTGGACAATGCTACAGTGAGTTAAAAATTGTCCACCCAGTAGTGCCACCTCTTGGGGTCAGAGTTATTTTATGTTCTGTGTTGTAAGATGTGAGGATGAGAATAGCCCATGTCTGAGAAGCCCCTGGGACTCCTTTCTGGGGACCAGTTGGAATGTGTGCGAGGCATGGAGTGAGGCATGCCCTGGTTTGTGGGAAGGCAGCGTGTTGCTCTACACTTGCTCTTCAGTCTCTGTTCCTCAGTGGATGTGTTATGCTACGATTGGTGCTTGTCTTAGTCTGTGTTTTGCTACTCTGAAAGAATGAAATTATTCAGAGATTGGGTAATTTATAAAGAACAGAAGTTTATTTGGCTCACGGTTCTGGAGGCTGGAAAGTCCAAGATCAAGGCACTGGCAGATTTGGTGTCTGGTGAAGACCTGCTTCCTGGTTCGTAGAAGACTGTCTTCTCACTGAGTCCTTACATGGTGGAAGGGACTGGCTTGTACTCTGAGACCTCTTGTATAAGCACACTAATCCCATTCACAAGGGCTCTGCCCTCCTACCCAGTCACCTCCGAAAGGCCCCACCTCCTGATACCATCACCTAAGGGGCTAGGATTTCAGGGAGATAGGAATTTGGAGAGGTGGGGCACAAACATTTAGGTCACAGCACTGGCTGTACTGGGGGAGCCTCAGAACGTGAAGATGGCCATGGCTGGGGTCACGGTCCTAGAAAGTCTCTCAGGCCTCCCTTCCTGGAGGAGCAGGAAGCTGAGATTACAGGATGCACAGTGCTGTGGACTTTGGGGCCTGCTTTAATAGCTGGGCCTTGAGTAGGTTTACTACTAAAGGATTTGAAACCCATAGTAGTTTGCTCTTTCAGCCTTCCTCAGTCCTTCCTTTGTGTGTTTCTCCCTGATTTTCACATTGGTTAAGAGCTGCTGTTTAAGTAATGTCCCTGCCCCGGAGGCAGAGGCAAGCTGGGTTTGGAGGCCACCCACAGTGCTAGCTCCATTGTGCCAATTCAACCAGCAGGTGTTGACGTATTGAGCTCATACCTGCGGGTATGTGCCTGCAGATGAACCGGGGAGCAAAGCACACACAGTCCCCAGCCCAGAAGCCTCTTTGTGGAGTCCTGTGGGGGACACGCAAAGTGACAGGCAGTTGGGGTACAGTGTTCTTAGTGGGTGTCTTCATCTGTTTGGGTTGCTGTCACAGAATACCACAGACTGGGTGGCATGTAAACAACACAGTTCTGGTGGCTGGGAAGTCCAAGATCAGGGAGCCAGCAGATTTGTGTCTGGTGAGGGCTGGCTTCCTGGCTCATAGACAGCCAACTTTTGCCGTGTCCTCACCTGGTAGAAGAGTGAGGGTGTTCTTTGGGGTCTGTTTTATAAGAGCACTAATCCCATACATGAGGATTGCACCTTATGACTGATCACCTTTCAAAGGCCATCACATTTCAGGTGAGGATTTGAAAGTGTGAGTTCTGCAGGGGACCCAACCTTTCAGCCTATGGCATTGGATTTTCTCACTCCTTTTCCAGCAATGACCAGGGTTCCATAATGACTTGGTTCAGTCCCTTTTTCCAAGGCTGCCTTGGATCTGCTTGGGAGTTTCTTATATTGGACCTTACTTTCCCACCAGATGGGGACAAGGGACATTGTCTCTGGTCCTATGTGCAGATTTGTCAGGCTGCTCCTTGACTGGATGCACGGACTCTGTCATGAAGCAGTGCCTCTTGCGATATCAGCTAGATTGATGATAGTGTCTCATTTTTCTTGATTTTGTAGGTATCTTGAATGCTCACAGAGCTCACATTGCTCCTGTCCTGCATATAAAACCAATCTTGGCCCCTTGGGATCCTCTGGTTGTCCCAAAATGAATGGAAGAGACTGTCAGTAGAAGCAGCTGCTTCTACTCTTAGAAATCCACATAGCAAAAAATGAGTCTCACCATGTTGAAACTGTGACATGTGTTTGAAAATAAAGTTTTAATTAGAAGGAGCAATTCTCAGCCTCAACCTGGTGCTGGCTGTCTTAACATTGAGACTAAAATAAACTGGCTCCAACTTCTTGGCACGAGACCCACTCTGTCTTTTACACACTGAATCTCGGGTTGAAGCGTGGGGTGCAGTGCGTATGTGTCTTTTCAAGACCTCAGATTTCATAAAACAAAGGAGTGGGAGGGTGCTTGATCCCATGGTGGTGGGGACTGCAGCACCATTTGCTGCAAGTCCTGTTAGTTTTGGCCTACTTATGTTTGCTTATGTTTATAAAATATCTCCTTTTTTCTAAACATAAGTCTGAGGACTTCAGGAAGGAGCCAGAGAGACAGCCCGCCATGGTGTGATACCAAGACCATGGCCTTTACAGCCAGATACACTTGGGTTCCTGTCCTTCATTTACCAGCTGTGTGACCTGGGGCAGGCTGCTTAGTGTCTGAGCCTCTGTATCCTCATCTGTAAAATGGGCGCAACACTTTCATTACCAGTGTGACCATGATTATATATACACAGTGCCCAGGGCCTGGCACAGTAGCTACTCAGTAAATGGTATCTGTTCTTCTTATAATCTCATGATTAGCACAGTCCTTACATTGCTCTGGGTCACTGCCAAGGGCTCCCATGCTGTTTTCAGTGTTACGTTGGCCTTGACTAGGGGTGCTTCTGGTTCAGCTGAGGACCGGCAAGCTTCAAATTCACTTTACCAGATGCACATGGGCAGGCAGGTAGGCGTGTCCTGAGCGTCAGCTTGCATATTGCATCACCCTTCTGTTGTGCTTCTGGGCTCCCACTCTGCGCTCTCTCCTCCCACCTCCCACCAGAAGCCATCACTAGACAGAAACAAAACAAACTGGTACTGCCTCAGAGCCAGAAAATAAGCCCTTTCTTGATTCCCTCATGCTAGGCTGATTTAGCCCAGGTGACAAGAGGGCACCATCTTTAGGTTGGTGTGCAAGGCAGAATTTCTGGTTAAGATGGGTGTGATGGGCCAGGTGCGTGCCTGTAATCACAGCACTTTGGGAGGCTGAGGTGGGTGGATCACCTGAGGTCAGGAGTTCGAGACCAGCCTGGACAGCGTGGTGAAACCCTGTCTCTACTATAAGTACAAAAATTAGCCGGGCATGGTGGCGGGAGCCTGTAATCCCAGCTACTCGGGAGGCTGAGGCAGGAGAATCACTTGAACCTGGGAGATGGAGGTTGCAGTGAGCCGAGATTGCGCCGCTGCACTCCAGCCTGAGCGACAGAGCAAGATTCCGACTCAAAAAAAAAGGATGTTTGTTATGGTAAGAAAAAAAATGTATATAAATATATATGTGTGTATATATATATGTATACACACACACACACACACACACACACACACACACACTTTGTCCCAGTTCCTGGCACACAGTTCTCCAAACCCTTGGAATCTCTGGAGCGATGGAATGTCTTTCTTTGGTACACTGGGGACCTCTTGATAGCTTCGGGATGAGGGCTGGTTTCCAGAAAGACCAAACCATGTGATTAGAGGGTTGAAACTTTCAGCTCCATCCTCTCCTTAGGGAGAGGAGAGAGGGGCGAGAGATTGAATTAATCATCAGTGGCCAATGATTTACTCACTCATGCTGTAAGATCTCTAAACAACAGAATTCAGAGAGCTTCTGGGTTGGTGAACACATGTTGGTGCTGTGAGGTGGCGTTTCCAGAGAGGGTGTGGGAGCTGGGTGCTCTCCCCAACACATTGCCCTGTGCATCTCTAACATTTGGCTGTTTCTGAGTTGTGTCCTTGATCATAAAACAGTAGTAGTAAGTCAGGTGTTTTCCTGAGTTCTGCCAGCCATTGTAGCAAATTATTGAGCCTGGGGAGAGGATCATGGGAACCCCAGAATTTGTAGTTGGTCAAGCCGAAGTGTGGGCCCTCCATCTGTAGCTGGTGTCTGAAATGGGGGCAATCTTGTGGGACTGAGCCCTTAACCTGTAGGTTCTCTGCTAACTGTGGGTAGTTAGCGTCAGTCCTGAATTGAATTGTAGGACCCTCAGTTGGCATCCAGAGAGTTGGAGCATTGGTTGGTGTGAGGAAAAACCCCACACATTTGGTGTCAGAAGTGTGAGTAAAAGCAGTTCATGATGTAGGATAGAAACAGGTACCCCAACAAGGAGCTATGGCTTAACTTGGAAGTGTTGACTATACCTTTGGCATCTGGGTTAAATCTTATTGTTGAGTGTATAGGACCTGTACACACTTGTGTGTACAGAGGAAAGGCCATGTGAGGACACAGAAAGAAGGTGGCTGTCCACAAGCCAAGAAGAAAGGCCTCACCAGAAACCAATGCAGACAGCACCTCAATCATGGACTACCAGCCTCTAGGACTGTAAGAAAATAAATGTCTGTTGGCTGGGCGCAGTGGTTCATGCCTGTAATCCCAGCACTTTGGGAGCCTGAAGTGGTGGATCGTATGAGGTCAGGAGTTCGAAACCAGCCTGACCAACATGGTGAAACCCCATCTCTACTAAAAATACAAAAAAATTAGTTGGGCGTGGGGGCTCATGTCTGTAATCACAGCTATTCGGGAGCCTGAGGCAGGAGAATTGTCTGAACCTGGGAGACGGAGGTTGCAGTAAGCCAAGATTGTGCCAGTGCACTCCAGCCTGGGCAACAGAGTGAGACTATTCTGTCTCAAAAATAAATGAATGAACAAACGAATGAATGAATGAATGAATGTTGTTGAATCCCCCAGTCTGTGCTATTTTGTTATGGCAGCCCAGGGAGACTAAGACACTTTCCCTCCTTCCTTCCAAAGGTGATAGAAGGGTGTGGCTCCATTTGCAGCCACTGCCAAGGTCAGGGCTGGCTGGTGTCCCTGCCTTTACTCTGGCATGCGGCAATGTGGTGGTTTCTTTCTTGTCTGTGCTATTTCTAGTCTTCTGTCTTCATTTAGTGGATTGGGTAGCTAAGGATGAGAAAGTTTAAGCAGTTTGCTCCAAGTCACTTTAGTGTATTAGGCAATAGAGCCCAAGGGTGCATCCCAAGCCTCCCTTGGGTAAATCCAGGACAGAGACAGTTAATTCCTTGTTTAAAAATGCAACTCATAGTGACATGTGGATGTCATTGAGTAGCAAAGAAATAAACAAAGTGGGCCAGTGACACACTACACTGCTTTGTGACAAGAGTAGGTTAACTGATTTAATGGTAAATCACAATGTAAGGGAAAGTGGACCCGAAAAGCTTAAGCTACCCAATGATGACCAGGATAGAAGTGCTGCTCTTGGAGGCTGAACCTTTTATCATCAGATGTTTTTGCTCTGCCTTGCAGCTAAAACCATTGCTTTAATTTAAAATCGATTGATTGGATGGTGGCTATGTGCCTGTCTTTGTGTTGGGCGTTAAGCACCAAGAGCTAAAATGCATAGCTGCTGTGCAGAATTAGCTGATGCTTTAGCAGGGCTGACTAAATGGACAATGGCCGCACTGTATAGTAGGTGTTCCCTAGGAGGGTGGAGAGGGGTAATTACTGCATGCTGTGAGAGCACGTGTAGGGGCATCTCAGGTGGAGGGCAGACGCCGGGAATGGCTTTTCTAAAAGAGGGAAAACAGGCAGGGAATCCCAGTGGGGAATAGGGTTTCAAGCAGAGAAAATATGAAGTGTATCAATGTGGAGATATGGGGGAACAGCCCACTTGGAGGACTTTGTAGGCACTTACAGGTACTGTTTCTTTGTCTTTCTTCTCCTCTTCTTATCCTTCCTTTTTCACTTCCTTCAGTGGCGTGTTAGTAAATTGGCTCCCAAGGTGAATAAAGAGGCCTGATTTGTAGTGTTTTGTCGATTTCTATGGTATAAATTTTCCCATCATCGCCAATTCCAAGCTATCAGCATGATATCAACTGGTCTACAAAATTCCTAAAACTTTAACAATTGGTCACAAGCCTATACAATCCCACTCCAGCAGACCTCTGCCGCTCATCCATCCTTCCATCCATCCATCCATCCATCTATCCATCCATCCTTCCATTCATCCGTCCGTCCGTCCATCCGCCCGCCCCTCCGTCCATCCATCCATCCATCCATCCATCCATCCAATCATCCATCCACATGCATAATTATAACCAGACAGAATCACAGGAATAAATCATGTTGCAGATTTTAGAGTTTTTTTAAATCAAGTCCTCTCATTTTATAGACAAGAAAACTAATGTCTAGAGAGGGGAAGTGGCTTTTTAAAATTCTGTTCATTGAGCTATTAGGACCGTTTTCTCCAGAATTCAAGTAAAGAATATGGTTTAGCAATTCTTGAGTTGAAGCAATGTGGAATCTAAGTTGTGCAGACCACAGTTGTGACAGTCCTAATGCTCACGAAGCTGTTTTTGTTCCTTGTCTCAATAGTTGCTTGTTCCCACCAGGCTCACGATTTCTTTCACAGGTAGTTAAAAATGTCCTTGTAGAAATCACATTCTTTTCCTAGTGCATAGCAGATAGTTTCAGAATCTAATTTAGCAGTTGGCTCTTAATATTTCTTGAGTCTTCGATGTTTCTGGATTTCATTTATCTCTTTTTGGGTGATGTAGTCATCTTTCCTTTAGGATTCCAACTTAAGCCACGCATTTGGGGTGTCAGCTAGCTGCCTCCACCCCATTTGTGTTGGGCTGGATTTCCTTGACACATCTATGGAGTTGAAACACTTTGGCTTCTGACAGCGTGCTTTGGAGCTTTTGGAAAGATGAATAATTGATCATTGTTTTGGTGGTCTTTAAATTGTTGTAAACTCATGGGTAGGGGATGATTCTTACCAACTTAGAAGCTTTATTTTGAACAAAAAAGACAAAAAAAGAAAAACAAAAAGAAGCTTTATTTTGAAATTGTGGACACGTTGGCTGGTGAATACTGAAATGTTCCAGAGGACTCCATTTAAAAGTAGTTTCTGTGCTATAATGTTGAGTGAAAAAGCAAGTCGCCAGGATATGTATTACGATGTGACTTTTGTGAAAAGTAGGCAAACAAATTGGCAGTTACCTCTGGGGAGTGACAATGAGGATATAATTTGTTCACTTTTAACTCTACATGTTTCTGTATGGATTGATTTTTTTAAACTTTTTAATTACAAGTAGGTAGTAAAGCAAATCCAGACTAAACAGAAAGCTTGGTTCTATTTTAAGAGGACTCATCTGGGAATGGATGACAAACTTTCTATTGTCCTTTTAAGGCAATTTGCCATTTGCCCAATAAAAAGTTTACATGTGTCTAGTTTATAAATTGTTATGTAGTAATCCTAGAAATAATTGATTTTGCTTGCTAAAAATTAAAATTGCATAGCTGTTCACACCTGCTCAATAAGGCCAGCAATCTAACCTTAAACTTCACTGCGAGTTCTCCCTTCACCTCATAATTTTTTCCCAATTCTTTCCTAATGAGGTTAATCACCTGTGCGCATGCACTGCCTAAGCTGGTTGTTATTCTGTACTCCCAGTGGTAATTCATTCTAAGAACCTCCTGGAGATATTCTGTAAACTAACATAGGGCCATTCTGTTTCTTTAGCATTTCTTGACTGTGAGGCTCTCAGCTGCCTGGGACACGGAGAGTCATTAGACTTCACTTGCTTCCCAAGGATAGCATCATGCCATGATACCAACATGCTGCCTTCCTTCCTCTTTCCTCCTAAATGAACTTCTTTCATGCAGTTGGCAGTTCTGTCCTCATCTTCAGGATGTCCTCTGGGGTTCCTGATCTCAATTTTAAAAAAATGCATTTAGAGTTTGAGACTAGCCTGGCCAACATGGTGAAACCCCCGTCTCTCCTAAAAATACAAAAATCAGCTGGGCGTGGTGGCGTGCACCTATACTCCTAGCTACTTGGGAGGCTGAGGCAGAAGAATTGCTTGAACCTGGGAAGTGGAGGTTGCAGTGAGCCGAGATTGCGCCACTGCACTGCAGCCTGGGTGACAAAGCCAGATTCCGTCTCAAAAAAAAAAAAAAAAAATGCATTTAGTTCCCTTTCCTGAGTCGCTGAACATTTGAAAAGGTGGGGAATGCGTGGATATTGTACAAGAATCGGTCAAATCAGATTGTGTTAGTCTAAAATGGAAAAATAACTGTGATTTCTTATTCAGGCATTTGCCAGCAGATTGCCTCTCCCAACTCTTTCTTATAAAAAGAATTTCAGGAAATATGTGACTTAGGTAAGTGATGTGTTATTGATGCAAAGCCCAATTATGATTACGCTTGTGGAGGAAAATAGTTCTTCTATTTCACAGACTGTGGAAACCTCCCTCTGATTAGGTTGACCCATATGAATTGCCAAATTGAGCTACCAAAAGGGCAATTTCCCCCAGTTCAACCTAAGATTGCTTATTTGCTAAGTCGTAAGCGCAGGAAATACATGTCTACATTAAGAAAGGACATGAGATGCATGTGCTCTAAGGAAGTCAGGCATCCCTTTTTTATTTGAACCTGTCTCTAATGGTTAGTGTTTACTTAGTTGACACTTGGTTGTTGCCTCACTAGCTTTCAGAAAGTATCTAGAGCAAAACTGGTTGCCTAGCAACATGTTCCAGCCCAGAAGGGTTGCAGAATGGGTCAGTGATTAACAATTATATACAATCAAGTTTAAAAATTCATAGCAGCCGGCAACATTTCTGCTCTGACCACCAGGAAGCATCAGCATTCTACTGCCCTGGGTTTTGGGCTATTGTAAGTAAATTTATTGCAGTTGTGATCTTGACCTCATGGTGGCAATTAAGAAAAACTGTTCGGGACTGAAATAGGCTCATGGCGTCCCTCCGTGCATGGATCGATTTTGCAAAAGCATCTGACACCCATCATTTGGTTGGCTGCCTGTCTGGACACTCATCCCCACGGAAAATGAGAAGAGAAAATGAAGAATCTGGATATTTATGATTGTTGTCATCTCAACAAATTGGCCCCTATTAGTGAATCTGTAATTTACTAAAGAACAAGTACACACAAAATGAGTGACAACAGCTCCCTCGCTCAACCCAGATCGTTCTTTCAAGAATTACCAATGCAGTGCAGATGTTCTTCCTGAAATGGCCCAAGCCCTTAATCGTTTCTCTTCCTTCCGTTCCAGCAAAAGAGAAGACAAATTTTGCATCAGCCAGTCCTTAATCTTTCTGTCAGCACAAATATCAATGGTGTAAATCGTGAAAATGGCAGTAAAGCTAGGAGACATTTTTATAACTCTGGCAAAGCTAATAATGCACATTTCATTGTTGAGAATCATTGAGTTTAATTGGCTAATCAATTTTTAGGCCCTTTCCATTTGTATTTTGTTTAATCAACAAAAATAAATCGCCCTGCCAACCTTGAAAGACCCAAGTTGGAGAACAGTGGCAGATATTTCGTTTGTCCTGCCAAAAGTGCTTTTCCAACAGAAATGTCTTAATTGAAGATGATTTATATTCAGAAGTGCTGATGTTTTATCATTTGTCTAAAGAAGGAAAAAGCTGTGTAAGCAGGCAGTAGGCAGCCGTTTTAGGCATTGTTTTTGACATTTATCTACACTCTTTATCCTTCAGATGTTTATATAAAAATGACCTGCCCTACCCTTTCTTGCTAATGATTCGGACATCACCTCATGAAGTAGTTGTCAAGTTGTTCCCATAACTTTTGGTTAGAATTAGGATTTGCTCAGGAGAACTCCAGGCCAAGATCGTTTCGCTGTTTTCTCTGCGTTTCCTGATTCCTGCTCTCTGGGCCATGGGTGGAAAATGGCTGACATCTCAGCACTGGAGGACAGGCCACATGGGTGTGCCTTGGTGAAGTGCACTGATTCTTGGTTTCTTGGCAAGAAAACATCACTAGACCCAGCTGGCCATGATGTATCAGGGCACCCTGAGGCCTTGATCTGGGTGGGTGACAAGCTTTCTGAGAGTTGCAAGAATGTAGCGTTTGCTTTGATTGCCTCCTTTGCACCCCAAGGAAGGGGAAGAGATGAAGAAAATAACATTTATTTAATACCTACATGGTGTAGTCTCATTTCTTACAACAATTCCAGGAAGTCGCCAAACCCTATGTAGCTGATGAAGAGGACGAGTTTCAGAGAACTTCATAACTAGAATAGCTCACAGTGCCGGATGCAGTGGCTTACTCCTGTAATCAGTAATCCGTAATCCTAACACTTTGGGAGGCTGAGGAGGGTGGATCACTTGAGCCCAGGAGTTTGAGACCAGCCTGGGCAACATGGAGAAACCCTGTCTCTACAAAGGAATACAAAAATCACCTGGATGTGATAATGTGCACCTGTAGTCCCAGCTACTTGCAGGGCTGAGGTGGGAGAATCACCTGAACCTGGGGAGGTCGATGCTGCAGTGAGCTGTGATCAAACCACTGCACTCCAGCCTGGGAGACAGAGTAAGACCTTGTCTAAAACTAAATAATAATAATAATAATAATAATAATAATAATAATAAAAAACTAGCTCACAGCAACTTATATGTGGAGCGGCTGCAATTCAAATCCTGTTCTGTGGGTCTCCAATTATCTTCCCATTTCACCGGCTGCAGGAAGCTGGAAAAGTTCCCTTCCTTACCCTAAACAGGTTTTCCCTGTAGGGCTCCCAGGGTGCAGGAACTGAAGAATAATAAAGGCTAAAGGTTGGCTGGGAGCGGTGGCCTGTAATCCCAGCACTTTGAGAGGCCAAGGCAGGCGGATCAACTGAGGTCGGGAGTTCGAGACCAGCCTGACCAACATGGAGGAAACCCCGTCTCTACTAAAAATACAAAATTAGCCGGGCATGGTGGTGCATGCCTGTAGTCCCAGCTACTCGGGAGGCTGAGGCAGGAGAATCGCTTGAACCCGGGAGGCGGAGGTTGCGGTGAGCCGAGATCACGTCATTGCACTTCAGCCTGGGCAACAAGAGTGAAACTCCATCTCAAAAAAAAAAAAAAAAGACTAAAGGTTTGTGAGTGCTTGTTGTGTGTCTGCCACTTTTCTAAGAGCTTCATATATATTAATTCATTTACACCTCACTTGCCTGTTAGCTGCTGCCATCCTCATCTTACAGATGAGGAAACTGAGGCACAGAGTGCCTGGGGCTGGACCATGGTCACATGGCTAAATGTTGAGGGAACCAGGATTTGAATCCAGGTGTCCTGACCCAGAGTCTGTGCTGTTAGGATTCTGCCTTTCATTGACTGTACCCTAATTGGTTTAATATTCTCTAATACGATTTGGATGCTTGTTCCCTCCAAATCTCATGTTGAAATGTGATCTCCAGTATTGGAGGTGGGGCCTGGCAGGAGGTGTTTGGGTCATGGGGGTGGATCCCTCACAGACGGCTTGGTGCCATCCCCATGGTGATGAGTGAGCTCTCACTCTGTTAGTTCATGGGAGAGCTGATTGTTTGAAGAGCTTGGCACTTCCTTCTCTCTCTTGCGCTCTCTCTCGCCTTGTGACATGTCTGCTCCCCCTTTGCCTCTGCCATGAGTGGAAGCTTCTTGAGGCCTCACCAGAAACAGATGCTGGTGCCATGCTTCTTGTGCAGCCTGCAGAACTGTGCGCCAAATAAACCTCTTTTCTTTGTAAGTTACCCAGTCTCTGGTGTTTTTTTATAGCAGTGCAGGAACAGACTAATGATTCTGCAAGTCTCCAGTGCAGGGCGGCACCAGCTAAGGTGACAGAGGAGGGGAAAATAGTGATTTTATGGAACTTATTTCAGACTTTGTTACGGACAGTGGAGGCCACTGATTTAGTGATTGTCTCAATCCCTGGCTCACTCGCTGATCTTTGACTGTACTGGGACCCCTTTCCTGCTACTTTTTCTCTCCACTTCCGGTTGTTTTCCTTGTGTGCCCCTGCTAAAGGTTTATTTTCCATGAGGCCCTCAGACTGACGGGAGGCCAGCTGTGCTCCAGGGGCCACCAAGAAGCCAACATAGTGACCTGAAAATTACTCCAACAGCAAAAAAAAACAAAATTAACCTTAAATCAACCTGGGATCTAATATGCAACTCAGCAACTTCTAAGCCATGTTTTTTTTTTTTTTTTTTTTTTTTTTTTTTTTTTTTTGAGATGGAGTCTTGATCTGTCCCCCAGCCTAGAGTGCAGTGGCACGATCACGGCTCACTGCAAGCTCTGCCTCCCAGGCTCACGCTATTCTCCTGCCTCAGCCTCCCGAGTAGCTGGGACTACAGGCACCCGCCACCACGCCCAGCTAATTTTTTGTATTTTTTAGTAGAGATGGGGTTTCACCGTGTTAGCCAGGATGGTCTCGATCTCCTGGCCTCGTGATCTGCCCGCTTGGCCTCCCAAAGTGCTGGGATTACAGGCGTGAGCCACCGTGCCTGGCTGCCATGTTCTTTTTGTAAGTAACTAATTCTGGGAAGACAACAGAGTGGGAAAACCCCAGAAAATGCCTGAAACTCCACAGCATCTTTCTGTTTACCGAGGCCATTCCCTTGCCAGCTCCAGACCGTGCATCTTTGGTACCAGGGTCAGGTGATGCCTGGATTGAGTGAGGGGTGAGGAAGAATTTCCACATTTGACTGGAGTGCGAAGACTTGCAGCAGATCAGATCAATTACTGTAATGACGGTGAAAATACCTGCAGAGGACAATTTCTGATGCGTACGCCATGCCAAGCTCTGTTCAAAGCATTCTGCTTATATTAATCCTTAATCCTCCACTAATCTTGTTAGCTAGATGCTGTTATTATCCCCATTTAACAGATGAGAAAATCTATGTGAAATGTGCATGTCTATTGTAAGTTTAGGAACATTAAATTACAGAACCCATCTTAGGATCAAGGCCATGTAGTAGTAGGCTCATGGGCTGGTGGTGCCAGTATCTGGAGCACAGAGGCCTCTTTGTTAATGGTCCTTGGAAACTCACTGAAACATGCGGGGCATGTGACAGCCAGCATCTATTGAGTTATTGCTGCACACCAGACACTATTTTTATTTATTTATTTTTTTTCAGACAGTCTTGCTTTGTTGCTCAGGCTGGAGTGCAGTGGCACGATCTCGGCTCACTGAAACCTCTGCCCCCTGTGTTTAAGCGATTCTCCTCTCTCAGCCTCCCGAGTAGCTGGGACTACAGGCATGTGCTACCACACCCAGTTGATTTTTGTATTTTTAGTAGAGATGGGGTTTAGCCATGTTGGCCAGGCCGGTCTCAAACTCCTGCCTTCAAGTGATCTGCCCGCCTCAGCCTCCCAAAGTGCTGGGATTACAAGCGTGAGACATTGAGCCTGGCCCAGACACTATTCTGATAACTTTGTTTGAATTTATTTAAACCTCACAGAAACACAGGTACTATGATTATGATCATCCTGATTTATGGATGAGGAAACTAAGTCACAGAGAGATGATATAACTTGCACACGGCCGTCCAGTCAGTTCATGGCAAGACCAAGTGTCCACCGAGGCTCCCCATCCAGGCTCTTAACCACAACAGCCTTGTGCCTCTGAGCTGAGGACACTGACACAGCTGGAAAAGGGACCACAGCATGGGAGATGGAGATCATTGTAGGGCTCCCTGTGGACTCAAGGCTCCCGCCCCTCTCAGGTGGCATTGCCTGGCTGGCTTGCCACTCCCTTTATTATTATTATTATTATTATTATTATTATTTGAGATGGAGTTTCGCTCTTGTTGCCCAGGCTGGAATGCAATGGCGCAATCTCAGCTTACTGCAACCTCTGCCTCCTGGGTTTAAGTGATTCTCCTGCCTCAGCCTCCCGAGCAGCTGGGATTACAGGCACGCACCACCATGCCTGGCTAATTTTGTATTTTTAGTAGAGATAGGGTTTCTCCATGTTGGTCAGGCTGGTCTCTAACTCCTGACCTCAGGTGATCCACCCGTCTCAGCCTCCCAAAGTGCTGGGATTACAGGTATAAGCCACCTTACCTAGCCCTTGCCACTCCCTTTGGGCAAGGGCCCTGTGGAACTGGGAAGTTGATTCCATCAACCTCCCTTGTCACCTGCTGTTTGTTTGTACCCGTGATCACCCCTGCAGGGAAGAAAACAGAGAAGAGCTCTGATACTAATCCCAACACACATCTGAAGGCATTTACTGGGTCTTGGTGACATGCAAAGCACATTTTCTCCTTGACCCCACAACAGCCCTATGAGGTTCATTCTGAATGATCGTGTCTGTGTGGTAAAGGGGGGAACCGAGCCTAGTGGGAGGGGGCCGCTGATCCTCCCCACACAGCTCCTGAGGGGCGGATCTGGGCTCCGGAAGGGCTGACCGATGCCCACCGGGGCAGGAATCTGCAGACAGCTCCGGGCTTCGTTGTGCCCACCTGGGCATTTCCTGTGTGGTCCGCTCTGCTGTTCTCTTGTCTCCTGAGTATTTTTTCCCTCCTGGTTTGCTGCCTGGAGACTCTCAGCAGCCCGGAGGTTTTCAGAACAACACGATGAGATTTTCCCCAGCCCCGGAACTGCTTTTGCTGTTGCTTGTGCATCCGACACCTGCTGGGCTGATGAGCTTTGCAAATGTCACTGAGTGTTGAGAGGGAGCTGTGAGAGATTTGCAGGAACGCACCATCCCAGCTGCCCCCTCGGGGGTGGGTGGCGGCTGGAGGGGTGGTGCTGGTCCTTCCTCCAGCCCAGCTCCCCTTGGCAAGGGAAGAGGTGGCATTCCTGCTCATGGAGCTGACCTGGGTACCCACCACCTGCCGGTTCCTCTCTCTTCTCCTGGGGAGACAGTGGCTGTTTCTACATGGTTTTCCCGGCAGCATTGTCTCTTAAAATTTTTGGTCACCTTTTGAGGATATAGAAACATTTTGACCTTTTCCTTTCTGGATTTCTCTTTTCAGAAAAATGCACACATACACACAATTTTGTGTAGAAAATTCGAGGTTTTAGCCAGGTGTGGTGGCTCACACCTGTAATCCCAGCACTTTGGGAGGCTGAGGCGGGTGGATCACCTGAGGTCAAGAGTTCGAGACGAGCCTGACCAACATGGTGAAACCCTGTCTCTACTAAAAATACAAAATTAGCCAGGCCTGGTGGCATATGCCTGTAATCTCAGCTACTTGGGAGGCTGAGGCAGGAGCATCGCTTGAACCCTGGAGGTAGAAGTTGCAGTGAGCCGAGATCGTGCCACTGCACTCCAGCCTGGGCAACAAGAGTGAAACTCTGTCTCAAGGAAATATAAATAAGTAAATAAATAAATAACATTTGAAGTTTTCAGCCTGGCGTGGGAGCTCACACCTGTAATCCCAGCACTATGGGAGGCTGAGGTGGGCAGATCGCCTGAGGTTAGGAGTTTGAGCCCAGCCTGGCCAATATGGTGAAACCCTGTCTCTACCAAAAATATAAAAATTGGCCAGGTGTGGTGGCACACACCTGTAGTCCCAGCTACTTGAGAGGCTGAGGCAGGAGAATCACTTGAACCTAGGGGGCCAGGGGTTGCAGTGAGCTGAGATCGCGCCACTGCACTCCAGCCTGGGTGACAGAGCCAGACTGTGTCTCAGAAAAAAAAAAAAAAAAAATTCAAGGTTTTCACTGACACTCGTAACACTCGGAGCCTCCTCAGACAGTGCGCCACACCTGCCCCTACCCATGCCTGGAAATCTAGCTTAAAAATCAGGTTCTCTGTTTCTTCCCTCTCCATTGAGGGCAAAGATAGAAAATTGATTTTTTTTTTGTTTGTTTGTTTTTTGAGATGGAGTCTCGCTCTGTCACCCAGGCTGGAGGGCAGTGGCGCGATCTTGGCTCACTGCAAGCTCTGCCTCCCGGGTTCACACCATTCTTCTGCCTCAGCCTTCTGAGTAGCTGGGACTACAGGCGCCCGCCACCACACCCGGCTAATTTTTTTGTACTTTTTTTAGTAGAAATGGGGTTTCACCGTGTTAGCCAGGATGGTCTCCATCTCCTGACCTCGTGATCTGCCTGCCTTGGCCTCCCAAAGTGCTGGGATTACAGGCGTGAGCCACCGTGCCTGGCCAGAAAATTGAATGTTAAATTCTCTGCCCCTCTTCTTCTTCTACTGTTGTCAGTCAGAGGCTTGGCAGGAAAGTATATCGCACACTCACAGGTGACAGAAGAGAGTCACGAGAGAAAGTGTTTTCACGGAGTTAAGAAAAGCAGACAGGCTGGGTGCAGTGGCTCACACCTCTAATCTCAGCACTTTGGGAGGCTGAGGCAGGAGGATTGCTTGAGCCCTGGAGTTTGAGACCAGCCTGGGCAACATAATGAGACCCTTTCTCTACCAACCCCCCTGCTGCTTCCCAGATTAGCCAGGTATGGTGTGGTGGCGTGTGCCTGTAGTCCCAGCTACTTGGGAGGCTGAGGGGCAAGATCATGTAAGCTCAGCACGGGAGTTCAAGGCTGCAGTGAACTATGATCGTGCCACTGTACTCCAGCCTGGGTGACAGAATGAGACCCTGTCTCAAAAAAAAAAAAAAAAAAAAAGGGATTGGTTCCACTGGGGCAGCAGGAGGAAGCCCCTTTGTTCCCTAGAACTGAAGCCTGAGAGAAAAAGGGACTTGTGATCGAGAGACCTCCAGGTGCTGCTGTGGGGAGGAAGCAGGGGGTCAGTGTTCCTACTGTCTTGACCCTCTTCCGACAGTCATCCCTGCCCGTGGTGCCTCCCCAGGGCCAGAAAGTGTGGAAGGGCAGCCTCCCAGGCACAGATCCCAGAGGAAAAAGAGGAAAAGTCATCTGAAGGGCAATCTGAGAGTATTTAGCACGTCGCCCTTCTAGGTTCGTTTTTTTTGAGATGGAGTCTCGCTCTGTCACCCAGGCTGGAGTGCAGTGGCACCATCTCGGCTCACTGCAAGTTCCGCCTCCCGGGTTCACGCCATTCTCCTGCCTCAGCCTCCCAAGTCACTGGGACAACAGGCACCCGACACCACGCCTGGCTAATTTTTTTGTATTTTTAGTAGAGACGGGTTTCACCGTGTTAGCTAGGATGGTCTCCACCTCCTGACCTCGTGATCCGCCCGCTTTGGTCTCCCAAAGTGCTGGGATTACAGCCCTGAGTCACCGTGCCCGGTCTTTTTTTTTTTTGAGAGGTAGTCTCACTTTGTTGTCCAGGCTGGAGTGCAGTGGTGTGATCTTCGCTCACTGAAACCTCCACCTTGCGGGCTCAAGCGATTCTCCTGCCTCAGCCTCCCAAGTAGCTGGGATTACAGGCATGCACCACCACACCCGGCTAATTTTTTTTTTCTATTTTTTCAGTAGAGTCAGGGTTTCACCATGTTGGCTAGGCTAGTCTTGAACTCCTCACCTCCAGTGATCCGCCTGCCTTGGCCTCCCAAAGTACTGGGATTACATGCGTGAGCCACTGTGTGTGACCAACCCTTCTGGATTCTTAAATAACCTCTGCCCAGCAAGTAGATCGCACTTTTGAGATCAAGAAAGGCAGCTGTGTCGTTTTATTTATTTCTACTTTTTTTTTTTTTTTAAGAGTTTCGCTCTTGTCGCCCAGGGTGGAGTGCAATGGTGTGATGATCCTGGCTCACTGCAACCTCCACCTCCCAGGTTCAAGCAATTCTCCTGCCTCAGTCTCCTGAGTAGCTGGGATTACAGGTGCCCACCACCACGTCCAGCTAATTTTCATATTTTTAGCATAGACAGGGTTTCACCATGTTGGCCAGGCTGGTCTCAAACTCCTGACCTCGTGATCCCCCCACCTGCCTTGGCCTCCTAAAGTGCTAGGATTACAGGCATGAGCTGCCGCACCTGGCCTGTTTTTACTTTTATTATTATTTTAGAAACGGATATTCTGTAACCTTGAACCCTGGACTCGAGCAATCCTCCCACATCAGTGTCTCAAGTAGCTGGGACTACAGGCATGCCACCATGCCTGGCTAATTTTATTTATTTATTTATTTTATTTTTATTTATTTATTCTTTTTTTTTTTGAGATGGAGCCTCACTTTGTTGCCCAAGCTGGAGTGCAGTGGCCCAATCTTGGCTCACTGCAACCTCTGCCTCCTGGGTTCAAAGGATTCTTCTGCCTCAGCCTCCCAAGTAGCTGGGATTATAGGCATGTGTCGCCACGCCCAGCTAATTTTTGTATTTTTAGTAGACACGGGGTTTCACCATATTGGCTAGGCTGGTCTCGAACTCCTCATTACCTGCCCACCTCGGCCTCCCAGAGTGCCGGGATTACAGGTGTGAGCCACTGCGCCCGGCCTTATTTTTATTTTTTAAGAAACAGGGACTCTCACTCTGCCACTCAGGCTGGAGTGCAGTGTTGTGAACGTAGTTCATTGCAGCCTGGAACTCCCGGACTCAAATGATCCTCTTGCCTCAGCCTCTGAAGTAGCCAGGGCAACAGGCATGTGCCACCACGCCCACTTAATCTTTAAAAGAAGTTTTTATGGAGATGGGGTCTTGCTATGTTGACCAGGCTGGGGTCAGCTTTAAATGCTCTCCTTTGGATTTGGGGATTATGGAACTTTGTTTAACTTTGCTAGGGTAGTTTAGTAATTCTGTTAGTGATCGCAAGCTTCCTGGTTTTTGCCAGAGGCTTTTAAATCCAGTCTTTTAGTTTCAGTTTTTTTTTTTTTTTGGCCTATTTTATTTATATGCCTGTCATTACAAGGCCACTTTGAAAAGCCTCATTGTCTTCATGATGATGAATCAATCTGCCTCAATATCACAGGGAATTGTATATAAATTGCTCACATGGCATTATGTGCAAAGGTAGTTTCCCCTTATTGTACGGTAGCTTGATGTTTAGAAACGGCCATTTCTAGATTTTGCAAAAAAGCGCAATTATACGCGGGAAGAAATGGAGAAACTAGAAGGTGTTATGTGGTGTCAGGTATTACTGGGCACCAGCTACAACTCACCCCACTGAGCTTCGGGCCAGGACGTCTGGATTCTGCTCTTTGCTCTGGCTAGTACTTCCCTGTTGCCTTGGGCACCACCTCGAGGTATCAGGACCTCTGTTCCCTGGAGTTACTATTACTGATGAAGACTTGCTCCTTGACCAAACTTGAATCCGGCTTCTCTGAGCCCCCTTCTCAGCTAGGCCGTTAGCCCACCCCCACCTTCCAGGCCTTCCCAGTTAGTTTTAGCAAGAATCCTGCTAAAGTTAGAGAGCTGCTAGATGAGTTTAGAGAGATATCCTTTATTCTGGATATCTGATCACACCTGATCAAGTTCCTTGTCCCTATCCTTGTTGTCTAAGTCAACCTGCCTTCAGCAGGAATCCTGTTAAGTTGATTTAGCAAGAATCCCCCTGACTTTAATATCTCTTCTTAGTAATTTCCCCTCCACAGACGCCTCCCCGGCTCATTGGCTACTGATCTCCAGACGTCTTTGCTGTATTTGGAGTTGAGCCCAATCTTTCTCCCTATTGCAATGACCTTGACACCTGTTGTTGTAATCCTAAATAAAGTCTGCCTTACCATTTGTAAAAAATGTCAGAATAATTTTTTGCTTTGACATGACCCATCATAAAACCTTGGAATTGATTGGGATCCTCAAGGACCTCTAGTTCAACCTCGCCTGAATATCAAGACCTGTAAGAAGGCCGGGCGCCGTGGCTCACGCCTGTAATCCCAGCACTTTGGGAGGCCGAGGCGGGCGGATCACAAGGTCAGGAGATCGAGTCCAGCCAGGCCAACACGGTGAAACCCCGTCTCTACTAAAAATACAAAAAAATTAGCCAGGTGCGGTGGCTCACGCCGGTAAACCCAGCACTTTTGGGAGGCCAAGGAGGGCGGATCATGAGGTCAGGAGATTGAGACCATCCAGGCTAACACGGTGAAACCCCGTCTCTACTAAAAATACAAAAAATTCGCTGGGCATGGTGGCGGGCGCCTGTAGTCCCAGCTACTCCGGAGGCTGAGGCAGGAGAATGGCGTGAACCCGGGAGGCGGGGCTTGCAGTGAGCCAAGATCGCACCACTGCACTCCAGCCTGGGTAACAGGGCGAGACTCCGTCTCAAAAAAAAAAAAAGAAGATCACTACTCACTGCCAGGGGCCCAGTCACTGCCCTTATAGGCTGGTTCTCCTTGTTAAGAAGCCCTGCCTTGGTCTCAAGCAAGGGCTGAAATCTGCCTCAGCTTTTACTCATTCATCTTAATTCTGTCTTTCTTTGAAAGCTGTTCCCTCCCTTATTAAGAGAATATATTAGCTTTTAACCAAGCATAGTGGCACATGCCTGTAGTCCCAGCTACTTGGGAGGCTGCGGTGGGAGGATCGTTTGAGCTTTGGAGTTCAAGACTACAGATCTTGCCACTGCACTCTGCACTAAAAATAAATAAATAAATAAAAATAATAAAATAAAATAAGAATATATTAGCTTTGAAAAGAAAAATTTTTTTTTGAGACAGGTTCTTGCTCTGTCGCCCAGGCTGGAGTGCTGTGGTGCAATCACGCAATCACCGTTCACTGCAGCCTTGACCTCCCAGGTTGAGGGAATCCTCTCACCGCAGCCTTCCTAGTCGCTGGGACTACAGTTGCATACCACTGCACCAGGCTGATATTTTTCATTTTTATTTTTAAATTTATTTTTATTTTTTTAGGCAGAGTCTCACTCTGTCCCCCAAGCTGGAGTGCGGCGGTGCCATCTCAGCTTATTGCAACCTCCGCCTCCTGGGTTCAATCAATTCTCGTGTCTCAGCCTCTCAAAGTGCTGGGATTACAGGTGTGAGCCACCGCATCTGGCTTTTTTTTTTTTTTTTTTCCCGAGACGGAAGCTTGCTCTATCACCCAGGCTGGAGTGCAGTGACTCGATCTTGGCTCACTGCAATCTCCGCCTCCCGAGTTCAAGGGAGTCTCCTGCCTCAGCCACCCAAGTAGTTGGGATTACAGGTGCATGCCCCCACGCCTGGCTAATTTTTGTATCTTTAGTAGAGACAGGGTTTCACCATGTTGGCCAGGCTGGTCTTGAACTTCTGACCTCGAGTGATCCACCCACCTCGGCCTTCCAAAGTGCTAGGATTACAGGCGTGAGCCACCGCACCCGGCCTGTATTTTTATTTTTTGTAGAGACAGCGTTTTGCCGTGTTGCCGAGACTGGTCTTGAACTCCTGGGGTCAAGTGATCTGCCAGCCTCAGCCTCTCAAGATGCTGGGATTAGGGTGTGAACCACTGCGCCTGGTGCAATTTTAACCATCTTAAGAAAATAAAAATAAAAATAGAATAAAAACGTATTACTCATCTTGTGTCCTTGAACAGGATTCTGAGCCTGGTTGAGCCTGTGTTGCCGACCTAGGAATATTGTTACTGTAGAAGGCTGTTAGGGTGATGTGCCGGGGTTGACTCTGTGTGGACTCCATCTTTATTTCAAGGTCCTGGATGGTTCTGCTCCTCTGCTTCTAATTTTACGGCCTTTGTTTCTTTCCTCTGTTATTAGCGATGGCTGTTGCCTCCTCTGGTAGAGTTTTATAAATGACGCACTTCTTTTTCTTCTGTGGAATAAAATGGATGGGCTTTGTGGAAGCTGTTTGTCACTCAGAAGTTTTTTTGTTTGTTTGTTTTTCTTACCTTCCAGGTTGATGGTCGCATTCCAGATGTAAACAGCTTCAGAAGCCTGACGGTCATATGGTGAGCAGTTTACACTTTCATATACGCCCTGTCATGTGCTTTGAAGGACTTTCTAGGGGCATCAAGGGTATGTGAATAAATTTGCTTTTTCACTTATTTGTCTATTATCTAGCCCCAAATCTGTGCCTGCTGTTTGTTGATTTTCACCCCCTATTCTTTTTTTTTTTTTTGGAGACGGAGCCTTAGTCTGTTGCTGGAGTGCAATGGCGCTATCTTGGCTCACTGCAACCTCCGCCTCCTGGGTTTAAGCCATTCCCCTGCCTCGGCCTCCTGAGTAGCTGGGATTACAGGTGCCCGCCACAATGCCTGGCTGATTTTTGTATTTTTAGTAGAGATGAGGTCTCGTCATGTTGGCCAGGCTGGTCTCGAACTCCTTACCTCAGGTGATCCGTCTGCCTCGGCCTCCCAAAGTGCTGGGATTACAGGCATGAGCCACTGCACCCGGCCTCTTACTTCTTTTTTAACATGACAATATTCTGTTGGAAGTGAGGCAAGAGCAAAGTCAGGGAGACCAATTAGGAGGTGACAGTGATGAGGGTGCTGGCGATGTAGCTGGTACTGGCAATGGGCTGCTGGCGATGGAGATGCAGCAGATTCTGGAACCCTTTGAGGGTTGAATTGACAGGGTTTGCTCCGGGCGGAGTGTGAAGTGTGAGAGGAAGATGTGTCCACGAGAAGGAAGAACCCATGTATTTGGGGTTTGTGAAGTGACAGTGGTTGATCACGGCTGCTCTGGGCTCAGTGGGCTCTTCTCGGCCCTTCGGCAGGTAAGAGTTCAAAGCTGGAGTCGAAAGGCTTATGTCTTGAGCTCTCATCGAGTTGTTGATTAGTTCCTGGGTAAGGTCACTCCCTGGTAGAGCAGTTACCTCTTTTGAATTGGTGACCACAGCCTGCGTCCCCAGCCCTGGTGTGCTGCTAGACATAAGAAGAGGCAGGCTGGCTGGGCGCGGTGGCTCATGCCCCTGTAATCCCAGCACTTTGGGAGGCCGAGGTGGGTGGATCACCTGACGTCAGGAGTTGGAGACCAGCCTGGCCAACATGGTGAAACCCTATCTCTACTCCAAATACAAAAATTAGTTGGGCATGGTGGCAGGTGCCTGTAATCCCAGCTACTTGGGAGGCTGAGGCAGGAGAATGGCTTGAACCTGGGAGGCGGAGGTTGCAGTGAGCGAAGATTGCATCACTGCCCTCCAGCCTGGTCAATAGAGTGAGACTTGGTCTCAAAAAAAAAAACAAAAAAAAAAAACAAAAAAGTGGGGTTAGGTAGGCAGTTCGGAGAGGTCACTATAGAATCTCCAGTGGATATGCAGTTCAGGGGACAAACCCCATGATGGAATGTTGCTGCTTCTGTGAGGGAGAGGCCCTCGTGTCTTGAGAGTTGTGGTTGTTGAGAAATGATGCCTCCCTGGTATTAGATTGGTGCAGAAGTAATTGCAGTTTTTCCATTACTTTCAGGGGCAAAAACCACAGTTACTTTTGCACCAACCTAATATCTCTCGACTTGGTTTTTGTCTTACAAGAATACTCCTGGGTGTAATCGGCTATGCCTGGTGGATACATTAGGATCAACTGGATCTCTTTGCTTATTCCTACTGTGTTCTTTCAGGAGTGTCTTAAGTGTATCTCTGCTTCACTCCTCCTTTCTAGCACCCTGAGAACTAGAACAGGGGTCAGCAAATCACAGCCCATGGGCCTGTTTTTGTAAATAAAGTTTTATTTGGAACACAGCCATACTCCTTTGTGTACCTGTTATTTATAGCTGCGCTTTCTTGTTACAACAGCAGAGTTGAGTAGTTGTGAAATATGGCCTATAAAGCCTGAGATCGTTACTATTTGGCCCTTTATTTTAAAAAAAAGTTTGCTGATCTTTGGGTTAGAAGAGAAACAAAGGATGAATAAGGCTGTAGTAGATGGATCACACAGGAATACTTCTCGTCCCCGACACATTGTTCAGTCTTAGTACATGTGAATGTGAAGTTTGTAGCTCACAAACTGTGGCTTTAAAGTATCAAAACTGGCTGCACATGGTGGCCCATGCCTGTAATCCCGGCACTTTGGGAGGCTGAGGCGGGAGGATCGCTTGAGCCCAGGAGTTCGAGACCAGCCTGGGCAACACGGAGAGACCCCGTCTCTACAAAAATATAGAAAAATTAGCCAGGCATAGTAGCGCATGCCTGTGGTCCCAGCTGGCCGGGAGGCTGAGGTGGGAAAATCACCTGAGTCTGGGAAGTTGAGGCTGCAGTGAGCCATGATCACACTACTGCACTCCAGCTTGGGCAATAGAGCAAGATCAGGTCTCTCACACACACACAAAAGGATCAAAATTATTTAATTTTCCTTGTTTACTCTTGTACATGTGAGACATTATCCTTATATTTGAAATGTAATTCAGCATGGGTAGGCTCACACTAAATAATGGTGTCCTTTTACTTCATCGATAATTGAATGCTGGCAGTCCCCAAATTCAGCATTTTAAATTTTTTAAATTTTTATTTTTTTGAGAGAGGGCCTCTCTCTGTTGCCCAGGCTGCAGTACAGTGGCGTGATCTCAGTTTACTCCAACCTCCGCCTCCCGGGTTCAAACAATTCTTTTGCCTCAGCCTCCTGAGTAGCTGGGATTACAGACATGCACATCACGCCCAGCTAATTTTTTGCATTTTTAGTAGAGACGGGGTTACACCATGTTGACCAGGCTGATTTCGAACTCCTGACCTCCAGTGATCTGCCCGCCTCGGCCTCGCAAAGTGCTGGGATTACAGGTATGAGCCACTGCACCTGGCCTCAAATTCAGCATTTTGAGACCCGATTCGCTGTGCCCTCTTCTTTTACAGAGTAAAGCTTTCTCTTTCATAGGAGTATGCTACCATGTGGTTTGTTTTATCTGTGTTTGGTCGGGAGTTCCCCATATTTTAATTGACTATTTCATGCTAAGGGCTTTCAAAATACGTAGACTTGTATTTTTTCCCCCTAAATGGAATTCATCTTGTTTTATCTAAGTTATTCATTTTTCCTTTGGCTATATTGTGTGCTACATTATAATGGATGGCTATTGAATTCTTTATGTAAAAAAAATGAAATAGATTGAAAATTTAAAGGACTTTTCTTTTTTAATTGCATCTTAATATAAAAACAGGAGTTTAATTATTAAAAATGGTGGAAGAAAAGAATTAAAACAGTAAAATAGCTTACCAAAGATTCTGTTTTATAATGCATTCAGATATAATTGGTGTCATAATGTGTAATTAACAGTCTTTGAAGTGTGAAGCTTAAGTTTGGGTGGATGAAGGACCTCTTAGGATGCGGGGATGTCTATACTTGTTCTTCAACAGTAGCACTTCCTTTTTCATTTTTGTTTTTGAGACAGAGTCTCGCTCTGTTGCCCAGGCAGGAATGCAGTGGCACCGTCTTGGCTCACTGCAACCTCTGCCTCTCAGTTCAAGTGATTCTGTGGCCTCAGCCTCTCGAGTAGCTGGGATTACAGGTGCCCACCACCACACCTGGCTAATTTTTGTATTTTTAGTAGAGATGGGGTTTCACTATGTTGGCCAGGCTGATCTCGAACTCCTGACCTCAAGTGATCCACCCGCCTCAGCTTCGCAAAGTGCTGGGATTACAGGTGTGAGCCACCACGCCCAACCTTGAACAGTGGCACTTCCGGAGTGGTGCACAGATTGTGGGGTTTTGCTACCTGCCTTTATGTGTGTGTGGTCGAAGGAGATGGTAGAAGAAAGGCAGGGACAGGGGATCATCCTCTGATGCTTGACCACCCACCCACTACTGCCTGGGGTTTGTCAGGGAGGAGAGGACAAACTCCTTAAAATGGGCAGTGGCTTCAGCTTCAGGTCTCAGGCTAACTTCCTGGGGAGTTGGAGTCTACCACGTGCTAGACTGACCTGGGGCTTGTTTAAAACCTGCAGAGGAGCTTCCTTGGTGCATTTTCTAGATCCACACTGTAATCTGGGTGTGGGTCCCCCATGGACCTTGTTGCCATGCTGGCTGGGAATAATAAGTATGAGGAAAAGCACCCTGAGGAAAAAGAGGGGAAGATAATGGAACCTCAGGCTGAGAGTCTCAGCCTCCGTTTTTCCCATGCACCATCCGGCTCCAGTTGGCTCTTTGAAGACTGGGAGACCAGAACACTCAAGAACACAAATAAAATATGAGAGAGAGTATACCACGCAGATCTGAGCTTATATTCACTCTTACTCTGGTCCAAAAGTTCCTTGTGCATTGCTCCCTCTGGCCAGGCTTCTCCCAGGTGGTGGGTGCTCTTCACCACCCCCTGATGGTAAAATCCCAGAGTCCCAGCCTGTTGGAGAAAGTTATTAATAGCTTCACACCAGAGTTTCTGGTTGCGGACGCCATCTAGGGTGGGGAGGCAACACTGCCCAGCACCCTTACTGGAAAGAGACCACTAATAATTAAACATCTGGGGCCTTTTCTCTTCTTTTGAAATAGCTTTTAGGAGTGAATTCTTCTTTGGAATATCTTTATCAATGGCAGATATTTCTCTTTTTGGGTGGTTTTGATTTTCAGTAAAATTCTTAATGCAGTTGCCTCTCAGTTGGTTTTCTTCTTCCTTCTTGCCTGCATAATGTCCATTCTCCACAGAATAGCTAGAGGGATCTGAATAGTTTGCATCCAGAAGTTCAAGACCAGCCTGGGCAACATAGCCAGACAATCTCTATGAAAAAATAAAAAAAATTAACTGGGCATGGTGGCACGTGCCTGTAGTCCTAGTTACTCAGGAGGCTGAGGTGGGAGGATCGTGTGAGCCTGGGAGGTTGAGGCCACAGTGAGCTTTGATCTGCAGTCAGCCTGGGTGACAGAACAAGACCCTGTCTCAGTCAATCAATCAATCAATCAATAGCAATCAAGTCTCCTTACTCCTCCGGTTGAACTTCCAATGGCTTCCCATTATAGTTTGTTTGAAAGCTAGACTTTCTGCTGGGACTAGGAGGCCTCAAGGGATTTGGCCCCGCCTCTCTCTCACCTCCTGTCCTCCTCATTTAGGGCACTTCAGAGGCCTTTCTTCTGGGACTAGAATACACGCAGCGTGCCCCTGCTACAGGCCTTCCCACTGCATGCCCCCAATACTCTCCTTCCAAGCTCTGCCTGGCTAGCCATTCACTTCCTTCAGGTCTTGGCTCAAATATCGCCTCCCCGGACAGGCTTCCCTGAGAACCTAAGCTGAAGTAGCAGCCCTCTCCCCAGACCCCTCCCTCCCCTCCCCTTCCTGTTCCGGCTCTGTTCTCGTCATGGCACTCATGGCCACCTGACTCTTTCTCATGGACGTATTCATTGTCAGTCGCTCCCATTAGAGTAAAGGGTTCCCAAGGATGCAGGTGCCCATTGTCTAAATCAGCGCAGGTGCTGTCATTCAGAGACAGGTCTGCTAAGCAGGTAAATTCTTCAGTTGGACAGTGTCTGGTAAGTACAGTTTCCCAAGAAGAATACATTGAGGGAATAGTTCAGACTTAGAAATATATATTGTGATCTATCTCGGTAACAAAACCAAACCAGGACAGTTTTCTTTTTTCTTTTTCTTTTTCTTTTTTTTTTGAGATGGAGTTTCGCTCTTGTTGCCCAGGCTGGAGTGCAATGGTGTGATCTTGGCTCACTGCAACCTCCGTCTCCCGGGTTCAAGCGATTCTCCTGCCACAGCCTCCTGAGTAGCTGGGATTACAGGCGCCCGCCCCCTATGCCCAGCTAATTTTTGTATTTTTAGTAGGGACGGATTTCACTATGTTGGCTAGGCTGGTCTTGAACTCCTGACCTTAGGTGATCTACCCACCTTGGCCTCCCAAAGTGTTGGGATTACAGGCGTGAGCCCCCGCACCCGGCCGATTGTTTTATCGAACCTCATGTGTTAGGGTAGCCCACAGTGTGGAGGGTTGTAATACAAGGTGTCTGACTTCCTGTGCCTTCAGGCCTCAGTAGCCTCCCTAGTCCCCTGGTCTAGTACAGTTTTAGTTGGGTAACAAGGGGACTTGCCTATCTCAGGATCTCTCAGTTTCTGAACTACTGACATTGTGGGCTGGATACTTTGTGGTGCAGTCTGTGCCAAGTATCGAAGGATATTTCAGTGCAGCCTTGGCCTCTGCCCAGTAGAGGTCAGGACACCTTCCTAGCTGGGACAACCAAAATGTCCCCAGACATTGCTAAATGACCCCTGGAGGCAGGAGGTGGGGGGACACAAGATTACCCTGGTTGAGATCCACTGGCTTAGTGAAACACCTGCATACCCAAGGTTCCACCATTATTAACCTTTTATACCATTCTTTATCATTTACCTATTAGTGTGGCTGAGATTTGCTAATGTATAAGAAAGTGCTTTGAAACATAGCATGTTATTCAAATTTAGATATGACAATGACCGTAGTTTTCTTTTGTCATCTACATTTGTGGTCTCCGTTCCTTTGTTATCATTGTCTTACTTTTCATTTGTCATTTATGAAATATCTCCCCCCTAACCAGAATGTTGCTCTTCACTAATATATTGAAGTGTGTTTGATGGTTAAAATCACAGAGAAAGTCTTGACTGGAAGGAATCTTGAGGGACCTTTGGACAAATATTAAATGTCCTGTTAATGTCGTTGTCATTGCTGTCATTATCATGATCTTTTTCAATGCCTTTAATTTAAAGATGAGGAAGCTAAGGGGACAGTGGTGCACCCAAATCTTGGCTAATGGTAGAGCAATGACCGTCTGGGTGTTTCTGTGGAATTTACTTGCACTTTTGTTTTCTGTGAAGTTCGTGCTGGGATTAGCAGAGCTCTCTACCTCCTCCTCTGAGCTCCCTGCCGGAGCCTGAACATAAAGTGCCCGTATTCTGGGCTCATGGAAGATTTGTTAATAAGAAATTTTCTAAAAAAATGATCAGGGAGGAGACATGGGGAGTCAGTAAAAAGGGGGAGAGAGGAGCATCTTAAACTGCAAAGATGTTGAACTGGAAAAGGAAAACTGTGAAAAACATTGCAAAAGGAAAAGAAATAGAAGGAATCTGTGGAAGAATCAAATCAACCAAGTGCAATGTTGGGTCTTGTATGGATCCTGATTTGAACACAACAACTGTGAGAGAAGGAGAGAGAGGCAGACAGAATCAGGGACATTTAAACAGGGAATGGTTAATTGGTGGTGGTAAGGATTTTTGGGTGGTGGGTGGGATGATGTTTAAGTAAAAGGTCCTTCTCTTTTAGAAATAAGTGTTGAGGTATTAATGGATGATAGAATAGGATGCTTATTTTCTTCAAAATAAATAAGCCAGTGTTGGGGGAGTATAGCAAACTAGGATTGAATAGTTGAAGCTATATCGTGAGTACATGGGGATTATGTACCTACCATAAAACATTTCCAAGTAAAAAGTTTTAAAAACATGAAAGTTGATCAACTGTAGCACATCACAAACCTCTTTGCAGCCTAAAATAATAATGAAAGAAGCAGTGTGAGAAATTTGCCAACTTTTTCATCTTATCTTAAAAAATCTTCCAAATGCAGCAGACGTTTCCCAGTTTCCCTGGCAAAGGCCCTTTGCCCTGAGTGACAGGCGGATATGGGAACAGGAGCTCGAGGAAGCTCACCCTTGCCAGGGCGGCAGGGAGGCTACTGATCCTCACGCACCTGGTCCTGGGTTCCGCCAGGTATGACCCTCTCTGTGCCACAGTGTCCCTGCAGAGCTGATAGGAGAGTCTTCCTTCCTGAGCCTCCTCCATCTCTCCTGCACCCTTCCAGAAATGATCTGTGGACCAGCCTACCTTTTTTTGCAAATGTTTTATTCTTTAGATAATATACAAATTTTAAACAGTCACAGAAAGATAAGAATATAATGCAAAAGAGATTTCTTTTCCAACAACCCCCTTCTGGAACCACTTGAGTGTAGTGACATATTGATGTTCTGCTACCCTGGAATTCTCAGTGTGTGCTTCCCACAACCAGGAACATTCTCCTGTGTAATCTCAAGATAGCCGTTGATATCCGGAAATTAACACGGACACATTGCCACCCTCTAGTCCTCAGACCCCAGTCAGATTTCTCCCCTTGTTCCTGGAATGTCCTTTGTAAGCAAAAGGATCTAGTTCAGAATCATGCATCACATTTAGTGGTTTCCTTCAGTTGAGATCAGTTCCTCAGTTTTTCCTTGACAGCCATGATTTTCCTTAACACTTTTGAGGATGGCAGGCTATTGTTTTCTAGAAGATTCCTCAATTTTGGTTTGCCTGATAATTTTTCCACAATTAGAATCTGGTTCTGCATTTTTGGCAGCAGCGTCACAGAATCGCTGTGTTCTAGCGCTTCCCATCTGGTGGTCCAGATTTTGAGCTGTTCTACTATTAACTCATAGTTTACTGTGTCTTGTTCAGTGGCCTATATTTCATTACTCTCATTCTACTAAAAGTACAAAAATTAGCTGGGCGTCATGGCAGGTGCCTGTAATCCCAGCTACTCAGGAGGCTGAGGTAGGAGAATAGCTTGAGCCTGGGAGGTGGAGGTTGAAGTGAGCTGAGATCATACCACTGCACTCCAGTGTGGGCGACAAGAGTGAGACTCCGTCTCAAAAAAAAAAAAATTAAAATTAAATTATTTTGATACTCATATTGCCACTCATCTGGCTGAGAGGAGCTTGTTTCTCTGTGCTATCATTCTTTAAGTACTTCCTTACTTTCTAGCCTATGTTCTAGGGTCTTTTTTTTTTTTTTTTTTTTTGAGGCAGAGTTTCACTCTTGTTGCCCAGGCTGGAGTGCAATGGTATGATCTCACCTCACTGCAACCTCTGCCTCTTGGATTCAAGCAGTTCTCCTGCCTCAGCCACCCAAGTATCTGGGATTACAGGCGTGTGCCACCATGCCTGGCTGATTTTGTATTTTTAGTAGAAACGGGTTTCTCCACGTTGGTCAGGCTGGTCTCGAACTCCTGACCTCAGGTGATCTACCCCTCTCAGCCTCCCAAAGTGCTAGGATTACAGGTGTGAGCCACCGTGCCTGGACTCTAGGCTCATCTTATTCTTTGCTTGCCCCAGCAGGGGAACCAGCCATTTCTCTAAGGAGTCGTGGTTTCTTTTAGTGGACACCAGGACGTAGAAACCAAAATCTGGGCTTAAGGTGTGCTCCCTGCTTATTGGGGAGTCGCTGTCCCCAGACGCTCACTAGGGAGTTACATCTTCACACACATGAATTCACACTGATGCCTTCAATTCTGATTCAGCTCCACAAGGTTCATTCTAGTTTTCTCTTTTTCCACATTTAAATGGCTTCTCCAACAAGCAAAACTCTGGTGCCCATTATCCTTCATATCTTTACTTATTTGGTCAACTGGCATGTTTGTAACCAATCTCTATGTCCTGGCTCTACCTCCTCCCACGTGGATGCCCTCCTTGTCATGCTTGGCTTGGACACGCGTGCTGGGCTGCTGTTCCACATGGCCCCTTCCTCACCCTGCTGGGTTGGGTTGGACACCCCACTCAGTGACATCATGGCCTCCCCTTCCTGTGTGAACGCCTACCTTGCTCTGGCCCGTGTTAAGACTTCAGGAATGGATTGCTTGGAAAGGAAAGTTTTTGTTTTTTACATATATAAGAAAGGATCATAGTACACATGTTGTTTTCTGACATGCTCTTAAAATTTTTAACCTTATGAGATCTCATGGACATCTTACAACAGTAATACATGTAGACCAATCTCATTGCTTAATGACTGCCTTGAACCATTCAGTAAATATTTTCCTGAGCATGTGTTTTGTACTATGTATTGTTCTGAAATCTTGGAATTTATCAGCAAAAAAATACAGACAAAAATCGGTCTTTGTGGAGCTTGCATTCTAGCAGGGGGAGACAAAAACAATCAACATAACAAATAGTAAATCTTAGAGCATGGCAGAAGGTGATAAATGGTCTGGATAAAAGTACAGCAGCTCATGAGGTAACTGGAGTGCAATTAAAAATACATTGGTCAGGGTAGGCATTTATAGGAAAGGCTTTGGGCAAACAATGGAAGGAAATGTGTCTATGGAGGAAGAGCATTCTGGGAAGAGGTAATAACAGCTCGTGCTGGAGTGGGAGCAACAGAAAGGTGGCCAGTGTGCCTGGACCAGGCTGAGCAAGAAGGAGCGTATAGAAGGTTCAGCGAGGTCAAGCAGGCCAGGTCATGTTGGTCTTTGTAGCACAATTATTTCCCCCCTCTTTTGGCCATTTCCTTTTTAACCCATGGAAATGTATTCATTCTACTGCACTTTCTTTTTTTTTATTTTTTAAAATTTATTTATTTATTTATTTATTTATTTATTTATTTATTTATTTACTGGAGATGGAGTCTCGCTCTATTGCCCAGGTTGGAGTGCAGTGGCGCAATCTCACTGCAACCTCTGCCTCCTGGGTTCAAGCAATTCTCCTGCCTCAGCCTCCCGAGTAGCTGGGACTACAGGCGTGCGCCACCACACCCGGCTAATTTTTGCATTTTTGTAGACATGGAGTTTCGCCATGTTGGTCAGGCTGGTCTCGAACTCCCGAGCTCGGGTCACCTTGACCTCCCAAAGTGCTGGGATTACAGACGTGAGCCACCATGCCCTGCCCCCTGGTTTCTTAATGGCTGTCAGCTGGAGGCCACCTCAGTGCTTAGAGGCCGTTCTCCCTACCTATAGACACCCACAGTTCCTGCCACACAGCCCCTTCATAGGCAGTTCCAACATGGCAATTTTCTTTTTTTCTTTTTTCTTTGACTGCTTCCTCTACCACTAGAAAGCAGCTGTATTGCAAAAAGCAATCCGTTTATTTAGACATTCTCTTCCTAGGCAACTTTAAGTTTTTCCACCGCCGTAACACCACTGTGTTTTTCACTTTCAGTCTTCAAACACTTTTTTCAGGAGAATCCTCATCACTGTCTCGGTTCCTCCTTCTTTATCCTCTCCAAACAGAAGATCCAATATATCTCCCAGATACATTGGATCCAGAAGATCTCCAATGAGAAGATCCAGTGTATCTCCCACTTTGACCGTTCTGTTTTTCTTCCATAACTTTTCCCCATTCAGCCTGAGTTCACCTTTGTAGAACGCATCTTCCACTTTGTTTCTCCCAATATCTAGGCCTGTCTTCAGGACATCGTCATACCAAAAAGACTGCACTGCTTTTTCCAGGTCTTGATAGTCTTTGACTATCGTAGGGTCATCCTCAAGCTCCTCTTCCTGCTCACTCATCTCATCATGATTGCTGTCTTCCTCAGAGTCCTCTTCATCTTCTACTTTTTGCAGTGACTTTGTAGTAGATTTATTAGAGCTTTTATTACTTTTGAGTCTTATGGAAAATGGAAAAATATATTCTGGAGATATTAAAAGCCCTGAGAATTTCAGTGAGAAAATATTATGGATAAGTCTTTTATAATTTGGTGCACATAACTTAGTGCTATATCGATTCCAGGAAGTACAGAGTTTGTGTGACGAAGGTGTCCCTCGGAGAACACCCCAGAGTCCAATCCAGGTATCTGGCTTTCTTAAAACAATGGCAAGCAATTTGACACTAGTCATAGCCATGGCGCTTATAACCTTTCTTTTGTTGTTGTTGTTTCGAAATAGGGTCTTGCTCTGTGGCCCAGGCCGGAGTGCGATCTTGGCTCACTGCAATCTCTGCCTCCCGGGCTCAAGTGATTCTCATGCCTCAGCCTCCCGAGTAGCTGGGACTATAGGTGTGTGCCACCATGCCTGGCCAACATTTTGTATTTTTAGTAGAGACAGGATTTCATCATGTTGGCTCGGCTGGTCTTGAACTCCTGAGCTCGGCAGTTTGCTTTTTCAAGGCCCAGCCTGCTTAGATGAAATCTTACATAATGAAATATAATCAGAGGAGTGACACCTCATCATTTTGTCATGTCCTGCCCACATTCAAGGGGAGGGGTTATACAAGAACATGGATCATTTGGGATCGATCACCTTAGGATGTGCCCTCTGTAAGGTGGTCTGCCAATCTTGGAAGTTTAACCTGAAACCCAAACTTACTGTTTTCCCTCTTCCAACTTCTTCATCTCTATTAGCATCACCTCCAGTGTTCCAGCCACCAGATTTTTAGTCTGGGTGTTAGCACTGACCCTTCTTTTTCTTTGTCATTTTCAGTATCCTTGCACTTACGAAGTACTCTCAAACTTTCCTGGACATGTCCTTTGTAAACCATCTTCCTAAACACTAGTTTTTGTATCTCTCACTCTCTCTTTATCTCTCTCTCTCTCTCTCTCTCTGTGTCTCACACACACACACACACACACACACACACACACACACACACACGCACACACATGCTTTCACTCAGCCTGGTGCCTGGTGTTGGCTTAATTGTCCATCCTTTTCTCTATGAACAAATTGCTTCACTTCCACATTTCTGCTGTGTTGGTTTGGAGCTTGTCTGTCCTTCCTGGGATGTCCTTGGCCACATTTCCCATTACCCCTCCCAAGCCACCGCATTTGCTCTTTCTCTGAACTACAGACTCTGGTCCACTTAGGCCCAGTGACTTTCTTTATGTTAGAATCATCAAGGTCATTGAAATTGGATTACTCAGTCATGTGTAGACTTGGCTAACTTCCCTGTATGCAGTGTGTATATATACATCTATAAAAGTAATGCGGGGTGAATTATCTGAATTTAAAAATTCATGAGAAAAATATGATAATATTAATCAAACATGCTGCTGTTTGGCAGCCAGTCACCAAGCCCTCCTGTCCCCGTGGCCGACTCTGCTGATGGCTGGGCAGCCACAGTGTGATGGATGGTGCTGTGGCATGCCTGTGGCCAGGTGGGCTGGCCGCACCTGTGGCTCTGGGCCTGATTTATGCTGGCCTCGGAGCCGCATATTGCTCCACGGGATGACGCAGATGCCGGGGCCTATCCTAGCATGTGGGACCTCAGCCATATCCATCCAGAGCGAACCTTTTTTTTTTTTTTCCTCTGAGAATCTCAGTTTAGCTTCTTAGCTTAATTGACCACTAGATGGATTAGGAGCTGCTTAATGATGTCTGAAGCCCACAAGGACTGTTTTGATAGACTCTTGATATGGTTTGGCTGTGTCCCCACCCAAATCTCATCTTGAAGTGTAGCTCCCGTAATTCCCACATGTTGTGGAAGGGACCCAGTGGGAGGTAATTGAATCATGGAGGTGGCTTCCTCCATACTGTTCTCATGGTAGTGAATAAGTCTCATGAGATCTGATGGTTTTAAAAGGGGAAACCCTTTCCGCTTGGCTCTCATTCTCTCTCTTGCCTGACACCAATGTAAGGCACGCGTTTCGCCTTCTGCCACGATTGTGAGGCCTCCCCAGCCATGTGGAACTGTGAGTCCATTACACTTTGTTCTTATAAATTACTCAGTCTCGGGTATGTCTTTATCAGCAGCATGAAAACAGACTAACACAACTCTCAAGGAGGGAAGAGAGTCCCCCTGTCCCCCTGGTGCCTCTGTGGGTCAATGCTGCCCTTCACTGAGGTCCTTTGGGTATGTGCTCTGCATTTTCCCAGGCCCAGGAAAGCAATGTGCAGAGAGAAAGCACCTGTTCTGCCTTGAAGAATCTCGGATCTGGGTGGGAGGCAGGGTGCCCAGGGGCAAGAGTGACACTTCCTAACAATAGAGCTACAGGAGGAGCTGGCACCGTTAATAAGCACGACCTGCTTCTTGCAGAAAGTCAAGGAAACATTCCAAGAAAACATCTCGGACGTGCTTCTCCTTGGAGTAGGAGAGAGGCACTGTTGTTTCTGTAGGGAAGTTGGATGGGGCCTCTCTGAAAAGAGGTAATTTGCAGGATTCCAGTTATGATAGGATACAGAGTTGTCTTGTATATTCTGGGAAGAAGGGAAATTGCATCCTGCCTTTGTCCGATAACAGGCAGTGGGGAAAAGGGTAGCAATGCTTTCGGGGCCCAGGAGGCCTGTTTGCTGCAGCTGCACGATTCACGAGCAGCTCCTTCCATTATCCCTTATATTCTGTGGGGAGGGAAGAGGCAAGGCCAGTTACGTGGTTGCTGCCTGATTATCGGCCTGGCTGCCCAAAGGAAGTCCCCCAGGCCCCTCTGGCCTTCCTCTCAACCAACCTGCCAGGCATTTGCTTTTCTGCCTAATTCAGTTATGCCTCAGTGTGAACATTTTCTGCCTAGGCTTGGTCAATCTGCAGGGACCTCTCTTGGTACTTGACATAGTCAGTTGCCTGACTACAAACCAGGCCTACCCTGGATAGAAAGAAAAGGGAGTTGTGACAGTTGCCAGGAAGATTTCTCTGTGGAAGTGGCTGGTGTTTTTCTGGGCAGAAACTTTGTGGAGGGAACAAGCATTTAATTAAAAAACAGACCAGGCGCAGTGGCTCCCACCTGTAATGCCAGCACTTTGGGAGGCCGAGGCGGGCAGATCATCTGAGGTCAGGAGTTCGAGACCAGCCTGACCAACATGGTGAAACCCCGTCTTTACTAAAAATAAAAAATTAGCTGGGTGTGGTGGCGCATGACTGTAATCCCAGCTACTCAGGAGGCCGAGGCAGGAGAATCGCTTGAACCTGGGAATTGGAGGTTGCAGTGCAGTGAGATTGTGCCACTGTACTCCAGCCTGGGAGACAGAGCAAGACTCTGTCTCAAATAAATAAATAAATAAAATAAGAAACAAAACAAAAAGAACTATGACTGTTTTTTTGAGCACCTAGTATGTGTCTGGTATTGGGCTAATTCCTTAGTATCTGTTGCTTCTTTCTCATCTCATAACAATCCTGACCAGCCACGGTGGCTCACACCTGTGATCCCAGCACTTTGGGAAACAACAGTGTGACGATCACTTGAGCCCAGGAGTTCAAGACCAGCCTGGGCAACATGGTGAAACCCCATCTTTACAAAAAATACAAAAATTAGCTGGATGTGGTGGTGTGTGCCTGTAGTCCCAGCTACTCGGGAGGCTGAGGTGGGAGGATCACCTGGCCTGGGAAGTTGAGGCTGCAGTGAGCCATGATGGTACCATGGCACTCCAGCCTGGGTGACAGAGTGACCCTGTCTCAGAAAAAAAAACCAAAACAAGCCAATCCTAGCAGGTGGGCACTGTTATATTTGCTGTTGCAAATGGGGAAACTGAGGTTGGGAGAGGTCAAGTACCTAGGCCACAGGGACTTTCAGAAGTAGATGCCAGGGATCTCCACTTGGCAGAGCTGGACTTTCTGACCCGAAACCCATGCCTATAATTTGAGGATTTGCCATCCTGTCTTGTAGAGGTTCTGAGAGCTGCCACAGTTCTGATTGTGGAGTCTTGAGTGACAGGGAAGTTGCAGCCTGAGGTCTGTGGTGGAGCTGGAAAGGAATATTTGCAAGACACCTCCATGCTCAGCACCTTCCTTGGGCTTCTCCAATTTGCACTTCTTGTTTTTTTTTTTTTTTTTAATTGAGATGGAGTCTCTCTCTGTCACCCAGGCTGGAGTGCAGTGGCACAATCTTGGCTCACTGCAATCTCTACTGCCTAGGCTCGAGCAATTCTCGTCCCTCAGCCTCCTGAGTAGCTGGGACTACAGGCACGCATTACCACGCCTAGCTAATTCTTTTGTATTTTAATAGAGATGGGGTTTTGCCATGTTGGCCAGACTGGTCTCGAACTCCTGGCCTCAGGTGATCCGCCCGCCTCCTCCTCTCAAAATACTGGGATTACAGGCATGAGCCACCGCGCCTGGCCTCCAAGTTGCACTTCTAATTTAGATTCTGTCCTCTAATCTTGGTCAATGTAGATGTTTTAGGAGTAACCAGTGTTCCTCATGTGTTTTTCTTGGGGCCTATTACACAATGACTGCTGTGATGGTTAATTTTGTGTGTCAGCTTGACTGGGCCACAAGGTGCCCAGATACGTGGTCAGATATTCTGGTTGTTTCTATGAGGGTGTTTTTGGATGAGATGAACCTTGAAATCAGTAGACTGAGTGAAAGATATTGGCCTCGTCTCTCCTCCTCTCCTTTCAGTTGAAGGCCTGAATGGAACAAAACTCGGGCCCTACCCCTGAGTGAGGGGGAATTTCTCCTGCCTGACTTTCTTTGGAGCTAGGACATCATTTTTTCCCTCCTGCTTTCAGCCTTGGACTGGAACTCCACCATTGCTCTCCTAGTTCTCCAGTTTGCCAACTGCAGATCTTCAGATATGTTAACCTCCATAATCACACGAGCCAATTCCTTATAATAAATCTCTTCATGCAGATATATACATGTGTGTTGTGCATATATGTGCATATGTATAGATTCTGTTTATCATGAGAACCCTGACTAGTACAAGCACTCATCCCTGGTCACTGTCCACCTCCTCATTTCTCAGGCCAGCAGGCATCTGACCAACATTCCTGCAGATGCTTCAGGGAAACACGTGAGCCACAGTCTCTTCACTTCCATTTGCTTTTGCTCCTCTTATCTCCGAACTCACAGTTCAGTTTTTAACACATTCAGATCACTCTCATATTTTTCCTCCTTTATTCTAATTTATTGATCTTCAGAGAATTTCTTTCCTATTTCTCTGCTTTCTCCATTTTTCTTTCCTTTTTTCCTTCTCCTTGCTTTTCTTCCTTTTTTAAATCTTCTTGAGATAGAGTCTTGCTCTGTTGCCCAGGCTGGAGTGCAGTGGCATGAACACAGCTCACTGCAGGCTTGACCTCCTATGCTCAAGCAGTCTTCCCACCTCAGCCTCCTGAGAGCTGGGACTACAGGTGCACACCACTACACCCTGCTAATTAAAAAAAAATTTTTTTCCCAGTTGCTACCAGCTATAGTAAAATAAAGAAAGAAAAATTTTGTAGAGTTGGGGTTTCCCTTTGTTGGTCAGGCTGGTCTGGAACTCCTGGGCTCAAGTGATCCCCCTTCCTCAGCCTCCCAGAGTGCTGGGATTACAGGTGTGAGCCACTGTGTCTGGCCTACTTTTCTATCTTTCTTATTATCCTACCCTATCCTGTCCTACCTTAAGGCCCACAATGGCCGTAATAATTGTGGTTCATAGGGGTAAGAATGATACTGATATCATTTGTCTTAACACAAAATCCCTGATAGTAAACAAAACCAATGGTTTTGCAAACCAGAATTTCCAAGAATGTCTCCAGCTACCCTACTTTCTTCAAAGTAAATCTTTTCTTTAAGATGAATAAAGTATTTCTATGTGAACTTTACTGTTTTGCTTTTACTGCAAGATTTGCAACTTTTCTGTGCTTAGCATTTGTTTTCACTGAAGATGTGCAGCACATCGATAACATTTTGCACGAAAACGCTCTGGTGGGTTGGCTGAGCGTGGCCCGGCTGCTGCTATGGTGCCTGCCACTGTGGCTAGAGGTCTTTCTTGTTCTATTTCCTGTTTGTGGTG
Source organism: Homo sapiens (assembly GCF_000001405.40). NCBI lineage: Eukaryota > Metazoa > Chordata > Mammalia > Primates > Hominidae > Homo > Homo sapiens. Next base: position 31,446,667 of record NC_000021.9, on the reverse strand, counting down.
AGTGACTGTCTCCCATCGTTATGTCAGGGACATAAGCTTTGTGTTTCTTTTCTGTTTTCTTTGCCTTCTCTGCATCTTTCATATTCATACTTCATCACTCTCCCTGGCCTTCTCTCAGTAGTGTCCATAAACACTGACCTTGCAGTCCACCATGAAAGTGTGGTGTGTAAGTTTTCAGTGTGTAAAGTTTCACTAGAAGTTCAGCATGCTCTTTGAAAGTGATCACCCGTGAATCTTAGCATGAGACAGATGGAATTATGCATGCTGCCTGCTGCCTGTGCCCCTAGAATGGCTGTTTGGGTCATGAGGCATGATGTAGCCAGGACTTACATACCTATCTTAAGTAGAAAGCAACTAGAGCTTGCTTCTATTTTTCAGCTGCAGAAATTTCAGCCAATGGTAGGGTAAGTTAAAAAACAAACACAGTGGCAGGGCGAGGTGGCTCACACCTGTAATCCCAGAACTTTGGGAGGCTGAGGCAGGTGGATCACCTGAGGTCAGGAGTTCAAGACCAGCCTGGCCAACATGGTGAAACCCTGCCTCTACCCCAAGTACAAAAATTAGCCAGGTGTGGTGGCGGGTGCCTGTAATGCCAGCTACTTGGGAGGCTGAGGCAGGAGAATAGTTTGAACCTGGGAGGCCGAGATTGCAGTGAGCTGAGATCGTGCCACTGCACTCCAGCCTGGGCAACAATAGCAAAATTCTGTCTCAAAAATAAAAAAATAAAAAATAAAAATAAAAACAAACATAGTCCTCAAAAAACCAAAAGTAAAACCATGAAACCAACCTTCCCAAAACTCAAACGTTAAAATACAACCAACAAAACCCCAATCTCTCCTTTAGCGTCTCTCCTCCCCTCCTCCCCCTGGCTGTACTCATGTCCCTGAGTCAGAGAGGGCTGTTAAAATGTAATGGGTATAGTCCGATCCAGGAAACAATGGTTGATAGTCTTGAATAAACTCTTGAATTTTACAAGGATTGGGGATCTCCTGGGTCTCCTGATGAAGAGAACAGGTCTTTGGATACTGCCTGCAGTTTGAGTGCCTGAGATTTCTGCAGGGTAGGCAGTGAGAGGTGAGCATTTGGGGTGATAGAATTCCATGTAGTCACCAATGAGCTGTGTCCCTATTAATTGGAATTAATAGACGACATCCAGAATGGCAAGTGGGAATATAACATCTCCTGGATTTACCAGATTATTTTCCACAAAGTTTGGAACTTACATAAAGGAGTCTTTTGGAGTAGCCATTGCCCCTCTTTCAGCAAAACCAGAGGAAATGTCATACAGAAGAACTGTGGTTAAAGAACATTCTGGAAGACACACGTATTAAACAGAGTGAGGCTGGTCTTAGCATTACAGAAGGTTGAAGCCAGCAGGGGCACAGTAATACAATGAGCCTAGATTCTTTATTTAATAGATTTAAAAACAAAACCTGAGGCCTTGGAGTTTCCGTGTGTTGCTCAAAGTCAAGATTCACTCATCATCATAGACTGTTTCTCACATTAGCCTGCGACATTTGATGTTGTATCTCATATGCTAGGAGACATTTCCCACAGAAACATCTACTTGTTACTGGTCATAAAATTGCCTGTATCAAAAGCAGTAGTTGTCTTTGCATTCTGTTCTTTCTTTTCTCTTCTCTTCTGTTCTTTGTTTTCCTTTTTTTTTTAGATGTAATTTCGCTCTTGTTGCCCAGGCTGAAGTGCAATGGCGTGATCTCAGCTCACTGCAACCTCCGCCTCCCAGGTTCAAGCAGTTCTCCTGCCTCAGCTTCCCAAGTACTTGGGATTACAGGCATGTGCGACCATGCATTGCTAATTTTGTATTTTTAGTATAGATGGGGTTTCACCATGTTGGTCAGGCTGGTCTCAAGCTCCCGACCTCAGGTGTTCCGCCCACCTTGGCCTCCCAAAGTGCTGGCATTACAGGCGTGAGCCACCGCGCCTGGCCTGCGTTCTCTTCTTAGAAAAGTTTGCTGACTTTTTAAAAGAATTGTCAAATATTTCATGGCAGACTGCAGTTCTTTGGATATTGGATCATTATTTGCTGAGGTCCTGATAATTAGTCCAGTCTCATTTCCCTCAAGCTGACAAATTTTGCTTCATGCCTTATGGGGAATGTAAGTATGAAATTAATATTGTAGCAATTAGTCATCTATCCCTCATTTTTTTCTAGTAAAGTCCCAGAGCACAAACATGAAATTCATCAGATCCAACCCCTTATGCTTAAAAACCATCGTGGCATTCTAGATATTTCACCCCTCCTTTGAAATAGAATGCAATAAGGAATTTAGCAGAAACTTTTAGTAGAAATTTACTGATTTTATTTTTAAATCAGGAAGCTGTATTTCTCAACAGCTGTTTTCTTGTGTGGTTGCAGGCTGACTCAGCGCCACGCCGTGAACGACAGAAAAGCCAGTGCGAATTCTAAATTTTAGTGCCTCTACTTAAGAGTGCATTAAAGTTGTTTGATAACTGCTGCTGTAATTTCCGTGGGACAGCTTATCTTTAATGCTGTTCATATAAACACAGATCCCGCTGCTGGGAGCTACAGAGGTTAGGATTGATTTTCATGAAATTTTTTACTTAATGAAATCTCATCAATTTCTATCCTCCTGGATATTTTAATTTGAGACCAAGGAGGGTCTAAGGATGAACTGCAGCTTTGCTTTGGCTTTGAGAGGCTGCCTCCCATGAGGTTCAGCTTTTATGAAACATGTTCTAAATGACTTGAATGGAAGCCAGCTCTGTCTGATGTTTTATATTATGTAACCAGTCAGATTTATGTTGCATACAATGAATTTCAAATTCCAGTTTTTAGGGATTTGCAGGAGGGATAGGGATGCTCTGAGCTTATTTGAGAATGAAAACTTGGAAAACCACAATAGTTCAGGGCTCATTGTAGAAACCATGGCTATAAAATATGATTCTTTTTGCCTCTAATAAACATCAGAAATTATATTTCAGAAGCTAAAAGAGATTCACCACTGATGGACCACAGGAGTCTGATATCAGGGGATTTTCTTCCAGTGGTGGGTGGTGGTGGTTGTGGGTCAGGTGAGACTTCTTACATGAGGGCATTTAAACTGGTCCTTGATGGTCAAGGAGGGCTTCAACAGGCAGATTTGCAAGGAAGGCAAGAGAGGCTAAAAAGCAGGAGAATGCATTGAAAGAATATTAACACTTAGCTCTGCATGATAACGTTTAAAAAACCATTAAAATATCAGATCTTTCCTTAAAAGGAAAAGAATTAAACCACTGACATACAGCAGCGTGGTCCATAGACTCTGGGTTATGGACGCATCTCTACTGTAATTGTCTTGTGGGAAGATGTTGCCTCCCCTACTTCCCATGCTTTTATAATATCTGGGGAGCTGGCCCTGATATGTCTGTTCATTATTTCTTGTCTGTTACTAGGGGGTTTAATTATTCCCAATGACCAAAAGCAGCTGGGGAGTCCAACAGCCCTGGCCTTGTCCCATGTTGGGCACTTTTGTAACCCATTCCTTTCCATCCTCTTTTCCCTTTGTTTTTTCAGAGTTAAAGTTGTAAAATGAAACTCCACAGTCCAAGGTTTCTACTTCTCAGGCAGATACGCTTTCTGTGGAAATTGCTCCAAGGCAGTTCAAAGTTGCTTTCAATCCTGGGTAACATGTACATAGGAGCCGCATTGCAATTTGCTATTTAATACACTAGTTCATTGAAACACTGGATCCAACCTGACCAGTCCCTGGGGACTTCTTCAGGTCCTGGCCGTCTCATATTTGCATATGTGACCTGGTGCATGGTCTTTCTCCTTCCTCAGCTTATTTTTCTTTCTAAATCTTAATGAGCTTGTTAAATACAGAATTCCAGAGCCCTACCTTGACAATAATTCCCTCCTTGATGAAACTGTAGTCAGGCTCCTCTGAGCCCTCTTTTTGACTAGGCTGTGACCCTGGCCCCATCCTCTCTTTGGCTTATCCATTCCAGTCTTCGCAAAGAATCCTGCTAGGTTATCCTTTCATTCTTGATATCTGACCACCCTTGATAATCTGATCAAGTTCCTCATTTTCCACCTTTGATGTGTAAGTCCTTGGCCTGTCTTTAGCAAGAATTCTGTTAGGCCAGTTTTGCAAGATTGCAAGAATCTCCCGGCTGGGCGTGGTAGCTCATGCCTGTAATCCCAGTGCCTTGGGAGGCGGAGGCAGGCAGATAACTTGAAGTCAGACGTTCCATACCAGCCTGGCCAACATGGTGAAACCCTGTCTCCACTAACAATCCAAAAATTACCCAGGCATGGTGGCGTGCACCTGTAGCCTCAGCTACTCAGGAGGCTGAGGTGGGAGAATCACTTGAGCCCAGGAGGTGGAGGTTGCAGCGAGCCAAGATCGTGCCACTGCACTCCAGCCTAGGCAACAGAGGGAGACTCTGTTTCAAAAAAAAAAAAAAAAAACTCCCTACTCCTGACGTTACGTCTTAGTAATTGTCCATTGACTGACCCTCTCAGCTTCACTCCTTGGCTGTAAGTTCTCACTTGTCCTTGCTGTGTTTGGAGTTGAGCTTGATCTCTTTTCCCTGTTACAATACCCTTATTGTTCTATATATATATATATATTTATTTATTTGTTCTGAGATAGGGTCTCATTTCATTGCTCAGGCTGGAGTGCAATGGCACTGTCTCAGCTCACTATAATTCCCACCTCTTGAGCTCAAATGATCCTCCCACCTCAGCCTCCTGAGTAGCTGAGACTCCAGGCATGTGCCACCCTGCCTGGCTAATTTTTGTATTTTTTTTTTTTTGTAAACATGGGGTTTCACCATGCTGCCCAGGCTAGTCTCGAACTCCTGGGCTCAAGTGATCCACCCACCTTGGCCTCCCAAAGTGCTGGGATTACAGGCATGAGCCACCATGCTCAGCAATAGTTTTGAATTAAGTCTTCATTACTCTTTTAACAAGTGTCAATTTTTTTCTTCAGTGACCTCCAGATCTTACTTGCTATGTCTAAGATAGGAAGCCTGTATGTTAGGTAGGGAAGGCTCAATCCTGGAACAAAGTCTGAAATTACAGTGGCTTAACCCAACAAAAGGTTATTTCTTGTCCACATAAAAGTTCTTTACCAAATGGTGATTCCAGGACCCAGGCTCCTTCCATATTGTGGCTCTGCTATCGCCAACTTGTGCCTTCCAACATTGCCATATTCCTGGGACTCAAGTCCTAGAAGGGGAAAGTGCTTGCAGGTTTGTGAGAGGGGCAGACACATCTTTCCCACTCACATTCCTTATTGGCTAGAGTCAAGCCATGCAGCCACATTTAAGAAGGAATGAGTTTGTTGAATACCAACACATGAATCTGCATTTTAAACAAGTGTCACATGTGATTCTTATGCAGGGGGATGCTTGGGCCACACCTTGGTAAATGCTGTTTATAATATTTGCTAAGTTCCTTCCAACCCTAATGGGCCATGATTCTGTTGTGCTGTGAGCTTTCACATGGAAAAAGGCAAGCATTTCCCTCTAAGATGAAGAGAGAAATTGAACCAGCAAAATCACAAAGGATTCTTCCCATATCCTGAGTTCATAAAAGCATGGTGACCTGTTAAGACCAGCTGATTAAATAGGCACCATAATCATCTTGCTGTGACTCTTCTGCTCTGGGAACCCACTGAGATATTACCTTATGTGTTTCCTTCCACGATGGGGTGCTGGGAACTAGAATGGGGAACACAGAAAATGTAAATGCATGTTTTCCTTTGCAACTAATTAAAGTGGACAGTTTACCACTTCATTTGTCTTTTTTTCTTTTTTTTTGAAACAGTCTCACTCTGTTGCCAGGCTGGAGTGCAATGGCATGATCTCTGCTCACTGCAACCTCTGCCTCCCTGGTTCAAGTGATTCTCCCACCTCAGCCTCCCCAGTAGCTGGGATTACAGGCACACGCCACCACACCCAGCTAATTTTTGTATTTTTAGTAGAGACGGGGTTTCACCATGTTGGCCAGGATGGTCTCGATGCTCTGACCTCATGATCCGCCTGCCTCGGCCTCCCAAAGTGCTGGGATTACAGGCATGAGCCACCATGCCCAGCCATTTGTCTTTCAATCCATTGGAAATCTAAAGGTTTTCTTAACCTATTCTGCTAAGAATCACTGATCTGGGACCAGGACAACCCTGATAGCATCTGTATTAACTTGGTCATTTGTGTTGTGACTTTTTTTTAAAGGCCAAGAATTTAGGTTTATTTTGTGTCAGGAATTAGGCTATAATCAGATATTTGGGGACTGGGGGAGTCAGCAGTGTGGTGATCAGATTTTCTTAATTCCACTAAGGACTAGGTAAGAAGAAATATTTGGACCTGCATGAGATGTAGTTTGAGCACACTGAAATTATAAGGGAAAGCTAGATTGTGAATACAGCCTTTGAGTGAGACTTTTTCTGAGTTTCTCATTTCTTAACACCTTCAGTTGCTACGCTGCTGGCAAATATGACACAAGCTGTTGGATGCTTTCTCGATTGAATATAGTTCTGACATCACACAATATTAGCTAACGTTTGTAGAATACTTACTGCATATGGCTTTTGTTATTCTCTTATTTCTTCATCTTAACAACACTAGGAGGTATGAGTACTATTTTTTCCCTGTTTTACCAAACGAGGGAAACTGAGACACAGAGAGGTTAGGTAACTGCAAGGTTACATTGCCGGTGATCAAGACCCTATTGACAATCGGAAGCATCAGCCATCCATGGTTTTGTTCCATCTCAGTCTGGTTTGTTCTACACTAGCTGTTATATTCTTAGACAACCAGTGGTTCTTCGAGAGACCCCTCCCTCTTTTTTAAACATAGATTACATGGTTCAGCAGAAAGTGGTTCTATTTCTTTTCACGATAATTATGGTTTCTGGGTTAGCACTCAGTGCTGCCAACTTTTTGAGGATGCGGGTAAAGTAAGTTCTATTTCTTACCAGCCTTTGATGGCGTACAGCGTGCTTGGATAGAATAGGAAGCTTATACATATTAATGACTGGTCAACTGTAGTTTCTTCTGGGGATCATTTCGTAGGATGTTATAATCAAATGCATGTTAAAGAATACAATACTGTATGGGTGTGGTGGCCCATGCCTGTAATGCCAGCACTTTGGGAGGCCAACGCGGGTGAATTACTTGAGGTCAGGAGTTCAAGACCAGCCTGGCCAACATGGTGAAACACTGTCTCTAGTAAAAATACAAAAATTAGCTGGACATGGTGGTGCATGCCTGTAATCCCAGCTACCCGGGAGGCTGAGGCACAAGAGTCGCTTGAACCCAGGAAACAGAGGTTGCAGTGAGCCGAGATCGTGCCACTGCACTCCAGCCTGGGCGACAGAGTAAGATGCCATCTCAAACAAACAGACGAACAAAAACAAAGAATACAATGCTTTTAAGGTTTCTGTTATTCTTCTGTGGGTTCAAGGAAAGATGGTATTGGGTCTGGGTCTCTTGGGGCCAAGTCTAGTTTTAATCACTGTGGCTACCCCCTGTTCCTGTTCAGCTGCCTCTGGTGAGGTGGTGGGGATGGCAGGCTGCCCTTCCCCAACCTGTGGCAGACATCCCCAATCAACGATAGCACTTTCCCCTGCATGACATCAGGTAATCGCTACCTAGTGATTATAGTCAGCATGTTAATGTAATTGAAACTGAATTCTCACAGCTCTAGTGGATCTCTTTCTTGCGTTTATTATCAAATAAGTAAATGATCAATTTAGATTATTATTTCTCAACTGGGGATGAAACTGCCTTCTAGGAGATAGACAGTTGGCAATGTCTAGAGTTGGTTTTGGTTGTCATAGTGGGGTTGTTGTGGGTTGCTACTGGCATCCCAGTGGATGGAGGCCAGGGATGCTGCCAAACATCCTACAATGCACAGAACTTCTCTCTTTCCCTGTGACAATGAATTATTCAGCCCAAAATGCCAATAGCACTGAGACAGAGACTTTTGACCTTTGGAGGGTTTCTTAACAGGTAGTTGGTAGTAAGAAGTGGGATACAAAAGAGGACTTGGGGGAGAGAGCAGGACACATGCAAGAAAAAGAGGGAAAAGGGTTACATCATGACAGGTGAGCTGATGGTACGTTTGTGCACAGATCTTTTCATTCTCTCCAGTGCCCTATTTGACAAACACAGCACAGACTGTCAGCTCATGGAAAAGATCACAAATATGCTGGGTGCAGTGGCTCACACTTGTAATCCCATCACTTTGGGAGACTGAGGTGGGTGGGTCACTTGAGGTCAGGAGTTCGAGACCAGCCTGTCCAACATGGCAAAACCCTGTCTCTACTAAAAATACAAAAATTAGCTGGGCATGGTGGCAGGCGCCTGTAATCCCAGCTACTTGGGAGGCTGAGACAGGAGAATCACTTGAACCTGGGAGGTGGAGGTTGTGGTGGGCCCAGATCATGCCACTGCACTCCAGTCTGGGCAACACAGTGAGACTCTGTCTCAAAAAAAAAAAAAAAAAAAAAAAAAAAAAAGATCACAAATACGCAATTACATATGTATGTGTGGCCTAGTAACATGGTCACGTCTTGGGACCTTTTGTTGTCTTGTGCTTAAGGGGTTAGTAAAAAGTAGTTGATGAGGGTAGCTGCTCCATTCATGAATTCCTGCAGCATCATCTTGGAAGGGTTAACCTCTTATTAAGAAAGCAAGCTGAGATAATTTTTTGAATGTTCAACTACCAGAGGTGATCTAACTGTCCAAAAAGAAAGAAATGGTTAAGTAAGTTATGGAATATCCATACGTATTAGTCTGTTCTCACACTGCTATAAAGAAATATCTGAAATTTGGTAATTTATAAAGAGAAGAGGTTTAATTGGCTTATGGTGCTCCAGGCTATACTGGAAGCATGGCTGGGGGATCTCGGGAAACTTACTTTCATGGCAGAAGGTGAAGCAGGCAACTCTTACGTGGCCAGAGCAGGTGGAAGAGAGAGAGAGGGTGGAGGTGCTATACACTTTCAAACAACCAGATCTTGTGAGAACTCACTCACTGTCATGAGAACAACAAGGGGGATGTCCACCCTCGTGATCCAGTCACCTCCCACAGGCCCTTTCTCCAACATTGGGGATTATAATTCAACATGAGATTTGGGTGGGAACACAAATCCAAACCATACCACCCTATTATGTAGTTGCTTTTTTTTTTTTTTGAGACAGGGTCTCTCTCTGTCACCAAGGATAGAGTGCAGTGACACAATCATGATTCACTCCAGCCTCAACCTCCCAGGGTCAATTGATCCTCCTACCTCAGCCCCACTGAGTAGCTGGGATTACAGGTGCCTGCCACCACGTCCAGCTAATTTTTGTACTTTTAGTAGAGATGGGTTTCACCATGTTGCACAGGCTGGTTTTGAACTGGGCTCAAGCAATCCTTAGGATTACAAGCGTGCACCAGTGTGCCCAGCCATAATATTTTAGTGACATGGGAGTATGTTTAAGATATTGGATATAAAATAAATTAGATCAATAACTATGTATAATATGAGCTTAACTTTGATATATTTACATTAAAAATAGACCGGAAACCTATAGTTTGAACAGTGGAGAACTATTTTCTCCATAATGTGATATTTTACCAAATTTTTTCTTTTACAAAGACATTACTTTTGAGATAAGAAAAATGTAAATATTTCAGAGTTTGCTACAGTGGCGAAGGTTTTATATTGTATCGTTTTTTATTTTTATTTTTATTGTTGAGATGGAATCTCACTGTGTCACCCAGGCTGGAGTACAGTGGAGTGATCTCAGCTCAGTGCAACCTCCACCTCCTGGGTGCAAGCGATTCTCCTGTGTCAGCCTCCTGAGTAGCTGGGATCACAGGCATGCACCACCACACCCAGCAAATTTTTGTATTTTTAGTAAAGATGGGGTTTCACCATGTTGGCTAGGCTGGTCTCAAACTCCTAACCTCAGACGATCTGCCTGCATTGGCCTCCCAAAGTGCTGGAATTACAGGTGTGAGCCACTGCTCCTGGCCTATATTTTTTTAAATTAATTAATTAATTTATTTATTTTTATTTGAGACCGAGTCTCGCTCTGTCACCCAGGGTGGAGTGCAGTGGTGTGATCTCCATCTCAGCTCACTGCAACCTCTACCTCCCAGGTTCAAGTGATTCTTGTGCCTCAGTCTCCTGAGTAGCTGGGATTACAGGCATGCGTAACCATGCCTGGCTAATTTTTGCATTTTTAGTTGAGATGGGGTTTCACCATATTGGCCAGGTTGGTCTCAAACTGCTGACTGCCTGCCTTAGTCTCCCAAAGTGCTGAGATTACAGGCATGAGCCACCGCACCTGGCTCTGGCGTATACTTTAGATAAATGAATTTATCTTTTGGGAACAAGAGTCCTTTGCTTATTAAGTGGCTGCCATGTGCCAGAGGCAGTGGTGGACACTGGTGATTGAATGACGTGTATATTACGTGGTGCTTGTCCTTGGGGGAGCCTGCAGTCTATAGTGGAGGCTGATAAATGAATAGATAGATCCCACCATAGTGCAGTAAGTGTTGCTGTAGGGATGAGAACAAAGTTCTATGGGACAATAGAGGTTGAATAGCCAAGTTTCTTCACAGATATAAAATGAGGCTTTATGGAGGAGGTGGCATATGTGAAGGATCTTGTCTTAGTTTTGGGCTGCTATAACAAAATACCACAGACTGCATAATTTATAAACAATATAAGGTTATTTGGCTCATGATTCTGGAGGCTGGGAAGTCCAAGATCAAGGGGCTGCATCTGGTGAGGGCCTTCTTGCTGCCCTGATGCAAAGCATCACATGGTGAGAGAGAGTGAGAGAGAACAAGAAAGGGCCGAGCTTGTTTTTATAACGAACCCACTTCCAAGACAGTGACATTAATCCATTCATGAGAGCAGAACCCTCTTGACCTAGTTACCTCTTAAAGGTCCCACCTCTCAACATTGTTGCATTGGAGATTAAATTTCTAACCCTTGAATGTTGGGGAACACATTCAAACCATGGCAGATCTTGATGGCAGTGTAGAAGTTTATGAACCAAAGTGGGGCCAAGAAACACTAGGCCAATTTTTCATTTGCTTTCTGTAATGTGAATGGGAGCTGCCTACTTAGTTTCATCCCATAATCTATAAGTTGCTGTGTGAATGAAAATTAGTACTATTGTCATTAGTACTACATGCAGCAAACGTGTATGAATGATTCAGGGCTCAAATTCCACTGGGCCTTTTTATATGAAAATTAGATTCATCAATTTCCTGGAATTAATTAAAATCTTGTTTACAACAATTGACAAGGCATCTTGTGACCTTATAAGCATGTATCTTTAGAGTAACTTTAAAGTTACTCTATAAGCATGTATCTTTAGAGTAATTCCTGGGTGCATAAAGTAAACCCTTTTTATCTTCTTGCCTTAAACTTGAAGACGAAGAGCATTTTAAAGACTAACTTGAATGAAGCAGGATGTTAGTTTTAAAGACATGAAGGCTGAGACTGCTGGTGTGCAATGTGGGTTCCAGTGTTCTTTTACAAACAGGTTCAGTTCAGGCAAAGGGGTGGTGTGGCCAGTGGCCCCGAAGTTCTTGGCAAGAATGTTGGGGATCACTCTTAGGGAAGGAAGCCAAGAATCTGCTCAGTACCAAAGACATCTCCGTAGTCTGTTCAGACTGATCTAAATATGAACAGCATATGAATTTAGCAAAGAGGATACATGCTGCCTGAGACTTTTAACCATAATACTTCATTCGTTTACTAAGTAATTAATTAGTTCAGTGGTTATTCATTGCATGCCTACTGAGTGCCAGGCCAGAGGTCACTTGTTGGCAAAAGTCTCCGTGGGACATTACAGAGAACTGGGACGGCCAAGCTGTTAACACAGAGCTCACCACAGTCCTTGTAGTAGTGCTTCACTCTGGAGGGTCACTGTGTGTCTCACCTAGAGCCTGTCCACACACTCTGAGCTATCGCGTTTGGGACTCAAAAGATGGAAGGTGCAATTAACTATAACTGCAATTAAAACACGGTTGTGGTTAGTTGCAGTGATGGCCTGTTAGGAAGTGAGGAAGTAAAAATTCATTATAAGAGCATGTCTGAATTTTTAAAAGTTTAACAGTATTGAGAAGAGATCTTTCCAGCTCTTAACCATGGTCTTCACAATATTCGAGCATAACATAGTATACAAGTGACCATTTGCCATCAAGAAGCAAACGCTTTAGCATGCCCATTTCAAATGGTGGCATGGTTATCTATTTCAGCTTCAACTTCTCAACTCCAGGGCACCACAGATTCTGCTCGAGTTCCCTCTCCCTGTGCTAAGGCCTAGCAGCCGGGACACTGGGGCAGATCGTAATGCTCATCTGTTTGGTATTTAGTCTGTTAGAGATCAGTGTCCTGTGCTACCTGTTGTTCAGTGTCTGAAAACCATTGTTTCATAGATTTTGTCCAATTTTTAAATTGTTTCAGGTGGGAGTATAAATCTGGTCCTTGTTACTGCATCTTAGCTGGATGTAGAAGTTCTGCAATATATTTTACAATGCCTTTTTTTTTCTTTAAAAATAGGGATTTAAACACATTTAAACAAATATTTGGACATTTAGGCCAGGCACGGTTGCTATAATCCTAGCACTTTGGGAGGCCGAGGTGGGTGGATCGCTTGAGCTCAGGAGTTTGAGACCAGCCTGGGCAACGTGGCAAAACCCTGTCTCTAACAAAAATACAAAAATTAGCCGGGTGTGGTGGTACATGCCTGTGGTCCCAGCTACTCAGGAGGCTGAGGTGCGAGGATCGCTGGAGCCTGGGAGGTGAAGGTTGCAGTGAGCCGAGATCAAACCACTGCACTCCAGCCTGGGAGACAGAGCGAGACTTCGTCTCAAAAAAAAAAAAGGACATTTAGAAATATTAAGGTTCAGTTATGTGGTAAATTCACATGTGTGGAATAACGTATTCCCTGACAATCTGATCATTAAGTTGTGTCTGTGTATGAGCGCTGAGTTAAGATGTTTCAGAGTATAAGTCAATTACCACCCTCATCTTAAAGGATAATTAAAATCTCTCAGCCTCCAAGGGATCAATCCTTTTTTTAATTTGCTTCCTTTTCTTCTTATATTCTGAGAAATTGTTCTAAAAGGAATGATTTGAGTTTCCAGAGTTTGGTATGCATTGCCCTAGCTTCCAACTAAAAGAATGGACCATAAAGCATTATTGCAGTTGAAGTATAAATCTAATTATTCCATTTACTTTCAGAGGTTGTATCTGCAAATGGCATAACTGATGTATTCGTTTTCATTCTCCTTCTACCCAGTTTGCTCAACCTAATCACCTGAATGATGTTAATTTGGGTTTAAGGCACATTTCAGAAGATTTTGGCTGTAAAGAGCAAGGCAAACTTAGCTCTTCTGCATAGCTCTAAATGATACCAATAACTATAAATGGCATCATTCATACTGGTGAAGTCTTTCTTACTTTTTAAAGGCTAGGATCAAATCTAGGAAGGCTTGGGTGACTCCCCTGCTCTGAAGAGCTCTGGCTTTCAATTTCTCTAGTACCTATTGCTTCAATTGGTTATTTATCTACCTTATGTTGTTTTGGAAATGAAATGAGAGAGACTGAAAAGAGAACACAAAAGGCCATTACTTCAATGTTGGATAAAGACATACCCACATACATTTAAATTTGTTACATGTTTCCCTTGCAGTTTCATTTGGCATTTCTTTATCTGTAATGCACAGAATGTCCCCTCCAATGCCCCTTTTATCATTCATCCAGCCATTAGAGTTGTTTTCCGACATGTAATTCTGATCATTGCCACTCCCCTTTGACGGGAGCGACCACATACAGATTAAAGTCTGATCTTTGTGATACGGCACTTCAGACCTTCCACAGTCTGGCCCCAAATTATTTTCTGCTCCCGTCTCCCATCACACATTCTATTTCATCCACAAGGCACATTTCCTGACACTGCAGGGGCATGTCATTTATTTTAACACCCCTGTGTTTGTTTCTACTGTTTCCCTGGAAAATCTTTCTTACTGTGCCTTCCCCTCCCACTTCATGCATGTTGCCGCATCTTTCCAGTCTTTACAAGTGGAGTTGCTTTTCTTCTCTGCATTCCTATGGCTTTTTCACAAACTGGCCGGAGAGTGTGTCTGGGAAGGCCATGGTCACTATTACCAGGAAGGTAATTTAGAAAGCAGGCCAGATCACCCAACTCTGGCTCCTCGCTTTGGTACTGCCAGCCTGTCATCATTATAGAGGTAGAAACGCAGTGGCAGAATAAAGAGTATGGAAGGGCAGGGCGTGGTGGCTCACGCCTGTAATCCCAGCACTTTGGGAGCCTGAGGCGGGCAGATCATGAGGTCAGGAGATCGAGACCATGCTGGCCAACATAGTGAAATCCTGTCTCCACTAAAAATACAAAAATTAGCTGGGCATGGTGGCATGTGCCTGTAGTCCCAGCTACTCAGGAGGCTGAGGCAGGAGAATCGCTTGAACCCGGGAGGTGGAGGTTGCAGTGAGTTGAGATTACGCCACTGCCCTCCAGCCTGGTGTCAGAGCGAGACTCCGTCTCAAAAAAAAAAAAAAAAAAAAAAAAAAAAGGAATCTTAGATTTTTGACATGTTCACCCCATATTTATTAAGGTTTCCAGATTTCACAAAGATATGATCAAGGAATTAGTTGTAAGATGGCATGTAACTCTGCATAGCATGCGATGTGGCATTCTAGTGATGGCAGCCATGTGTATGGGAAAGGATTTTGTTTACAGTCATTTTGCAGTGCATGTTGCATTTCGGTTAAGGGATCACATACATGATGGTGGTCCCATAAGATTGCATATATGACGGTGATCTCATATTTTGACTGTATTTTTTTCTTTATTGGGATATGTTTAGATACACGAATACCATTGTATTACTGTTGCCTGCAGTATTCAGGACAGTACCATACTGTACAGGCTTTGGCCTACAAGCAAAAGGCTGTACCATCTGGGTTTGTCTAAGTACACTCTCTAGTGTTCGTAAAGTGACGTAATTGCCTAACGGCATTTCTCAGAACATGTATCTGTTGTTAAGTGATGTGTGACTATATATGACTGTATTTTAAAAAGTAAAATAAATAAAATGATTTCTGACCAATCTTGCAGTAAGTGTCAGGTACTGTTCTTGGGCCTTAGGATGCAACATTGAATAAAAGTCCCCACCTTCAAGAGTCTCAGAGTCTAGCTCAGTGGTTCTCCCACTGTGGTTCCCAGACCAGCAACATCAGCATCATCTGGGAACTTGCTAGAAATGCACATTCTTGCCCACCCCCATCCACCCCCAATCTACTGAATCAGAAATTCTAGGGGTATAGCCCAACAACTAGAGGTTTAACAAGCCCTACAGCTGGAGAGATGGACACATTCAGTACAGTCTGGTAAGAGCTACTGAACATACGTGGAGTGCATCTCAGAGTAGTTTGGGAGGTGAAGTTGAAGGCGGTGCAGAATTAGGTAGGTCTTCAGATGAGCCAAGTTCAAGTTAAGTCTTAGATGATGAGTGGTTGTTCTTCCAGTGGATAAGGGGGAGAAGGAAAGCATTTTCAAGCCAGGAGACCCATACATGCAGAAGTACAGAACAATCAAAGGGCCTGGTCACCTCTGGGGATGAGAATTATTATTATTGTCATTATGTTCTTATTATTACTATTACATATTCTTAAGTCAGGGTTATAAGATGAGCTAAGCTGGCAAGATCAGTGGCCAGATCATGCCAAGAAGTTTGGCTTTTCTTCTGGAAAACAACCAAAGATGTTTTTAGCAGTGAAATGAAGTAATCATATTTGCAATTCTGTTACATATATACAAAAAATAGAGGCTTTTTTAAATTAGAAAAATTACTTTATGATAGACTCAAAATCTAAGGTGAGAGTGGAGGAAAAGATACAGAACAATAAGGAATTTAAATGAAGAAAACAATAAAGAATTTAGAACCTAATTCTTAGAAATTCATACAAAATCTTCAGAGAATTTTAATTCTAAAACAAATCCATGCAGAAAATCTACAGAAAACTTTAAGAACGGAAGAATCAAAAGCTAACTCAGTTCAGCCTAGACTGAAACTATTTTTATTTTGCAGGTATACTTTGATTTCATCTTTTTTCCCCCTTTGTCTGGTCTTTGTTTATTATACATAATACATAAGTATAAACGCTAGCTTGATGTTTTTCCCATTTAGTGGTAAAAATGGTTGTGTTGCAGGTGGCCTTAAATCATTTGTAAATATTCATTTAACAAGTGTTTCCTATTCCATGGGTGCTGCACTGGGGTTTACTTAGCTCTTGTTTGCATGTATGGTAATTATCAGTTTGGGTTCGGTGAGGCGCATGGCAGAGGGATTTATCATGGGGATTCCCCACTGTGCAATATATATATATATGTGTGTGTGTGTGTGTGTGTGTGTGTATATATATATATATATATATATTTTTTTTTTTTTTTTCTTTGAGATGGAGTTTCGCTCTTGTTGCCCAGGCTGGAGTGCAATGGCGCGACCTCGGCTCACTGCAACCTCCATCTCCCGGGTTCAAGCGATTCTCCTGCCTCAGCCTCCGGAGTAGCCGGATTACAGGTACCCGCCAACACGCCTGGCTAATTTTTTGTATTTTTAGTAGAGACGGGGTTTCACCATGTTGGCCAGGCTGGTCTTGAACTCCTGACCTCAAGTGATCCACCTGCCTAGGCCTCCCAAAGTGCTAGGACAGGCGTGTGCCACCACTCCCGGCTCCCCCTGTGCAACTTTGGGAGCTGAAAGAAGTCTGTGGAAGACTGTTGTCTCTGCCTCTGGCTGGGCCAGGAGTCCAGAAGAAAAGTAACATGTGGAGTAGCGGAGCCAGTTCGCGGTGGAGCCCATGTCTGTTTCTTCCACTTCCCATCTGGATGACTGGGAGCGGTGCACAGAAGACTCCACGCCCTGGCTGTTGGACTGCACAGTGCCTGACCCAGGAGCCCAAGGGACTGTGGGAGGCTGCAGCCACAGGTGGTGCGCCCACGCCTAACTCTGCTTGACCTGCTTCTCCCCTCCTGCCTTCACATACTGTGCAAACTCCCCCATGGCTGCCACTCACTCCCTGCCGTCCAGGAGAGGGAATTCTGGGAAATGAGGTCCCACTTAGCTACAGTGGCAGGGCACACCCCTCCGCCTCCCCGGGGTGTATTTCCAATTTTTATTCTCTTCTTAGGAAATACTGCAGTGGATGTCTTTTTTTTCCATGTGCAACGTTTTCTAAATCTTGGATCATTTCCTTGGGACAGATCCTCAGAAAAAGAATTAATGGGTCAAAGGGTCTGAATATTTTTGAGTCTTTAGATGTTGCCAATTTACTTTCCACAAAGGTAGGTTGGCCAGTGCTGTGGCTTACGTCTGCAATCCCATGCAATCCCAACACTTCGGGAGGCCAAGGCAGGCGGATCACTTGAGCCCAGGAGTTCGAGACCAGGCTCGGCAACATAATGAAACCCTGTCTCTACAAAAAATACAAAACCCAGCTGGGCCTGGTCATGTGCACACCTGTGGTCCCAGCAACTGGGGAGGCTGAGGTGGGAGGATGGTGTGAGCCCAGGAGGCAGAGGTTGCAGTGAGGCATGATCGCACCACTGCACTCCAGCCTGGGGGACAGAGTGAGACCCTGCCTTAAACAAACAAACAAACAAACAAAGTTAGGTTGTATCAATTCTGCCACCAGAGTAGGATATGAAGCATGTTATCTTACCTCACCTTGGATAGTGCTGAGCACTGTATCTGCTTTACTTTTACTTTTTTTTTTTTTTGAGACAGGGTCTGGCTCTGTCACCCAGGCTGGAGTACAGTGGCGTGATCTCAGCTCACTGCAGCCTTGGCCTCCTGGGCTCAAGAAGGCCTCCCACCTCAGCCTCCCCAGTAGCTGAGACTACAGGCATGTGCCATTATGCCTGGCTAATTTTTGTATTTTTTGTAGAGGTGGGGTTTTGCCATGTTTCCCAGGCTGGTCTCGAACTCCTGGCCTCAAGCCATTTGCCTGCCTCGACCTCCCAAAGTGCTGGAATTACAGGCATGAGCCACTGTGCCAGGTCTCTCCTTTTACATCTTGAGGTTTCCATTTGAATTGTTTATTTCCAGCCTTTAAAGGGAAGAGTTGTGTGTATTTTGTGTATATATATTTAATTAAATTGACTTTGCAACAAGTAAACATTAGTGGCTTTGAACCTCGAGAGAATCGCTTAATGTATATCATGAGTAATAGGTATACCACCCTCTCCTGTCCTGGGGACTTACTAATCATAATAACAATAAAACCAGAAGGTAAATTAGCTGACACATATATAGGAAGGGGTATTAACAAGTGCAGTGGAAATTAGAAGCTTATTTGGTGCAGAGTTAGTTTGCCACATTCAGTTTCTTTCTTTCTTTTTTTTGTTGAGATGGGATTTCACTCCTGTTACCCAGGCTAGAGTGCAATGGTGTGATCTCGGCTCACTGCAACCTCTGCCTCCTGGGTTCAAGCGATTCTGCTGCCTCAGCCTCCCAAGTAGCTGAAATTACAGGCCACTAGGCCTGGCTAATTTTGTATTTTTAGTAGAGACAGGGTTTCACCATGTTGATCAGGCTGGTATCGAACTTCTTACCTCAGGTGATCCACCCGCTTCGGCCTCCCAAAGTGCTGGGATTACAGGCATGAGCCACTGCGCCTGGCCGCGTTCAGTTTCTATAGAGGATTTTTGGGATGGTTTTTGGTTGCAAGGAATTGATTATTTGCTTTCTCTTTTTAAAAAGTTTTTCGTTCCCTTTCTACAAGAAGACTGCTTTTAATTTAATGTATTTAAATTTATTTATTGTTTTTGAGACGGGGTATTGCTCTGTTGTCCAGGCTGGAGTGCACTGGTGTGATCACAGCTCACTGCAGCCTCAATCTCCTGGGCTCAAGCAATCCTCCCGCCTCAGCCTCCTGAGTAGCTGGGACTATAGGTGCACACCACCACACCTAGCTATTTTTAATTTTTTAAAAAAAATTTTTCATAGATATGAGGTCTCGTTATGATGCCCAGTCTGGTCTTGAACTCCTGACCTCGGCCTCCTAAAATACTGGGCTTATAGGCATTAGCCACTGCGTCTGGCTCCATGTTTTTAATTTTAATTGGTGATCTTTAATCTTTTTTAAAATTTATTTTAATTTATTATTATTTTTTTGAGACAGAGTCTCGCTCTGTCCCCCAGGCTGGAGTGCAGTGGCATAATCTCGGCTCACTGCAACCCCCGCCTTCCAGGTTCACGCCATTCTCCTGCCTCAGCCTCCCGAGTAGCTGGGACTACAGGCGCCCACCACCACGCCCGGCCAATTTTTTGCATATTTTAGTAGAGACAGGGTTTCACCATATTAGCCAGGATGGTCTCGATCCCCTGACCTCGTGATCCGCCCACCTTGGCCTCCCAAAGTGCTGGGATTACAGGTGTGAGCCACTGTGCCCGGTCGATGACCTTTAATCTTAAAGACATAGTATATTGCCAAGGCGGGAGGATTGCTTGAGGCCAGGAATTTGTCCAACCTGGGCAATATTGCGAGATCTTGTCATTACAGAAAATAAGACATGAGCCAGGCATGGTGGCACACACCTGTAGTCTTAGCTACTCAGGAGGCTGAGGTGGGAGGATTGCTTGAGCCCAGGAGTTGGAGGCTGCAATGAGATATGATTGTGCCACTGCACTTCAGCCTGGGCAACAAACACTATGTATAAAAAAGTAATAATAAAATAAAAATAAAAACTAAAAACACCCACCCCAAGCCCCTCAAAAACATAGCATGTTATTAAATATTCTAATTTCCCTCAAGTGCTTGTCTTTATAGCATCTGTCTTGTTGGTTGATGAGGCTCTGGGCCTTACAAATTGCTTTTTCTTGCTGTTCTGATGACTTTTCTTTCAAGTTAATTTTCACTAAGAACTGGCATGAAACCCCAGACTTCATGAAAACCAAAGTTGAAAAAAACCGTGCTATGACTCTCTGCAAAGTGGAATGTTTGGGCTCTCTTTCAGTTGTAGCTCCTGACATTGTGGCTTACCAAGGGACCTGAGTGAGTTTCTGAATCAGTTATTAGACCACATTCCACTGACTTCTGAGTTTTAAGTCCTATTTTATATTTCCTTTAGAAACAGACCACAGTTGGTTTCTTTCCTTCCCCTGCAATCAAGCAACCAATCCACTGGCCTGATTTTAACATAATGAAGATTTCATTTTCACAAACCGTGGAAGTGAAATATGTATGTTTTCTAACTCAACCTAAAGTGAGCTGAAATGTGTTGGCTTGTCATCGTGTGCTTAGATCTACTGAAAATAGAATGATCCCATGGAGCCCCAAGTCTGAGAAGGTGGCTTCTCATTTGGGGTAAGGAATGTGATGTAGTTTCATTGCTACGCCAGCTACTCAAAGTGTTAAAAAGCGGGCCCTTATGCAAAGACATAAGAGTGATACAATGGACTTTGGGGACTCAGGAGGAAGGGTGGGAGGTGGGTGAGGGATAAAAGACCACATACTGGGTACAGTGTACACTGCTTGGGTGATGGGTGCACCAAAATCTCAGAAATCACCACTAAAGGACTTATCCATGTAACCAAAAACCGCCTGATCCCCAAAAACTATTAAAATGGTCTGGGCGCGGTGGTTTACGCCTGTAATCCCAGCACTTTGGGAAGCCCAGGCAGGTGGATCACCTGAGGTCAGGAGTTTGAGACCAGCCTGGCCAACATGACGAGACCTCATCTCTACTAAAAATACAAAAATTAGCAAAACCCTATCTCTATTAAAAGTACAAAAAATTAGGTGGGTGTGGTGGCATGTGCTTGTAATCCCAGCTACTCGGGAAGATGAGGCAGGAGAATTGCTTGAACCTGCGAGGCGGAGGTTGCAATGAGCTGAGATCTCGCCATTGCAACCCAGCCTGGGCGACAGAGCGAGACTCTGTCTCAAAAAGGAAGAGAGAGAGAGAAAGAAAGAGAGAGAGAGAAAGAAAGAGAGAGAGAAAGAAAGAAAGAGGGAGAGAGGGAGGGAGGGAGGGAGGGAGGGAATTGAAATAAAAATGTAAAAAAAAAAAAAAAGCAGTCCCTGGACCAGCATCATGTAGGAGTTTGTTAGAAATGCGTAATTGCAGACCAACTAAACCAGAATCACAGAATCTCAAGATCCCTAGTTGACTTAAACTCATTTAAGTCTGAGAAGCTGTCTAACCTGCTTGGCACTCAATACCAGATTATCTTTTGCTGCCATCCATTTACCTCTTGGCAGGGCTGCGTTTTGGGAAGACTCAGACCTGTGGAGTGGCCTCCATTTTATTGATCTGTGTACTGATTGCTCCTGCTGAGATTTGTTAAAATTCTCGAAATTCCTTGGAAGCAGTGACTTGGGCCTCTCTGATTTCTCCGTTGTGAAGTCTGAGCAAGCAGCCTGCTTTCCTTTCCATCTGTGCATTCCACTGGGTCCGGGAAGGGCCACCGTGGAAGAGAGTTCAGGATGAGAGTTAGGAGACTTGACTTTGGATTTAAAAAAATTGTTTATTTTTAATTACGGTAAAATAATATAAAATTCACCATCTTAGCTATTTTGTTTTGTTTTCTTTTTTTTTTTTTGTTTGAGACGGAGTCCTGCTCTGTTGCCTGGACTGGAGTGCAGTGGTATGATCTTGGCTCACTGCAACCTCTGCCTCCCCAGTTCAAGCGATTCTCCTGCCTCAGCCTCTGTAGTAGCTGGGATTACAGGCCTGCACCACCACACCCAGCTCATTTTTGTATTTTTTAAGTGGAGACAGGATTTTACCATATTGGTCAGGCTGGTCTCGAACTCCTGACCTCAAGTGATCCGCCTGCCTTGGCCTCCAAAAGTGCTGGGATTATAGGCGTGAGCCACTGCGCCAGCCCATCTTAGCACTTTTGATGTGTACAGTTCAGTACAGTTAATTTACATTCCTGTGCAGTCTCCAGAACTCTTTTCATCTTGCGAAACGGAAACTCTGTGTTTAATAAATAATCACTCCACATTCTCCCTCTGCTCCCCCAGCCCCTGGCAACCACCATTTTCCTTCCTTCTCTATGAATTTGGTACTCTAGGTACCTCATATAAGTGGAAGCACACAGGATTTCTCTTTTTGCAACTGGTTTATTTCAGTTAGCATAATGTCTTCAAGGTTCATCCATATTGTAGCATGTGTCAGAATATTTTTCCTTTTAAGGCTGAATAATATTCCATGGAACGTCTACACCGCATTTCGTTTATCCACACACCTGTTGGTGGGTACTTGGATGGCATCCACAAATCCACCCTTTTTCTTCTGTGAATAGCTGTGATTGAGTTTGAATCTTAAGCTTCCTCACACTGGCTGTGAGATCGTAGACAAATCACTGAACTTCTGAGTCTCAGTTTTTATTTCTTTAGAAATGAGCAGCTCAGACCAGATGTTCACAAGCATTTAAGCTCTAGTTACAGGATACTAAATAAAACCGAATCTGCATCTATTAAAAATGAAAAAGAAAGAAGACCATGCGTCTTCTAAAAGATTTCCATGGTTTCTCCCAATTAGACCATTTTCCTTTTCTGAGCAAACTTAATTTTCAAGTATCTGTAACAGCAGAACTTCTATAACTTTAACAGCTTTATTGAGATATAATTCACACACCGTGCAATTCATGCACGTAAAGTGTATAATTCAGTGGTTTTTTAGTATATTCTCAGTGTTGTGCAATCATCACTACAATCAACTTCAGAACACTCTCATCATGCCCCAAATCATTCCCTATTTCTCCCCAACTCCCTTGACCCCCCCCCCGCCCCCCCCGATAATCATTAATTTACTTTCTTTCTCTGTGGCCTTGCCTATTCCGGACGTTTCATATAAATGGGATCATAAAATGTGTGGTCTTTTGTGACTGGCTTCTTTCACGTAGCATAATGTTTTCAAGGTTTTTTTTTTTTTTTTTTTTTTTTTTTTTACAACTTTCTAGGATGCCAAATGATCTCACATGTGAAGGATTCATTTATCACCATGAGTTCGTTATAGGGCTAGGGCCTAGAGGTACAGCAGTAAATAGCAGACACAGCCCCTGGCTGCAGAGAGCTCACAGGCTTGTGGGGAAGATGGACATTAAGTGAATTAGTATGCTGATATTAATCACAAGTGTGCTAGTTTCTATAATGGAGAAACTGTGGATTCTCTGAATGTGTATAATGATGGGGCAGGGACAGCGAGGGTAGGCTACTCTTGACTTTTATTTCACATCTTCAAGATAGTGCCAGGCTGGGCGCGGTGGCTCACGCCTGTAATCCCAGCGCTTTGGGAGGCCGAGGCGAGGGGATCATGAGGTCAGGAGATCGAGACTATCCTGGCTAACATGGTGAAACCCTGTCTCTACTAAAAATACAAAAAATTAGCCAGGTGTGGTGGCGGGCGCCTGTAGTCCCAGCTACTCGGGAGACTGAGGCAGGAGAATGGCGTGAACCCGGGAGGCGGAGCTTGCAGTGAGCGGAGATCATGCCACTGCACTCCAGCCTGGGTGACAGAGCCAGACTCCGTCTCAAAAAAAAAAAAAAAAAAAAAAAAAAGATAGTGCTGTTCACAGTTCTCTTATCAGGAACCCCCTCAATCAGTGTGTATTAAGTGACTTTTAAGTGACTCTGTGTGACAGTGATACAGTGATACAGTAAAGAGAGAGAGAGACTGGGCCTGTAGGGAGCGCCCCATGTCATGGGGCAGACAGCTGTCTATGCTGCAGGCTGGTCCAGTGTGCTGCAGGAGCAATGGATGATTCTCCCTTAAGCATGCTAGGGAATCTTTACGGAGCAATGATGCTTAATTGGGATTTTGGAAGGTGAACAAACTTTCTTTAGAAAGCCAATATGTCCATGGCAGGGAGAGGAACCCCTGAGTAGAGATCATGAGCAAAGGTACAAAGATACTCAATGTGTTCATGAGAGGTGCTCATTGGTGCAAAGGTGGAGTGCAGGTGGAGGCACAGGACATTGCTGGTGGCAGTCGTGGATGGTGTGAGCGCAGGCATCAAGGGGTCATCTGGTTTTGGGTTGCTGGATAGGGAGTTTGATGAACATCCCCAGAGGATGTTTTTGTTATATGTATGTTCAGCTCCCAACAGACTTCTCGTAAATGTGATCAGGAGGCCAGTGTCACTGGAATCTAGGGTTCCTTGTTAAAAATACCATCTGTTGCATCAGGATCTTGGGTGGGGGCTTGGGAGTCTGCACTCTAATGCTCTTGCCACGTAACGCTTATGCACACCAATGCTTCGGAACCACTGCTCAGAGGAACAAGAAAACTGCTTATAAAATCTTAATTTTAGCTTTCAGCATTTCTTCAGGAGTATCTTCCATCCTTGATACGTATCCTGAGACGGAGCTGTAAAGTAACATGTGTTCTTAATATTCTCTCCTCTCAATAATCCCTCTTTTGTGTGATTTTCTTGTCTTTACTTTGAGACTTTTGTATGTAGGTTGTATTAGTTTTCTAGGGCTGCCATCACATATTGCCACCAACTTGGTGGCTTACGAAAACAGGAATATATTCTCTCGCAGTTCTCTGGAAGCCAGAAGCCTGAAGTCAAGGTGTTGGCAAGGCATGCTACCTTTTTTTGTTGTTGTTTTTTGTTTTTTTTAGAGACAGGGTCATTCTGTCACCTATCTAGGCCTATGGAACTCTTGTTTACCTGCAGCAACTCGACTGGAGTGCAGTGGTGTGATTATAACTCACTGCAGTCTCGACCTCCTGGGCTCAAGAGATCCTCCTGCTTCAGCCTCGCGAGTAGCTAGGAGTACTGGCGTGCACTACCATGCCTGACTAATTTTTTTTTCTTTTGTAGAGATAGGGTCTCACTGTGTTGCTCAGGCTAGTCTTAAAAGTCTGGCCTCAAGCCGTCCTCCTGCCATGGCCTTCCACAACGTTGGGATTATAGGCGTGGCCACTGCAGCCGGCTGGCATGCTCCTTCTGAATGCTCTGGGGCAGTGTTCCCCAAGCTTTTTATCACCAGGGACAAGTTTCATGGAAGACAGTTTTTCCCACGGACCCAAGGTTTCAGAATGAAACTGTTCCATCTCAGATCATCGGCATTCGATTCTCATAAGGAGTGCGCAACCTAGATCCCTCGCGTGCGCCGTTCACAACAGGGTTCATGCTCCTATGAGAATCTGATGTCACCGCTGATCTGACAGGAGGCGGAGCTCAGGTGGTAATGCTCACCCGCTTGCCCACTGCCCACCTCCTGCTGTGTGGCCCAGCTCCTAACAGGCCATAGACTGGTATCGGTCAGCAGCCCGAGGGTTAGGGACCCCTGCTCTATGGAGGAATTCTTCCCGACTCTTCTTCTGGTGGCTCCTAGCAATCTTTAGCATTTCTTGGCTTGTAGCTGCAACGTCCAGTCACTGCCTCCCTCTTCACTTGGCCTTCTCTGTATGTCCTCTCTTCTTTAAAGGCCACTAGTCATTGGATTTAGGGGCCATTCTAATTCAGTATGACCTCATCTTTTTTTTTCTTTTCTTTTCTTTTTTTTTTTTAAGAGGAAGTCTCACTCTGTTGCCCAGGCTGGAGTGTAGTGGCATGATCTCGGCTCACTGCACTCACTGCAACCTCTACCTCCCAGGTTCAAGCGATTCCCCTGCCTCAGCCTCCGAAGTAGCTGGGATTACAGGCACCCGCCACCATACCCGGCTAATTTTTGTATTTTTAGTAGAGACGGGGCTTCACCATGTTGGCCAGGCTGGTCTCGAACTCCTGACCTCAGGTGGTCCACCCACCTTGGCCTCCCAAAGTGCTGGGATTACAGACGTGAGTCACCGCACCTGGCCGACTTCATCTTAATTACACCTGCAAAGACCCTATTTCCAAGCAACGTCACATTCTGAAGTTCTGAGTGGATGTGAATTTTTTGGGGAGACCCTATTTGACCCACTATTTTGAGGGAGACCCTATTTGACCCCCTAGATAGAAGTTTGAGTTCTGAAAGCAATTCTACTCTGCTGGACAAAGTTTGGAAAATACACACTTGGTTAAAACCACATCCAACACTAACAGTGATGTAGACCACAGTAAAACAAGTCAGGTGGTCAATTCAATGAATTCTAAATGGTTGCATCATTTTGGACAATCTGATATGCTTTGCTTCGAGGCTTTATTGCATGTACTCACCTTTAGACTCTTTAGGGTCTGGGATACTGGAAAAGTTTTTCACAAATTTCCCTTAAGTAAGCCTCCCTGGAAAGGTCAACTGGTTCTTTCTATTAGTTCCTGGAATTTCTGTGGAGCTTGTGTTCACTGATGTCCAGAGGAGATGCAACAGAAGAGGAGAAGGCTCTGGTGCATGGGTATTTTTTACAGACATGGAGGCTGATGTGGCTGTCCTGGGCTATGAGCTGTTTTGTCCCTTTCAAGGCTTGTTTTCTATACCATGACATATCATTATTATTATGTGGCAAAGTCAGGAAATTGCATCTCATCCAACCTTGCCCATTTGCTAGGTTCTCAGGTAGCTCAGGTTCTCCTGACAGATATTTTTCCTAAAGTCGCTTTTTCAAAAATTGCAGAGAAGTTTCTTATAAGGATGTTATATAGTTTATTTATTTTTTATTTTTAGTTTTTGAGACGGAGTTTTGCTTTTGTTGCCCAGGCTGGAGTGCAATAGCACGATCTTGGCTCGCTGCAGCCTCCACCTCTCGGGTTCAAGCGATTCTCCTGCCTCAGCCTCCCAAGTAGCTGGGACCACAGACGCGCCACCACGCTTGGATAATTTTTGTATTTTTAGTAGAGACGGGGTTTCACCATGTTGGCTAGGCTGGTCTTGAACTCCTGACCTCAGGTGATCCACCCGCCTTGACCTCCCAAAGTGCTGGGATTACAGGTGTAAGCCACCACGCTCAGTCTAGGATGTTATGTAGTTTATTTAATTGCTTCTTTTTGCTCATCATTTTGTTTTCCACTTTTGTTTTTCTACTTGTGGGGTGTATTAACTTCTTTGTGTGTAAATCTTTGTATCTTTTATTCCATCCTTAGATTAAAAATTTTAAACACAGATTTACTGGAAAAAGAGTTTAAACTGTTAAACGCATCTAATGCATATTATTGCTGAATTAGTGTCCAGAAAGAGGGTTTTAAATGCTGTCATCAGCGTCTGGACATACTAGTATTAACAGCTCACTTGTAAGTGTTGCTGAAGATTTTGTATCTCCGAAGGATCAAGATCTTGGGGAGGATGGCATTTAACTGAAGGTGAGTCTTCTGTTCCTTGAATAGATGTTTTAGATGACACATCGCTCTACAAGGTGCGTCACTGTCCTGTTTTTATCACTCTATTGTTTAATGATGATGCATCTATTGCTTATGGTACCAGTGAATGTTTCCATTATTTTACTTTACTTAACATGAATTTCTCACGCATTCATGTGCAGCTGAAGAGAATTAGCAATAATGATCCCAATAATAACTCCCCTTTGCTGAGTACCATCCTTGTGCTGAGTGCTCTTCATACGTGAATCTCACTGAATACCGATTTTTGGAGGAGAAGCGAGGAGGTTGGAGGAGTTTAGTTACCAGGGTCTCAGGCTGAGTTGATTCCAGAGCTGAAGCTCCTTCAGGAGGGTCACTGGCCAGCCCTGGTGTGCCCGGCAGATCTCGTGGAGACCATGGGAGGTGCAGAGAAGAGTAATTTGCACACATCTTCAACCTAGGATTACTGGGCTAGACCGCTCGGTGGGGGCTGGGCTTCAAAGCCACCTGAGTGTGTGACCTTGACTCCTTTTTCTTTCCTTCAACTGCAGTAAAAGAAACGGTAGTTCTAAGAGGCCTCGCCACCCTGCTTGCAGCAAAAGGCCTCTCTCTGAAGCTGATTCTGTGCAAAGTCCAGTGTCGCTGGTATTTTCAGGGCGACTTTCTTCTCTGGCGGTGTGTTTTCCTCTGTTTCCAGGGGAGCTCCCAAGAGAAGGTTGTCTCTCAGTCTCCTTTTCATTTGAGGTGACCCCTCTAACTCCTGTGTTTAAAGCTGGGCTGCACTTACTGCTAACCTTTCTAATAGCTTCTGTGGAGTTGGCCTGAAAAACTACAGAGAGCTCTCCTTTCATCCCTCGCCAGGATGCTGCAGGTCTTTGTATCTGCAGCCACCGGGGTAGGGGAGAGTGGACACCCTTGGCCATTTTCTTAAATCCAAGTTGGTAGCTGGTGTTTTCAGTCCCTGCCTGAAAACAGCAGCTGTTTAATTTGCATTTGGATGCTGCTTTTTCTCTTGCCTTCCCACCACCCTGTGTCTAAACAGTAGCCAGAGGGCAACTTTTTTTTTTTTTTTTTTTTTTTTTTTGAGACAGAGTCTCGCTCTGTCGCCCAGGCTGGAGTGCAGTGGCGTGATCTCGGCTCACCTCAACTTCCGCCTGCCGGGTTCAAGTGATTCTCCTGTCTCAGCCTCCCGAGTAGCTGGGATTACAGGCGTGTGCCACCACGCCCTGCTAATTTTTGTACTTTCAGTAGAGATGGGGTTTCGCCATGTTGGCCAGGCTGGTCTCAAACTCCTGACCTCAAGTGATCTGCCAAAGTGCTGGGATTACAGGTATGAGCCACCGCACCTGGCCTAGAGGGCACCTTTTTAAAAGTCAGATAGTGTCACTCTGCTCAGTACCTTTTGGGCCTTTCCAATTGCCCCGAAATAAAAACTGAAGGGCTCACAGTGGTTCCTGGCTGACTTGAGCTGCCCCTTCCCATCTTCAATTTCTCTCTCTCTCCACTCAGCTGTTGCTCATTCATATGGCAAGTGCCAGCCTCAAGCCTCTTGTCCTGTGTCTCTCTACCTGGAGCACTCTTCCCCAGGTAGTTACATAATGTACCCCCTTCAGGTGTGGGTTCTGTCATGTTTCTTTTTCAGCGAGACTGTCCCTGGTCATCCTGTTGAAAACCTCCATGTCCCTGACTGCACAGGTAGAGTGTGGCAGGAATTGACCTGCAGGTGTACATCTGTTCTCTTCTGTCCCTGATGGCAAGTGCTTGCTTTTTGCTTGTTAGGACACTGATATAGTTTGGCTGTGTCCCCACCCAAATCTCATCTTGAATTGTAGCTCCCATAATTCTCACGTATTGTGGGAGGGACCCAGTGGGAGATAATTGAATCATGGGGGTGGTTTCCCCCGTACTGTTCTCATGGTAGTAAGTCTCATGAGATCTGATGTTTTTATAAGGGATTTCCCCTTTTGCTTGATTCTCATTTTTTCCTTTTGCCTGCCACCATGTAAGGCGTGCCTTTTGCCTTCTGCTGTGACTGTGAGGCCTCCCCAGCCATGTGGAACTATGAGTCCATTTAAATCTCTTTTTGTTTATAAATTACTCAGTTGGCCAGGCACAGTGGCTCACAACTGTAATCCCAGCACTTTGGGAGGCCAAGGTGGGCAGATCACCTGAGGTCAGGAGTTCAAGACTAGCCTGACAAACATAGTGAAACCACATCTCTACTAAATACAAAAAATTAGCCAGACGTGGTGGCGCATGCCTGTAGTCCCAGCTACTTGGGAGGCTGAGGCAGGAGAATTGCTTGAACCCAGGAGGCAGAGGTTGCAGTGAGCCGAGATTGTGCCATTGCGCTCCAGCCTGGGCAACAAGAGTGAAACTCTGTCTCAAAAAAATAAAATAAAATGAAATACAATAAAATAAAATAATTACTGAATCTTGGATATGTCTTTATCAGCAGCGTCAAAACAGATGAATACAGGCAGCATCCCCATTAAAGACATTCCTTTGACTTGTTGATTCGGTCCCACACCAAGATCTTTGCTTGGATCATATCAGATGTTAATTTGATTCACTTTAGGGCCCACTACATGATGTCCCAACATAGTTTAAGGAGTCCCCCTTAATATGTGTCATGTAAGCAAAGTGGTTGAGAGCGCTGAGCAAGTGATCACTTTTATCTGGATATTAAACTTCACTTTGTGTGCACATTAGCCAATGAGTAGATAAAGAAAATGTGGCATATATTTGCCTTGGAACAGCCACAAAAAGGAATGAAATCATGTCTGTTGCGCAACTTGGATGGAGCTGGAGGCCATTATTCTAGGTGAAGTAACTCAGGAATGGAAAACCAAATATTGTATGTTCTCACTTATAAGTGGGCACTAGGCTATGAGGATGCAAAGGCATAAGAGTGATATAATGGATTCTGGGGACTCAGGGGGAAAGGTTGGGAAGGGGGTAAGGGATAAAAGACTACATATGGGGTACAGTGTATACTGTTTGGGTGATGGCTGCACCAAAATCTCAGCAATCAACACTGAAGAACTTATCCATGTAACCAGAAACCACCTGTACTCCCAAAACTATTAAAATTAAAAAAATTTCACTATGTGGAATGCACAGTATTTGAGGCATATCTTGCAGGGTGCTTCGAAGACTAGCCAGAGTTGGGAGGCATCGGGTGGCAGAGGCATGCAGGGAAATGGTGGAGTGTTGAAGGTGCAGGGCACAATAGGAGAGGAGTTGTCCTATGGGGCTGGTATATAGGATTTGTGAGGATTTGGCGAGAGGGGAGAAGAGAGAGCCCCACTGGCGTCACGTTATGGAGGCCTTTTTAAAGGTAACCCCAAAGAGCTTGAATTTTACTAACAGAAAGTTAAAGCCACTGAAAGCTTCTCATTAGGGAAGAATGAAATCTATGTCCTGCCTTGGAGAGAAATCCCTTGGGTAGCATTGGGAAGGCTGGTTGGTGGGAGGAGGCCTAGAAGGCAGGATGTCTGTTAGGAGCCTGTGGTCATAAACTAGGATAAAGATGAGCTTGACCTGGGAGGTGGCCGAGACAGAGACATGGAGGAGACAGTGTGGGGAAGGCATTCTGTTGGGTCATGGCCAAAAATGAATGAGAGGCCAGTTTTGTCCCCACATCACCCAGGAGCTCAAACGTTCAAATTATCTTCCCTGACCAGTAAAACGGAGTCATGGAGCCCTTGGAAACAAAGCAATGTGAAGAAAAGGGTGTAGAAGCTGAGAATGGTAAAACCAGAAGAGGCCACAACAATCCTACCATTTCTTCATATAGTGGAGAAGTAAAGGAGAGAAAAATTGTGGCGACAGAGAAAAGCAAGCTGGGTGAAGGTAGTGTGTTGTATTTTAGTTGGAATGAGGACATTGGGTCCTAGCATCAGTAACTGATCACCCATATCCCTGATTGCTGGGTTAGAAATGGGAGGGGAAGAAGGGGCAGACACTGCAAGTGTTTGCACATGGGGGATACTGGACTTTGAAAGAATATTTTGAATAGCTATGATTTCCAGAAAGTGGTTCATTAGCGAACTCAATGGGTTTGCTTAGACGGTAACTGAGTTTTTAATCTCTGGAGGGAACACCTGCTTCATTGGCAGCTATGAATATTATTGTTGTTGTTAATAAGATAACCAATAACATTATAAATTTAGGTTAAATTTACTGAGGATTCCTGACCTTGTGCTAAGCACTTTGTAGAGACATCTTATATGGGATAGTGGGATTTTCTCTTACGCTTTGGGGCCGTTGGGTAAGAAGACATTCTATAGCTGAGGCTCTCCCATTTGTTTTACGTGGACTGCTGATTTTGCCCTAGCTTTAGTTTTATAGGTGTAAGGAGACACTCAGTGTTGGAAGAGTCACAGAACATTCCCCATCCCTCAGGGGTACACCCTTTCTGTGACTTCCTGCCTCCTAGGGCCATCTAACCACCTGACCACACAAACTTTCCCAGGGGCCATTTGTGAGAATGTTCCTTGGAGTGCGTGATGATTTCAAATCAGTGGTGGCTTTCTCCTATTGTGGGCGGTGTGTGTCCGCCCATGCCTTTTGGGACTCTCTTCGTTTGGTTGACATATTTGTTTGGACGTGACCTTTTTCCAGTTCCTCTTCCCTGGGTTTTTGCCCGCTGAGGAAATGATTCTCAGATCTCATCCATCTGCACCAGTGGCAACAGAAGAGAGAATTTCTTTTTTCTATGGTTCGGGTCCAACTGCCCAGACACCTGTCCTTCAGAGGCTCATATTGTTCTGGTTGATGTCACTTCCTGACGTAGACACTCTTTAATATTTTAGTTCTGGAAGTCATCAAGTTGGACAAGAGACAGGAGGAAATGGTGGAGGGTCCTCAGCTGACCTGGGATGCTTTTTTGATTGTTCACTGGACACATAGAAAGGGGCCGTTGCTCCCACCTCCATCTGCCACTGGCCCCTGGAATTAGCCCTGTTAGTAAGCTTTTCCCAGTGGTGGCTGATTCATTCTGAGAGCTTTTCATATCCTTTGGGATTCTTCACTGTTAGATTCGAGAAGAAAAAGGACAGCTTCGCTTTTGAGTCTGATGAAAACCACCTGCAGAAGACATGTGTACATAAGCTGTATATTTATGCTTTTCTTACGGACACTTGACTGCTCCTTGTTGTTAAGGAGATTCACAAGAGGACGGGAACTTTTACATGGGGACCCTTAGCTTGTATGTTCCGCTGTCACAAAGAAAATGAGTTCTGGCCATTTTCGAGGCTTGCCAAAGATTTTTCTCCGCAACTCTGGAATTCTCTCTCTTGTGCTTTCAGAGTGGCAAAATCCATGGGCTCCTGAGAGCCTGAGGCGGTAGGGAATGAAGTACAGAGTTGAACCAAATCCTAAGTCTCCTTTTAGGCCTTTGTCATCCGCCAAATGTCATGTTTGCAGTTGCCTTGAACTTGGAAGAATGCACCACTCCCATCACGACGGTTGCTCTGCTGCTTTCCAGATGTTGACCTTGTGCAGGTGACGTAACCCCAGCTCGTGTTGCGGGGGGACTGGCTGAGTCACACTCACAGCTTTGGGACTGGGTCTTCATCTCATTTAGCAGCACTGGAACCCTGTGGAAGGAGATGGCATCTGGTTGGTCTGTTTGCACGTTCTTTGCCTGGGACTTCAAATCTGATCTGGAGCTGGTATCAAGAAACAGCATATCTGTGATGAGGGGCCTGGCGAATGCTAGATAATACATTTTACCCATTGTTTTTTAATGGAGCAGAATGATAATCAATTTAATCGTATTCCTTTCGCAGGGGACAAAGACAGGAGCAAAACTGAGGGGAGAATGGAGTGCAATGAAATATGCAGAAAGAGGGCCGGGCGTGGTGGCTCATGCCTATAATCCCAGCACTTTGGGAGGCCGGGGCGGGTGGATCACGACGTCAGGAAATCGAGACCATCCTGGCTAACACGGTGAAACCCCGTCTCTACTGCAAATACAAAAAAATTAGCCGGGCATGTTGGCATGTGCCTGTAGTCCCAGCTACTTGGGAGGCTGAGGCAGGAGAATGGCGTGAACCCGGGAGGCGGAGGTTGCAGTGAGCTGAGATCGTGCCACTGCACTCCAGCCTGGGCAACAGAGTGAGACTCCGTCTCAAAAAAAAAAAAAAAAAAAAAAAGAAAAGAAAAGAAAAGAAAAAAGAAATACGCAGAAAGAGGAAGACATGCACAAGCCAGGAGTAAGGGAGATACAAATTAGTGGATGTGGGGAGATCTTCCCATCCAGGAACAGAAGCATCTGAGAAAGGAGAATTACGATATTATTTTGTTTCTTTATATTTTAGTTTAGTGGTCCAAATTTATGGAATACATGTCCGATTTTGTTACATGCATAGATTGCAGCATAGTGGTGAAGTCAGGGCTTTTAGGGGAGGGGTCCCCAATCCCCAGGCCATGGACCAGTACCTGTCTATGGTCTGTTAGGAACCAGGCCACGCAGCAGGAGGTATGCGGCCTGTGAGTGAGCATTACCACCTGAGCTCTGCCTCCTGTCAGATCAGCATGAGATTCTCATAGGAGCATGAGCCCTATTGTGAACTGCACATGCGAGCGAGGGATCTAGGTTGCGTGCTCCCTTTTTTTTTTTTTTTTTTTTTTTTAACCTGAGACAGTCTTGCTCTCTTTCCCAGGCTGGAGTGCAGTGGCGTGATCCCAGCTCACTGCAACCTCTCCCTCCCAGGTTCAAGTGATTCTCCTTCCTCAGCCTCCCAAGTAGCTGGGATTCCAGGCATGCACTATCATGCCCGGCTAATTTTTGTATTTTTAGTAGAGATGGGGTTTCACCATGTTGGCCAGGTTGGTCTCGAACTCCTGACCCCAGGTGATCCACCTGCCTCAGCCTCCCAAAGTGCTGGGATTATAGGCGTGAGCCACTGTGCCTGGCTTCGTGCACCTTATAAGAATCTAATGCCTGATGATCTGAGGTGGAGCAGTTTCATCCCGAAACCATCCCCCACCCCCTCATCCATGGAAAAACTGTCTTCCATGAAACCGGTCCCTGGTGCCAAAAAGGCTGGGGACTGCTGTTATGGAGTACCAATGGCCCAAATAACATACATTGTGCCCATAAGTAATTTCTCATCATCTACCCTCTTTGCACCCCGCCATCCTTTCAAGTCTTCGTTGTCTATCGTTCCACACTCTACAGCCATGAGTACACATTATTTAGCTCCGACTTAGAAGTGAGCACTTGCAATACTTGTCTTTCTGTGTCTGACTTAAGATAACGGCGTCCAGTTCCATCTAGGTTGCTGCAGAAGACATGATTTCATTCATTTGCACAACTGAATACTATTCCATTGTGTATATATATCACATTTCCTTTATCCAGTCATCTGTTGATAGACACCGAGGTGGATTCTGTATCGTTGCTACTGTGAATCCTGCTGCAATAAATATAAAATGCAGGTGTCTTTCTGATATAACGATTTCTTTTCCTTTGGGTAGCCGTCTTGTTTCTTTAAAAGAGCTGACGAAATGCACTTTCTAGTGCTGTCCGATTGCCCATTACATACGTTCTTACACTTGATACCCAGCAGTCGGCAAACCATAGCCCGCCTGCAGGCCAGATCCCGCCTGTCATCTGTTTTTGTAAATAACATTTATTGGGGCTGGGCATGGTAGCTCATGCCTGTAATCCCAGCCCTTTGGGAGGCCAAGACGGATGGATCACTTGAGGCCAGGAGTTTGAGACTAGCCTAGCCAACATGGTGAAACCTCATCTCTATTAAAAATACAAAAATTAGCTGGGCATGGTGGCAGGCACCTGTAATCCCAGCTATTGAGGAGGCTGAGGCAGGAGAATTGCTTGAACCTGGGAGGCAGAGGTTGCAGTGAGCCGAGATGGCGCCATTGCACTCCAGCCTGGGCAAGGGAGTGAGACCCTATCTCCAAAAAAAAAAAAAAAAAAAAAGTTTCTTGGGAAATGGCCACATGTATACATTTATCTTCCACGGCTGCTTTTGCACCTCTGTGGCAGGGTTGAGACATGCTGAATGGCTCCTGGAGTTTGAGATACTTCTTTGCTGGCCTCTTACAAGAAGTTTGCTAACTTCTGCTCTGTAGTCACCTTTATCCAGACAGTGAAATCTAGGACATCCCCTGTATTTAAAATCTCTAGCTTTTAATATTTGCTGCATTTTGTTATTATTATTATTTTAAGTTCAAGGCACAGCCCCAGCTTCTTACTCTCCTCTTTGCCCTTGGATTATTTCAGGAGTTTCATTTTCTGTGGGGTGCTACTTCCCTTTTGAGGACATTTAGGATCATGGGGGTGGGGGTGCTTTTATGATTGAGGTGGGAGGCAGAGAGAGGTTCTAAATCATCCCCAGTGGGCAGGACAGTCCTGTCCTCAATGTCAGGAGCCCACTCACCCTTGGAGCCACTTGCCTTGTGGCCGTGATGTAACATGGAATGTTTTTCAGGGGCTCTTTGTAACATCGTCCAGTGAGGAGCGGGCCCCTAATGCTCTCACTTCAGCTGAGTTCATGCTTTTGTATGCCTTATTTTAGTTGCCGTCAGACACAGGAAACCACCAGGTAATTTATCTGCCTGCCAGTGGGAGGACTCACGTTGACTGGATTCAGACTCTCCCTTTCTGTCTCTGTTGGTCTCTCTCTTTTCTCTCCCCTCCCTCTGCCTCTCTCTCCTCCCTTTCTTTCTCTCTGTGTCTCTCTCACATACACACTCACACACACTCTCACGCCCTGTCTCGTACATATACATATCAGCACACACACTTACACATAGTCACTGACACACACTAACACTCAATTCACTCTCACACAGTCTCATACACATATGCACACATTCTTACACAGTTGCTCACACATGCTCACACTTATACATAAACTC
This sequence comes from Homo sapiens, assembly GCF_000001405.40. Classification (NCBI taxonomy): domain Eukaryota; kingdom Metazoa; phylum Chordata; class Mammalia; order Primates; family Hominidae; genus Homo; species Homo sapiens. The sequence goes on along the minus strand of NC_000021.9, from coordinate 31,410,530 downwards.
AGTCTCATGCACTCTCACATACACATACACACTATCACACACACTCTTACACAGTCGCTCACACATGCTCACATACGTAACACCCTCACACAGTCTCATACACTTACGCACTCACATACTCTCACTGTCTCATTTACGTACCGTCACACACACTCTTACACACAGTTGCTCACACATACACACACACACTCGCAGTCTCCTACATATACTCACACACACACTGTCTCATTACACACACTATCAGACACACAGTCTGACACACCCACACAAATATATACACTGTCACACACATGCTCACAATCACATAATGCAGTCTCACACACACTCACAATCACTGTTTCACACTCACACATACACCCTTTTTCACACACATATATGCTCTTTCACATGTACACTCACACTCTCCACACTGTCACACACACAACCTCACACACACACACACACTGCTACGCCCTCAGTGCTGCCTCCATTGACTTTAATAACTGCTTCAGTCAGTTCCCAGGACAGGATGTTGCTGCGTTTCCCTGGCTGTCTCGTGTAGTGCCAGAGAAAACTTGGATCTCCTTTTTTCTCTCAAAGGAATCAACAGCCAGCCTTTATAAATCCTGCTTAAAAGAAAACCCCAAGCCCCCAAATAAAAAAAAAAAAGGCCTCCTTAACCCTTTGCCCTTCACCTAGCTCTCATTGCTTTTGGGGACAGGGTTAGAACTTTTAGCCAAAAAAAGCCAGCTGTCCCCTGCCCCCCACCAGGGAGGGAGGCCTTTGGGAGAGCATGGATTTTTTTCCTCCAGCCCAGAGAAGGCCGCAAGGCACTGGAGGAGAGATGGAGAGGGGCAGAGGTGTATTTGCAGAACTTGGGGGACAAGCCATGGCTGCAAGGGAAGCGGGCCTGTGGTGCGGAGGTCTGAATGGGGCTTTGAGAGGGGTGGTGATGCTGGTGTGTGGAGCTGAGCATGGAGTCCTGTGTGCTTGGCATCCAAGGAGCAGGAAGTCGGTGTGCGGAGTGACTGTGGGCTGTGGAACCTCAACCTAGAGAGATGTGGGGAGCAGGAGGTGGGGTGGAGGGGCAGTCTGTGAGAAAACTCAACTTTGAGACTGTCAGATCTAAGAAAGGAGAAGGTCTGGCTGGGTGTGGTGGCTCACGCCTGTAATCCCGACACTTTGGGAGGCCGAGGCGGGTGGATCACGAGGTCAGGAGTTCAAGACCAGCCTGGCCAACATAGTGAAACCCCGTCTCTACTAAAAATACAAAAATTAGCTGGGTGTGGTGGCGGATGCCTGTAATTCCAGCTACTGGAGAGGCTGAGGCAGGAGAATCCTTGAACCCAGGAGGTGGTGGTTGCAGTGAGCTGAGATGGCACCATTGCACTCCAGCCTGGGTGACAGTGCGAGACTTCGTCTCAAAAAAAAAAAAAAAAGAAAAGGAGAAGGTCTGAGTTGCTGCCATTTAGGGGAGTGAGGAGCATGAGTGTGGGAGCAATGTGTTTACAGAGACATTCTTAGGACCCACCGCACTGATGAAGCCTGGAGGGGGGGGCATGTGGGTGACACAGGTGATGGTGTTTCGGTGGCTGAGAGCGGTGGCACTCAAAGTGTGTTGCATCACAGCCACCTGGAAGCTTTGTAAACCATAGATTGCCCCACTTCTAGGTTTCCGATTTATTAGGTCTCAGGTCAGGCCCGAAAATGTGCATGTCTAACAGTTCCTGAGTGATGCTGACGCTCTTGTGGGGACCATACTTAGAGAACCATTGTCTTCGTGTGAGAACAGTAAACAGAGCTCATCAGTGTCCTCAAAATAGAACTAATCTAAGACATGGGGAGAAGATGAAAAATAAAAGTGATTAGATATTAAGAATAGGAATTTGCTCCCCATTCACGTTGATGAGAGTGTCAGAATTTTCTAAGTTGTGGGAAGGGTTAAGCCAGTTTAGCCAAAATGTTATTGAGCAATAGCATGATAGTGGAGACTTTCATTAAAATCTAATTCCTCTGCATTTGGGGAATTTATTCACTATAAACAGGAAGAGTGTTTCAAAACTGGAGTTTTGGCTCTTTGTAATTTTGAATCCTTTTAGCTGACTCGGGAAAGAGAGTCCGTAATTTGAACTTTTCTTTATAAAAGAAGAGAATTCAAGGGCCTGAGTGGTTCCCATCTTTCACCATCCTGGCTTGTCCCCTTGATATCAGGATGACCACTTGATGTCAGTGACCTAAATTTTCAGTTGACAGACTCTCATTTCTTCTCTTTGTCTTTCTCTTTTCTTTACAAGTGTAAGATTTTGGCCACAAATGTAAAAATAACTAAAATATAAACAAAAGAAGGATAGACAGACACATAGTAAACAGTATAACCAGGTGCTTCAAGAATACCCTGAATAATGTAGAAGTAAATCCTAGGTTTTTAACAGAACTGATGTCTTTGCCCTAAGTTTGGATTTGTTTTCTGCAATGTGAGATACAGCAAAATTTCAAGGAGCCTTTTCAATTGCAAGCATGCAAATTTCCAAAGAGCTCTTACTTCCTTCTGTGGGCACATTGGACAGGTCAGCCATTCACTGATTCCTTAAATATCCTTAAAAGGATTGATTTAGGCTGGGCCCGGTGGCTGACGCCTGTTATCCTAGCATTTTGGGAGGCTGAGGCTGGCCGATCACCTGAGGTCAGGAGTTCAAAACCAGCCTGGCCAACATGGTGAAACCCCGTCTCTACTGAAAATACAAAAAAATTACCCAGGCGTGGTGGCGGGCGCCTGTAATATCAGCTACTCTGGAGGCTGAGGCAGGAGAACTGCGTAAACCAGGGAGGTGGAGGTTGCAGCAAGCCAAGATTGCACCACTGCACTCCAGCCTGGGTGACAGAGCGAGACTCTGTCCAAAAAAAAAAAAAAAAAAAAAAAAATTAAGAGCAAATGACTCATTTGAAAAGGACAGTATTGAAATCCTTAACCTTAGAACTGGAGCCTGCTCCCGATGGGTCGAGCCACGGACTTTCTTTTGGTTTTAACCAGGGTATCCAGTGGCTCACCTCAGCACCAGTGGTAGCAGTAGTGCTTGGGAGAGGAGGTTGAGACTTCTGGGTCTTTTAGAGCTATGTTTATTTACAAGTTGTTGGGATCTTTGCCGAGGTGCTTGAGCCGCTTCTTCGTGTTTCGGTCCCACCATCTGTGAACTCCACTGATGGTGTGTAAATTAATAAAATGCTCCATGAGCCCAGGATGAGAGACTTTGGAGGTGCCAAGAGGAATCGTAATAAACAATATTAAACAACTCCAGGGATTTTAGCAGCGTTTACAATTTTGGCTTCACACACTTAGAGGTTTGGAATCGTTTTATAAAACTGACTTGAAAACCATGCATTAGGCTTTCTTTGTGTGATTGGCAACACTTCAGAAACCACAAGGATCCCTGCTTTTGAGATGTTTCGAGAGAACCTCATCAATATGGCACGGAGCTCTGCCTCCTAGTGAGAGCTGTCACTTTCCCGGGAATCCTTCCCTTGCTCATGGGAATGTTGGGGATGTCATTGGTGTATGACCTTAAAAGTGTCCTGGGAAAGAAGGACAAGAAGGGAGGAGAATGGTTTTGGCCAGTAGTTGCAGTGTTATTGGTATGTCTGGTGTTTTAATAGAGTGATCTGCAGAACTTAAAAAACTCATCTAATGGCACAAACTTTGTGTGAAACAGGGCAGTGTATTTGGGAGTTTGTTGATTTTTTTTAAGGTGAAAATTGAATGAGGAGGGGTAGAGTGACACATACCACTGACATTTCATGTCTGCTTTGTTGGAGTTTTATTTGTGACTCGTAAGTTCTACCTACAGGGCTGAGAGCTCTGATGGGCTGGTGGCACCAGCATGGTCTGACTTTTCTCTGTCTGAATATTTAGTAACATGCAGATTCTTCCAGAATCATGGCTGTGCCTTCTTTTATCTTGCATTCGTAGAGTTTGGGACCCAGGTGCTTGATGAAAGTTTATTGCATTAGTAATAATAATAGACAACACATGCTGCTGTAGGGCAGGCCCTGTTCTAAAGCTTTTTTGTATTAATTATTTAATCTTCCCGAGAATTATAATGAAGCAGGATTCTAACTAATCCTATCATCCTCTCCATTTTATAGAGAAAGTTTAAGTAACTTGCTTAAGATTATTCAGGTCTTAAAGGGTGGGTTCTATATGCATCCAGCTAAAGGGATTTGACCTCTTTAGCATCAAATTCCTTCTCTTAATCATTGCTCTATAGGCCTAGTATTAAAGTTCTCAAAAGTTTAATAAATTATAATGATGTCTGGATTTTATCTTGGGAACCTGCTCAAGAGTGACAATGTTAGGAGTGATTTTTTTTTTTTTTTAAGATAACATTTAAGCCATGGGACTCAATTTGTGTTGAGTGGGGTGGGGGTGGGTGTTGAGCCATATTAATCACTGCTAAGCCAGTGATCACCAGCAGGGCTTGCACGTTTGTGTATCTTTGAGAAGAATTTAGGATGACGGCAATCTCTTTGAGTATGTCTTGTGTTTTGAATTCCATAGGAGCCCAGTCTTTTATACTTTTAAAGCAAATATGGTTGAGGTTTATTAGAGTTAAGGCTTAGGAAGGTGGAGGTGAGTTTTGTGGTTGGAGACTCTGACTTGGTTTTGCTTTTCTTAATATCACTTTTAAATGTCTCCCATCTGTGTTGTGTGTGTTGGGAGGTGATATGGTTTGGCTCTGTGTCGCCTACCCAAATCTCATCTTATGGCTCCCATAATTCCCATGTGTTGTGGGAGGGACCCAGTGGGAGATGATTAAATCATGGGGGCGGGGCTTTCCCGTGCTGTTCCTGTGATAGTGAATGGGTCTCATGAGATCTGATGGTTTTAAAAATGGGACTTTCTCTGCACAAGCTCTTTTTTTTGCCTGCTGCAATCTATGAAAGATGTGACTTGCTCCTCCTTGTCTTCCACCATGATTGTGAGGCCTCCCCAGCCATGTGGAACTGTTAAGTCCAATAAACCTTTCTTTTGTACATTGCCCAGTCTCAGTTATGTCTTTATCAGCAGTGTGAAAGTGGACTAATACAGGGGAAGTGGGCTCGGGAAGGGGGATTAGTGGCAGAGCAAAGCAAAGGAACCGGTCCAGGGTGGGGATAGGCTGAGGACATTGACTTTCTTGGACTCTTGAAGAGAGTGAACTGTGCTGGAAATGCCCTTTCTGGCTGCCCCTCCCAGGAGCAGGGTCATGTGTTTGCTGAATTGTACCTGCAAGTTTTTTGTTATTGTGATTTATTCATTTATTTATTTTTGAGACACGGTCTTGCCCTGTCACCCAGGTTGGAGTGCAGTGGCATGATCATGGCTCACTGTAACCTTGACCTCCTAGGATCAAGTGATCCTCCTGCCTTTAGCCTTCCGAGTACTTGGGACCACAGTTTGTGCACCACCATATCTGGCTAATTTTTTTATTTCTGTGTAGAGATGAGGGGGTCTCACTCTCTCGCCCAGGTTGGTCTCAAACTCCTGGGCTCAAGCATTCCTCCTGCCTCGGCCTCCCAAAGTGCTGAGATTACAGGCATGCCCACTATGCCTGGCCTGTATCTGCAAGTTTTAAGGGCCAATATCAAAATATTAGGATCTAGGAGGAACAGGGAGCTGTTGGATATTGGTAGAGCTCTGCAAAATGATAAATGTCATGAGTGTTTTTTTAAACTTTATTTTTAAATAATTGTGGACTTACTTACAAGAAGTTGAAAGATAATAGAGAGGTCCTGGGTACCCACCACCCAGCTTTCCCCAGTGGTGACATCTTACTTAGCTATACTGCATTATCAAAACCAGGAAATTGAAATTGGCACAATGCAAGTCACAGAATTGCAGACAATAAATAGGTGGAAGTGGTAGCTCAAGTCTGTAATCCCAGCTACTCAGGAGGCTGAGGTAGGAGGACCACTTGAGTTAGGAATTCCAGACCAGACTGGGCAATATAAAGAGACCCATCTCTTAAAAAAAAAAAAAAAGACCATACTGGAATTTCATTAGCTTGGCATACACTTTTTTTTTTCCTCTTTAAAATAGGACTTAGTGTAGGATTTGACCAGTGTTTTTTGATGAGGGACAGAACCTCTGTCTAAGACTGTAATAAATGTTGTATAGACACATGGCTTTTTAGCATAGCTCTGTTTGCTTAAGTATTTTTAACACGGCAAACAGTTGAGTGGACTGTGAAGTCCAGCAGCTCAGTTATGGGATAGAGACCAAGCAATTTGGTTATTTTCATTTATGGTCTTGAACTCCTTGGGGTTATTATCTTCACTTTTTTGTTGCCTTTTCAGAGGGAGGATATTTTCTAAAGATAAAAGGATAATTCAAGGTCATTGTGTCATCTTAAGAGCTCTTGGAGGGAATGATAAACAAATGTTGTTTTTCCTGGAAAAGGGTGGGATTTCGATTAATCAGATAAAAGGTATGGACTGATAAGACTCAAAGATCATGGATGCAATTTCATGATAACTGTTAGAGTGGATTTCCTTTTACAATGACAGCCCTGTGTGAGTTGCGGCTAAGTGTCGCCTGCTTGGCTTGCCTGTGATTAATTGCTCCTGCCTCCGTGATCCCATCACGCTTTGCTGAGACTTCCAATTAGCCTCTGTCACTATCTGCCCTGGATTTGAGCTATTTGTGAGGGTGACTGTCTTCTCAGCTAGACTAGGAAGTCTTTGAGGGCAGGGACTGTCTAATTCATTTTTTGACTTTTCTCCTCGTTCTTTCTTCCAGTATCAAGCAAGATGCATCAAGCAGAAGGGATCTCTCTATTCTCCAGCCCCCAGCAATTTTTAGACTATTCCTTATTCTAGCTTCACTTCTTTATGTATTTATCTGGGCATCTGTTTGTATGTTATGTGTATTTGAAACCAGTAAGGCTGAATCCATGGTAGATTATTTTATAATTTTGAGCTATCATGAGTCAGACTGGCCTTGTTCTGTAGCGCTACCTGAATAGCTGAAAAACAGCCTGAGAGCTTGGTAGATTTTCTTCAAAAAAAGCAGCGGGGAGTTGTTTTTGTTTTCTCTGTACTATGGAATTTTTTCTTAAAAAAGTATGTCATCGGCCGGGAGCAGTGGCTCACGCCTGTAATCCCAGCACTTTGGGAGGCCTAGGCGGGCGGATCACGAGGTCAAGAGATCGAGACCATCCTGGCTAACATGGTGAAACCCCGTCTCTACTAAAAATACAAAAAATTAGCCGGGTGTGGTGGCACGCGTCTGTAGTCCCAGCTACTTAGGAGTCTGAGGCAGGAGAATCACTTGAACCGGAGAGGCGGAGGTTGCAGTGAGCCAAGACTGTGCCACTGCACTCCAGCCTGGATGACAGAGCAAGACTCTGTCTTAAAAAAATAAAAAAGTATATCATCTTTATACTTAACTGTTAACCTTGGGATAATTCAAATTCTTCTGAGTCATGCTGCCTTTTGGGATTCGGCATTTCAGGGATGTTGGCAGTGGTCTGTGATTATGAGCCCTGCACATTAGCCGTGGTGCTGTGAGCCCCTGTCTTCTTGGAGACGTACAGGAAGATACATTGTTTAGTCACTTTTTCTTTTTGAGACGGAGTCTCACTCTGTCGCCCAGGCTGGAGTGCAGTGGCATGATCTTGGCTTACTGCAAGCTCTGCCTCCCAGGTTCACGCCATTCTCCTGCCTCAGCCTTCCGAGTAGCTGGGACTACAGGTGCCTGCTACCACGCCCGGCTAATTTTTTTGTGTGTTTTTAGTAGAGACGGGGTTTCACCATGGTAGCCAGGATGGTCTCGCTCTCCTGACCTCATGATACCCCCGCCTCGGCCTCTCAAAAGTGCTGCTGGGATTACAGGCGTGAGCCACCACGCCCGGCCTTTAGTCAGTTTTTCTAACGGGGAGAAACTGAGGGGGGAAATACTATGTTCTTGGGATCTTTTGGTTATGATGAAATGTGAAGAAGCTCTCTCAAGTGAACTCATGCAAAAATGGTGTTACTGAAGGGATATGGGAAATGTCGTGGACGGCCAGGGTTGTGCGGGCCTTGTAAAGCAGGAAAATCAGGAAGAGACGTTGGTCCTGCATCTCTCAGAGGCCCCCATAGTGTCAATTTTTGCTTTTCTCTGCAAGGTTTTGCCATTTTCTTGTTCCTACTTGCAGACTGACTTTCTTGGTTGGTCTCTGACGACATCTCAGATTTACTGCTTACCAAATGGCTTTGATTTGGTGCAATGTTGCTCTAGTCCAATACTACCTGACCTTTCCTCTAGGTAACTGTCTTAGTCTCACAGTGTCTCAATTCCAATTTTTTGTTGTTGTTGTTTTTTTTGAGACAGAGTCTCACTCTGTCGCCAGGCTGCAGTGCAGTGGCTCAATCTCGGCTCACTGCAATCTCCGCCTCCTGGGTTCAAGCGATTCTCCTGCCTCAGCCTCCCAAGTAGCTGGAATTGCAGGTGCGCACCACCACGCCCGGCTAATTTTTTGTATTTTAGTAGAGACGGGGTTTCACCATGTTGGCCAGGATGATGTCGATCTCCTGACTTCCTGATCCACCCGCATCGGCCTCCCAAAGTGCTGGGATTACAGGTGTGAGCCACCATGCCCGGGCTCCAATTTTTTTTTTTTTTTAAGAGATAGAGTCTTGCCTTGTTTCCCAGGCTGGAGGGCAGTAGTGCGGTTCTAGCTAACTGCAACCTCGAACTTCTGGGTTCAAGCAATCCTCTTGCCTCAGCCCCCTGAGTAGCTAGGGTTCCAGGCGTGCATACCACCATGACCAGCTAATTTTTATATTTTTTGTAGAGATGGGGTCTCGCTGGTCTCGAACTCCTGGGCTCAAGCGATCCTTTAGCCTCAGCCTTTCAAAGTGCTGGGATTACAGGCATGAGCCCAATCTTAATTCCAAATTTTTAAGTGAGAGTCTGTTTGGCCAATACTGAGTCATGTATTCACTTAGCTTCTGCTGGGATGCAAGGGTGTATGTATGATGGGTGGTCTCAGACTTGCCCAGGCAGGCTCTCCAAAAGGTGGGATTGTTGGGAAGCAATGATTGACATGGCTGCCATATCCCAATAGAGGAACAGTTTACCATTGTTTATATTCGGCTCTAGGCTACAATAGGAGGGCAGGGCCCATTTTTTCTTGCCTAGTGTTAGCTTCCAGCTTTTCCCAGTTAAAATTTCAGGTCTAGACAGTAGAATGAGGAAGAGGTACAGAAGTGCTGGAGTCTATCTGTAGCTGATGAAGAGCTGGTTACTAACACTGACTAGGGGCAGAGGTCATTGGATACATGACATCACCAATGAATATTTAGTTTAAAAAATACTTTCATTCATGCTTTTGAATTAACTTAGTGCATATGAATTCATCTTTTCATATGCACTTGTTTACTTTTTGAGTTCCTAACTTCGACTTAAAAAATGCAGACTCACCCTGCAGTGATTCCACTTTATTTATTTATTTATTCATTTATTTATTTATTTTGAGATGAAGTTTGCTCTTGTTGCCCAGGCTGGAGTAGCCCAGGCAAGAGTAGTTTTGCTCTTGTTGCCCAGCCTCCTGAGTAGCTGGGATTACAGGAGCCTGCCACCATGCCCAGCTAATTTTTGTATTTTTAGTAGAGCCGGGGTTTCTCCATGTTGGTCAGGCTGGTCTCGAACTGCCGACCTCAGGTGATCCACCCACCTCGGCCTCCCAAAGTGCTGGGATTACAGGCATGAGCCACTGTGCCCGGCCGGGATTCCACTTTAATAGTCAAGGACTTCTGATGTGTGTTGAAGTCACTGGATGACAGGAATACAGTAACCAAATGGTAAAGACAGAGAAGAGGACTGGGCAAGACCTAAAGGCTTCTATGCCCCACTAACCAGCTGTGTCACTTTGGTAACGAAGTTCTTTGAATTTCAGTTCCTTATCTGTAAAATGGGGTAGGAATAGTACCTGTCTCATCATGTCGTTGAGAGGATTCCATGAGCTAAAATCCATTCAAAGGCACTTTACTAGGCAGTTGGGATATAGGAGTGCAGAAAATCCACAAAGATCTTGCTCTCCTGGAGTGTATATTTCAGCATGTGCTGCCACTGCTCTAATTTATAAATCAGAAAGTGTGGTGTCTGGCCGGGTGCGGTGGCTCATGCCTGCAATCCCAGCACTTTGAGAGGCTGAGGTGGGCAGATCACCTGAGGTCAGGAGTTTGAGACCAGCTTGGCTAACATGGTGAAATCCTGTCTCTACTAAAAATACAAAAATAATTTGCCGGGTGTGGTGGTGGGTGCCTGTAGTCCCAGCTACTCGGGAGCTGAGGTAGGAGAATTGCTTGAACCCAGGGGGTGGAGGTTGCAGTGAGCCAAGATCACGCCACTGCACTCTAGCCTGGGTGGCAGAGCTAGACTCCGTCTCAAAAAAAGAAAAGGAAAAAAAAAAAGAGTGTTGTCCTTATATTTCCCCTTATATTTCCTTCCAATTCTTTAAAATTCTGGTTTAGCTTTTGTTTTTTTGTTTGTTTTTTTTGGTAGATAGGATCATATACAGCTGACAGTCAGGCTTCTCTGACTTATATGTGTGAGTGAGTGTATGTGTGTGCCCATACGCTATCAGGAGCCCTTAGAAATCAATGAAAGTGTCAACATTCTCTGAAAAAGGTCTGTTTTCCAAGGCAACCATGAAGTTAGCTTTATTTGAGTTAGGGGAATAAAGAAAACTTGTGAGAGACATTTATGAGCTGGTATATTGGCTTTGATGATCCAGGGAAAGGCATGTCTATTTGTGCAGGGGGCCACTCATTTCGCTTGTATCAACTCAAAGTCAAAAATCTTAATGGGTTTTAATAATGCTAAATGTCATATTGAATTTAAGCTTGGAAAATTTCAGATAACACCTCTTTGTAACAGCTATGGTTTACTCATCTCTTGGGCTATAACATATATCTCAAGACACAAAATCCTCCATTTTAGAAATGTTCACATTTTGCAACCTTTGCTGTGAGCAATAGAAACTTTTGGGGCAAGCTCTTTTAGATGAAGAAGGTATTTCCCCCCACAGTGGATGCATACAATTCATTCTGTCAGCCTGAAGAAGCAATTTCCTTTCTTTGCCTTGGGATTTAAAGCAATAATGTATTGTATATAATTATTTAATTTAGTTGACCTAAACGTTAATTTATTATTTTTAAAACTTTAATAGATTGTAATATATCTTAAATCAAAATCGGTTTGAAATGGCACGAAGTATTTAAGGATATTCTCATATAAATTTTAAAGAGAGAACTTATCCAAGCCAATATTAAAAAAAAATAATTTCCTTGCTTTATAGACAAATTTTAGTATATCTCAGGGGGCATTGATGTTATATCTAAAATGTCAAAGTAAGATTTATAATAATAGAAATTTATTACTCTTTATTATACATAGTATAAATGAGTAAAGCAACCAATTCCGCCTTGTGGAATTAATTTTGGCTTTGCTGTTTCTTTTTAGTTTCTGGCAAAGGCTATTTTTATTTTATTTTATTTATCTATTTATTTTATGTTTTTAGTGGAGATGGGGTTTCTCCATGTTGGCTAAGCTGGTCTCGAACTCCTGGCCTCAGGTGAGCTGCCAGCCTCAGCCTCCCAAAGTGCTGGGATTATAGGCGTGAGCCACCGGGCCCATCCCAAAGGCTATTTTTAATAGTTTGAGAAGAGTCAGAGCCTGGGTGATAAGAGATGCTGACGTTTACATTTCTCTTTCTTCTTCAGTTTCACAAGATAAGTGATCAACTCTGTATTCTCATATCACACTAAATCGTTCTCCATATCTGCCCAGGCACAGACGGAAGCCTGCTTAGATATTTATCAAAGTGGCTAATGCCCTTGTTATTGTAATTGGTCATAATTTTTCTCCTTTACTGAGGGAGCACAAAGAATTTTCCTGTCTGGGAACTGTGTACTGTGCTATGAGGATGGCAAACTTCTGCCTACAGTTGGAATTTTGCAGTGATAGCACATCCACCATTTCTTTATGTGCTTGGTCAGGTGTTTAGATATTTGAAGTGTGATGGAGAATACAAAAGATGTGGGCTACTTCCCATGGCTATGTTATTTCTCATTTTTAGTGGAGTAAAATTATGTGGTGGTTTATTTAAGAAAAAATTTTTGACATTTTCTTCAGTAACACAAACCATTACCACTGTGTGGGAAAACTGACCAGGTCTCCCCCAGGCCCAGCTTATCCACAGTTCTTCATTCAGAAGGATGGCATAAAAAGTAAGATTGTTTTACAATTTTACACGCCTTTCTGAAAACAGGTGCTTCCTTTGTGAATTCAAGTTAGTGAATTGATGTGGTCATTTCAACCTAGTTTCAACTCTGGTTCTAAAGAACAAAGCTTTTTTTTTTTTTTTTTTTTTTGCCCTGAAGATTGACATTTGCTTGCAGAGATTAGGCACTTCCTGTGCCCCTGGGTCCCATTCTGCTGGTGCAGAGGGGAGGTTGGGGGAGGTTGTAGGGGGGAGGTCAAAGGGAAGCCAACACATTGGTCCATGTACATCCCATGGCAGTGGGAGGTACTTGGAGTCTGTGCAGATCTGCACAGGGGCAGGCTGAAGCTTGCTTAGAAGTTTATCAGGTATTCCATGGTTCATCCATTCTACAAGGTAGCAGGGAAGAATTCTGAAGTTCCTTTGTTATCTGTAAATGGTTAGTGTGAGACCTGTTGCCTCTGTCCCTTCTCATTTCCCTGTTTTCCATGTCTTTCGTTTTGCCCTGGCAGAAAGCAGCCCAGCATCTTCACATTCTGACTTCTGGAATGGAATGAAAGCGTTTCTTTCTGTATAGAGAGGTTTGTTTTACACAGAGCTGCCTTTGACTGGGAAGACTCCCCCTAACAGATTTGGATCATAACGTGTTGGCACCAAGCCAGGAAGGATGGCCATAAATTGTAATTTGAATGAGGTTTCACCAGCTCTTTGTCCTGTTATCTCATTTCTGGCGCGGGGATATTGGGCAACTTAAACCAGGAGCTGATTTGGTCAATGTGATTTTCATGATTTAAATTAGAAATGTTCATTTTGGGTGGCAGGTATCAAGATTTTTGTATATTGGTTTCTACTTCTGAATTTTTTTCAAAGGAATTAAAATGGGAGGAAAAGAGGAGAGAAAGGAAAAGAGGAAGGAAGCGGTTTGAAACATGGACCCTTAGAGCTTTTGGATGCAAAAAGATCTGTATAGGAATTTGGCACTTGCTGTATATGTGACTTTGAACAACTTCTCTGCCTCAGTTTTTTGCTGTTTATAAAATGACACTTACAAACGGGCATGATAGTTCTTTGTTAAGAGATCATATCTCTTCAGAGCCAAACATAGTGCTTAGAATATAAAAGATACCTAAAAAATCCTAATTCCCTTTCATTACCTCTTTGATGTTACATCTAAAGATCTGCTGCTAAGTTGAACACAGACTTTATCACTTCCAGGCTGGTCTGAATATAGGTCTTGCTAGAATGTTGTTCGCTTAAATACAATCATATCACAGCGATCGAAGGATCCCTTTGCTTTGGTTTCTTTCCACTATTAGAAAAGTGGAAGGGCATAAAATATTATTTAAATTTTTTTTGTGTGTGTGACGGAGTCTCACTCTGTCGCCCAGGCTGGAGTGCAGTGGCGCGATCTCGGTTCACTGCAACCTCCACCCCAGGTTCAAGTGATTCTCCTGTCTCAGCCTCCTGAGTAGCTCGGATTACAGGCATCTGCTACCAGGCCCGGCTAATTTTTGTATTTTTAGTAAAGGTGGGGTTTCACCATGTGAAGCCAGGCTGGTCTTGAGCTCCTGACCTCAAGTGATCCGCCCACCTTGGCCTCCCAAAGTGCTGGCATTACAGGCATGAGCCACCGCGCCTGGCCCAATATTTTGTTTTATATTAATATTATTAAATATAATATTGTTATAATTGATAATATAATTGATATTATATAATATTTCATATTATTATATTAATTTTAAACATTTTACATTTATTATTATTATTTTTTATATTTATTGAGGACCAACTCAGAGCCAGACAGTGTTTCGGGAGCTACAGTGGGGCAGGTAGGAGAATAAACATGGAGGGGGTGATAGGTATCTATTTTAGACAGGGTGGTCAGTGGATACTTCTCCCAGGAGGTGTGATCCTGAGGTCTGCGTGGAGGGAGAGACCCCGTGGAAATCTAGAGAAAGAGCATTCCAGGCAGAGGGACCCGCGAATGTATTGAAGATTGGCAGGAGGCATGCGTGGGAAAGGCAGGAATGGGGCAGGCGCCGAGGTCACAGCCCAAGTCACCTGCAGGAGCGAGGTTCTTGTTTGGATTTTGGGCAGTAGGAATCGGCATAAGTTGAACCACAAACAAGCCCCTCTACTCCTCTTAAGAGACTTTGTTAGATGTGTTTTGCAGAGAAGATGGAAAATAATAGTGTATCTGTTACTTTGATTACAATTCCCATCATATAATAATTAACTGCTAGCTGTAATTATAAGACTTCCTCTAATTTAGTTTAGCACTCTGGGGACCTCTGTTAGCCTATATCCCAATCAATTTCACAGCCATTACGGAGGAAAAAAGCCATGTTCCTGTTGAATTTTAAATCTAGAGGAAGAATGATGCCCTCATTTGCTAGACAGCCTTATTTTGTTTTCGCTCCTTGTTTTCTTTCTGTTCAGGCCCTCCCTACTGGCCTGCTGTTTCAGGCATGTACATGTTGTTTCCTAATTAGGATAGATTTTCACAGATAGTTGTTCATTAATTCCATGCATCTCACGTCCTTTTAATAACCTCCCCAATTTATAAAGCAAAAATTTTCACGCGACAGCCAGGGGAACGCATGCGCCCCCTCCCCAAGATAGATGTTTTAGTCAATATTTATTCTCTCGTCCAGCACCTTTTACTACCCCCATGCCCTCTGTGTAAGTTCATTTATGTGGAGAAATGTAACGCAATCTGCTTTCTCAGTTGGAGAGAACAATACATTCTCCTGTGGCAGAAAATGCAGGGTTGGCCCTTCTCTTCGCCTCTGTGGCGTATCTGGTGATTGGCTGTGTTTAGATGACCTCGGTCTCCGAGGGCCCCTCTTGTCCAATTTTCCCTGCTGCTCTGGTGTGAAAGCCATCCTTATTGTCACATGGCTGCAGCGGCACCGTGTCCCCAGTGGACTGCTTCTCTCTGGAGGCAAGCAGTGATCTGTGTGTGGGGCCATTTGTCACTTCTCTAGAAGTAGCCCCCTGAGACGTAGTGACATCTCCAGAGAGCTCCAATTACTAGTTTTGTTCTCCCCCCACCTCCTCTTTTTTTTTTTTGAGACAGAGTCTCACTCTGTTGCCCAGGCTGGAGTGTGGTGGCGCGATCTCAGCTTACTGCAACCTCTGCCTCCCAGGCTCAAGCAATTCTGGTGCCGCAGCCTCCCAAGTAGCTGGGACTACAGGCACGCGCCACCATGCCTGGCTAATGTTTGTATTTTTGGTAGATACGGGGTTTCACTGTGTTGGCCAGGCTGGTCTTGAACTTCTGACCTCAAGTGATCCACCCACCTTGGCCTCCCAAAGTGCTGGGGTTACAGGTATGAGCCATCATGCCTGGCCCCACTTACTAGTTTTATAATAATGCCTGTAGCTCATGGGTAGCAACTAGAATCACTTTATACTATGGAAGGAAGAAGAAACCAAGGCTGTGGGCAAGGAGGTGGAGGGAATGATTGCCCACTGCTTCAGGCAAGTGGCCATAAACAGGAGCCCTGTGTGTTTGCCCTGGCTCCTCTGGCAGTGTGTGTGTGTGTGTGTGTGTGTGTGTGTGTGTGTGTGTGTGTGTGAGAGAGAGAGAGAGAGAGAGCGAGAGAGAGAGAGAGAGAGAATGAGTAGATTTTCATTTTTAGAGGAGTTTTAGGTTGCCAGCCAAATTGGGTGGAAAGCGCAGAGTTCCTGTACGCCCCTTCCTCTCTCACTCCTGGCCCACCTCTCCCACCACCAACATCCTGCCCCAGACTGGTGCATTTCTTACAAACAGAAAACCAACATTCAACTGTCATCACCACCCAGAGTTCATAGTTTACACCAGGCTTCACTCTCAGTGTTGTACCTTCTGTGCGTTTGGACCAATGTATAATTACGTGTGTTCACCACATAGTATCCCACAGAATTAGTTTCACTGCCCTAAAAATCTTTTGTGCTCTGCCTGTTCATCCCTCCTTTCCCCCATCTCCTGGCAGCCACTGCTCTTGTTACTGTCTCTATAGCTTCACCTTTTCCAGGATGTCGTGTAGTTGGAGTCATACAGTGTGTAGCTTTTTCAGATGGGCTTCTTTCACTTAGTAATATGTCTTCAAGGTTCTTCCATATTTTTCTGTGGCTTGCTAGCTCATTTCTTCTCAGTGCCGGATAATATTCCTTTGTGTGATATACCATTGATTATTTATCCCTTCACCTGCTGAAGGACATTGTGGCTGCTTCCTAGTTTTAGCAATTATGAATAAAATTGCTATAAGCATTCACATGCGGGTTTTTGTATGCACAGAATATAAATATAAATGTATATTCACATAATATATAAATGAAATTTATTTGTTTCTGATTATGAAAAAACGTGCTTTATTGTATAACATTTGGAAAATATTAAAAAAAGAAAATCTTTAAGAATCAGTATAAGCCTATTTATTAATTTAATGTAATAAGATACATGAAATTGGAACTCTCCTGGAAATGCAGGCCATATGGTTATTATATAGTATAACAGTCAGTGGTAAAGACAGGAAAGATTTAGGGCATTCTGAGTGCTGGTTCTGTTTCCATTAAAACCACTCCTTAAGTGACTTTTTATGATACTCCACATTCAAACAGACACTCTCAGCTTTAGAAAATGGCTATTTAGCAGTCCTCACAAACAACTGAAGTCCAAGGAGGTACTGAAATTCTTCTCTTAAAAAATTCAGATATACTTTAGCCATGGTTCTCAGTGGTGGTGGAGAGGATTCCCGACATTCATGTGGAATCCAGCAGTTTGGACACACACAGGTTTTATAAGGCTCGATGTGACTGCATTCAGCTCTGGGAGCCTCCATGTCTCTTGGGCGTGTTCTGGGTGCAGAGGCAGAGGATGCTGCTGGGGAGGACAGGGTGGTGTTGAGCTCATGGAATAGTAATGCCTCAAAAGCAGCCTCAGAAGTGGACGTCAGTGGACAGCCTGTTGCATTCGTTTTTCATTTTTAATAATTCTGGCAAAGTACTGTGTTAATCGGTTTTTCATTGCTGTAAAGCAATACCTGAGGCTTGGTAATTTTTAAAGCGAGGGCTGGGCACAGTAACTCATGCCTGTAATCCCAGAACTTTGGGAGGCCAAAGTGGGCGGATCACTTGAGGTCAGGAGTTCGAGACCAGCCTGGCCAGCATGGTGAAACCCTGTCCTAACTAAAAATACAAAAATTAGCCGGACATGGTGGTGGGCACCTGTAGTCCCAGCTACTTGGGAGGCTGAGGCATGAGAATTGCTTGCGCCCAGGAGGGGGAAGTTGCTGTGAGCTGACATCGCACCACTGCACTCTAGCCCGGGCAACAGAGTGAGACTCAGTCTCAAAAAAAAAAAAAAAGAAGACAGGTTTATTTGGCTCACGGTTCTGTATAAGCAAGGCACCAGCATCTGCTTGGCTTCTGTGAGGCTGCAAGAAGCTTTTACTCATGGCAGAAGATGAAGGGGCAAGCATGTCACATGGCGAAAGGGAACAAGAGAGAGAGTAGGCGGTGCCAGTCTCTCTTAACCCACTCTCACTTGAACTAACAGAGCAAGAACTCACTCATGACTGCAAGGATGGCACCAAGCCAAGGGATCTGCCCTTGCCTTGACCAGAACACCTCCTACCTGGCCCCACCTCCAATATTGGAGGTCACATTTCAGTATGGGATTTGGAGGGGACAAATGACAACACTATATCAGGTATTGAAGATCATTTTCGACTTTTTTTTTTTTTTTTTTTTTTTGAGACAGAGTTTTGCTCTTGTTGCCCAGGCTGGAGTGCGATGGCGCGATCTCAGCTCACCACAACCTTTGCCTCCCGGGTTCAAGCGATTCTCCTGCCTCAGCCTCTTGAGTAGCTGAGATTACAGGCGCCTGCCACCATGCCCGGCTAATTTTGAATTTTTAGTAGAGACGGGGTTTCATCACGTTGGTCAGGCTGGTCTTGAACTCCTGACCTCAGGTGATCTACCCGCCTCTGCCTCCCAAAGTGCTGGGATTACAGGCGTGAGCCACCGCGCCCAGCCTCATTTTCGACTTTTTAACAAGGCAGACAATACCAAGTTAACCTTAAAATACCGTGTTTTCATGGCTTCTGAGAATGGGAGTACAGATGCTCATCAACTTACAATGAGAATATGACTCAGTAAACCCATCGTAAGTTGAAAATACCTTAAGTTGAAAATACATTTAATACACCTAATCTACCGAACATCCTAGCTTAGCCTAGCCTACCTTAAATGTGCTCAAAACACTTACATTAGCCTACAGTTAGGCAGAATTATCTAACACAAAGCCTATTTTATAATAAAGTGTTGAATATCTCATGTAATGTATTAAGTACTGTACTGAAAGTGAAAAACAGCATGGGCGTATGGGTACTTAAAGTATGATTTCTACTGAATGCTTATTGCTTTTGTGCCATTGTCAAGTCAAAAACTGTAAGTCTAACCGTCCTAAATCAGGGACTCTCTTTATATGTCTAGCAGCTTTTAATTTTAAAAAAAGTTAGGTATTCATGGTCTCTTTTTGGTGGAAGGAAGCAGGCCTGCGGGCAAGAATACAAATGGAGGCACATATAACCTTTGTCTGGATATGTAAAAGTTGTAAGTCCAGGTAACAAATTGTAAAATAAAATATATTCTCCCACCTTGACAAATAGACTTTCCGTTGTTTTGTTTTGTTTTTTTTAAGACAGAGTCTTGCTCTGTCACCCAGGCTGGAGTGCAATGGTGCGATCTTAGCTCACTGCAACCTCCACGTCCTGGGTTCAAGCGATTCTCCTGCCTCAGCCTCCCGAGTAGCTGGGATTATAGGCGCCTGCCACCACGCCCAGCTAATTTTTGTATTTTTAGTAGAGCCGGGGTTTTGCCGTGTTGGCCAGGCTGGTCTCGAACTCCTGACCTCAGGTGATCTGCCTGTCTCGGCCTCCCAAAGTGCTAGGATTACAGGGGTGAGCCATTGCGCCCGGCCTAGACTTTCATAACGACTTGGAAAGCTGGATTCAGAGTTACAATTGTCAGACTCCTTGGAATACCATGTGGGAACGTAAGGTAGGGAAAAGCCAGCCCCAGCCATGACCTTTCCTTATCCTCCCACCCCTGGCTCCATCTTGGACAATGAAAGGTTTTATGGACACAACAGCGTACACAAAGAAGCCCCCTTTAAAATCCCCACCAAGAGCTGCCCTCGGGCCTATGAGTGCACACGTAGCATCGTCCTCTACCTTGCCAGGTCAGAACTAAGAAAGAGCCCCTAGAAGGCCTGGACGTGGGCATTGGGTCCAGGGTGCCCTGGTATCATCTAGAAAGGTATCTGCCTGTCTGCCTTTAAGAAGAGGCGTGGCTGGTAGAAGGCCAGAGAAGTCCCTTTGATGTGCGTGCCCAGGTCCTACTACGAATCTTTGAATACTGGTCTGGTTTTGATCCTGGAAAAGCTAGTCGTCACTTTCTGCATGAAGAAAGGAGAATGAGGAGCCTCCATTTGGAATGTATTAGAATTCAGCAGCATGCAATTAAAAAGTTGTTTTTAATGGGTGAACATCAGTGTTTCCTGGCATAGGTTCATTTAAAAAGCTCTGGGCTCGATCAAACAGCAAAATATACATTTATACAAGGTGGTTTGTTGTTGTTTTTAGACTTTACTTTTCAAGAACCATAATGAAGTTTTGCTTAAAAATTTCAGTCTTTGGTTGCACGGATCATGGTTCTCTTCTGAGCTGATACAATGTTTCACCTCCTGGAATCTTGTCTGATGACCTTCTTCCTGCTCATAACATCTGTGATTGTATAGGTGCTCCTGCATTCTTAATTCTTACTTTCGGGGGGATGCTGATGAGAAGAGCTAATGTAATTTCAATACATAGGAAAAGGCAAAGCCAAGATCAAGTTTAAATTGGAAGATATTATCTTAAAGGGTACAATAGTGAAGTGAACGTGTATACTGGTAAATCACTTGTCATTTTTGATAACAGTAATACAAAAGTTTTACAACTTGTCCATTAGTGAGATTCTCAAATTGCTTTAGAGAATATAGAAAAACAAGAAAGTTGGAGTCCTGAGGTTCTGTTCTCCTGGTGATTGGAGAGAATCTAAATAATACCTTGTTTTTACATCATTAATTATTTAATCAAAACTGAAAACATTATGTCCATAATACTGCATCCACAAAGTGGGTACTGAGGAATGAGTAAGTATAAATTCTCCAAAAATCTCTCACGTTCCCTCATTCTTGCTTAAGAAAGTCTTTGTGCTTTCTAAAAAATTCCTCTTAATAGATTTTTTAAAAATATATCTTTAAAATGAGGAAGCCATACTGAAAAGTGATATGTTCCAAGGCTTTTTCCCACCACTGGAAATATTCCTGATTACTGAATGTAATGAAATAAATTTGTCATGTTGGACATAATGTGTGGTGGAGTGCAGAATGAAGAGCCCAAAACTCAGAGTGGAGGCTTGACATTTATAGTTATAAATATGTGCTTTAGGAATTGA
This sequence comes from Homo sapiens, assembly GCF_000001405.40. Taxonomy (NCBI): domain Eukaryota; kingdom Metazoa; phylum Chordata; class Mammalia; order Primates; family Hominidae; genus Homo; species Homo sapiens. The sequence goes on along the minus strand of NC_000021.9, from coordinate 31,389,822 downwards.
TTTATATAGAAAAATACCAGGGCTAAGATAGATAAATTGAAGCTTGTTCTCACTAAGTAGGTTAGACAGTTCATCAAATATTGGTTAAAATCTTTCTCTCTCTAGAGGTTGAAAATAAGAGATTAAATGGTAGTATCCAACGCATGGGACTTTGATTGTCTAGCCGACCAGTCTGTTCAAATGAATATAAATGTAGTTGGGCAGCCTGTGTATGCCTAGTGTGTTGTAGCATGTGGCTCAGCAACCTAGCCGGCCACTGCCTTGTTTTGTTGCTTAGGCTAAGAATAGACTTTATGGTTTTAAATGGTTGGGAAGCCTGGGGGCGGTGGCTCTCGCCTGTAATCCTAGCACTTTGGGAGGCCGAGGCAGGCAGATCACCTGGGGTCAGGAGTTCCAGACCAGCCTGGCCAACATGGCGAAACCCTGTCTCTACTAAAAATACTAAAATTAGCTGGGTGTGGTGGAAGGCACCTGTAATCACAGCTACTCGGGAGGCTGAGAATTGCTTGGACCCGGGAGGCGGAGGTTGCAGTAAGCTGAGATCGTGCCACTGCACTCCAGCCTGGGTGACACAGAGAGCCTCCATCTCAATAAAATAAAATAAAATAAAATAAAAATAATAAAATAAATGGTTGGGAAAAACATCATAAGAAGAATACTTTGTGATATGGGAAAGTTATATGAAATTCAAATGTCAGCATCCACGAATAAAATTTTATTGGAATGTAGCCACACCCATTCACGTATGTATTACCCGTGGCTCGTTTCATGTGCCAGTGGTGGAGTTGAGTGCGTGTGACACAGACCTTATGGCCAGGAAGGCCTGAAATATTTACCATCCGGCCCTTTGCAGAGAAAGTTTTCTGAACCCTGGCTTAGCAGAGCCAGTGCTTCTTGCTGCTGGCAGCCCGTGGTTGCCCCTTCTTTCCCCTTGTCTTCTTGCTTTTACCTTAAATTTGTGTTAAATTATAGTGATAGGTAATGCTTTTGCTGAGTGCTTACTATTTTAATTTCTTCAATTCTCATATGAACTCTGTGATGTAGATTCAATTATTATCCCCATTTTACAGATGAAGAAATTGAGGCATAAAAACATAAGCAGCAGGGCTTAACATCCAGCCTCCTGGCTCCCTCCACTTTCTCTGTTTTTTTTTTTATTTTTTAAGAGACAAGGTTTTGCTCAGTCACCCAGGCTGGAATGCAGTGGCATGATCATGGCTTACTGTAGCCTCCAAGTCCTAGGCTCAAATGATCCTCCTGCCTCAGCCTCTTGAGGAGCTGGGACTATAGGTGTGCATCACCATGCTTGGCTTTATTTTATTTTATTTTATTTCATTTATTTTTTGTAGAGATGGGGTGTTGCTTTATTGCCCAGGCTGGTCTTGAACTCCTGGTCTTAAGTGATCCTCCTGCCTCAGCCTCCCAAAGTGTTGGGCTTATAGGTGTGAGCCACCATGCCCGGCTCTGCACTTTCTCTTGACCACCCTGTCCCCTGCATCTTGGAGATCAACTTCTGGCATTTGTACCCTTCTTTATCAGATTCACCGTATTCACGTAAGAGGTTGTGTGTGTGTGTGTGTGTGTGTGTGTGTGTGTGTGTGTGTGTGTGTTAGGGTCTTCTTGCGTTGGATAAAGAAATACCTAAGACTGGGTAATTTATTAAGAAAAGGGCTTTAATTGGCTCGTTGTTTTGCAGACAGCACAAGAAGCTTTTTGCGGCGTCTGCTAGGCTTCTAGGGAGGCCTCAGGAAACCTATAATTGTGACGGAGAGTGAAGCGGGAACAGGCATGTCACATGGTGAAAGCCTGAGCAACAGAGTGAGAGAAGGTGCCACACACTTTTAAACAACCAGATCTCATGAGAACTCACCATTGTGTCACAGAAGTCGTGCTCGGGCAGCCTGCGTGCTTGCAGCAGGAACCAGGCTCTAGGCCTCCTCATCAGGGCCACTGGGAGGAGGCGACTTCACTCCATGCACCTGCCCCTGGGGAAGGTGCGCCTGGGAGAGACCCACACACTGCTGCTGCCGGCTTCCCTCCAGGCCCACCTCCTCCCCAAGTGACGCTCACCACGGGCCACTATGCACGGCCACCTGGCACCAACTTACAGAGCCGCCCACCACTGGGGCTGGCACCCTGTGCCTTGGACCAGCGTCCGCAGCCGTAGAGAGAAGTCCTTGGTCTTCCCCTTCATCCTTGCTGGCTACCTCCGTGGGACAAGGACTGATTCCTCTTTTCCCCTTCCCAACATCGTCAGAAGACAGTGTCCCTGCACACCATCCATATACAGCCTCTCCTTGAAAAAAGACAGGCCAGGCTCGGTGGCTCATGCCTGTAATCCCAGCACTTTGGGAGGCCAAGGTGGGCAGATCATTTCAGGTCAGGAGTTCGAGACCAGCCTGGTCAACATGGCGAAACCCCATGATATAAAAATTAGCCGGGTGTGGTAGTGGGTGCCTATAATCCCAGCTACTCGGGAGGCTGAGTCAGGAGAATTGGTTGAACCTGGGAGGCAGAGGTTGCAGTGAATTGAGATGGCACCACTGCACTCCAGCCTGGACGACACGAGCGAGACCCTGTCTCAACTGTGCCCCCCACCTCCAAAAAAAAAAAAAAAAAAAAAAAAAGAGAATAAGCTTCTACAAACAAAAGCCCTGTATTGAGCTTCAGTCTGCTCTCGGGGTGGGACGGGGGCTCCCCACATCTCTGGGAAAAGAGAAGGCTGTAGCCACCTGGGGGGCCCAGGGTGGTGGGTCTGGCAGGTGGTGCCACAGCTAAGAGAGCAGATACCAGAAGTTCTAAGAGGTGCTTAGACAAGGGCTGGTGCCAGGCCATGGGTGCCCAGCCCAGCGGGGCCATGCCGGAGCAGATAAAGCTCAGGACGTCAAAAACACCCTGGACACCAAGGCAGAAACCAAGGACCTTCCGCAGGCAAATAAGCTCCCAGCATCCATTCCGGCTGTCAGTGCCCCTGTATCCTGTAGTTATTCTTTTAACAATAGCAAAAGCCATTTATGGATTCCCTCTTGAAGCAAAACCTTGTTTCAGTCACCTCTCTCTGGCTGTTACTTTCCTTCCACCCGTGCCCTCCCTAAGATGTATGTACCTGGCCTGTCCTCCCTGGGCCATACCTGTGGCACATGTTGGACACTTGCACAGGCACAAGGATGTCTTTGGGTCCCTTGCCCTGCAGTTTGCAGGGGTCTCTGCTCCGAGTTCCCAAGTAGTCCCCTCAGGGAGAAATAGCCTCACATGCAATATGGGTGTCTTAGCGGCCCATCTGGAAGGGCTGCGGCAGTTCCTCCATGTCTCCAGGTAGCCACTTACCTCTTGGGCTTAGACACCTTTGCACGTGGTTGCATTTCTTTAATCTTCTATGGGTCTTTTGGTGTGGGTTTGATTTTGCTTTTGCTTTTCTAGGTGAGATTTCCCAAGTGCATCCTCAGAAGCTCTGGGCATGCCAGGGGACCCCCAGAACCAAGAAGGGAGGGTGAGTGGGTCTCCATTCCCTGAGAAGCCAGGGGCAGGGCAGGATAGGGGAGACCAGGAGCAGAGTTGAGCCTCACAGAAGCCAACACAAGTCTCTGCTCAGCACCCGTGCCAGGGCTGCGGGCCCAGGGAAACAGCCCCATTTCATCACAGCCCCTCTCAGAGCCTCGAGATAGCTGGCGCAGGCTGCTGGCAGGAGAGGGATGCCCTGTCCCTGGCAGCCCCTCCACATAGCATACCCCAGCATCTGCCACCACCTTCGTCCTTGCTTTGACCTTGAAGTTAATTCTCTTAGAGTTTAATTTTGGTTCATTTCTGCATAGGCACAATACAGTTATTTGTTTAAAATGTTTATTATATATATTATATATAATATATTAATACCAGTATAAATAACATTAATATATTATCAATTAATATATTAATTATATTAACTAATATAATTATATTAACTAATATAATTAATATATAATCAATATGTATTATATATAAATATATAATATATTAAACATTTTAATTTTAAATTAAATATTATTAAAATTTATTATATATACATATTTGTTCATAAGATTTACGTTTTAAACAGCTGGTGTAGGGTACATTTTTTTTTTTTTTTAAATCTTCCAGTGCAGTATATTTTTTAAAGCACAAATTGATGCCAAGACTGGGTGAGGAATATACATTACCCCCTTATTATTTTGTAGTTTTGGGACCTTACCTGTGAAACTCTTAAAGATTTTCCTCCCTCCTATTTCAGGGTGGGTCACATTCTGATGAATGTTTCACTTGTACAGATCCTAGCTTATTGCCTTGACCCAACCGTCCCTACAGACACTGGGTGACTCTCAGGCTCTCCCTGCATCTCGCACCCCAAAATGCCTTGGGACCCTTGACCCCACCCTTCTTTCGTAGCAGCCCACAGCCTTGTGGCTTGTATGATTTTGAAAGTCCCATTCTATTTTATGATGGTTGATAATAGTCATTAACCTCATAAAGTCTGTTTTTTAAAAATCTATATCTATCTATCTATAAAGAACACACTATTGAAAGGACAGCATTGCCTGGTCAAATGGTGAAACCCCGTCTCTACTAAAAATACTAAAAATTAGCCAGGCATGGTGGCAGGTGCCTGTAATCCCAGCTGCTTGTGAGGCTGAGGCAGAAGAATCGCTTGAACCTGGGAGGCGGAGGTTGCAGTGAACCTGGATCGCGCCATTGCACTCCAGCCTGAACAATAAGAGCGAAACCATGTTTCACACACACAAAAAAAGACAGCATGAAGCCATGTGGCATCTCCTATGACCCAAACACCTCCCACTAGCCCCCACCTCCAACAGTGGGGATTCCATTTCAACAAAGGATTTAGAGGGGACAGCATTCAAATCATATCAGTGTGTGTGTGTGCTTGTGTGGGTGTGAGGTTACTTTACCTAGTCCTGATGTCATGGGCTTAATGTGCTACTAATACATTTTTTAATACACATTGAAAAATAGTTATAACTGTAAAGATGAAACATGGTTTTCCATGTACCACTAAAAATGGTTTCCTGTTCCATTAGTGGTATGTGTAGCCCTTCTGTGCAACCCTCTTGGGTCTCCACTGACAGCTCTTGACCTATTTGTGGGACTTAAGGTAAGATATTTTGTAGATTCTGGTTTTTAAATTTAAAGCAAACTCAAGCTGTATGATCCTGAAGTACAAGAGACGATACAGAATAATTCAAGGAGGTTGGGAAAGCTTTCTTTCTTTTGTTTTTTAGAGACAGGGTCTTGCTTTGTCACCCGGGCTGGAGTGCAGTGGTGTGATCATAGCTCACTGCAGCCTCAAGCTGCTGTGCTCAAACAATCCTCCCACCTCAGCCTACTGAGTAGCTGGGACTACTAATGCGTGCCACCATGCCAGCTAATTAAATTTTTTTTTTTTTTTTTTTTGTAGAGATGGGGTCTTGCCATGTTGCTCAGGCTGGTCTTGAACTCTTGGCTGCAAGCAGTTCTTCTGCTTTGGCCTCCCAGGGAAAACATTTTTAATTTGGGTATCTTCCCCCTTGATCTTTGACATTTTTTTTTTCATTTGATGATGTGTTTGCTTGATTACTTCTATTTCCATCCTCTTCAGATGTTATATATTTCCTTGAGTATCTTAATTGCCTTATTTGTTCATTAAACTTACGAGGTGCCCAGTCCCCTGCTTGAGACTGGAAGTGCATCTATGAACACCACAGGATATGTGGCCCCAGAGTGCGTTACAAGAATATGGTCGTCAGCCAGCAAATGTCTTCACCTGCTCTACTTAGATTTTAGCAATTTGCATTGCTCCTGAGGTGCTCGATTGCATATGATAATTTGGAAACAGCAGGTCCCAGCAGATAGAGGAGCAGCTGTCAGATCTAGAAACCTGTCCATTGGCCCAGATTGTTCTGATGATTTGCAGCATAACCTTGGAAACATCGTTTCATTTTCCGTTCCAGGTTTTCACTCTGGAAAGTGGAAAATCACAGCAAATGAAGCTGGTCTTAAAGAAATCGAGTGCCCCACATACTGTAATGAGCTCGCTTTTCATTTCTCATGCCTACCTTGTTTACATGGACACGTCCTGTTGGTGTGTAACCTTATGTAGTAGATAGATACAAGGTATGGAGATACATATATACGATGTGATACCTGTAGTCCCATGTAGATACAGGAGGTTTTCTTTCCCAAGGCATGTCAGGAATTGTCCGTGGAAATGACAGCCTGAAAGAGATAGGTGTACAGTGTTGGTGGACAAGCCAGTATCAGTTTGGCGAATCTCTGAAAGCCCATTTTGAGCCTGTTTGTAAGGTTGAGTGAAAGAACTGTTGAAGTGTGAAGAGGTGCCTGGGAAAGGACTCATCCTACCAACTTTTGAGTTCCTGGGGAGTGGGATATAGCCTAGGGTCGGGTACATAATAGGTATTCAATGAACATCATTTTGCACAATCCTTGTAATGCTTAGTGGCCCCTGGCACTCAGAGAATCACTGTATGTTTAGATCATGACAGGGCTGGGATTAAAAGCTTTACTCTTTTAAGTATTCTGAATTTATGGAACTATTATGTTTTACACTTTTTTTTTTGAGAGGGAGTCTTGCTCTGTTGCCCAGGGTAGACTGCAATGGCACGATCTCTGCTCACTGCAACCTCTGCCTGTTGGGTTCAAGTGATTCTCCTGCCTCAGTCTCCCGAGTAGCTGGGATTACAGGTGCCCACCACCACGCCAGGCTAATTTTCATAGTTTTAGTAGAGACGGGGTTTCACCATGTTGGCCAGGTTGGTCTTGAACTCCTGACCTCAGGTGATCTTCCCGCCTTGGCCTCCCAAAGTGCTGGGGTTACAGGTGTGAGCCACCACGCCTGGCCTATGTTTTACACTTCTAAAAGATATTGATAATATTGAGACATCTAGTTTAAACCTAAGTGCATAATGGTAATTCGCCAAGGTGAAATTGATTACTTTTCCATATTGAAGGCATAAAAGCATACTTCTTGAACCAATAATGACACATGGGTCGTTGTTTCACACTAGAATCACATGCTTTCATTAATTTTTTTAGTTTGTTTGCCGTGTTTTTTGTAGCAAAGACCTTGACTTTTGTGATCTCATTTAAAATATCACCAATTGACTGACATGTTAAAAAAATCTGTTTTATAAACTGTCAAAAGAAAAAGCATAGGTACTTCAATCCTCTCATTCAGTGTGCTACATCCGTCTCATTAATTGCCTTTTCAGAGAGCAGTGTCATTGGAGGTAGTCAGTCTTTCGGAAAAAAACAGATCAAAGAGTTGTCAGGAGGTTGTTTGGCTCTGAGATAATTCATTTCTTGCTTTCTTTCATGAGATACATAGGAGTGTGGTAGCTAATGATCAGAAATGTGGAAATTGGAAATTGAAATGTATCTATTTGATCCTTGTACCTTGGTCAAAATACACAATTAATCTGTCTGCTTTTTATTTTCTTCTGCCCTTATGTTCTAGACACGGCGTAAATCTCAAGTCATGCCTTTTGTCACCTATGATTTTAGCCAATGGTTTCTAGTTACCTTGTGGTTTTTCATACGGATATACAGTGCGCTGATAAGCGTTCAAACATCTAGCCCCAGAGGTCTCTGGTGTTTGGATAAGAGTTAGCAAAAGCATATTGCATGGGAGATGTGCTTATCATTTTGTTCCTTTCCTTCCCTCTTTTCATTCTCTAATTCAAGAATTTCTGCTTGACCCAGTTTAAATGTCTTCTGCACAAGTCTCTCCTCATAATGCTTTATTGGTCTTTGTCTTAGGCAGTTTGAACTGCTATAGTGAAATACCACAAACTGGGCAGCTTAATCAACAAACATTTATTTCTCACAGTTCTGAAGGTGAGGAAGTCCAAGACCAAGGTCCCTGATGATTGGGTTCCTGGTTTGAAGACAGCCTCTCTCTATATATATCCTGACATGGCAGAGAGAGAGGATGTCTCTAGTGTCTGTTCTTTTTGTTTTTTATTTTTGAGACAGGGTCTTACTCTGTCACCCAGACTGGAGTGCAATGGTGTGATCATGGCTCACTGCAGCCTCGACCTCCCAGCCTCAGGTGATGCTCCCACCACAGCCTCCCAAATAGCTGGGACTACAGGTGTACACCACCATGTCTGGCTATTTTTTTGTTTTCTTTGAGACAGAGTCTCACTCTGTTGCCCAGGCTGGAGTGCAGTGGCGTGATCTCAGCTCACTGCAACCTCCGCCTCCCATGTTCAAGTGATTCCTGTTCCTCAGCCTCTCGAGTAGCTGGGAGTACAGGCGTGTACCATCATGCCCAGCTAATTTTTGTATTTTTAGTAGAGACAGGGATTCACCATGTTGGCCAGGCTGGTCCCGAACTCCTGGCCTCAAGTGATCCACCTGCCACGGCCTCCCAAAGTGCCAGGATTACAGGTGTGAGCCACTGTGCCCGGCTGCCTGGCTAATTTTGTCTATTTTTTGTAGAGGTGGGGTTTCAGCATGTTGTCTAGGCTGGTAGTGTCTCTTCTTATAAGAGCACTAATACCATTCATGAGGGCTCCACTCATGTCTAATCACCCCGCAAAGGCCCCACCTCCAAATACCATCACCTTAGGGATTAGAATTTCAACATACGGATTTTGCGGGGACACAGATGTTCAGTCCATAGCATTCTTATTATTGCAGCACTAAACAGTCAGCTTGGTGTCATAATCTAATAGAAGAAAGGGACTGTATTATCTGTGTCTTCTAGCAAGGTTTAGTATATTGCACACAAGTACTTGGTTTTGTTGTTGTTATTTATTTACTTATAAAGTTACTGTTTGAGTGCTGCACTGTGTCAGGTACTCACTCATCGGTGAAAGAAGCACTATTATTTTCCTCATTTTACCTATAGAGAAGCTGGGGCTTGGGGGAGGATCCCAGGTCATTCAACATGTGAGTGAAGGGGTTGGGACTTAAACCTAGTTTTATTCTAAAGCCCCTGTCCCTAACCGATCCGGTACAATGCAAATTATATGGAATTAACTATATAAACTGCTTTATGAACATTGTGGATATGTTAAATTTAGGATTTTGACCCACATTTTAATGAACTAAAAAAAGTAGGGTATTGAGTCTATTCCTTTTCTTTATACTGTGGTAATAGATTAATTATCCTCTGATGGATTTTTTAAAAAACAGCTTTATTGAACTATAATTCATACCCCTTTCGAATCATCCATTTAAAATGTACACTTCCATAATTTTTTTATTTTTATATTTACTTTACTTTATATTATATTACTTTATTTTTTTGAGATGGAATTTCGCTCTTGTTGCCCAGGCTGGAGTGCAATGGTGTGATCTCAGCTCACTGCATCCTCCGCCTCCTGGATTCAAGTGATTCTCCTGCCTCAGCCTCCCAAGTAACTGAGATTACCGGCATGTGCCACCACACCCAGCTAACTTTGTATTTTTAGTAGAGACAGGGTTTCACCATGTTGGACAGGCTGGTCTCGAACTCCTGACCTCAAGTGATCCACCCACCTCGGCCTCCCAAAGTGCTGGGATTACAGCGTGAGCCACTTAACATTTATTGTTTGAGACAAAGTCTCACTATTTCGCTCAGGCTAGAGTGCGGTGGCGTGCTCCAACTGCAACCTCCACCTCTCAGGTTCAAGCGATTCTCATGCCCAGCCTCCCGAGTAGCTGAGATTACAGGTGTGCACCACCATGCCTGGCCAATTTTTTGTATTTTTAGTAGAGACAGGGTTTCACCATGTTGGTCATGCTGATCTTGAACTCCTGAGTCAAATGATCCGCCTGCCTTAGCCTCCCAAAAGTGCTGGGATTACAGGCATGAACCAACATACCCTGCCAGTTCCATAATTTTAGTACATTTATAAAGTTTTGCCACCATCCTCAAAATTGTTCTTAGGACAGAAGAAACTCTGTACCCATTACCAGCCATCCGTATTTCCCTCCAGCTCTTCTCACCCAATCCCCAACCCCAACCATTTAATTTGTCTCCATAGATTTCCTGTTCTGGACATTTTATATGAAAGGAATTATGCAGTATGGAGTCTTTTTTGACTGGCTTCTTTCACTTGGCATGTTTTTGAGGTTGATCTTTGTTGTATTGTGTCTCAGTACTTCATTTCTTTTTATTGCTGTGTAATACTCTATTGTATGGCTGTACCATATTTTATTTATCCACTCATTAATTGATGGACATTTGGGTTATTTTTCTTTTTGGCCATAACAGCTAATGCTGCTACGAAACTTGTGTACAAGCTTTTGTGTGGACATACGTTTTCACATTTTTTTTTTTTTCTTAAGGACTGGGTCTTCTATTATCCATTTGGAGTCTAGAGTTACTTATAACTTGCCTAGAGTCCAACCTTGGGTGATTCTTTGGCTAGGGCATAGTGCAGTGTTTTTGGAAGCAGAAATTATTCATTGATGTTATTTCATTAATGTCACTGTATAGTCATCCCTTGGTATTCGTGGGGAATTGGATCCAGACCTCTGCTCCCCCACAGATACTAAAATCCATGGCTGCTCAAGTTCCTTATATAAAATAGTGTAGGCCAGGCGAGGTGGCTCATGCCTGTAATATCAGCACTTTGGGAGGCTGAGGTGGGCAGATCACCTGAGGTCAGGAGTTCAAGACCAGCCTAGCCAACATGGCAAAGCCTTGTCTTTACTGAAAATACAAAAATTAGCCGGGTGTGGTGGCGGGTGCCTGTAATCTTAGCTACTTGGGAGGCTGAGGCAGGAGAATCGCTTGAACCCGGGCAATGGAGGTTGCAGTGAGCCGAGATTGCGCCATTGCATTGTCAACTGGGCGACAGAGCGAGACTCCATCTCAATTGAAAAAACAAAATAAAACAAATAAAATAGTTTAGTATTTGCACAAAACCTATGCACATTCTCCAATATATTATAAGCAATCTCTAGATTACTTATAATACCTAATGCAATGTAAATGCTATGTAAATTGTTGTTATACTGCATTATTTAGGGAATAGTGACAAGCAAAACAAGCCTGTACATATGCAGTACGGATGCAGTGCAACCATCTATTTTTCCTTTTTTAAAATATTTTGGATCTGCAGTTGGTGGAACCCAGGGGTGCAGAACCTACGGATACCGAAGACCAACTCTCTTGGCCAAATTGTGTGGCAGCGAGTATGAGTGGGAAAAAGATTGTCTTCAGGGAATCAGGGAAGCCAAGTAGAAATGGGAGTAAAATGGTTAAAAGCCTTGAGGGTTAAGATACTAAAATGCCCTTTGGAGAGCAGGGATCCTTGCGGATTTGAAGCAGGCTGGAACGTACCAAAGAAAGTTAATTAGTGAATCACACTGGTAGGACAGACTGCCCAATACCTTAATAGAAATTGGCAAGGTACTTTATGTGGGACACTGACTTTTTCTACCAGAATAGTTTCTATGTTAGATAGGACTCCTGTTTGCAAATAACATACATCAAGCCAAGATCATGTGAATTTTTTTTAAAGGAGGTTGGTGTTAATTTTTTTTGAAGACATAAGGTGCCTCCTGGCTAACATGAACAGTAATGTTACCTATCTAGGGATTGTGCTGGATGGTGAGGCCCCCAGGATTCTGGGCTCTGTGGCTCTTTTGGCTTATCTTGTTTCTTCTTATTTATGTCATTCTCTCTCCTGCAGCTTTTAATGACTTTTTTTTTTTTTTTTTTTTTGAGACAGAGTTTCGCTCTTGTTACCCAGGCTGGAGTGCAATGGCATGACCTCAGCTCACTGCAACCTCCACCTCCCAGGTTCAAGTGATTCTCCTGCCTCAGCCTCCTGAATAGCTGGGATTACAGGCATGTACCACCATGCTCGACTAATTTTGTATTTTTAGTAGAGACGGGGTTTCTTCATGTTGGTCAGGCAGGTCTTGAACTCCCATCTTCAAGTGATCTGCCCACCTCGGCCTCCCAAAGTGCTGGGATTACAGGTGTGAGCCACCGCACCTGGCCCACTTTTTTTTTTTTTTCTTATTCCTCAATGGACACAGTGAAAAATGTAGCTGCTGACTGTTTCTGAACTGGATATCGCATCTGGATGGGAGATGTGGTATCCAAGAAGACCCCTGCGGGATCTTCAGTACAAAGTCTAAATACCCTTAGTAGCCTAGGATGGCAGACAGAAACCTGCTAGATAACCTTTAAAAAGCAGGAATGTGATGTCCTGTACAGTTTGAGGACAATGAGACAAAAAGAATAAATTGTTGTACATATACAGAAGGGTTTGGCTTGGCATCAGTGTCTGTCAGAGGCGTGATGTAGTCACTGCAGATGAATGAGCCCACTCTTGGGCTAAGGGGAGCATAGTGTCCTGATCCCACTGAATTTTCAGGAGGGCACTCCAGCCCTTGAGGACTAGAGCCAGCTCCATGGTCAGTGTTTTAAGGAAGACCTTGAGTGAGTTGAGTAGTCAGACGAGCAGAACCAAAATGGTGACAGGAAACCCTGCCAAGGGTAGCAGCTTACCCGGAGGAAGAAGCAGTAAGGGAAGACAGGACCACTTTCTTCTGTTATTTGAAGGCTTACCATACAGAAATGATAGAGAATTGGTCTGAGTTTCTCCAGCAGGTGGGAGTTGCAGAAAGGCATCTCTTAAATCTATCTTAAAAAAAAAAAAAAAAAAAGTTTCAGCCAGGTGCAGTGGCTCACACCTGTAATCGTAGCACTTTGGGAAGCTGAGGTGGGCAGATCACTTGAGGTCAGGAGTTCAAGACCAGCTTGCCCAACATGGTAAAACCCTGTGTCTACTAAAAAAAAAAAAAAAAAAAAAAAAAGACAAAAATGAGCCAGGCATGGTGGCGTCCGCCTGTTATCCCAGCTGCTCGTGAGGCTAAGGCAGGAGAATTGCTTGAACCCGGGAGGCAGAGGTTGCAGTGAGCTGAGATCGTGCCACTGCACCCCAGCCCGGGTGACAGAGTGAGACTCTGATTCAAAAAATAAAATAAAATAAAGTAAAAATTCCTATCTCAGAAGCAGAGCAAGGAGTTGCCTAAAATTTTGTGCTTTCTAGATTGGAGCTCCATCACTTACCATTCATCCAGGATATTACAGAAGGCATTCTAGATTTCCTCTGCACTTTAAAGACCAGTTGAACATGACATTAGTCAGCATGTAGGCACTGAGTATGGAAAAGGTTCTTTTATTTGAGGCCGATGTCACAGTTTAGCCATCCCTCCATCACCCACAAGTCCTTTCAGTGGGCATCTCCTCCTCCCTCTGCTGTGCGTGTGTTTGGGGGAGCACTAACTAATTTTGATGGTAGCCTAAGCAAAATGCAATTAGGGAAATCTCGTGCCAAACACGCATCTGTGCCAATGTTTGCCTTCATTAGCACGCATAATCAGGAGTTTGCTTTAAACACTGTATGTCTTTCCCTGTGGAAACATGAAATGGAGAGGGTGCAGACGGAAACCTGGGTGCCCTGCATACCGTGGAGTGCGAGACAGTGAGCCCAGGAGCCTGAGATAGCACCTATGGTTTGGGGAGAATCATGTTCTTGGTGATTGGTGTTATGGTCAGAGACTGAGATGCATTTATCAGGGATGGTGTGTGAGTGTGCACATGTGTACATGCGTGTGTGAATGTATACATCTGTTCATGCTACTCATTTTAGCTCTATGTGGGGAAGCACAATTAAGGAAATAGAGAACCAGAGATCTCAAAAAACAAAGGGTAGGATGTGGCAGTATCGTTTACGAAATGCTTGCCCTTAAGCATATACATAGCAATTTGACACAAAGGACTCTATTTTTTTCTACTCTTTTTTTTTTAAATTTTTTTTGAGGTGGAGTCTCACTGTGTCACCTAGGCCGGAGTGCAGTGGCACAATCTCAGCTCACTGCAACCTCTGCCTCCTGGATTCCAGTGATTCTCCTGCCTCAGCCTCCCGAGTAGCTGGGATTACAGGCGCCCACCATCATGCCCGGCTAATTTTTGTATTTTTAGTAGAGATGGTGTTTCACCATGTTGGTCAGGCTGGTCTCGAACTCCTGACCTTGTGATCCTCCTGCCTCAGCCTCCCAAAGTGCTGGGATTACAGGCGTGAGCCACCACACCTGGCCTTTTTTCTACTCTTAATAAACAGGTTTGCATATAGTAAAAAAAAGAGAAACTCAGCTTCACTTTGCAATTTATGGGTTTTTTTGGTGGCACAGGATGTATAGGTTTCTATTTAGTGCCTGGCTTTTTTGATATAAGAAGATGAGCATACCTTATAAGAACATACATCTTCATATGTGTGATAAAAAATAAAGTTGTTGATTTTTCCTTTTCTATATATGAATGAACATGGTGGGAAGTTGAAAAAACAGAAAGGTGGACGAAGGGGAAAATAATTGTTATTTACTTACCACTGAAAGTGATTCTGATAATTCTGGTATTTTGCCCATTGTTTAGTCTTTATTACTTGAACATACACATGTATATGTGTATACTACACGGAGATATATACATATTCATGCACAAATGCATGTACATTTTTGTACCCAAACACCACATTTGCCTGGAGGTAGATGGCTTTGCTCTGTTTGTGTTTGTTAGAATGTTGGTGGTAATTGGAAATCACTTTTTTTTCTATTAAACAGTGACTTTCTGATGTTTTATTTATCTGAAATGTTTGTGAAAGCCAACCGCATACTGGATGTTTCTTAGAATATTATTTAGTAGTAAAGAATAAAGAGCCAAAATTAAGAGTTCAAAAGTGGGTATATTTCTCTGCTGTGTGTAAAAAACATACAGAGAATTCTAGTACAAGGTGAAAAACTAAAGAATCTGAGTCACTGTGTCTAATGTAAAGACCAGAAATTTCACCCTTTCTCTGCCATTTCTTGCTAAATTTCTCTCTGCTTCCCCTCATCACTGAATCTATGCCAAACTTCATTTTTAGTGGTTGAAAATAGAAATTTAATCTTTTTTTAAAGGAGGGTATTATCTGTTTAAAATAATTTAATGGCCCAGAGGAATAACGAATATTTGTTTTTCTTTTATAAATATATTCCAAAATTATCAGTTGGCTAGTTGTCGCTTTGGTCCTAGAAGCTGAATAAATAAATTCTGGGAACCAAGTCTTATCCCATATTGCCTTGGAACAATCTGTCCCCCTGCTGGGAACCTGATGTTTTCCTTCAGTTTGATGGGATGAACTTCTTTGCAGGAGCAGCGTGATGGGTGGGAACCCAGAGCAAGTGTCAGCTTGTCCCAGGGAGTCTTGAGTTTCACAGCCCCTCCTGTTCCTGTCCATCTCTTCCTTCCACCTTGAGATTCAGGTCAATTTGAGGAGTCAGGGAGGGAGGATATCCGATCCTTTAGTCCTGAGTGCTGGATTCCAGTAGATGTGTGAAGTTGCTGAGAGTTCCAATGGGCATTTGGAGGGACAGATGCAGAATATTCCGTATATGTAGGTATATGAGGTGGGAGAAGGAAAGGGAGCCGGAGGAAGTTTGGGAAGAAATTGTCAAAGCTACAGGAAGGAAACTTGGATGCTGTAGTGGATAGTTTTTGATCGTTTGCCCAGTGGTTGCTTCCCATCCTCTTCTTACCAGCACCCAGTATCTGTTTTATGGGATCGCCCCCTGCCCGCTGCACACCAGCTGTGCCATTTGGGAGGAATGGGTTCCATACTCGGTGTTGGCATTCTTCACAGCGCCAAGCACTGAGCGAGTTGGGTCTGGAACTTACATGGAATTTTCTGTAATTGGTACAGAATTTAAATGAGAGGCTTCCCCAACAAGGGCATGGCTGGTGGTTTCAGGGGCTACCCAGATACCAAGGAGGGGAAAGGCCATTTAGAGTGACAGATGTGGTGGGGGTGGGGCTTCTGGTGACCTTGGTTGGGGCTGTGCTTGAGTGAGAAGAGAGGATGCTGCTGCTTCCAGAGGGAGCTGTTGTAGGTGATGGCAGCTTTGAGGATATGGGAGGAGTGGGGAGAGGAAGAGGGAACGACCAGGTAAGAGGGATTTTGATTTAAACGATGGGGGAAAAGGAAGTATATTTATGTAGACGCATGGCTAGATTTGATCATTTTCTTGAATTAGTTTTCTCTAGTTTCTTCTGCTCATCAGCTTTCTCTTTAACTCAGCATCTCTCTGAATGGGCTTATTACTCTTCTCTCATCTCTAGTACTCCCCTGAAAGAAAAAAATTCCAGACACCCTCCTGCCTCTCTTTCTGTTTCTTCCCTGTTCTTTTCTGCTGTCTCTTGTATCTTAGTGCTTTGCACAGTACCTGCCATATGTTAGGTGCTCAAGGCATATTTGTTATATGAGCATGATATGGTTTGGCTTATAAATAAGTCTCACGAGATCCGATGGGTTTATCAGGGGTTTCTGCTTTTGCTTGTCTCTCATTTTTCTCTTGCCACCACCACGAAAGAAGTGCCTTTCGCTTCCTGCCATGATTCTGAGGCCTCCCCAGCCATGTGGAACTGTAAGTGCAATTAAACCTCTCTTTGTTCCCAGTTTCGGGTATGTCTTTATCAGCAGTGTGAAAAGAGACTAATGCAGAGCAAAAGAAAGGAATTTTATGACAGGGTCTCATCCTGTATCCCAAGCTGGAGTGCAGTGGTATAGTCTCACCTTACTGCAACCTCTGCCTCTCGGGCTCAAATGATCCTCCTGCTTCAGCCTCCTGAGTAGCTGGGGGACCACAGGCACGTGCCACCATGCCCAGCTAATTTTTGTGTTTGTTTTTGTTTTTGGTAGAGAAGGAATTTCTTTTCTTTCTTTTTCTTTTCTTTTCTTTTCTTTTTTTTTTTTTGAGACAGAGTTTTGCTCTTGTTGCCCAGGCTGGAGTGCAATGGTGCAATCTCGGCTCACCGAAACCTCTGCCTCCCGGGTTCAAGTGATTCTCCTGCCTCACCCTCCCGAGTAGCTGCTATTACAGGCATGCGCCACCACGCCTGGCTAATTTTGTATTTTTAGTAGAGATGGGGTTTCTTCATGTTGGTCAAGCTGGTCTCGAACTCCCAACCTCAGGAAATCTGCCTGCCTTGGCCTCCCAAAGTGCCGGGATTACAGGTGTGAGCCACCGCACCACTGAGTTGCCCAGGCTGGTCTCAAGTGATCCTCCTGCCTTGGCCTTCCAATGTGCTGGGGGATTACAGGTGTAAGCCACCTACCCAGCCAGTTTTGTATCTTTTATGTCATGTTGGTACATAGCCTCTCTAGCTACCTAGTTTTTCAAACCCTGCCCCCACCCCTACCCTCGCCTGCCCCTTCCTGTCCACATCTTCTCTTCACCTCTGTGGCCACTGTCTCAGTTTCAACTTTGGCCCTCTCTTGCCAGACTGATTTCTGTGGCTCCTCTCCCACTGCTCTCGTGGTTCTTAGGTTCCGGCTGAGCAGGGGTTGGTCACAGATGCCCCCCTAAGGCTCCAAAGCCTCCATATTTCCTACTGGGCACTCAGTTCAAACCTTTTCAGCTTAACAGTGGTGGTGAGCAATTATGAGTCAGACTAATTAATGTGATATAACCTGTGACCACTGGCCCAGAAGGAGCTCCTCAAGCCCAGTTTTTGATGCCCAGAAAGCCGGGGAACCCCAGCTAAGTGATTGCTATGGTGCCTATAGACCTTGGATGACAAAATCTGATGATGTTTTCCTACATTTTTAATGGGAGAAAAGAGTTGCTAACTTAAAGCCCATCAGAAGTGATAAGAAAGCTGATGGGATGTGCCAGCCCATGAGGTGGAACTAGAGGAAAATGAGCCTTCCGCGTTGGGGAGCTGGGAGTATTACATGTACTCCACTGTGCAAACTCATATTGCCTCAGGGTTGCTTTAATTTCTCTTCTTTTGGCTTGTCTGCCATTGAATTAATTAAATTTCAAGAATAGTCTATTGTTAACTGGGTGAGTTCACTTTGGGAAGAACCCAAGTTCACCGAGGGTGGGCTCTGCAAATATGGTGGCCACTGCATGACCTTGAGAATTTCCTTTGACTCAGCCGGGCTGAAGGGGTGAATGAGTCTGAGAGCCGTTATGAAGAGTCTAGGATCTAAAAGAGTCTTCAGAGAACCTGAGGAGTTAGAAGGACTTTCCTGTCCTTCCTCTTATTTGTCTTCTTGCCTGATGACAAGTAATTGTACAAGTGAGGAACATCAGTTAGGTGCCAGGAGACCTCATCAACGGTCATTCCTCTTAGAGTGGTCCATTAAACAGGAATATCATGACCCAAGTGGTTCAACCCTTAGTTCTTTTTAAGGTTGAAAATCTATCTTTTTCTAGAGAAACGTTGCTCTTGTTCCATAATCATACTGGAAAAGTACTTTGCAGGGAGTAAAAACATGCAGGAACAAATTGTCATCCAGTAACTCTGGCATGTGTATAGGAGCTGTCAGCACTCCATCTTACATTACATTTTCTTTCCCATCCCTTCCTCCAGAGACCCCTTGGAAAGTGATTGGATGAATTACTCAACCTCCCTTGGCTTGAGTCTCATCGTAAAATGAGGAGGAAGGTACTAAATGAGCTCTTAGCCCCCTTCCTGCCTTTGCATTCTGGGAGTCTGTGGAGCAAGACAGGAGCCAGTCCTGTTGCCTGAATGATAAGGAGAGTCGGCAGAACCGGCCAGAGGTCCTCAAGCCAAATAAACTTCAGAAACTCTGGGGTTTTCTTTTCCAGTCTGTTGACTACCCATATGTTTTGAATCACCGCTTTGTGTAATATAAACTAAAACTCTTCAAGTGCTTGAATTGAAGTTGTTGTCAGGAACTTTTGATGACTGGTCAGAAAACAAAGCTCTAGGAGTCTGGGCTGAGAGAAGAACACAGTCATTCTGGAAAGTTTGTCCCTGGAGGTTGGCACTGAGTTGCTGCTCTGAAAAGCCTGGGACACTGGGGGCCAAACTCAAATGGCCACAGACCAGGGAGGCCCCAGAAATGTGTGGGTGCTGGGTCTGAGAGAGGGCGGCACAGGCTGCATACCGGGGCTTGTTGCTATAGCCTACTGCTGCCAGATCTTTCTATTTTTTCAAGATTAGTTGGAAATCCTAATTTTTATGTGAAGTCTTCTTATTTTTAAATATTGGATCAAAAAGGAAACAACATTTTTTTAAACAGTCCACTGTCCAAACAAAATATGTCTGCAGGCCACACACACCCTCAGGCCACCCAGAGGTATAGTCTGGGCATATAGACCGCAGTATGTCTTGTACATATTGTTTTTTGAAAACCTTTTTATTGTGGGTAATTTCAAACATTTACACATTGAGAGGATAGTATATAAACCCCCACAGAAACTCTCACATACTCATCACCCACCTTCAGGGAATATCAACCTGTGGCCAATCTACTTTGGCCTGCAGTCACTACACACACATGCGCGTGCACACACAAAAACACACCCACATACCCATACTGGGTTGTCTGTATATGAATCACAGATATGCTCTCATTTCATCTGTATATACTGCTAAAGATAAGAACATAAAAAAGCCATATTGTTCCAGCCTCTGTCTGGGTTCAAAAAATAAAAAGAAAAGCCATATTGCCTGTGTATCTCAATATTATCAGGCATATGGTCACTTTTCAAACTTAACCTCTGTCTCATAATTTTTTAACAGCTCATCTTTTTGAATCGTGATCCAAATAACACCCATACATTGTGTCTCAGTCCATTCGGCTCCTATAACAAAGCACCCTAATCTGGGTAACTTAGATAGAACAGAAATTTATTTCTCATGGTTCTTGGGTATTGGAAGTCCAAAACCAAGGCAGATTCAGTGCCTGGTGAGGGCCTGCTTCCTGGTTCATAGACTACTGTCTTTTCACTGTGTCCTCATGTGGTGGAAGGGAAAGGGGTCTCTCTTAGGCCCCCTTTATAAGGACACCAATTATTTCCCAAAAGTCCTACCCCAGGCTGGAGTGCAGTGGCGCGATCTTGGCTCATTGCAACCTCTGCCTCCCGGGTTCAAGCGAGTCTCCTGCCTCAGCCTCCTGAGTAGATGGGATTACAGGCACGTGCCACCACGCCCAGCTAATTTTTGTATTAGTAGAGACGGGGTTTCACCATGTTGATCAGGCTGGTCTCGAACTCCTGACCTTGTGATCCACCCGCCTCAGCCTCCTAACCCTTCTTCTTCTTTTAAATGTATTTTTCCTTTTATTTTTAGTTGACATGTAATAATTGTACATATTTATGGGACACAGAGTGATATTTTGATACAAGTATACAATGTGTGATGATCAAATCAAAGTAATTACCATATCCATCATTTCAAACATTTATTATTTTTTTACGTTGGGAACATTCAGAATCCTTTCTTCTAGCTTTTTGAAAATGTACAATAAATTATTGTTAACTGTAGTCACCCTATAGTGGTATAGATCTCTAGAACTTATTCCTGCCATTTAGCTGTAATTTGGTATCTGTTAAGCAACCTTTCCTTATCCTCCCTTCCCTCCTACCCTTCCCACCATCTAATATTTCACCTTCTAATACCATTGCCTTGGAGGTTGGGATTTCAGCATATGAATCTGAAGGGCACACAGACATTGAGACCAAAGCACCTTGCAACTGATGCATGTGTACCTTCAGTCTCATGTAGCTTCCTCATTATCATCCCTTTCTTTCTTTCTTTCTTTTTTTTTGAGATGGATTCTCGCTCTGTCACCCAGGCTGGAGTGCAGTGGCACAATCTCGGCTCACTGCAAGCTCCGCCTCCCGGGTTCACGCTGTTCTCCTGCCTCAGCCTCCCAAGAAGCTGAGACTACAGGCTCCCGCCACCACGGCCGGCTAATTTTCTGTGTTTTTAGTAGAGATGGGGTTTCACCATGTCTCTATCTCCCGACCTCGTGATCCGCCCGCCTCGGCCTCCCAAAGTGCTGGGATTACAGGCGTGAGCCACCACGCCCGACCTATCATCCCTTTCTTTCTTCTCTTTTCTCTTTACTTAAGAGTCCAAGTCCTTTGCTTTGTAAAGTATCTTACATTCTGAAGTTTGCTGATTGCATTATTATAGATTTGTTCAAAATTGACATGCTAATTTAATATCTTTAGTTTTATACTAAAGAGAGTCTAGACGCTTGTATTTTACCAGTTTTGCCATATTTCCCCCTGCTGCTACTCTATGTAGCTTATCATTATGAGCTGCTGTTTTACTGAGTTTTTCTCCCGTCCTTTTCTTCTTACAAATATAAGTATACTGGGGACGGTCAAATCTGAAGTCTTGTCAGCCTATGCCTGCCTTTTGGGATCTGTTCACGCATCTATTTGAAGCCTGTACGCTTTCTTGAAATGCTTTTTTCTGCCTTGTGATGTGAAAGTTTGGTCGCTATTTTTAGCTTTTTAGACTCCTGGCAGCAAATCCGAAGCCTACAGAATAATTTTGGATTGGGATATTTTGGATTTGAAGTCAACTGTGGCACTCTAATTAAAAATGTTATGCGTGTGGCTCAGCCAGCTCAAATGAATAATTTGTTGAGCTACAAACAGTAACAAATTGCAGAAATGATTCACCTGGAGTTTGAGAAAAGGTTATTAAGAAAGCGTAAAATAAATTATTATGGAATATTAAAGCCCTTTTAATATTATGGAATATTAAAGCCCTGAGGAGCCTTTTAAGAATGGGGCCTATGGAACAAAATAGGAAGTTGTTAATATGTCTTAAATAGTTTCCCTTAAAACCTTTGATGAAGTTAAAATAATTGGTAGACATCTTTTGTTAGGTTTGCCATCAAGTTGGTTAAAGTCTCTTTAATATCATATAAATAACTGAGTTTAAAATCAGAGAACATGTTTTAAAATGAATTCTTTGAAAGTGAAACTTGGTATGAAGTTTCCAGTTATACTGAGAGGCCTCTCATGAATATTCTAGAGTGGCTATTTTTGGGTTCAGCTCATTGATCCATTGAAACTGAGCATCAGATGTTGTTTTTTAGGTCTTCTTTTGTGGTCCATGAAGCAGTTTAGGGAAGATAAACACTCAGTAAAGTAATATTGATTACGTGATTCCAAGTTAGACGTCATTTGAAGTTAAAATATTATAATTTAGTGGCCCATGAGGATGTGGAAAATATAATACCAACACACAAGAACAAATAGGTAACGAATAGGAATGAGTCTGTCAAGGACTGTAATTGATAAAGGACAGAGTTACCCAAATGGCGAAGAAACGGAATGTTGCTGCTTTTGCTGATAAACAGGTCTCTTGGTTGTCTGCTCTTTGGTCTCAGATAGAATGCATGAGGCCTGTCAGAATTTCTGGATCCTCTTAAATGTGGCCTTTGGTAAGAAAAGAATAAAAACATTCTTGCCAAACTTATTAGGTAGGTAAGTTTGGGTTGAATACCAAGGTATTCAAGTTCAGTTGCTATGGAGACTTCTTCACAAAGAAAAAAAGAATCCAAATGCCATTTAAAATGGATAACTAGTGAATTTCAAAAATGTACAGAATGAGGTTATTTCGGCCTGTTGGTCTGGGTACTTCTAGTCCCATTCTGTTGACTGGGAAACTAAGTCTTGGTGCAAATCAAGCAAAGAGTTACTGACAGACCTACCTAGAGAAAGGCAATAGTGGCGTTCTTCCAGCTCTGTGTCCCCTTTGCTGTTCATAGGGCTTGCAACTGAAAGACTGCTGGGGCAGGTGGGGGTTGAGGATGAACCAGGTGAGTTGCTCTGTTTGTGCCCTTCTTCTCTTCTTCACTTCCTCCTTTCCTCTCTCCCTCCCTCCCTCCCTCCTTCCTTCTCTCCTTACTTCTTGCCTGCTTACCTGCCTGCCTGGCTTCCTGCCTGGGATTGCAATTATGTTTCTGGAGCTATTTTCTGGGACCCATCCAAATCTGAATACTCATGAGTCATTTCCTTACAGATTCTCCTGTGGTTCTTTGTATTCCCTTTGTATACAGATTTGACCCTGGCATACTTCTAGTCAAGATTTCCAGTAAAGTGTTAAAAAGAGGCTGGGCATGGTGACTCACGCCTATAATCCCAGCACTTTGGTAGGCTGAGGCGGGTGGATCACATGAGGTTAAGAGTTCAAGACCAGCCTGGCCAACATGGCGAAACCCCGTCTCCGTTAAAAATAGAAAAATTGGCCAGGCATGATGGCACATGCCTGTAATTCCCAGCTACTCGGGAGGTTGAGGCAGGAGAATCGCTTGAACCTGGGATGTGGAGGTTGCAGTGAGCCAAGATGGCACCACTGCACTCCAGCCTGGGTGACAGAGCAAGACTCTGTCTGAAAAAAGAAAGCCCCTGAGCATCCTCTTTTTAATAGTCTCTGCCTTCCTTGGAAACTTAAGTATTGCAAAGAAAGCCTGTAGGATATGGCTACATAGTGCTCACCATGAAGATGACATTGAGCTTTCTCCTGATGGATGGCCTGGAGGGAGAGATGGATGGGAAAGAAAAGGAACCAGGAGTGTGTTCATTGCCCATCAATTCCCAAACTGAGGAGCCAAAGGGTGACATGTTTTTCATTCTCTGCTAACGGATGGATATGTTTCTTTCCATTTGGGACATGCGTAAGTTAAGTAACATCTGTGTGGTCATGGCAAGAATAAGGTAACTGGTTTCCTGCCTTTTACAATGTGACAAACTAAGAGTTGCTTTTGGCAAAGGGTGAAATCCAGCTTCAAGGTTATGAGTACGGTTTACTTCCTATGACCTCTGTCAACCATCCCAAGGGCCAAGGGCATAGTATTCATGGCTGTGACATCAGATAGGGGATGCCTGGTATCAAGGTGGATTGCCTTTCAAGTCACACTTTTTTTTTTTTTTTTTTTTTTTTGAGACAGAGTCTTGCTCTGTCTCCAGGCTGGAGTGCAGTGGAGCTACCTCGGCTCACTGCAACCTCCACCTCCCGGGTTAAGTGATTCTCCTGCCTCAGCCTCCTGAGTAGCTGGGACTATAGGTGCAGCTAATTTTTGTATATTTTAGTACAGACGGGGTTTCACCATGTTGGCCAGGATGGTCTCAATCTCTTGACTTCGTGATCCACCTGCCTGAGCCTTCCAAAGTGCCGGGATTACAGGCATAAGCCTCCGTGCCCGGCCTTATGTCATACTTTGACAGTGAAATCTTGCAGTTGTTGGGGAATATGGTTTGATTCAGGGAATATCTCTCAAGCACCTGTTATGTTCCAGGTACTATGCCAAGTGCTGAAGATTTAGAAATATGTGACACAGGCTGGGCACAGTGGCTCACGCCTGTAATCCCGCACTTTGGGAGGCCGAGGCAGGTGGATCACGAGGTCAGGAGATCGAGACCATCCTGGCTAACATGGTGTGAAACCCCATCTCTACTAAAAAATACAAAAAATTAGCCAGGCGTGGTGGCGGGTGCCTGTAGTCCCAGCTACTTGGGAGGCTGAGGCAGGAGAATGGCGTGAACCCGGGAGGCAGAGCTTGCAGTGAGCCGAGATCATGCCCCTGCACTCCAGCCTGGGCGACAGAGCGAGACTCCCTCTCAAAAAAAAAAAAAAAAAAAGAAAGAAATAAGTGAGACACAGACCCTGCCAGCAGGTGCTTCCTATATCCCATTGGACAAGACGGAAACATCAGCACATCCATGGAGAATTATGCAATAAAGACAGAAGGAGAAGTATATACAGAGCACAGAATAGAAAATGTGCGTTGTGTTAGATCTCTTCCCAGGATCTGCTGGGGAGATCTTCTTTCCTGATCACTATCCTGAGTGACTGGCGTGTTTGGAGACTAGATCTGGGGTCGTTGAATTCTGGCCTGAGGGCCAAATTCCACTGATTCTTGTAAGATCCTTGAACTAAAAATGTCTTTTACATTTTTAAGCGGCTGGGGGGAAAAGAAGAATAATTGGTGTCATGTAAAAATCATGAAATTCAGATTTCAGCATTCATGAATAAAGTTTTATTGGAACAAAGTCATTTTCATTTACTTACTGTCTTTGGTTGCTTTTACATAACAAGGGCAGAGCTCAATAGAGAGTATATGGCTCGCAAAGATTGAAATATTTATCTGATTCTTTAAAGAAAAACTTTGCCCACTCTGGACTGTGCCATTACTCAACAATTATGGTGTGGTTGGCCTGTCCTCTGTCCTTCCTCCCCCATCAACACACACCCACTCAGCTGTAACTGCCACCATTCTTTACTCAGTCTGTCCATTCGTCCATCCATCCATCAATCAATCCATGCAGCCATCCATCCATCCACCCATCCATCCATCCGTCCATCCATGGTCCCTGGCCATCATGGTGTCAGCTGTTCCAAGATTTGTTAATAGAGAGTACAGAACTCTTATTAACAATTCCTATAGGTAGAGCTGCTCTTTCCTCTCCATCTGTGGCTGATGTCTCAGTGCTTTCTCAATTCTACCATCACATGCTCAAATATAACCTTCTCCACTCCCCCACACCCACTTCAGTTGCTGGGGGCTCATTCATTGGCTCCCTCTGCGGAGGCTTGAGTGTAAGTGAGGTATTCAGCAGAGGTCTTTGGAGGGTTTCTCATTTGATCACAATCTTAGTTTGAGAAATGGTGCCTCATTCATTAAGCTGTAAGAGAGCTCTCTACAAGCAATTTTATTTTTAAGTAGCCCTTTGGTTAACAAGTTTACTCCACCTGGGATGCTTTTTATTTTTGGTGGCCCACAGAAATCTGAAACAGTGCAGTGCTGGGGCCTCTAATCTGTCTTTAGGAACGGGGGATACTATGAAGCTCACCATGCAGTTACTTAAGAAAGCTATCGGCTAGTGCTATTGTGAATGTGTTTTTACCTTCCTGTAAAATGCTGAAATCACAGACTTTATTACTAGGATAATGAAGAAATGTATAAGTTCAATGCAAGTGACACCAGCAGGCCTGTGTGTTGGGTAGAGATGTCCTGGGGCTGTTTTGCTCTGCACTTTTCCTCATGGGTGTTTCTTTCTTGAAATTGAACACCACTGATCTCTCTTAAAGCAAAATACTTCAGCAAATACACAGGAAGAACCCCCTCCCCCTTTTTTTCCTGTGGTTTCATTGCATGTTGTGTGGTTTCAGAGATACTTCCTTGGGTTGCCCCCCAACCAACCAGAGTTTCCTCAGAAACAGAGAGCTTTCTTCTGGAAGAACTCTAAGATTGTAATCTGGATGCTAGCAAAGCGTCTGCAGCTGCTCCATTTTTAATTCTTAATTTGGGAGTGATCAGCAGTTTCACAGAAGAGAGAAAAATCTAAGACATTCATCGTGTGATCATTCAGCATTTGGAAAAGGGAAAAGGAGGATTGAATGAGGTAATAAACAAGGGTGTTAATCAAGGAGAAGACATGTAAGGTGCAGTTTTAAAAGACATCATTAGAGGAAGCTTAGGGACTAACAAGATGTTTTTGCACAAATATGTGGTATGGAGGAGTGTTGTGGATCACAGGAGCAGATCTTCTCTGCTTCTTACCCCTGCAAAACAACATCAGCAGTAAAACCATTTAAAAAACCCAGAAAAAAAAACAAAATCCCGGTCCTGTTAGAATGTTGGGTTGTAAGGATCAGAAACCTAAGTTGATTTAGGGCCAAAGTGGGAATACGTTTGTCTGTGTACCAGTCAGGGTAAGGCTGGGGTTAGGGGACAGCTGGACCCAGGGAAGTTAACACGATCAAATGCTCTCTGTCTTTCATCCCTGTTTTCCCTGGATCAGATTAGTTCTTCTCAGGCCAGCTTGAACCAAACAGAAGCATGGCTGCCAGCAGTTTTAGGCTGACGTCCGCAGTTTTAAAATAAAAAAATTCCCAAGGAATTTCTCTGATTAGCTAATATCGATCGTGAACCCACCCCTGGACCAATCACTGTGTACAGGGCTTGAGGTTCAACAATGATCCCAGCTGGATCCTGTGCCCATCTTGTGGTTAAGGATGGTGGAAGAAGTATGGAGGTGCAGTACAGAGGAAAACATTACAAATAAAGGGGGAAAGGAATAGTCTCTTCCACCAATCCTATGCAAAAAAAATACCCATCAGAGAACTCGATGTCCTGTTCTGTAGGGCATCCTAATCAGAAAATACAATGATAAACCCCCTTACAGTGTAAGTAAGAATGAGAGTGAGCGCTCCCTGCCCTAAGGGGTGATGGACTAGCATTGCTTTAAAAATAATTGTTGGCTGAGCACAGTGGCTCATGCCTGTAATACAAGCACTTTGGGAGGCTGAGGTAGGTGGATCACTTGAGGTCAAGAGTTCGTGACCAGCCTGGCCAACATGGTGAAACCCCATCTCTACTAAAAATACAAAAATTAGCCGGGTGTGGTAGTGGGCGCCTGTAGTCACAGCTGCTCGGGAGGCTGAGGCAGGAGAATCGCTTGAACCCGGGAGCTAGATGTTGCAGTGAGCCAAGATTGCACCACTGCCCTCCAGCCTGGGTGACAAAGCGAGACCTTTTCTCAAATATAATAATAATAATAATAATAATAATAATAATAATTGTCACTGCATTAATGGGTAATGGATCTATGACTCGTCATGAAGAGAAAGGCGAACCTTGGGTGGCTGGTTTGAATCTCTGGGCTCAGTGTGGGATAAGTCAGCTCTTCCCTTCTCACTTACTTTCTAGTGCCCTTGGGCTGGAATTGTCATGTCCATAACTCATCCAGTCCAGTGACACCAGAGAGAGAGTGAAGGAAGAGGGTGGATGCACTGAACTCACTCTTATGCTGCCTTCATTTTCAAATAAAGTCACAGTAAAGAGTATATCTTTTTTTTTTTAAAAGGGATAGGGTGACAGCTCCGTCACCCAAGCTGTAGTACAGTGGCACAATCATACCTCACTGTAACCTTGGATTCCTGGGCTCAAGCAATCTCTCTGTCTAGCCTCCCTGGTAGCTGGGACTATAAGCATGAGCCACTGTGCCCAGCCAAGGAACATGTTTTTATGTCAGTCATATATGTATACTTGCATGCACATATATGTGTATGTGTATATACACTTACATGCATGTATATGTATATATGTGTATATGTATACATACCAAATGTATACACATGTCTGTCTATCTATCTATCTATCTATCTATCTATCTATCTATCTATCTAATCTTTCTTCCTCAA
This sequence comes from Homo sapiens, assembly GCF_000001405.40. NCBI lineage: Eukaryota > Metazoa > Chordata > Mammalia > Primates > Hominidae > Homo > Homo sapiens. The sequence continues at coordinate 31,361,822 of NC_000021.9, read as the reverse complement.
AGGAATCTATGATAATATCATCTGCTATTAGTTTAATAGTTGGAAGAGGAGAATGTCTTAATGAACTAAGTATCACCTTTAGTTGTCTTATCTGTCATTAAATGTGTTACTCATTGGGCTTTTGAGTGGTTTAATGAAGCAGTGATATTTATACAAGATTTTATATCTATAGCCAAAATCTAAAAGGCTTTCTTATTTGGGAAGGGGTTACTATTCAGTGGGAAATATTCGTCTACAGGATAGTTTATGTGGATTTTATAACTCTTCTTAAATTGTGAAACATGCCACACATTCAGAACAGTGCACAACACGTGACTGTACAGCCTACTGGGTAATGTGGCCATCACCAGCTCGAGAAATGCAACATTGGCAGCCCCCAAGAAAGCCTCCCCTCCCATCCTCAATCACAATTTTCTCCCTGCCTCCTAAAGATAACAACCAGGCTTGATTTTTATGGAATCATATTTTTGCTTCTTGTCTCACATTTAGTGCTTGAGTGTAGATTCTTAAGCACTGTAGTTTAATTTTGCTTGTTTTTGAACTGTATATCAGTGGAATCATACTTTATTAAGTATTCTGGGTCTGGCTTTATTTCCTCAACTTTTCTCTTGGGTGTAGCTCTAGTTTGTACACTTTAATTATTATACAATTTCATGGTATAAATAGGCTATAACTTCATAATCCATTCTACTGCTGGTGATCATTTGGATTAGTTCCAATGTTTGACTATTGTGAATAGTGCTACAATGGACTTTTTTTGGAGATACCTTCCCCAGCACTCATGTCCATGTGTTTCTTGGGGTGTATTTCTAGAATTGAAATTGCTGATTTTTCATCTTTACTAAAGTGCCTGACCCAATTACACTCTCCCTAGTAGGATAAGGGAGTTCCTCTTGCATTATGCCCTCAGAAAACCTTGGTGTTATTAGTCATTTCAATTCTAGCTCTTCTGGTAATAAGTGGATTTCCTGGTTTGAATTTACATTTTGTAAATTGAAAAACCAGCATGGCCAAGCTCCTATTCATAGGTTTATTGGTCATTGGAATATTTTCTTTTGTGAACTGCCTGACAAATGTCACTTGTCATTTTTTATTTGGTAGTTGATGTTTTTCTTATTGATTTGTACAGTTGTGTGCATGTGTGTGTTTTAAATTATTCTGCATAATATCTCCTTGTCAGTTGCATGAGTCGCAAACATTGTCTCACCGTGTGGCTTGCATTTTATTGTCTTGTTTATTTTTTAAGTAAACAACTAAGTTTTTACCTGGAATGTAGTCAGAATGATCAGTTACTGGCTTTTTAATGTCTATCCTATTAAAAAAACCTCAGGATTACCCATAGCTACCTTGGATTGCAAAGTCTAATATAAATTAGTACTTTGAAGCCTTCCTAGATAATACAAGGACATTAGCCTTCCTAGATAATACAAGGACATTAGAGTATATTAACTCCTTTTATTCTCTACTGGATTATAATATATAGTAAATTTTTTTCTTTCATACTATTCTAAACATCTAAGACATTATTGTTAATTATTATTATTATTATTATACTTCTGTCCGTCTTAAATTATCTTTATTTCTGCTGCATATAGAATTCTCAGTTGGCGGTGATTTTCTTCAAACACTTAGAAGATACCAGTTCATTATCTTCTGGCATCTGTTCTTGCTGAGAAGTCGGCTCTCTGCCTAATTGTTGCTTCTTAGTACAATAGCTCATCAGTCTCCTTCTTGTTGCTTTTATGGTTTTTCTCTCTGCCTTTGGCTTTCCAGTTCCACTATGACATGTCTAGGTGTAAATATATTTTTATTTATTCTGTTCAGGGTTTGTAGGACTTCTTGAATCTATGGGTTGGTATCTTTTTTGCATTTTGGGAAATTTCCAACCTGTATCTCTTCAGTCCAGTTCTCTTTTTTCTTCATATTACATCCTTTCATTGTCTTTCCTCCCTCCCTCCCTTCCTTCCTTCCTTCCTTCCTTCCTTCCTTCCTTCCTTCCTTCCTTCCTTCCTTCCTTTTTCTTTCTTTTTCTCTTTTGACAGAGTTGTGGACTGTCTCCCAGGTGGTGTGCAATGGTGTGATCTCGACTTGTTGCAACCTCTGCCTCCCGGGTTCAAGCAATTCTCCTGCCTCAGCCTCCTGAATAGCTAGGATTACAGGCACCCGCCACCATGCCCTGCTAAATTTTTGTATTTTTAGTAGAGACAGGATTTCACTATGTTGGCTGGTCTCAAACTCTTGACTTTGTGATCCTCCTGCCTCGGCCTCCCAAAGTGCTGGGATTACAAGCGTGAGCCACCATGCCCGGCCCTTTCACTGTATTTTCTATGTCTCCTACCTTCTCTTTCTTTCTTTGTTTTATTTTTGTCCCTTTATGCTTCATTCTGCCAACCTAATCTTGTGAAGAGCAAATACTATTTGTTCACTCAACAAATGTATTTATTTTTAGGTCCTACTGTGTGCTAGGCAGTGTCCTAGGTACTTGGGATACTTTGGTGATCAAAAGAGGCAAAGACCCTTGTCTTTGTGAATTACTATTAAAAAATAAATAATTGTTTATTAATTGTAATGAGTTACGTCTTCATTTTAAATGAATTAATTAAGTTTAACTTAATGATTCAGTGTGTTGGAAGTGGGAAATGATATTTTAAAAAAGCAAAGTAGACCTGCTTTGGGTGGGTGGGCAGTTCTGGGAGGTAAGCGGGGTAGATTAGGGTATAGTGATGAGATGGTACCATTTGAATGAAGACTAAAAGAATATAAAGAAATTAGCAGCCTACCTGGAATGTTCCAGAAAGAGGGAGTGTGTCTGGAAAGTTCAGGGAACATCGAGGAGGCCAAGTGTGGCTTCAGTGGCATGAACAAGGGGAGAAGCAGCAGGAGATGAGGACAGAGAAGTAATAACGAGGCCAGAGGGGTGATATGCTTTGTGGGTCCCTCTAGGGAGTTTGGCTTTTACCCCTTGAGCGGAGGAATGCTGTGATCTAATTTATACTTTAAAAGGATCCCCATGGTCCTGGATGAGGATGGATTGTAGAAGGACAAGAGTGGAAACAGGGAGACTTGTTCAGAGGTTTTGTCGTAATCTAGTAGAGAATGGTGGCTCGGATTATAGTGGCAGCAGCAGGAAGGGGTGAGAAGAGATTTGGATTGGCACATATTTGGAGAGTGGATGCAACAGAATTTTCCGACTGATTCGATGTGGGATGTGAAAGGAAAGGGAAGGCAAGTATGGCACCAAGTATTTTGGTCTGAATAGTTGGGAGGGTTCAATTGCCCTTAGCTCAGCTGGGAAAGGCACCTGGAAGATACCCAGAGGGTGTACGTGCACAGTGCGGTATTCGATTGTGGAGTCTAGGGGAAAAAGCACTGGCTAGAGACATGCATTGGGAGTTGTTAGCATGTGGAAAGTATTCGCAGTCATGAGACCGGAGGGGATCTCCAAGAGTTGTAGGTTGATTTCTCCAGAAACAGGCAAGAAGACGGCATTTAGATGAACTGCAAAAGAAAGAGGAAGCAAGCAGGACCGCGTGGAGAAGTCAAACAGTGGTGTAGAACAACCTGGCTGGAAGCTCTGGAATTAATACTGCCCATCATCCTTGTCCTGCAGAGGCTGATATGACCAGTCCTTTATCCCTGCCTCATTCAGTCACCAGATATGGCCTACCCTGGGATGCCGCCCTCTGCCCTGAGACAGGTCCTGCAGGAACTGAAGGCTCGAGGCTGCCTTCTGACCACAGCCCCCGTAGCTGGACAGCAAGTCTTTCTTTGGGTTAAGATCGGGACAGTGGATCTACCTATCTCCCTCACTGAGGACCACAGTGTAAAGAAAAGAGAGAAGAGGACCAAGGACTAAGCCCTGTGGTTCTCCAACATTAAGAGGTCAGGGAGAAGAGGAGGAACCAGCAAAGGCAGCCAGCAAGGCAGAAGAATTTATGGTGTCTTGGAAGCAATTGAAGAAAGTACACCAGAGCAGAATGAGTAATCAGTGGTGTCAAATGCTGCTGATAGAATAGGTCAAGTACAATGAAGACAAGAGAGAAACATTGGCTTTATAAACCGGGAGATCATTAGTGCCCTTGAGAACAGCACGTGGTTGGATGGAAGATGCACTGGAGTGGGTTTAAGAGAGAATGGGGAAAATAAGGGAACATGGCAAATACAGATGCCTCTTTTAATATTTCTGCAAAGGAGAGGGAGAAAGCAGCAAATTTTCATAGTTATAATTTGATGATGTGGAGGAGAGAGAGGAAAATTGCTAAAACATTGCCCTTGAGTGAGCAAGGGGTGGAGATTGGACCTCATCACAAGTGGAGGGGTTGGCTTTAGAGAGGAGTATGGATAGTTGTCTACATCAACAGGCAGAAAGGTAGAGTGTATATACCTGCATGCAGATAGATCACCAGAGAATATATATAGTCTTAGAAGTTTGTGGTAGTCCTCTCTGATTGCTTCATTTTTCTCAGAGAAGTAGAACAAAAGGTCATCAGATGGGAAGAAATTGTTGGGAATCTGGAAGGAAAGCAGAAGACATAAACTTCGTGAGTGTGGGTGAGGGAATAGACAGAGAATTTTGGTGTGATTGCCAGTGGCATTTAAGGGGACACTTGACATTAGGGGTCAGGAATTTAAAGTGAGACCAGCCAACATGTTTGCATGCTTTCTTCTGTTTTCTCTAGCCACAGTCAGCTGTCTGGGTACAGGTGTGAACTGGGCAGTCTGATGGATTTAACCAGATGTTTTTGCCAAAAGGATATGACCAAGTAAAAGATGGGCCAGGGAGTTGAGGGAGGGAAATTAATGACAGATGATGGAATCTACACTTCTCTTTTAAAAATTTTAAAAATGTTTATTCATTCATTTATTTTTTAAAGATGGGCTCTTGCTGTGTTGCCCAGCCTGGTCTCGAACCCATGGGCTCAAGCCCCATCCTCCTGTCTCAGTGTCCCAAAGTGCTAAGATTACAGGCCTGAGCCACTGCGCCCAGATGGAATCTACATTTCTTAAGGAGGAGCATGAAATATCGAAGCTATGAAGGGATTCTTGGAGTGTGTCTTATTCCATTGGTGCTGCTATAACAGAATACCACAGACTGGATAATTTATAAACAACAGAAATGTATTTCACAGTCTGGAGGCTGAGAAGTCTAAGATCTAGGCAACAGCAGATTGAGTGTTTAGTGAGGGGCTGCTTCCTCTGGACAGCGCCTTGTGGCTATGTCCTTACACAGTGAAAGAGATGAATGAACTCCGAGACCTCTTTTTAAAAGAGCACTAATCCCAATCCTGGGGGCTCCGATCTCATGATCTAATCCTCTCCCAAAGGCCCCCACCTTAGAATACCATCACTTTGGGGGTTAGGATTTCAACATATGAATTTTGAGGGGACACAAACATTCAGACCCTAACAGAGTATGAGATTGAGTGGTCTGAAAAGATGGGAGGTGTGAGCTGTGGGGGGGATGCATGACAATGATGGCATACGGGCAATTGGTATCTTTACCCTTTATTATTAATAATCTGTGTATTTCAGAGATTTGGCATGCAGTGTCTTGAACATCCTTAGTGAATGTATAAGTTGAAAACTCCAAGTGTTTGTGTATTATTGACATAAATGTCTATTTCTCCTATTGTTCCTTATTTCTTTCTTTGCTGTTAAGGATTCAGAAGGAATTGGTTAAAAGGACTTTTTTTCTATGGTTAAAGAAGAGACCTCAGACCTGGGTGGTTTTGATCATGCTTCTTGTCTTGAATTATCATCTCGGGGTAATGAATGACCGTTATTCAAATCATGCAATATTTGTTGAGAGTCTACCACGTATGAAGCCCTCTTCTAGGCACTTGCAATAGAACTGTGAGCAAAATGGATAAAAGTGCCTGCTCTTGTGGGGCTTATGTTCTAGTGGAGGAGAGAAACAAGAAAAAGAGTAAAATAAGAAAATATTCAGCATGTGTACAAAGGAGAGAAAAATAGCCGGGCGCGCAGTGCTCACGCCTGAATCCCAGCACTTTGGGAAGCCGAGGCGGGCAGATCACTTGAGTCCAGCAGTTTGAGACCAGCCTGGCCAACATGACAAAACCCTGTCTCTACTAAAAATACAAAAATTAGCCCAGTGTGGTGGCACGCGCCTGTAGTCCCAGCTACTCAGGAGGCGGAGGCAAGAGCATTGCTTGAACCTGGGATGTGGAGGTTGCAGTGAGCCGAGATCACATCACTGCACTCCAGCCTGAGCAACAGGGCGAGACTCTTTCTCAATAAATAAATAAATAAATAAATAAATAAATAAATAAATAATAAAGGAGAGAAAAATAAATCAGGGAAGTAAGAAAGGAAATGTGCCAGGGATGAGGGGTGGAGGTGGTGGGGTGGGGCCACTGGCCAGGAGGACACCTTCATTGAGAAGGTGATGTTGAACAAAGACCTCAAGTCTAAGGTTACCTTCATAAGCGGAAGATGAACAAGTTTGCACGGGAGCAAATAGACCAAGGTGGCCACTATCCTTAAGAAAACAAAAACCCATATTCATGCCAAAGGCCAAGAATATTGTTTTTGGTTATTGAAATGGAATGAGTCAGTAGTATCTGTGTGTGTGTTTCTACCAGACGGTTAATGGGCAGTTCATTAGCCGCTACCTTTTTTTTTTTTTTTTGGTGGTGGGGGAACAGTGTCTGGTGGGTGTTTCTGCAGGAGACTGCTGACCTCAGACCCAGCCGACCTGACTAATTTTTGCCAATGGAAAGTTATATGTGTAAGGGATTACAGCTCTTCTTTAATGGGCTGAGTTCATCTGTGGCCAGAAAAAGAACAAAGGCTCCCAGGGTACAGGGCTTTGGGAGGGGTGAGAAGTCTGAATCATAAGCCTGAGCCTAAGCAAGGTGTGTGAAGTTGTTGAGGCTGAGAAAAATAAAAGTCAGAGATGACTTATCTTGGCGTCTGCCAGCCCACAGCAAGGATTGTCAGCTGGGCAGGTTGTCAGCGTTGTGGTCCCATTCTGAGAAATTCCCTTTCTCAGAAACCAGGCATCTGAGAGCATAGGGTTGAACTTTGGTGTTTTAGGTGATGTGGTGAAGTGTTTGTCAACTTGCTGGCTGAGCCTCCTCCACACCGGTAGTAACTCTTGGTGCCTGTGCCAGGAACTGTGTCATCCTTGTGAGTCACCTGTCATGCATGTTTTACCGGGAAGTTGGGTGGTTCAGCTGCGAGCAAGATTCTGTTCAGTATGTATTTCTTTTGATTGTGAACCAACATTAGTACTTCAGGGAGGTATTATAAATAGGTCAGTGTAAAATATCCACCAGCCGTTAATTATCTCAGTCCAGAGTTTGAACTTGCCTCTTCGTGTGGTGGGGGTGTGGAGGGGGGGTCCTTGGTTCTGTGAAAGGGCCCCAGGAATACATTTAGGAATCTCCCACACATGCATTATGCATATTATTTGCCTCTTGTGCAATTGAGCTGGCTCACGTTAGATACCTTGTTCACTCACCTTTCTCAGACGGAGTGACAATTAACTTCCAGGAGCTTCATGACAAACCCTAAAATATGTTGCTTGCCTGCCACATTTGTCCTTAAGAGGGCATGAGGTTCTCCATGAGTAAGTGTAGGCTTTGGGAATCACACTCAGCCCTCTGACTTTGTGAACCCAGAAACTGAGATTCATGATACAAAGGGTAATATTAGTAATAATAAGGCCGGGCATGGTGGCTCACACCTATAATCCAGCACTTTGGGAGGCCGAGGTGGGCAGATTGTGTGAGGTCGGGTGTTCGAGACCAGCCTGGCCAACATGGTGAAATCCCATCTCTACTAAAAATACACAAATTAGCTGGGCTTGTTGGCGGGCACCTGTAATTCCAGCTACTTGGGAGTCTGAGACACAGAATCGCTTGAACCCAGGAGGCAGAGGTTGCAGTGAGCTGAAATCACTCCACTGCACTCCAGCCTGGGCAACAGAGTGAGACTCTGTCTCAAAAAAAAAAAAAAAAAAAAAGATAAATAAATAAATAAATAAAAACAAATAAATCAAATGTAAGGATGTCAAGGTTGTTAATGACAAGATTGTAGCCCAAATGCAGTAGTGAGGTTGGAGAGAGCTGGGGTCCCAGCCTCACAGAGACTAGGTTAGAATTTTAGACCTGCCTCTTACTTGTTGAGTGGCTTTGGGCAGTTCATTTAACCTCTCCGTGCCTCAGTTTTCTTTATCTGTTAAATGGGTCTAGTAATAAGTAGTACCTTGCTGAGCTGTCATGAGGACCAGGTAGAAAATTGAATGAGCAGCCCCTAGCCTAGTGGCTTTCACAGAGAAAGTGCTCAGGAAATGTCAGCAACTCATTGTCATCAAAGTTGTCTTCACATAGTTTTATGAGGGAAATGCTCTTATTCCCATTTTACAGATGAGGGACTGAGGCTTTATGAAGATTAAGGGATAGGCCTGTGACTGGAAGAGGAATTCCTGGCTGACCCGCAATTCTCACTTAGACTGCCTGGCACCCCTGCTTACGTCTTAACTGCTGAAATTACTGCGAGTTGAGGGTACACCTGAATGTGGTCAGTTAACATGTGTAACATTTAATATTTACAATTAAGAATTTGGGTTTGATTCATTTCCCCCACTGTTAGGGTTTTGGACTCATATCTGACCCTTTTTGGTTTCTTGATATGCGTTGAAATTTGGGGTTGGGATGGGTTGGTGGAAGCAGCTGTTCCCTACTGCTGTGCCTCCAGCATACTGTGCAAGGGTGTGCCTTGTTTTATCTTCATAATTGTGAAAGATTTACCTTGATAGGTGAGGCAATGTCATTTTATCTCTTACAATCAGAGAAAATCACTTATCTGGGCGTGTGAAGATCATGGTGATATGACAGGAAGAGTTGGCTTATTGGAAGGCTTGGTTAATGTGTGTAAAGTTTTGATTACTTTTGTTTTTAGCAGCAACTTTTTTTTTTTTTTTTGAGACAGAGTCTTAATCTTTTGCCCAGGCTACAGTGCAGTGGCATGATTACAGCTCACTGCAACCTTCGCCTCCCAGGTTCAAGCTATTCTTGTGCCTCAGCCACCCAAATAGCTGAGATTACAGGTGTGCGTTACCATCCCTGGCTAATATTTATTTATTTATTTATTTATCTATTTATTTTTAAGTAGAGATGAGGTTTCATTGTGTTGGCCAGGCTGGTCTTGAACTCCTGACCTCAAGTGATCCGCCCACCTCGGCTTCCCAAAGTGCTGGGATTTTAGGCATGAGCCACTGTACCAGGCCAGCAGCTTTTTTTTTTTTTTTTTTAAAGCTACATATATGTGAGCCAAAACGTTGAAAATGATATTTTTGGAATCTTTTTTAAAAGTTGTGGTAAGATATATATAACATAAAAGTTGGCATTTTAACTATTTTTAAGTACACACTTCATTGGCATTAATTACATTCACAATGTTGTACAACCATCACCACTATCTATGTCCAAAACTTGGGTGTAAGTGGAATTATGCAATATTTGTCCTTTTGTGTCTGACTTCTTTCACTTAGCATAATATTTTGAAGGTTCATCCATGTAGCAGCACAGATCAGAACTTCAATATTTAAATGGCTGAGTAATATTCCATTGCAGAGATATACCACATTTTGTTTATTCATTCATCTGATGGGCACATAGATTGTTTTCACCTCTTGGCTATTGTGAGTAATGCTGCAATGAATATTCACAGACAAGTGAAAATGACGGTATTTTGTGGCGTTAGCAAAGATGCACTTTTTTTTTTTTTTTGAGACAGACTCTTGCTCTGTTGCCTAGGTTGGAGTACAGTGGTGTGATCCTGGCTTACTGCAACCTCTGCCTCCTGGGTTCAAGCGATTCTCCTGCCTCAGCCTCCTAAGTAGCTGGGAGTACAGGCACACACCACCACACCCGGCTAATTTTTGTGTTTTTAGTAGAGATGGGGTTTCGCCGTGTTGGCCAGGCTGGCCTTGAACTCCTGACCTCAGGTGATCTGCCCTCCTCGGCCTCCCAAAGTGCTAGGATTATAGGCATGAGCCACCACGCCCTGCCAGAGATGAACTTTAATTTCTTGGTATTCCAGGGGTAGAGCTTTCCTAACTGAGGAAGTCTGTATCTTTGACCAGGTTGCTATCTTAACCCCTTGGGCACATGTGGATCTTTCCCCTGCATTCTTGCTGAGCCTGCCTCTGTAATTTGTTTGGGAGGACGCTGGCTGCTGGTGAGTCAGACTGCCTCCAGCCATCCGGGTTTGACTGCGTCCTCCCTCCCAGGTCTCTGGGCCCCTTGCTTGCTTGTCTGGAGCTTAGCCAAGAATTTCTCATGTACCCACTTTTTATGGTTTGCTTATTAATTCTAGATGGGCTCAATTTATATTGTTTTTTATTTGTATGTGCCTTTTGTACTAGGTTGGAGCCCCCAAATTATATGTGCATACACTGCATTGAATGTTCATTTTATGGACATATTTTTTAAAGGAGGTAATAATTGAGTGGAACATACAGCAAGTTTATTTCTGTTGACCTGGGTACTGGGCTGAAGCTGTCATGGTTTTATTATGTGAGCTTGAACAAGTCACTTACTCCTTCTGACTTCAGATGAATGAGTGATTTATAAGACCTCCTTTCTTCTCTTACATATAGAGGTCTATGACCCTAAATGTGTCACCCCTATGTTAGACCCTTTAATATTTTGAGATACAGGTTTGTCGTATTCTCTGATTGAAAGTAACTTGTACATGTTTGGTTTTCATTTACATTAGGGAAGATGGCAGCAAGTATTCCTAGAGTGAAATCAAATGCCTATGTTAGTGGAAGGGAACACAAGACAAGTGGATTCTCATCAACACGTTTCCCTAGCCATTATTCATTACAAGTCACCTAATTTTAATTGATTTTGTGCCTGTGGTTAGTACAAAACTCTGTAAGGTGTCATGTGTTACAAGCAGGTCTATAGGTGGGGTCCTTTTCACTTCACCATCCTACCCCTGTGCTAGATGTCTCATCGTGTATTGGGCCATTCTTGCATTGCTATAAAGAAATACCTGACACTGGGTAATTTATAAAGAAAAGAGGTTTAATTGGCTCATGGTTCTGCAGGCTGTACAGGAAGCATGATGCTGGCATCTGCTTGGCTTCTGGGGAGACCTCAGAAAACTTACAGTTATGGCAGAAAGAGAAGCAGGAGCAGACATGTCACGTGCCAGAGCAGGAGCAAAAGAGAGATGCGGGGAGATGCCACAAACTTTTATACAACCAGATCTTGCGAGAACTGACTCACTATCACGAGAACAGCACCAAGGGGATGGTGCTCAACTCTACATGAGAAATCCACCCCCATGATCTAATCACCTCCCACCAGGCCCCATCTGCAACACCAAAAATTACAATTCAGCATGAGATTTGGGTGGGTACAGATATCCAAACTATATCACCTTCTTAGCCAGCGTCATTCTCCACTCCCTGCCCCAGTATGTTTTGGCCCCCCAAAATTTTAAAGTGACAGTTACTGTATCTTAGTATAAAATAAAAATCAAAATGATTCCCACCCATGAATACCATTAAATACCATTAAATTGGTTGGACCTGGTTAGTGTCGGGCCTTTGTGGCTCACTGCGTCCACCCTCACAAGGGTGGCCTGCTACTTCCCCACAGTAGGGACTCTCTGGGGAAGGCTTAGGGCTCAAGAGGGTGAGCCCTCTGTGACCCCATTGGGAAGGACCTCCATTCTGTTATCTGACACGTAACTAGTGCCAGAACTGTACTTTTTGCCAAAATAGCACCGTCAATGTGAAAACATTGAGAACATTATAAATGCTAAGATCGTTTAAGAAACAGGGTTGGCTTATTTCCTGATTGAAAATTGTCTTGACATGTTTAGTGCCCATTCGCCCATTTAGAGACAGTGTTGGGCATGTGCCCAGTCCAAAGCCTGTTAACCCATGCATTCCATTGCCAATAGGCATCTATTATTTTAAGTTCCCACTTTACCGAAGGGTAGGCAGAGGGACTTGCTCTGAGTTACTCTTCTGGTTGTCGCTGGACCCTGGACTTGAACCGGCTCTTCTCATTTTGTATCCTTGCTTCTCTCATGACCCAATGAGGCCTCCCCGATGGGATACTCCCTGACCCAGCTTTTTCAAGAGGCTATACTGGGGATTATAAAGCTATCCTGGCATTCTTTGAAGAAATGGCAGGACTGAAATTAGAACTTGACTTTTTGTCTTCTTAGTTATTCTATATTATCTTACTTCTAGTGCCAATAACAATTATTATTGTTTATTGCTGCCGAGCAGGGAGGTATCTGAAAGGTCCCAAACTAGGAAAAACTTCGATGCTTTTACCCCCCGTGAACACATGCACCATTTGTGCAAGGCACCCAGGGCCCTTGAAATCAAAAGCCTTACTGTGTGTGTGGGTGGGACAGCATCTGGCCCCATATGGTTTATTGCTGGTGGGAGCTAAGAGCTCACGGATGTTTCCTTGGCCTTCTTTGTTATCTTTATCTAACTCTGGTTGCACTTCCTCCCTTTTCCCTTCACCCTTTCAGTTACAAACCTGGCTTCACTTAGAAGAATGTGGGCTACCAAGGAGTCCTGACCCTGTTGACTTTGACTTGTTAGATGAAAGTTGTTCTTCTGTAAGGAAATCTAATTTGGGGTAATGAAAACAATGGGGGCTTTAAAATCATGGAAACTTATAATTGGAAGATAGAGCTCAGAAGGCAGAGAAAATTAAATCGAACATTCATCATTTTATAGTAAAGGAAATTGAAGCCCTTGGATTTTAGGGAATTTGCCACACAGTCCCTGCAATGCATTCTGGAGGTGGTGTTTAAAAGCTATTAGAGTTTCCTGGCCTCTTTTTGGCTGGCCCTGTATTTTTTAAGAATATCTCTATGTATTTGTTAGGTATTCTGTTTTCAGATAGAGAAAACTATGTAAAGAGTCTCTAAGTTTGGTTGGCATAAGGTTTACTTTGAAGTTGTAAAACATTCTTGTATCAAATCAAATTTAATGAAGACTGTGTTTTAAAACTTTGCCTAGAAAGGTGAACCTTGTTTGTCTCTCAGAGAATAGAAAGACCCCATCCAGGGCTGAAACAAGTGTTTGCAGTGTTTTCAAACATGTCCGTATTCCCAAGCAGACCCTCAGATTACCTAGCATGGGAGTGTGTGGGATGGATCCATATTTAGACCTTTCATCAGTTTCAAATATAAAAAATTGATTTTGGCAATCCGTTGGTAGTCAACCACAAAATGTAGTTATGAAAAACCTTCTGCATTTCCATAGCAGTCCAAATATGGATTCCATTAACAGGATGCATATTTGGAACTGCAGTTATGCTGGGAAATCGTGTTTGGATTCAGGTAATTTGACGGTGTTGACACCCCTGTTGCGTATCACCTAACACGAGGAGGAGGAGGAGACTCTTCCCTGGCCTTGCTGCTGATAACATTGTTGCTAGGTGACATAGGTGAGGACGCGTTGGTGCCAGCACTTCTTACCTTGTTTTTGTTCTATGAAGGCTTGAAAAGGTGGAGGTAAGCTCCATTGTGGCTGATGGCTTCAAATTCGCAGATCTTGAAGACACCTTGATTCCTGACCAAGTTGGTTCTGGAGACCCCTGAAGAGCAATCCAGAAAATGCTTGCTTTTGGAAGTCATCTCTGTCACTGAGAATGCAATTTGAAAGGAATTTTAAAGCCCAGCTATTGTAGATCTAATATATAGAGAGAGAGAGTGAGCAAGCTAAACACTTGAGTTAAAATTTTTGGAGAGAATATGCTTAAATAAACTCTCCATACGTTTTCATTTCTGAGTGTAAATCCACTTGACAAAGGGAAAAAGAAGTTTAACCCTTTGTGACCTTTTCTCCACATGCCACATATTGTTTTCCAACATGAATTTATTTTTTATGTAGTCCTCTTCTGTCTGTTTAGCCAGCTCTTGTGCAAATATCCACTAACAATTCACATACCTCCTAAGGGTGTCAGGGTTTGCAGTTTCTCTGAACGTTCGTGCATAAAGTTGTCAGGGTTTGCAGTTTCTCTGAACGTTCGTGCATAAGGGTGTCAGGGTTTGCAGTTTCTCTGAACGTCCGTGCATGCATCTTTTCTTTTGCGGTGATGTGTGTTATTTTTGTATCATTTAGCGTCATTCCCAGGTTCATCCCGATCTTGAGAAATTAACAACAAAAGTCAGCTGTGCTCCCTCTACTGGTTGCATTTCTTTGGAGCAGAAATACTGTACATTTGTGTATAAGTTCATTGCTGCTGATGGGGCTCGGACCTGCGTTCACATTTTCTTTTCCGAAATTCGCATGACTTAAAAAGCAAAACGAGTGGCTTTCAGAACTGCAGGTTAAGAAACTGGTACCTTTAGAGGGATAGGCGTCTTCCTTACTGCCCACTTGTCTACTAGTGTTGTGGGGGAATCTTCCTGGGCAGGAGGACACAGCCCTTCTGCTATAGCAGTAAATTCTTGGATGCTAAGTCCTGCTTCCCTCCGAGGCCCAAGGCCAATGCCTGGGGCCTCTCCAGTTCTGATATTGCTGTATTTTCATCACTATCAGGTAAGCCGTTCTGTTCAGATCTGTGAAAACCTGCCCGCCACTGTATGGAGCCAGCAGGGTTTATGTAACGTGTTCACATGTTGCTCAGACTCTTGATCTCAAGTTATTCTTCTCTAGAAGCATCTACAGGGGACCCTTTATTTTTAGGCCTGAGAGATAGGGAAGAAGGTGGGGACTATTTGGTTTAATCCAACATGTATGTATTGCGTCCCCACCATATATGTGGCTTTAAGAAAATTCAAGATGAGCAAACCTACTGTTCCCCCACGTCCCCTTTAGAGAAACACTAAGTAACAACAAAAAGCTCTTCTCCCCCTCCATGCAAAATTAAATAATAATATCAGAAAGAAGGTGAAAAAAAAGTATATGCCCCCCACCCACCCAGAGCTAAAAGAAACCTTCTTAGGTAATCATGAGACCAGAAAACCTGTAGGCAAGATGTGCTCCCCGTGTAAGCCCACTGCTCTGATGCTCTGACCACTGACTTCATGGTGCTTGCCTTCCTCTTCCCACGAGTGATTTGTAACATTCTTTTCTATATGCTGTAATGAGATGAAGCGCCTTCCTGTTGTGTGTGGAGTAGTTCCAGCGGAGACTCATAATTGTCAATGGAGAAATGACTGATGGGCCTCGATGGGGCTGCTTTGTCTCAGTATCTGTCACATCTCTCGCTGCACACCATGTCGGCTTCCCCGAAGTACGCGATCTCTGATTCTCAAGACAGTCCCGCCTGGCTTTACATCATCCTTCTCCCATCCCCTTCATGATTGTTTTCATCCAGATTCAGCGTAAGTCAGTAGCTTGGTGAGTGCATGGATGCCAAGGCTGCACCCAAAACCACGGGATGCTTTCCTGCCTCTGATCTCAGTGTCTGCTTTCTTCTGAGCCCATATGTATGGTTCTCAGCGATTGAATGCTGCACAGTGGAAAAGGAGAAGTGTTGTTTCATGTTTTTCTAAGTCCCTGGAGAGTCTCTTCAAATTGATGATGCTATATGGAATAGATGGAATACATTAATTAAATGACAGGTGATAGTGAAACTTCTAAATCAGGGTTTCTCAGCAGCAGCAGCACTATTGGCATTTGTGGCTGGATAATTCTTTGTCGTGGGGGCCTGTTATATGCATGATAGGATGTAGAGCAGCATCTCTGGACTCTACCTACTAGATATCAGTAGCAACCCCCAGCTGTGACAACCAAAAATGCCTCCAGATATTGCCAAATGTTCCCCGGAGGCAAATTCACCTCCAACTAAGGACCATTGCTGTATCCAAACATTCTTCTCTTTCTTCATTCTGTTTATTTATTTATTTTCAAGACAGAGTCTCACTCCGTCACCCAGGCTGGAAGTGCAGTGGTGTGATCTTGGCTCACTGCAACCTCCACCTCCCAGGTTCAAGCAATTCTCATGCCTCAGCCTCCTGAGTAGCTGGAATTACAGGCACACACCACCGTGCCTGGCTAATTTTTGTATTTTTAGTAGAGACGGGGTTTCACCGTGTTTCCAGCCTGGTCTCAAACTTCTGACCTCAGGTGATCCACCTGCCTCAGCCTTCCGAAGTGCTGGGATTATAGGCGTGAGCCACCGTGCCCATTCTGTTCCTTTAGATGTGTTTGTGGGTACTCTTTTGTTTATTTGCTTAATTCATTTATCAGGTGGTTATTAAATTTTCTGCTATACCAGCCTTTATACCAGCCTATATTCTTTACCAAGAATGTAAAGATGAACCAGCCATCTCTTTCTTCATGTTCATATACATATGAATATATATATGTGTGAATCCGTGTGGATATATATGAATATATATAAAATATATATATGGATATATATACATATATATTTGAGTCAAGTTTAAATGTTTCTGAAAGTTCCCTTTTTAGAGTACTGTTTCCAGGCTGCATCCCTGGCTGGCATTTGAGTCATTATGACTTCTTTAATGAATGTTGGGTTTTTATTTTTGTAGCCTGTGTCTTTGAGGAAAGTCCCTTGCAGTATGGATGAGTATCCTTAGTTTTTGGCACAGCTTTTAACCTTATAAAATGATAATACTCTATTAATCTATCAATTTCATCCATGAATGCTTCAACCCTTTCAGATATAGCCTCTCACTTGTCACTTCAGATTTACCGTTTTCTTCTTTTGTGATTTCTTTCATTCTCTTTAACCAGCCACCTGAGGCATCATTTAACCTGAGGTCATTTAAAGTTTTATTTAAAGAAACTTCTGTTTGGAAACCAAGGTCAAGCACAGCAGAGGGATGTTCATTGCATGGCTTTCTGGTAAACTTTAAGTTAGCATGTTCCCTTTCACATTTTTAGAAACTGATATAAAAATTGCTCATGGGAAATCAAATTTGGGGCAGTTTTCTTTCCAGGGGGAAGGAAAGAGGGATGTATTTCAGCGAGGAAGAGGTTGACAGATAGTTTCCACTATGTGAGTAATTTTAATTTTTTTATGCTACATGGTGGGCACGTGGGTGTTCATTATATTCTTTTCAAATATATGTTGTATATTGGAAATACTTTCTAGTACATATGAAAGAAAAGGCAGCCAACTGAAAGTTTGGTTTCTGTTTTTCTGCCCTTCACTCCTTTTCAATAGATGTTTGGGAGTTAGGTCTCCACTGAATGAACTACCCACGTTTCTGTCCTTGAAGGGCTGGTGGGGGGCGCTTATGTAACATTGCTGGCCTTTTATATCTTTTAAGAGGCGCTGCTTTTTTGCCACGTGCTGTAGAAAATTATTTGACAAGCACTCACGCTTTGTGCAGGGTGACCAGGTTCATCCGTAAAATGGTTAAGACCTTTTCGAAATACATTGCCCCCAAGGATGTGGTGGGGAGGGTGCTGGGATTCTGAGTGACAGCCGGCGAATGCCAGAGGGAAGAATTAAATTGGAGAGGGAGGCGGAGAGGAGGGAGGTGATGGTGGGAGGAGGAAGGGAGGAGCGACCAACCCTCTCCAACACACCCAAGTGACCAGATTCATCATAGCACGAAACTTCACAAGTTACACCCACTGCCTCCGCCAGCAGCCGGGGAAGGCTGCTGCTTCCTCATTTCTGTTACTGGAAGTTTGGGACATGTGAAGCCAGACGGGGAGAAACGTGCGCGCCTTGTTGAGCAGCGGTGAGCTTGAATTTTGAAATCGATTCTTTCCACCGGCGAATCTCTTTGTGTCGGGTGGTCAGGGGAGGCAGCCGAATGTGGCTCTGAACGAGGATAGGTGAGAGCCCCGAGCTGAGCTGTGCAGCTGGGGCCGGGGAACCGTGCGTCCCGTGCCCCTTCCCAGAACGAGCAAGCGCGTCTCCAAGCTGCGCCCCGAGGCTCGGCGCGCGTTGCCGGCTGAGCTGCAGGGGACGGCGGCGACGCTGGTTCTGGCTCCAGGGTAAAGAGATTCGGGCTTTGAAAGCGTCATCTTTCCCCCTTGACTTCTGTAAGCGAGGATCATTGTATGGGATATGGGGTCGGGGAGGAGACTGCGGGATCACGTCACCCACCCAGGATGCGTCCTGCCCGGGGCTGTCCCGCTGCTCGTTGGGTAATTGCAGGTCAGTGCCATTGAAAAAGAACCCCATGACAGGCTTGGGAATCAAGTGAGAAAAAAGTTCCGAAGGAATATTCAGAAGCTGTGGCTCCCGACCGCACCTGGATGGGAGTTCTGGAGTGGGACGTCGGAAGTCTCGGGGTTCTCATTAATTTTACATCTGATTAAATTAGTTCGACTCTAGGTTCCTGGCTGTGGAGGTGTGATTTGTTTATCTGGATCATTTTTTTAAATGTCTGTCTTTCTGTGAAAGCTAGCTTACCTTTGGATCGATTGCCTAAGTCAATTTTGTGAGAGGAAGTTTGGGTGGAAGGTGGTGCTGGGGGCTGGGATCATTGCAAGTGGCAGTATGTCCCAGCAAAGGATAAACTTAGCTCAAATGAGGCTTCTCACAGACAGGATTTAGGTTTTATTTCAAGTCTGGAGCTGGTCACTGGGCTTCCATTTGGCCTGTGTAGCTTTTGCTCAGTGTGTAGGGGTCAGAGGGAGGCTATTGGGTTAACTGTTACCTGTTGCACTTGTTTCATACCTGATCAACAACTTAATAGTACACCAGCAGCTGGAGCTGGTTTTTGTTTTTTTGTAAGCGAATCCTTCATGAGAATGTTTACAGAATCATCTTACTTTGAGGGGAAGAAATGAAGGTGAAAAATGTGTGGCTCCTGTTGTATTTATAGCAAGCCAAATGTTCTTTCCCAGGTCTGGGGTGGGTACAATCAGGAAAATGTCAGTAGCTGATTTTATCATTTTTCTTATATCGAAGCGGAATTGGCAGACTCTCTCAGCATACCTTCCCTTGAACTTTGGGGGTCGGGAGGCAGGTTGCTGGGGCCGCAGTTTGCTTAGCTTGCTCTGACTCTCCCACTTCCTTGAAGTTAAAGATACAGATGGAGAGGAAATTACTTTTAAACCAAATCAGACATGGCTTAGGGAAGAACAACAGGTTGCATGATCCAGGGCTAGAGCCCTGAGTTCTAGCTCATTTTGAGCTCAAGAAAGGACCCAGCAGCAGGTAGATGTGAAATTGATGCTGACATGAGGTCTGTGATCTACTCCCTCACGCCCCTCCACCCCACAAGGAACCTTTAGTAACTCACTCAACAGGAAAGACAACCAAATTGGATCTCATGATAATGCTGGTGAAACTGACTAATAGACGGAGTTTTATGGAACAATAATTCTTAGCTACAAAAAGGGGAACTGCATTGTTCATAGAGCAAAGGTTTTTAGATATTGTCACATGTGACTGTTGGAAGATACCATCATGAGGACATTTGAAATTGGGGTTAATGCTAGTATATGACCGTGTAGATGTGAGAGAAAGTGGCAATTTCTGTATCATTATCTTTTCATATTGTCTCCCCACCTCTCCCAGTAAATAAGCTGGTTTGTCTCTGGTTGGTTATATTTTTAAATTTTATTCACTTATTTCTTCTTTTTAGAGATGGAGTCTTGCTCTGTTGCCCAGGCTGGACTGGAGCTCCTGGGCTCAAGTGATCCTCCCGCCCCAACCTCCTGTATAGCTAGGACTATAGGCATGTGCCACCTTATCTGACTGTTTTTAAATTGTAAATTTGTTTAATAGATACTAGATCATTAAAATTGTTTGTTTTAATACCTAATTTTTACAGAAATTTTCCCATTTTATGTACAATTTAAAATTGGTATAATATTGAACATGCTGTCCTCATAATATTTTTAAAGACTGTAGTATCTGTAGATATGTTTCCTTTTTCATTCATGGCGTTATTTGTACCTTTTCCCCATCAGTCTTGCTAATGTATTATCAATTTTATTGGTCTTTTGGAAGAACCAACTTCGATTTTTGATGGTATCTTAATTGGAACACAAACAAAGGCCACCTCCTTTCTTGAGTTTATATTCATTTTTAAAATTCTGCCCAGTGGAACTCTGTCGAAAAAGGCCTTAAACAGCCTTTGAAAATTAGCAACTGAGTTCGTTAGCTGCAAGTAGGAGGACACCATGTATTTGTCTTTGTATGTTTGACATAGATTATGTTTTTTCAGTTTTATTAAAATATACTTTCTGTTTGTGAACACCACACACAGTGGACCAAATTGTTCCAAGGTGGGTTTTGTGTATTAATTGAGGCACACCCTGTGATATTGTTCTGGAAAAATGTAACTAGAATTTACATAAGACTTACTGGTAATTTAAAGTGAATTGTAGGTACTTTCAACCCACTTGACAATACAGATTTACCTTGTACGACAGCAGAACAAATTTGCTGTAATGACTGGAGAAGACACTTCATTTTGGTTCATATTTAATGCATGAGTCTGAGCATTTTAAAGTTTTCTCAGAACAGATTCTTTCTAAGTATATCAGAAAGGATGCTGGAGTCAGAAAGACCTGGCTTTGAATTCTTGCTCTGCCCCTTTTGACTGTGTGGCCTCAGGAAAATTGCCTAACCTCTCTGAACTTGTATTTCCCCAAATGTGATCTGGAAACTGATTGTGAAATTGCACTGTGAATTCAGCGTATAATGAGATTTCATTATGAATATTCGTGTAAGGTTTCTATCCTTTGTTTGGCACAAAGTAGGCATTTAATAGTGACACTTAGTGTTTTCAGTGTAACGATTAGTATTTTCTGCCTCCTACCCTTTCTTGTCCTACCTCCAACCTTTCCACTTCTCTCAATGGAAGGTGAAGGAAGGTGAAGTTACTGCCGTAGAATAAAACAAAAACCACTTCCCCCATTTGTTCTCTCTTCATTATGGGCAAGTTCCATATTTTCAGTATTTTTATCTTGTTTTCCTAGTTGATTATCTTACCATTTCTTCCCTCCAATTTTTATCTTACTTTCCCAGTGTTGGTTTTTTTTTTTCCTCTCAGTTTGTCTCATCTCCTAAGGATCTTACCCACTGCTCTGCTCTGTTGTTTTTTTCTTTCCTTTTTTTTTGCCTGCCTTTAGTGTAAAAATGAAATGAGTACAAAGCCCGAAACTTGGCAGCGACTGAGATGTAAGTTAGTGGGTTGCTTCTATGAAGGCAAAGTGTGTTAAATTTAGTTACTCAAGAATTTAACTTGGAAGCTGGTCATGGCGGTGTGTGCCTGTAGTCCCGGCTACTCAGGAGGCTGAGACGGGAGGGTTGCTTGAGCCCAGGAGTTTGAGGCTGTCCTGGGCAACATAGTGAGACCCCCTCTCTAAAAATTAAATTAAAACAGGAAAAGAATTAAACGTGAAGATAGACGATGCTGGTGACTGCCATAGCAGTTTCGTGCCACAGACCTTGGAGTACTTTTTCAGACCTTGGAGTTTCTAAGCACTTTTGGGGGAAGTGTTGATTGTTTGATATTATGGTTGATGCTGTAACCAAAAAGGGACAATAAGAGCATAGGACAGAGGAGCTTGGCTGGTTAATATTCCCCGACAAGGGAATGTAGCGTTATTGAGTTTGCCCAACCCTGAGCCATTGGTTCTTCTTAGGGTCTCTCAGTTGACAAGGTCCTAGGGTATAAGGACCTTGTCCTATGTAATGGCATAATTACTTAGCATTTATTTATGCATCTAGTATTGCAAGGGACTGGACTGGGGATGGAAAGGGATTGTGAGCTGGGAAAAGGCTTCATTTGCTTTATGGTGCTATGCTAAAGTTCTGCTTTGCTCAAGGAGTGAGTCTTGGTTTACATTTTGGGTAGTGAATCAGCTTCAAGTGTGGAGTTATTTTCAATGAAGACAGATTGACTAGCTGCACCTGGTCTGGCCTGCCCACTATGACCCAGTGGTGCTATTTTGTTCTAGCCAATGCTTTCATGAGAATGGAGAACAAGGAGGCGTCGTTTTCATGAGTATTTTGCAACACCCACTTCTCCAGTTTATTTTGATGCCGTTGCTTGAAAACAAGTGTTAGCATGGCTTTCATTGGTAACACTTTTAGGGAAGAGATCATCACTTTTGGAAAGTTTTGTTTCTTGAATGATTCAGGGTGGATTGATTTGTGAGCTCTTGTACTGAATCGTAGAGCTTCCTCTAGTACCTTGCAGCCACATGCTTCAGTGTTTCCATTAACTATGAGATTTTGGTGGGCAAGAATCTCTACAGTCAAGGTGCTTTCTACAAAGCTATAGATAACTAAGCCTGGTAAATGCTTCTTTATTAAAATACGAACTGCTTATCAAAATATCCATACTCTAATGTATTGAGTGTCTACAACATGTAAGGTACTTTTCCTGTGTTATCACGTTAATGTTTCTGAGGATAATCTTGCAATCTCTAGAGGTATGTAAAAACGAAGCACAAAACCCATTATTTTCTTATGTTGCTCTTATAGGTAGAATCACTGTGGACTGAGACCCACCTTTCTAGACCTGAAGCCCAGGAGGAGGAAGAGGAGGCTGGTTGGTACCATGGGCATAATGCTCTGAATCCTAGTCTCTCACCTAGTATGTGAGCAGTCCCTGCAGATGGCCCATTTGGAGATCTTGACAAAGCCTCTTCTGTTTCCAATGGGGTAAGTGTGGCGTTTGCAAAAGGCTGGGGAATGAGGATTGAAGCTTTTAAAGTCTTTATTATCTTGATCCTGCCCAAATCCACCTTTTTTGGGACAATAGAAAGTTCATTGTTTGTGACGATTGTTTTGGTGGTTAAAGGGTTGCTGAGTCTCCCCACTTGCAATCTGAGGCTTTGAAATGGGTTTCCTGGGAACCTTTCCCATTCTTCCTGGGTGGTTCCCATGGTTATTTTATTTTGGAGTTGGCTGCGGGTAATCCTCTGTCTTTCTGACTTCTCTTTTGTCTGCCCCCATGATACTAGGAAAGGGGAAGAAGGAATTGATTTGGATGCAGCTGGGGAAACTTGGTATCAACGTGCTGGTTTGGGGGCTCTTGGGTGTGGGTTCACATCACTTTCAATGCGACAGGGTAAGCATTGATGTAAACTGCTAAGTGGTTTTGTTCAAGTGGAATATTTCATGCGGCCTCCCTGCTGCGGTGAAACTGGACGTCTTTATTGCATGACAGGCTTGGGGCTTTCACAGAATGGATCAAGAGGTCGCCGTGCAACGTTCGCAGTTAACTCCAAGAGAAGAAATATGCTGCAAAGACACCCTCCCTACTTCCTGTATGTGGCACAGACCCCTTCTAGGGAATTCCAGCAGAAAGGGCTGTGGGTACTTCAGTTTCCCTTCTAAGTGGGAACGGTCACGTTAGCCCATGCAGTCCCCGTTTACTTCCTAGGAGGAGAATGACGTAGACCAAAAGGGGCTTTCTAGCTATGTGAAGTTGCTCTTGTTCTTTTCAACTTTGCCTTCCTCTCGTGGACAAACGCACCTCGACCTTGTTAGCAGGTGACATCGGGATGCATTATTTAACCTTTACCAGGTTGGGCTCCTATGTTGGTTGGTCCAGAAATTGAACACAATAGGAGACTGTGGACTTGAGAGAGGGCAAGAATCACAGGTGCTTCCTGAGGAATGCATGATTCCTGTAACTTTTAGAGTTTCCCACCCTGCATTCCGGGTCCTGCTTTGCAGATCTTGCCGTGACTTGTTCCTCCAGTCTTACCTGCTGCTCCGCTCTGCCTGCATCCAGACGCACAGCAGCGTAGCCACTCCTTTCTCCGCATGTACACAGTGGCTTGGAGAAACCTTTCTTTCAAGGGCTGTCTGGACACGGAGCAGATAAAACCTCCGGGTTGACCTGGAATATGTGCACCCTCCTCAGGGTTAGCCCTTGCTAGGGATGCCCTGGGGGTACAGGGACTCCCAGGTAGTTGGTTAAAGGGAATCCAGTCCCTAAGGGCACCCTCCAACAGAGAGCGGAGCCAAAGCACTCACTTTCCCTGTGATAATACAGACACATTGTATTATCATAATTAGGCTACATGCCTTTTTCAAGGGGTAAAAATAATCATATAAATAATAATAGGCCGGGTGTGGTGGCTCACACCCGTAATCCCAGCAGTTAGGGAGGCCGAGGTGGGCGGATTACTTGAGGTCAAGAGTCCGAGCCAGTCTAGCCAACATGGTGAAACCCTGTCTCTACTAAAATACAAAAATTAGCCCGGTGTGGTGGCACATACCTGTAATCTCAGCTACGCGGGAGGCTGAGGCGGGAGAATTGCTTGAACCCAGGAGGTGGAGGTTGCAGTGAACTGAGATCACACTACCGCACTCCAGCCTGGGCAATAGAGCAAGACTCTGTCTCAAAATAATAATAATAATAATAATAATAATAACAACAATAATAATAATAAAAACAACAATTATTAACCCTTTGGAGCACCGGCTGTCCATGTTCAGCCCCTATCCCTTTGGGTCCCCTTCACCTGTCTAGTAAATTCCCTCTCCCTGAGTGCTTTCGCTCCTGCTGTCTTTGGTGGAGGGTGCCTTTAGGGGCTGGATTCCCTTTGGCCAACTACCTGGTAGTCTCTATACCCCCAGGGCATCCCTAGCAAGGGCTAACCCTGAGAAGGGTGCACATATTCCAGGCCAAGGCTGAGGTCTTATCTTGCCCTGGGTCTAGAGTGCCCCCAGGGCTTCCTTCCCTTCAAGATCTCCCCTACCTACTTTCTGGTTTTCTCTGAAAACACTTCCTAATCAAAAACGTATACATGACTTCTCACCTCTGGCCTAAGTAACCTATTCAAAGCAATAGCATTGGAAAGTGAGGTACCAGGATTTGAACCAGGCAGCCTGGCCTATGGAGTCTAGTCTCTTGATCACCGTGCTATTGTGTGTTCCTCCAGGGTGGGTTGCTTGGATTCTCTTTATACTTGCCCCAGCATGGCTATAGTGACTGCCATGGCGTGCCTAGTAAATGTTAGCTGAACGAGTGGCCACACAGCCCGCCAGAGTCAGCTTTCCTGAGTCCTGTCTCAGGGCACCTGTCCTTGTTGGTTACCCCCATTGGCCTCCTGCCTGCTCTCTGCCGATTCAGATTTTACCTCTCCTTCAGAGTCAGTTCAAGTCCACCTCCTCCCGGCTGTCTTTCTGGACTGCCCCAGCCACTGTGATTTTTGCCCCTCGGAACCAGTGTTCCTTCTCAGATGATGTTACCCTTCTGAGCTCTCCCTGAAGTAGGATCATGAGTCCCTGAGACCTGTGACTGTGCCCTGTGCCTCATGTGCCACAGTGTTAAGGGATTCTTTTTGGGATTAAAACCCGGTCAGAGCTGTCCAAAGAAATGTCAACGTTGCTTCCAGGTTCTGTGAGCAAAGGAAAGTAATGAGGTTAAAGAGCAAAACTAAAAAAAAAAAAAAAAAAAAAGCAAGGGGCAATTCTAAAAATTGTTAGCCCATTTCTGTGTGAGCCTGTGTGTGTATTTTCACACTGCAGCTGCTCAAGTTGAGTCATAGAATGGATGTGTCATCTCTTGGCTTCAGGCACAGTGGCTAGCCCATCTTCCCCCCGGAGGGAGTTTAAGCACATTTATGTGATGAATAATGTGGATTCTCCCCCAGTACTTCAGATGTAGTTCAACAGATTTCATGCAAATGGTAGGTGAAACATGTCAAGCATCTTTTGTCCCCATTCGAAAGATAACAGAAATATGTCCCAGCAGAGTCAGTGCGCTGAGTCTTAGCTGATGGCCGGCCGAACGCTCCCCAGTGGCGTCTGTCTTCACTTATTCTGTCTTGGACATCTTCTGCCTCCTGGGTGCGCCCCCGACATTGTAAGGCTATGGAAGGAGGGCTAGGGCTGGAAAGGAAGATGCAAACATTGAGCACCTACTGTGTGCCTGGCATACTTCTGCTTTGTGATCTCTAACAGAATACATGATTGCACCTCACAGCCCCTCTGAGCCTGTGCGTATTCTCATCTCCAAGTCTACTTGGTGGAACCTAGGTAGCTTGACTAAAATCACTCTATTGTGGCAGTGACCCTGGAGTTGAACTGTGTGTTATCTGATTTCTAAACTCGTGACTGTTCCCACACATCTTGACCTCCGGTTGTGAATATAAACAGAGACATTTAGATGAGCATGTCTAATGGTCATATTAACTCTAGAATTTGGAGACTCTTGAGTTTCTTTCTTTTTTCTTTTTTTTTGGAGACAGAGTCTCGCTCTGTCACCCAGGCTGGAGTGCAGTGGTGTGATCTCGGCTCACTGCAACCTCCGCCTCCCAGGTTCAAGCAATTCTCCCACCTCAGCCTCCCAAGTAGCTGGGATTACAGGTGTGCACCACCATGCCCAGCTAATTTTTGTATTTTTAATAGAGACAGGGTTTCACCGTGTTGGCCAGGATGGTCTTGAACTCCTGACCTCAGGTGATCCACCTGCCTTGGCCTCCCGGGATTACAAGCATGAGCCACCGCACCTGGCTTGAGTTTATTTCTGATCTAAATCTTTTCTACATTAGCCAATTCCTCCTAGCATTTCACTGTTCATGAGCTTGTTGAAGTCATTATTGTCTGAAATACCATGTTTAGGTTTCACTTTGTGGAGGGTGGGGAGGGTGAGGTAATATTTTAAAAACTGCAAAATTAGGGATCTCATTTTATTTTTAGATGTTGGTCCACAGGTGAAACGTATCAGGCTGGTTCTTTGAACACCCTCAGGAAAGTTAAAGAGATGGATGCTTCTCTTTAGGAACCGGGAACCTCTCTGGTTAGACAGAGGACTCTTCTTTCACTGTTTTTGTTTTGTGGCACAAACGGCCTGGGATGTGGATGCCTTGGGTCTGATGCAAGATACCCTGGAGGCTTCCCTGGCCTGTCCTTCTCCTGCCCATGTCGCGTAAACATTGGCATGGCAGGGACAGATGGCCACTCCGGGAACTCCTTGGATGTCACATTTGGTTGCCTGGGTTGGGGGTCGGGTGGTTGCAGCCAGTCTCCACTGTGGGGAGGAGAGGCTGACTGGGAAATACTCCCATGGCAGTGGGTAAACACAAGCTCACCTCCGGAAAGGCTGGGCGCCCTGGTACATGTGCAGGCTGGGGCGGTAATGGAGTCAGATGCACATAAGTGTGTTTAGCTTGGGAAGGAGCCAGTCTGCTCAAAGCACACAGCCTTTTCTCTCTGCTCCGAACTGATGCTCAGCAGAGTTCGGTTTGCTTATGGGGATGGGAATGAACCATGTGGGGGCTGTGAAGGGAGGGATGGGCTGCAGATAACTACTTTCAGAGCTAGAAAAAAATTCTTTCCAGAGGCCTGGGTTAGCTTTACTGGAGGCGCAGGTGAGGGTATCTGAAATCCCCGGAGAGTCAAGATAGCGCAGTTAGGTGCCCTTATCAGTGGGATTTTTTTGCTGATCAAACAGCATCAATATGTGTAATGAGGACTGAAGCATTGATGAAGAACAGCCGAGTGCAGTGTTTCCTGCATAAAATCCCATCGATTCCGGAGGCTGAGCAGGGGGAGAATCCCTTGAGCCAAGGACTTTGAGGCTGCAGTGAGTCAGAACCACGCCATTGCACTCAAGCCTGGGCAACAGAGTGAGATCCCAAGTCAAAAAAAAAAAAAGGCGGGGAGGTGGGGATAATAAAGAAACAGCACCCAGGTGGGGAGGGCTGGAGGCAGCAGAATCCCTCTTCAAAGAAAGCACAAGAGTTGACATTAAGTGAAAATAAAATGGATTTTTCGTGGTTTCAGCTTTAGAATGGAACACTAGGGGCTGTTGCAATTGCCTGCATGCAAACCAAGCGTGGGGTTGAATCGAAGTGGAAAAGCCTATAGCCATAAGCGTTGATTGGAAGCGTTTCCGATTTTCACCTCTACGTAGTAACTGTTGCTATTTATCTTTCTAATGTATTTGCAGAAGTCTCAACAAGCCAAGGTAAGGTAATGTATTCAGGTTAGGAGAGTGACATCTAGTTACTATGCTTCATATTAATTTTTTGGGGGGGAGGGTGGTATGGTTAGCTCATTTATTCATTCTTTCAACAAATCATTTGTTGGGTAGCTATGAATATCATCTTTGGGATACAGTGTAGAATATCATCTTTGGGGTACAGCGTAGCTTACAGTGTAGAAGGGAAGAAAAGATATACCATCAAGAATTCATAAGTGTTCAGGCCAGGCGTGATGGCCCATGCCCATAGTCCCAGCACTTTGGGAGGCTGAAGTGGGAAGATCACTTGAGCCTAGAGATTCGAGACCAGCCTGGGCAATAAAGTGAGGGCTCATCTTTACAAGAAAATAAAAAACTTAGCCAGGGTGTGGTGGTGCATGTCTGTGGTCCCAGCTACGCAGGAAGCTGAGGCGGGAGGATTGCTTGAGCCCAGAAGGTTGAGGCTGCAGTGAGCCATGTTTGCGCCACTGCACTCCGGCCTGGGAGACGGAGCCAGACCCTGTCGCAAAAGAAAAAACAAAAAGAGAGTTCATAGAAGGGTTCAAATGAGAGGTATAAACTAGAAGTTTAGAAGGGTTCAAATGAGAGGTATAAACTAGAAGTTTGATAAATTTGAAGAGTCAGGACATTTAATCTTCAAAGTAATCCAATGAGCTGTTAATATTCCAGTTTTACTGCTGAAAAAAACGGAGTTGGAGAGAAGTAAAGTGCCTGGACTAGGCTCAGCAGCCCCCAGGCGGACAAACCACACCTACCCAGATCCTCAGCCCTCGGGGCAGCTGAGAAACCCTAGCCTCTGTGGTCCTGATTTCCCTGTGTTGGTAGCTCAAGTAGTGAACAGTGCATCTACAATCTTTAATTCATTTATTTATTTAAAATAAAAATTGCTTTTGAGAGATGGGGTCTTGCCATGTTGCCCAGGCTGGCCTTGAAATCCTGACCTCAAGCAATCCTCCTGCCTCAGCCTCCTGAGTGGCTGGGACTGCAGTCATACATCACCATGCCTGGTTTATTTAGTTCTTTTTAAGAGTTGGGACAGAAAACCAATGTGGACTCTTAGTGTTTCTGCTTCACCTTTCTCAATATTTAGAGGAATCTAGTTTGGGCAGATGTCTGATGAGCCATTTAGTCATGAAGAGCTCTAACCAACAGACTTTTTTTTTTTTTGTAGATCATTGGAGGGTGATTTTAATGATCACATACATAGTGTGAATGTGAGTGTGGGTGTTTTATCGCGAGTTCCCTGGTGGTGGTTTGAGCATTTTCTCTGGGTGGTTCCAGTGGCAGTGTTGATACTGCTAGAAATGGTTCCTGCTCAGGGCACAGTGGTTTTTCTCTTTTGGTGAAAAAAAAAAAAGTTTTTTTGAGTGAGGTGAGTGAGGGTATTTCTGGTAAGCTCAGTCATGTATGTTTAAACAAAATGATTATCATTATTTGCTAGTTAGTATTTCATTAATATGAAATATGAGAAGGTGAGCACTGGGCTAGAAAGAGGTCAGGAGACCAAAGTTCTTATCCTGGGCTCTTCCTGACTCTTCAACCTTAGTTGAGCCTGTTGCTCAGGGCTGTGAGTTGCATCCTTAGGTTCCTTGAGTGTATAGAAATTTCTCTCTGTATAGTTGGCAAAGCCTGTAATATGGATATTATGTACCAAGACTCAACTTTTAGCTTGATAGTGCTGCATTATTTATTTACACATTATTTATTTGTTTCTTTCAGTCTCAGATGCCGTGGCTGGATTTTATATTTTTGGTGTTGTATTTTAAAATACCGTGTTAACTTGTGGTTGTTTCCTTTTCTTTCTTTCCTTTTTACTCCAGGAGTAGGGGGTTTCATGTAGGATGAAAATGAAAACTAAAGAAAAAATAGGATCTGGAAGTAATTTTGAGAGCAGAAAAATTAAATAAAATGGGAAAATATACCATTTTGTTACTAGCCAGGTGAAGAGAACACAGGAGCATGTACGTGCTTTTTCTCAGTAATTGGATATGTTAGACACGGATTATGTTTTCGCTGGGACCTTGTAGTTAAAAGAAAGCAAAAAGCTGATCTGAATGTTCAATATTTCCCTTTTCTCAAGAGCACATGAAGTTGGTATTGAAATGTGAGTTGCCTGCCTCTTATTTCCATCGTTTGAAATCAGACTGAAATCCTGCATGTGGGACCCTCATTCTGTGACCTCTGTCTGTGTATCCACCAGGCTTCCTTGCCAGCCCTCTTTCTGACTCACAAATGGCAGTGGGTGTGAGTGCCCAGGAATACTTAGAGTGGTAAATACAGGATTTGGGAAATTTATCTGCAGAATGTCAGCCCTCAGTAGGAAAGTAGTGCTGTCCAATGGAAGGCCTGGTCAAATGCCTTTTGGTTGGATGTTTCAAGCTGGTGTGGCATAGCCGGAGATTCCCAGTCCTCAGGAGTGTGGTAGGGTAGGCTCTGTCCTACCAGGAATGCATTTGGATTTTAGAGATAGTTGAGAAGTAGTTTCTTTTGGAATAACATTTAAGACACGTTTGGGTTCTGGGACATCCTCCTTCCTCATTTTTCCCCTGGGAGTCATTGTGGCTGGTTGGGCCTATGGGCCTGCAGGCTGTGTTTGATGTGGTGAGCTCCCCTTTTCCAAAGGATGAACCTATCTGCCTTGAGATGCCTACAGTTTTGCAACTTCAGTTTAATAATTATATATGGATTTTGAGACATAATTGGTGGGATGGATGCTTACTTTCATAATTCATTTCTACTCCTGTGTCCAGAAATTTGTAGGCATCTTTGTTTTACAGTTTGTCATCATCTTCGTTGACTACTTGGTTGAATCTTTGAAATGCATTCAACCCAGCATTTTTGTTTTTTTTAGCACTGGCTCTGTATGTCACAACAGTGGATCCCTCAGAGAACACGTGGGCTGGTAGTACCAGTTGGGAAAACATAGCCTAAGTATAATGGAATCTACAGCGAAGTTCCACGGACATGTTTATTTAATAGGGACAAAAGAAAATGTTCAAATCACATTTTACCTTTCCGAGTTTATAAATCCATCTGAAGTGCTTGAAAAAAAATCATAGTATTAGAAATGGATGCATGTGTATATAAAACTAACACTAGAATTCTTTGCCAAATTTAACTTCTCAAAAGTGTTCTTAGAAAGAGGGACTTTCTTGGAGAGTATGAAGTCTATTTTGTCTCTAACTCACTAAGGTCATTCTTTGCATTTCTCTTTCGGTGTGTCTCCCCACACCAAACTGCTATTAAAAACATACAGAGAACCTTGGGAGGCTGAGGCAGGTAGATCACTTGAGGTCAGGAGTTCGAGACCAGCCTGGCCAACATGGTGAAACCCCAACTCCACAAAAATACAAAAATTAGCCAGGCGTGGTGGCGCATGCCTGTAATCCCAGCTACTTGGGAGGCTAAGGCATGAGAATCACTTGAGCCTGGGATGGGGAGGTTGCAGTGAGCTGAGATTGCACCACTGTACTCCAGCCTGGGCTACAGAGGGAAACTCTGTCCCCCAAAAAAGAAAAACAAAAACAAACAAAAAATACAAAGAACCATGCAAAAAACCAAAAACAACTCTGCACACGGATGTTTATGGCAGGTTTATTGGAAACTTGGAAACGACCAAGATGCCCTTCAGTAAGTGAATGTATAAACTGTGGTACATCCAGATAATGGAATATTATTCAGCACTGAAAAGAAATGAGCTAGTCATGAAAGAACATGGAAGAACCATCAAGGTGGTTGCCAGGGGCTAGGGAGGAGAGAGGGATGAACAGGCAGGGCACACAGGACTGGTGCTCCCAGGGTGGTGAAACTACTCTGTATGAGACTGTGATGGTAGATACATGTCATTATACATTCATCCAAAGCCATGGAATCTACAGCTCCAAGACTGAACCCTAATGTGAACTATGGACTTTGGGTAATAATGATGTGTCAATATATGTTTATTGATTGCAACAAACAGACCATTCTGTTGAAAGATCTTGGTAGTCGGGAGGCTGTGCGTGTGGGGCAGGAGGTATATGGGAAATCTCTGTGCTTTCTGCGTAATTTTGCTGTGAACCTTAAACTGCTCTATAAAATGGTATTATGAAACAGCAACAACATTCAAACCAAATTGAGGAGACACAGCACTGCATTCTACTCATGACATCTAGTAAAGTGTCTTTTGACCTATAGTACTTCTTGAAGTTCTTTGCAGCCTGTCGGCTTGGGCAGCAGTCACTGGGCAGCAGGGGAGAATCCCTCATCAAGCAGGAGGCTCTGATACTCTAAGAATGGGATTTTCCCTGGCGGCTTCATAGCTGTGAAAGCACTGACTTCATGTTCCTGTTTTCTTCCTTCTGGCCATGTGCTGCGCTGTGGACACTAAGGATGCATTTTCTGGTGAGCTGATTCATATGGTAGATGCCGTGTTAGCCACACTTTCCTGCATCAAGGGTGGTTACGGACAGCAGGGATTTGGTCGTATTTGAATGTACTGTGACCTGGGGACCAGAAATGCTCAAATCCTGCCTCAGTCTTATCACCCTTCCCACAAGGAGTCGTCAGGACTGTGTGCACAGGCACCTTAGCACGAAAGTGAGCAGTTACGAGGATTTTTCTGGGAGCCGACCTCAGCGTTTCTTCTTGCGGGTTGTCTTTGACTTTTGAAGTCAGCATCTGTGTGTTCACTGCGTTCACGTGCTCAGTTGCAGGTAGTAAGGAGACAATAGGGCAGAAGGCTGGGAAGCATCCTTACCCTCAGGGAACTGACATTCTGGATACAGACAATATCAAGAGATGTTGTCCCTGCGTATTTGTGGGGGGTTCGTTCCAGGACATCCCCTCCCTGCCCTGAGGACACCAAAATCCATAGATGCTTAATCTCTTTTGGAAAATGGCATAGCATTTGCATATAATTTAGGCACATCCTTCCACACATTTGAAATCATCTCCGGATACCTAAAACAAAATAAATGCTAGGTAATAGTTGTTATACTGTATTGTTTAGGGAATGATGACAAGAAAAAATGTCTGGGCTGGGTATGGTAGCTCACACCTGTAATTCCAGCACTTTGGGAGGCCAAGGCAGGAATATCACTTGAGCCTGGGAGTTCGAGACCAGTCTGAGCAACATAGCGAGACCCCATCTCTACAAAAAATAGAAAAATTCACCACAGGTTATCACTCATAAGTGGGAGCTGATCAATGAGAACACATGGACACAGGGAGGGGAGCATCACACACCTGGGCCTGTCGGGGGGTGGGGGTCAAGGGGAGGGAGAGCATTAGGACAAATACCTAATGCATGCGGGCCTTAAAACCTAGATGACGGGTTGATCGGTGCAGCAAACCACCATGGCACATGTATACCTGTGTAACCAACCTGCACGTTCTGCACATGTATCCCAGAACTTAGAGCAAAATAAAAAAAAAAAATAATAATAAGCCAGTCGTGGTGCCGTGTGCCTGTGTTCCCAGCTACTCAGGAGGCTGAGGTGGGAGGATCATGTGAGCCTAGGAAGCTGAGGCTGCAGTGAGCCGTGATTGTGCTGCTGCTTTCCAGCCTGGGCGACAGAGTGACACCTTGTCTCAAAAAATAAAATAAAATATGTACGTGTTAAGTACAGGCACAATCATTTCTTGATTTATTTTGAATATTTTTGATCTACGGTTGGTTGAGTCCACAGATATGGAAGCCATGGATACTGAACCCGTGGATAGGGAATGGCGACTGTAGTTACAACATGTACCATGTGGGAAGGTGATTGTTACAGTGGAGGCCCTTGAAGCAAGGAAGTGTTGGGTGTTTGAGCTTTTGAACATAGGGGAGTTAGGAAGGCCCCACTGCATGGGTGACATTGGAGCCAAGATGGCAAGGGGTTGAGGAAGCGAGCCCTGTGCTGACAGAGGGAGCATCGAGGCAGAGGGCAGAGGGCTGGGCTGGGCATGTTGGAAGTTTGGGTGGAAAGAGCAAAGTGGGAGAGCCAAGGAGATGAAGACAGAGGAGGGTCGTCAGGGCAGGGTCTGCGGGACTGCTGGTGAGATGGGAAGCCTTTGAGGGTTGTGGATAGGACTAGGGAGACACGATCTGGTTTAGGTCCATAGGTTCTCCCTGACAGCTGCGTTGGGAGGAGACTACGCACCATTTCATGTGGACCATGGTTCTCAGTAAGCCTGTGTTTGGGCATCGATTAGACTTTCTTATTGCTCACACAGTCTGGATCCTACTGGTGCAGGGTGATGGTGGGGTGGTCTTTATTTTTGCAATTTCTCTAGGCACAAATCTTTTTTCTTCTTTTCTGTTTTCTTTTCTTTCCTTTTTTTTTTTTTTTTTTTGAGATGGCGGCGTTTCACTCTGTTGCCCAGGCTGGAGTGCAGTGGCACATCTCAGCTCACTGCAACCTCTGCCTCTCCTGGGTTCAAGCGATTCTCATGCCTCAGCCTCCCAAGTAGCTGGGATCACAGGTGTGCATCACCACACCAGGCTAATTTTTTCTATTTTTAGTAGAGATGGGTTTTGCTATGTTGGCCAGATTGGTCTCGAACTCCTGACCTCAAATGATCTGCCCACCTCAGCCTCCCAAAGTGTTGAGATTACAGGCATGAGCCACTGCGCCCAGCCCACAGATCTCTTTCTTTATAGAAGATGAAGAAAGGGACTTTTTATCCTATAAGGGTACTTAGCTGATGAATTCTAGAATGAGTTCAAGCGTGGCTAAAAAATGCTTGAAGATAATTTCGGGTTCTCTGCAGCCCAGTGTTTCATTTACCTTCCAAACAGAAAGCTCCTCCTCCCTGCACATGCTCTGTGTTGCCCCCTTGCCTTGCCTGTGAGCAGATTCGACCGTCTTTTCCATTGATCACTTCCCTTTTTGGCTCAGGCTGCTCCTCTGGGGTTTTAGTTCTGAAATAAGTGAACCATTTGTCATATCTGCTTCCTTCTCACTGGAGCCGCATGTTAAATCGCGGCCGGAACACATCTGTCAGATCTCTGAGCTTTTCAAAAATGCAAACCTGAACGTTTTGGCATATGACCCTGTTAGCCTGTTTTAAGTGGCGTGTGGTAAACTTGCCCACAGATGTTAGTATACCCGTCTACTTTGAACAAAATAATAATAACTTTCACATCTGGTCCTCTTTTCATCTAGGGATCTTAAAACCCCAAGTGCACATTAGTTAAACCTCACATCACTGGAAGGTAGGGAAGGGATGGAGGGCAATCGCTTTAATCACCACTGCAAGAAACTTAGGGGGATTGCCCCTGGGTAACAAATGCCTTTCATCTAGCATCTTAAATACTTCCCGAGTATTACCTGGTGGGAAGTGTATGATCACGCACATCTGCAGGGCGTGGGGAATACCCTGAGATACTAGGGACTTGCCCTATCTTTTTGTTGTTGTCATTGCAGAAGCCTTCTTTCTTTCCAGTTCATGGGCTTTTACCACTTAATATGGATTATTTGGAGTCTGATGGTGTGCACTGAAGGATGGTATTGTTAACTGGTAAAGCTGTTTGGTTTTCTTTCTATCTTTTTAGTTTGGGATACAGATAGGCAGGAAGTTCCTTTGAAAATTTCAGCTGCCTTCCAAGCTGGTCACTGGGGATTCTCCATGAATGCCATAGTACTCCCCTTCCCTCTAAGAGTCTCTTCCCAGAAAGTCTCTCAGGTGAGCTGGGACAACAGGAAGACAGGAGAGGACCATAACTTTGATCAGAGGACAGAGTGGCAGCTGCTCAACTCCATTCCTAGAGAATGGGGCATTCTATAAGAAAAATGGAACAGAACAAAACCAAACAAAATCAGGACATGTCATTAATAGGTGAGGAATTCAGTGGCTCACCTGCGGGAGGGGAGTTGGGGTCTCGCTGGGGTCAGGGTGTTCAGATGCACAGCAGTTTTGCTCCAGGGGGACTCTGCCTGACAGTGGAAAAGCAGAGGCCTCAGCAGGGTCTGGAGGGTCTGGAGGGCGTGAGAAACACGGTTGGTTTGCAAAGGGATGCTCTTCTTCAATTTTAAATGTAATGTCTTTAGCTCCATTTTAAACAATTTCTAAATGCCAGTGTGTAGTATATCTACTGCTTTTATTCGCAGTTGCATGTGAAAGTAAACAGTAAAGGGGAAAAATATTGAAAAGTGTGGGTTCTTCAATGCCCCCTCCGTGTGACACCTCTTAACTCACTGATGGCTGGTTTCTTTCCAGCTTTTTGACTTAAAAGGTAGAAATGTATCTATATTTCCCCAGATACATGATGAATATTTATGTTATTTTAGATGAACCTTCTTCTGTATACATTCTTTTTTTTTTTTTTTGAGTCAGAGTCTTGCTCTGTCGCCCAGGCTGGAGTGCAGTGGTGCCATCTTGGCTCACTGCAACCTCTGCATCCCGGGTTCAAGTGTTTCTCATGCCTCAGCTTCCCGAGTAGCTGGGATTACAGGTGAGCGCCACTACACCTGGCTAATTATTTTATTTTTAGTAAAGACAGGGTTTTGCCGTGTTGGCCAGGCTGGTCTCGAACTCCTGACCTCAAGTGATCCACCTGCCTCGGCATCCCAAAGTGCTGGGATTATAGGCATGAGCCACTGCACCTGGCCCCTTCTGAGTAAATTCTAAAAACATACTCTATGAGAATGTATCTTTCCATGATTCTTCTCTAGTAGTATGAAACTAAAAACTAATTTTTTTTTTTTTTTGAGACAGGGCCTCCCTCTGTCACCCAGGCTAGAGTGCAGTGGCATGATTGATCACAGCTTACCGCACCTCCACCTCCTAGGCTCAAGTGGTCTTCCTACCTCTGCCTCCTGAGTAGGTGGGACTACGGCTGCACACCACCATTCCTGGCTAATTTTTGTATTTTTTTTTTGTAGAGATGGGGTCTTGCCATGTTGTCCAGGCTGGTCTCGAACTCCTGGGCTCAAGTGATCTGCCTGCCTCGGCCTCCCAAAGTGCTGGGATTACAGGTGTGAGCCACCGTGCCTGGCCTGTAAAAAAATACTTCTGTTCTTTCCTTTGGTTATTACAGTGTTGGTGTACTCATTGTTTACCCTTGTGGTCCTACTGAGGGATGCTGGTATGGAGTAGGTATTCACCATTTCCCTGTACTTTGGGGGCAGTACAGGGAAACATTACCAAAATATTTCTTAAACATTTTTGAAATACTTAAAGAAATGATTTTGTTGTTTGGAAACCAAATCAAGCCAAAATCTTTGTCTCCAGCCTGAATGTCACATATTCTAGTTGGGCAGTTAATCTCTTTGCTTTTGGCAATGTTAGGGGCCCTGTGGATGGAATCCTAGAATTCAGAGGTAGGCTAGAGGCAGCTGTCTGAAAGGTTACAGGCAGAAAAGATGGCTGAGAGCAGCACTGTGGGAATAAAAATCACTAGCTCCATCACTTACAGGCTGTGTGGCCTTGGATAAGTTGCCTGAGTTCTCTGTGCTTTGGATTCTTCATTTATAAATGGGGACAAGTACTTTCCTGATAGAATTGTCAGAAAATTAAGAAACTTCTTCAGCGTCTGACTTACAGTAGGTCCTCTACAAGTGTCAATTACTATTACTGTTGTTATCACCATCATGGACAGCATCCCTCTGCCCATAAGCAGGCACCAAATAAAATTTTTTTTTTGAGACAGAGTTTCTCTCCGTCGCCCAGGCTGGAGTGCAGTGGTGCCATCTAAGCTCACTGCAACCTCCGCCTCCCAGGTTCAAGTGATTCTCCTTTACAGTATCCACCCACAGTCTGTCCACTGAATTGAGTTATTGTTGAATGTTGGGTCCCAAACGCAATGAATTAAACTTTTCCACGCACGCAGTCATTGTTCTGTTTTTAAGGGGGTCAAGCGGCCATTACTGTACCCACCATTACAGTATCATTCAGAATAGTTTCACTGCCCTAAAATCCTCTGTGCTCCACCAATTCTTCCCTTTTCTTGCTAATTCCAGGAAGTCACTGATTTTTTTTTTTTTTTTTGAGACAGGGTCTTGCTCCGTTGCCCAGGCTGGAATGAAGTGGTGTGATCATAGCTCACTGTAGCCTTGAACTCCTGGGTTCCAGTGATCCTCCCACCTCAGCCACCTGAGTAGCTGGGACTACAAGCACACACCACCACACCCAGCTAATTTTTAAATTTTTGTGTGTTTCTTTTTGGAGACAGAGTCCCACTCTGTCACCCAGACTGGAGTGCAATGGCGCGATCCCGGCTCACTGCAACCTCTGCCTCCCGGGCTCTAGCGATTCTCCTGCCTTAGCCTCCCAAGTAGCTGGGATTACAGGCCCGCACCACCATACCCAGCTAATTTTTTTATTTTTAGTAGAGACGGGGTTTTGTCATGTTGGCCAGGCTGGTCTCAAACTCCTGACCTCAGGTGATCCACCCGCCTCGGCCTCCCAAAGTGCTGGGGTTACAGGCATGAGCCATCACACCCAGCCTAATTTTTAAATTTTTTATAGAGATGGTGCCAGGTTGGTCTTGAACTCCAGGGCTGAAGTGATTCGCCCACGTTGGCCTCCCAAAGTGGCTGGGATTACAGGCATGAGCCACTGCGCCTGGCCTACCACTGATGTCTCTAAATAGTTTTGTTTTTTCTGGAACGTCATATACTTGGAATCCTACAATGTGTAGTCTTTTCAGACTGGTTTAGCACCACTTTTTTTATGGCTTCATGCACTTTCTTTCTTTTTTTTTTTTTTGAATCAAAGTCTCGCTCTGTTGCCCAGGCTGGAGTACAGTGGCGTGATCTTGGCTCACTGCAAGCTCCGCCTCCCGGGTTCAAGCAATTCTCCTGCCTCAGCCTCCCGAGTAGCTGGGACTACAGGCGGGCACCACCATGACCTGCTAATTTTTGTATTTTTAGTAGAGACAGGGTTTCACCATGTTGGCCAGGATGGTCTCGATCTCTTGACCTCATGATCCACATGCCTCAGCCTCCCAAAATGCTGGGATTACAGGCGTGAGCCACTGCGCCCGGCCTCTCATCTTTCTTTACTTTGGCTGTGGAGCCCTGAAGTGCACCTACAGCGTTCTACCATGGACTCCACCAAGGAACCGAGTTCCCTGAGGGGCGCTTTGTCTCACCTGCGGGAGTTCTGTGGGAAAACCATGAAGTGGGCCCCGCCTGGCTGAAGTGACCAGTGGTTGCTTGACCCCCTTGTGGAAATAGAAATACAATTGCATGTGTAGATAGGTTTAAAATGTCATTGCGTTTGGGACCTAATATTCAGCCATAACTCAATTCAGTGGACAGACTGTGGGTTAGCTGTTTCGGGTAGGGCCACAGCCCCTGCTTCACAGTGTGGCGGAGGTGACAGAAAAGTCAATGCATCGTGACACAGAGACAGGCAGTGGCAAAAGTAGAAACACCCACAGGAGGGGCCAGGTTGTTGAGGCCAAGAGACTGGGTTCAGGATTCAGTGTGGGTTTGAAGCCAGGGCTGTCACAGGCGAGCAGGGTGCCCAGGGGGCAAGTTGCTGTCATTCTCCAGGCTTCAGTTCCTTCCCCTATAAGATGGCAGATGATGGCACCCCCCCCCACCCATAGAGGTATCGTGAGTAGGACATGAATTTACGTGTGTCATGACTTAGAGGAGTGCTCTCCACAGGTACACCTTTGTGAATACGAGCTAGAATTGTCCTCCCCATCATTATGAGGCAGATGCAACACACAGAGTGAGAGGGAAGACTGTGGTCCAGGAGGAGAAGAAGGAGCAAGGAGACTTGGGAGAAGCTGGACTCCAAGCTAGTATTTTCTTTCCTTTTTGCATATGATATTCTTAGATAATCATGCATATTCATTATAGGAACACTAGAATATATGGCTAAGCAAAAAGATGGCAATCAAAACTATCAAAGGTATTCACTATTCCTATTTAGATGATTTCTTTCTAGATTTTTATTTCTTTCTCTGCTGAGTTGGTTTTTTTGTTTTTTTGTTTGTTTGTTTGTTTTGATATGGAGTCTCATGCAGGTGGCACGATCTTGGCTCACTGCCACTTCTGCCTCCCAAGTTCAAGTGATTCTTGTGCCTCAGCCTCCCGAGTAGCTGGGATTACAGGTGCCCACCACCGTACCTGGCTAATTTTTGTATTTTTAGTAGAGATGGGGTTTCACCATTTTGGCCAGGCTGGTCTTGAACTCCTGACCTCAGGTGATCTGTCCACCTCCCAAAGTGCTGGGATTACAGGTGTGAGCCACCGTGCCCGGCCTGAGATGGTTTTTGAAGGCTGTCAAGAAGGGTTAAAGTTTCAATCAGTTTGGCTTCTTATGTTATAAGGAGCAATTTTTACTTGCTTTTAAAATTCTGTCCTGAACTATTTTT
Organism: Homo sapiens; assembly: GCF_000001405.40. Lineage (NCBI taxonomy): Eukaryota > Metazoa > Chordata > Mammalia > Primates > Hominidae > Homo > Homo sapiens. The sequence continues at coordinate 31,321,663 of NC_000021.9, read as the reverse complement.
AAAACACAGAAGAGGCTGGGTGTGGTGGCTCACGCCTGTAATCCCAACACTTTGGGAGGCCGAGGCAGGTGGATCACCTGAGGTCAGGAGTTTGAGACCAGCTGGCCAACATGACAAAACCCCATCTCTACTAAAAATACAATATTAGCTGGGTATGGTGGCACGTGCCTATAATCCCAGCTACCCTGGAGGCTGAGGAAGGAGAATCGCTTGAGCCCAGGAGGCGGAGGTTGCAGTGAGCCAAGATCGCGCCATTGCACTCCAGCCTGGGCAACAAGAGCGAAACTCCGTCTCAAAAACAAACAAACAAACAAACAAACAAACAAACAGTAGAGCATGGGAAATAACGTACTCTGAGAAGGCAGTGTGGACCGGCCTCAGATTATGTGGAGGAGCCTGAGTCCGAGGCAGAGGTGCAGGCCTGCCGATGCTGAATGGCTTCTTCGGCCAGTCCCTGCACTGAGCACATAGGGAATTTCCTCTACCTGTCCTATAACTCTCAGGTCATCCCCCCCCGCCCCCTTCTTTCTGTGGCCCAGGCTGGAGCGCGGTAGCACAATCATAGCTCACTGTAGCCTCAAACTCCTGGACTCAGGTGATCCTCTTGCCTCAGCCTCCCAAGTAGCTGGGACAACAGGTGCACACCACTGTACCCAGATCTCTTTTTTTTTTTTGAGACAGAGTCACTCTGTCACCCAGGCTGGAGTGCAATGGTGTGATCTCAGCTCACTGCAGCCTCCACCTCCCAGGTTCAAGCAATTTTGCAGCCTCAGCCTCTCAAGTAGCTGGGATTACAGGTGTGTGCCACCACGCTGGCTAATTATTGTGTTTTTAGTGGAGATGGGTTTCACCATGTTGGCCAGGCTGGTCTCAAACTTGTGGCATCAAGTGATCCGCCTGCTTCGGCCTCCCAAAGTGCTGGGATTACAGGCGTGAGCCGCCGCGCCCAGCCCAACTCTCCTTTTTTTCAATTCCACATTTAGCGAGGCTCTGAGAGGTAGAGGGAGTCACCTACCATTGCTCACTGGTCAGTGTGCAGCTGGGGTTGACCTAAGCTTCTGATACCACATACCCTGAATGCCATTTTCTGGCTCATTCCTGCCTTGGAGACCTCAGACTCAACCATCATTGACCAAAGCCATTATTTTTTGTAATGTTGTGGATTTTTTTTGACTAATGATATTCAGAAGTGTAAAGTGAATTTTTTGCATTTGATAAAATATCTATAATAAAATTTACCACTGTAGCCATTTTTAAGTGAACAATTGCACAACCATTACCATGATCTAATTCTAGAACTTTTTCATCATCCCAAACAGAATATGTACCCAGCAAGCAATAGCTCCCATTTCTCATCCTCCACCTCCCTGCCCCGGTAACCTCCATTCTACTTTCTGTTTATGAATTTGCCTATTCCAGGTACCTCGTCTAAGTGGAATCATACATCATACTTAGCATCGTGTTTTTAAGGTTCATTCATGTTGTAGTATGTGTCAGAATTTCATTCCTGTTTTGGGTTGATGATATATATATGTATCTTTTATATATATGTTTATATACATGTAAGCATAGGTGTATATATACATATGTTTTGTTTATTCCTCTGTAAATGAGCATTTGGGTTGTTTCAGTTTTTTGGCTATTGTGAATAATGCTGCTATAAACAGTGATGAAACAACTCAGCAACAACAACAAAACATGTAATTTAAAAAATAAGCATAGGACTTGGATAGACACTTCTCCAAAGAAAATATACACATAGCCAAATTAGCACATGAAAAGATGCTCAATATCTGTAGGGGATTGCAAATCAAAACCATGGTGAGGTACCACCTTATGCTCACTAGAAAGGTTATAGTAATTTTTTTTTTTTTTTTTTTTTTTGAGATAGAGTCTCACTCTGTCACCCAGGCTGGAGTGTGGTGGTGCGATCTCGGCTCACTGCAAGCTCCGCCTCCCGGGTTCATGCCATTCTCCTGCCTCAGCCTCCCGAGTAGCTGGGACCACAGGTGCCCGCCACCATGCCCGACTACTTTTTTTTGTATTTTTAGTACAGACGGGGTTTCACTGTGTTAGCCAGAATGGTCTCGATCTCCTGACCTCATGATCCACCCGTCTTGGCCTCCCAAAGTGCTGGGATTACAGGTATGAGCCACCGTGCCCGGCCAGGTTATAGTAATTTTTTTAATGGAAAATAATAAAGTATTGGAAGGAATGTGGAGAAATTCGAACCCTTGTGCATTGTTGGTGGGAACATAAAATAGCACAGCTACTGTGAAAAAGAATTTACTGCTTCCTCCAAATGTTAAACATAGAATTACTATGTGACCCCACAATTCCACTTCCACGTATATGCCCAAAAGAATTGAAAACGGGGACTCAACTATGCACTTGTACACCAGTTGAGCAGCTTTGGAACATGTATTTTTTTTTTTATCAGTTCACCCTTCTCAAGGCTGGTTAGTCACTGTCTGGGTGTTTAGCTTGTTGCACAGCAGAAAGTAAAGCTCCAGAAACAAAAGGCCTGGCAACCTTTATGCTGTACTTCATGATGGGAAGCCAAATGAGTAGAAACTGAGGCCCAATTGTGATGTGCTGGAGACACAAAAAAATTTGATTCAAAACTCAGAGGTTTAGCTGGGCATGGTGGTATAGGCCTGTAATTGTAGCCAGCTGGGAGGCTGGAGCAGGAGGGTCTCAGGAGTGTAGGAGTTCGAGGTTGCAGTGAGCTGTGATTGCGCTACTGCACTCCAGCCTGAGGGACAGAGCGAGACCCTGTCTTTGTATAAAACAACAAAAACAAAAACCACCAACTCGAAGGGCATCTTGTAATGTTGTGTTATGGAGGAAGCATCCTGAATGAGAAACCAGGCTGAATCAGATTTTATCTTTCTAGTAACATTATCAAGATAAAGACAAAATAACATCAGGAAGATTTATATGCAGAACTCTTTCCATTTTTTCCCCTCCCAGACTCAAAGCCAAAAAGAACTATTTCCAAAGTAGTAAATTTTGTTGGCTTTACCATGATAAAATTGACAGATTTTGCTAATCAGATGCATAAATAGAAAATCTAAGTAGGAACCAGTAGGTTTTGGGTTCTTGGATGCTCTATATACAGAGTAGAGTCTCTTGACTAACTACCAAATTGTTGATAATTCATCCTGGATTTTATTAGGCTGTGGGAATGTCTTGGGACACTCACCCTTGATATTTGTTATTTTGGAAATTCACTTTGAATGACAGAATTTTATCCTGTGGCTGGGCACGGTGGCTCACGCCTGTAATCCCAGCACTTTGGGAGGCTGAGGCAGGCAGATCACTTGAGCTCAGGAGTTCGAAACCAGCGTGGCCAACATGGTGAAACCCTTTCTCCTGTCTCTATGAAAAATACAAAACATAGCCGGGTGTGGTGGCATGTGCCTGTGGTCCCAGCTACTCAGGAACCTTGGGTGGGAGAATCACTTGAGCCTGGGAGGCAGAAGTTGCAGTGAGCTGAGATGGTGCCACTGCATTCCCACCTGGGTGACAGACTGAGACCGTCTCAAAAAATAAAAAAGAATTTGATCCTCTTTCTGCAAAGACCTGGGAGCTGTACCCAAATTACTGTTTAACTCACTCTGCAAAGCTGCTGTTACTCTGTGATTGTGCAGTAACCTAAAGAAAAATATCTTCATTTTGAAATCCTGTTGAGCTGGGTCATTAGTTATGTTTTGATTTCTAGGAACTTCTCTGCTGTGTTGGGGCTGCCTGAGAATATGAATAAGACCTATAGTTGTCTCATCAAGTAGGCACATGTACTTTTGTCCTAAAATTGGAAAGTCACAGATGAGTTAAGCAGTGGTGGGGTTTTTCTTGTTTGTTTGTTTTTTGGGGTTTTTTTTGAGGCAGAGTCTCACTCTGTTGCCCAGGTTGGAATGTAGTGGTGTGATGTCGGCTCACTACACCCTCTGCCTCCTGGGTTCTAGGGATTCTTCTGCCTCAGCTTCCCAAGTAGCTGGGACTATAAGTGCGTGCTGCCATGCCTGGCTGATTTTCGTGTTTATAGTAGAGACTGGGTTTCACTGTGTTGGCCAGGGTAGTCTCAAACTCTTGACCTCAGGTCATCCACCCACTTCGGCCTCCCAAAGTGCTGGGATTACAGGCGTGAGCCGCCGTGCCCGACCAAGCAGTGTTTTATGTTTGTTTGGTTTTTGTTTTTTGTTTTTTTGAGATGGAGTTTCACTCTTGTTACCCAGGCTGGAGTACAATGGCGCGATCTTGGCTCACCACAACCTCCGCCTCCCGAGTTCAAGCAATTCTCCTCCTCAGCCTCCCGCGTAGCTGGGATGACAAGCATGTGCCACCACGCCCGGCTAATTTTGTATTTTTAGTAGAGACGGTGTTTTTCCATGTTGGTCAGGCTGGTCTCAAACTCCTGACCTCAGGTGATCCACCCTCTTCGGCCTCCCAAAGTGCTGGGAGTACAGGCTTGAGCCACCATGCCCGGCCAAGCAGTGTTTTAAGTGTCGTCAATCCACTTGAAATTGAGAAGATGGAGAGGACAGAGCTTACGGGGATTTGAGAAGCTCTTTTTCCTGCTTAATTTCTGGACCAACTGAGACAAACAAAGGGTTCAGCAAGTGGAGACCAAAAGCTCAGCTTTATTATCGGTAAATATAGGATTTGAGGTTGTGACTCAGAGGTACAGCAACGTAGGTTTCCTGGACATCCCTGGCCATTTGAGTTAGGTAGACTTACCCACCTAGGCAGACCTGGCACTGGATAACAGGCCTCCCTCCCTGGGGGGCAGGATCTTTCCAGTTACCTCACGATCCACGGTGGTCCAACCTTGACTTCCCCAGAGGCCTGGATTCCTAAGCAAGTGAAATAGAAGGGTTTTATCTAGGCATGTGTGGGTCATTCTCCCAAACTCTCTCCTCTGTTGACATCAATGACTCACCTTCCCAGAGCCATCCTGAGGGCTCAGAGAGGCCAGGAAGTTTGCTGTAGTTGCGAATCCTTGATGTGGAAGGAAACAAGAGGCATAGGCATGCCCATCACACAATCCTATCTTGGCTCAGAACACCTTAGATCCGATAAGGGTCAAACCACACAGTCCTGATTACTTCTTAGCGACAGAGCTTATTGTTTCCCAGCCATAGGGTGAGGAGAAGAATGCACTGTTAGTGTTTTAATGGTCTTTCAAGTGGGAATGCAGTTTTTGATTTAGCCCTCACAAAATACTCTCCTTTATGAAAAATGCTCATGCCTTTTCATCTGAGGGTGGCTACATGTCACCATTGTCTCAATCGGTATAAACCTTTCCTTGAAATATTTTGGCTGTTAATTGGGAACAAGCAGTGATAAAACGATACGATTTTTGGTTTAAACTCATCCTCTTTCAGAGCATTCTGGCAGCTTCTCTGTGGGAGGCAGGAAACAGCTAGGTGACAATCTTCAATTTTGTGGATTTCAGAATTGTAGTGTAATTATACTAGAACACTGCAGAGGACATCAGGGTACCTCTCATTTAACTTCCTCCTTTTCCAGTTTAACCCAGAATCTTAATACAGTGGATCACCCTTGGTAGGCACTCAATATGTAGAAGAAATGAGTGAAGGTTATTGACAGTCGGCCGTATTTTTGTGACACAATTTCAGGGTCATCATGGTTGATGATCTCCTTTCATCGCAGGTTTATTTTTTGAGACCGAGTCTCGCTCTGTCTCCCAGACTGGAGTGCAGTGGCGCGATCTCGGCTCACTGCAACGTCCGCCTCCCAGGTTCAAGTGATTCTCCTGCCTCAGCCTCCTGAATAGCTGGGATTACAGGCGTGCACCACCACACCCGCCTTTTTGTATTTTTAGTAGAGACGGGGTTTCACCCTGTTGGCCAGGATGGCCTCAATCTCCTGACCTCATGATCCGCCTGCCTCGGCCTCCCAAAGTGCTGGGATTACAGTAGTGAGCCACTGCGCCTGTCCTTTTTTTTTTTTTTTTTTTTGAGATGGAGTTTTGCTCTTGTTGCCCAGGCTGGAGGAGTGCAGGGGCGCTATGTTGGCTCACTTACAACCTCCGCCTCCCTGGTTCAAGTGATTCTCCTGCCTCAGTCTCCCAAGTAGTTGGGATTACAGGTATGCGCCACCACACCCGGCTACTTTTTTTTTTTGAGAGGGAGTCTTGCTCTGTTGCCCAGGCTAGAGTGCGGTGGCGTGATCTTGGCTCACTGCAAGCTCCGCCTCCCGGGTTCACGCCATTCTCCTGCCTCAGCCTCCCGAGTAGCTGGGACTACAGGCGCCCGCCACCATGCCTGGATAATTTTTTTGTATTTTTAGTAGAGAAGGGGTTTCACCGTGTTAGCCAGGATGGTCTCGATCTCCTGACCTCGTGATCTGCCCGCTTCGGCCTCCCAAAGTGCTGGGATTACAGGCGTGAGCCACTGCGCCCGGCCATGCGCAGCTACTTTTTTGTATTTAGTAGAGATGGAGTTTCACCATGTTGGTCAGTCTGGTCTCCAACTCTTGACTTCAGGTGATCCATCCGCCATGGCCTTCCAAAGTGCTGGGATTACAGTGAGCCACCACGCCCAGCCTCATTGCATGTTGATTTTATTTATATTTAACCAAAATGTGGTTTTGGTGCGAGGTTTGGCGACTCTCACCAAAAAATTAAAGTAGTTAAATAAATAAATACGTGAAACTTGGATGGACCCCACCTTTATAAAGCTGGTAGAAGCCATGGAACTGCTCTTTATACAAATGCAGGTACGTCCCTGCACATAATTTTTACACTCAATTCCAGAAGGTTCAGATACCTTTGAAAGTCCTCCAGGGATCGTGTGCTAAGCATCCTTGTCCTGGGTCCATTCCCAGGGCCTATGCAGAAGCGCTGAAATTAGCAAGTCTGTGTGACCCCTACCCTTTACAAGCATGCACGTTTTAAAAATACAAATAGCTCCGTGTGCAAAATTGTAATTTCCGTCTGGGTAGCGCTTTTCAACTGAGGGTTGAAACCTTTTGGGAGTTTATAAAATAATTTTAGTGGTTTGCAGCCAATATTTCTAAAAAAATATATTGGAATAGGATAAAAAGTAAACCAAGCTATTATGTGTGTGTACTGGGGTTGAGAAATAAAAATATGGGTCCCTGTTTAAGAAAAACTGATGTATGTGCAGCTTGTTTTACTATATATTTAGGGCAGTGGGAGCAATTTAAAGAAATATTTGCTTTCTTTTCATTAAATGCTTTGACTATGTTGGCCCTTTTTCTTCTTCATAGGTAGGGTCAAAGAGTTTAGTGGGCTTACTAACATTTTATATAATATATCCTACTGCCAATCATCATTTATCCACAGTTATTCTCAGGATACCTCTAATATCAGTGAGCTTAAATCTGCTGAATGTTCTGATTTTCTGTGATAGTAAAACTTAAAAAAAATATATCCTTGCCAAGGGTCAGTGTGATTGGCCACTAGTTAACCATTTCATGTGGGAGACTTCTCCTCCTTGGCCTCACTTTTCTCATTTGTAAGTGAGAAATGGTCCTGATAATAATGATATTTTTCTCTCTGGATTGTTGGGAAGACTGAATGAGCTTTTATATGTAAAATTCATAGCGTAATTCTTCCATAAACATTGTTCTTCTTAGTAGCAGTTGTACTGTTTGTCTACCATGCAGGAATCACATCTTACACTCCCATTAGGATTTCTGAGAATCTGTTAAGTTGTCCATTCTGACTGCATTAACTAAGTGAATGGGCACTCTGGCCTTGTTTCAAAAGCATCTGTTTAATCTTTTTTAAAAAAGTGTGCTGAGCACAGTGGCTCATGCCTGTAATCCCAGCACTTTGGGAGGCCGAGGCGGACAGATTACTTGAGGTCAGGAGTTTGAGATCAGCCTGGCCAACATGGTGAAACCGCGTCTCTACTGAAAGTACAAAAAATTAGCTGGGTGTGGAGGTGCATGCTTGCAAATCCCAGTTACTTGGGAGGCTGAGGCAGGAGAATCGGTTGAACCTGGGAGGTGGAGGTTGCGGTGAGCCAAGATTGCGCCACTGGATGGCAGCCTGAGCAACAGAGCAAGACTGTCTCAAAAAAAATAAAGTGTGCTCTATTGAACTCCTGAATTTTTTAATAAATTATTTTGCCCCCACATATCATGAATGACATTAAAAGAACAATCTTTCTTTTCTCTATATTGTGAACCAACAGTCTGTTCACCTACAAATGTTGCAAATGGTGATTATTTGGAACCCAGATGGGAGCCTCCCAGAAGACTCAGAATAACATTGAAACTCAACTGCAAGGATTTGTTATTAAAGTAAATGTAGTGGAAAAAAAACACACAAAGAGCTAAACAATTTTCCTGGTGTACTCCTCCTCACCCCCATCCCCCTCCGGAAGTACTTTTTGTAGGTATCATGTTGATTTTTAAGGAAAGAAACATACTGAATTTCCAGGATTATTAAGTATACTAAAAGCAAATGTCTGCTGCAAATAAATGTATTCACATTCTTAGAAAAGAAAATTACGCATGAAAACTTGGCTTCTGCACCACTCTGAACAATTTGCAAGAAGAATGTTTGGGCTTGTCGTATCTTATTAAATAATATATTGGACACACTATGCACAGAAACATTCTTTTTGCACCAGGCAGGTGAGTAGCTGCCGTAATTTAAGGGTTGTGTGTGATGTGGGCTGGAGAAGATTGCTGAGCTATGTCTCAGAGGGCTTGACCTTTGTTAAAAGGATGCCCCCTGGCACACATTTCTGTATCATAACCTAACCTCTTTCATTCGCCTTTTTTCCTATTTTCATATTCTTTTTTCTTTTCTTCCCGTCATTCTGTCTGGCTATAAAAACCTTCCCTTAGGGAGAATGCAGTTACTGTATCTAGCAGAATCCTCCGGGAAAGGAGCATGAACTTAAGAGCAAGTGGACCTGCGTTGGAATTTCTACTCAGCTACTTTCGAGAACTTGGGCCATATAGTTGACCTCTCCAAGCCTCAGTTTGCTCATTGTAAAGTGACCCTATTATTATGGATGGATTCAGTGAAAACACCTTCATACGGATAAGGCTCAGATTTTTTTCCTTTTGGGTGTATGTATGTTTCTTAAGAAGAGAAATAATTTAAAAATCAAACAGTGAAATTTTTGGTTAGGGAAAGTGTTTTGTGAACAAGGAGGGTCTTTTTTAGAACTCCTGAAATCTCATTATTCCTCATGTTCCCATGATCTGTAAGGGATCTGCCACTACATGCTGCGTATACTAATGACGCTAACTCACCTGTTATATTGTTTCCCTTCCAAGACCAGTATTATGTGCTTAACTCTCATGGCTCACCTGGGAGGGGGTCATTATTAGGAACCTCATATATGGATGAAAAACTGATGTTTAATGTGGTTAACTCCCTTATATTAGGGTTCTCTAGAGGGACAGAAATAATAGAATAGATGTATATATGAAGGGGAGTTTATTGGGAGAATTGACTCACACTGTCACAAGGTGAAGTCCCTCAACAGGCTTTCTGCAAGCTGAGGAGCCAGGAAGCCAGTTCGAGTCCCCAAGCCTCAAAAGCAGGGAAGCCAACAGTGCATCCTTCAGTCTGTGGCCGAAGGCCCAAGAGCCCCTGGCAAATCACTGGTGTAAGTCCAAGAGTCCAAAAGCTGAGGAACTTGGAGTCTGATGTTCAAGGGCAGGAAGCATCCAGCATGGGAGAAAGATGGAGGCCAGAAGACTTAGCCAGTCTAGTCCCCTCCATGTTCTTCTGCCTGCTTTTATTCTGGCCGTGCTGGCAGCTGATTAGATGATGCCCACCCAGATTGAGGGTGGGTCTGCCTCTCCCAGTCCACTGACTCAAATGTTAATCTCCTTTGGCAACACCCTCACAGACGCACCCAGAACAATATTTTGCATCCCTCAATCCAATCAAGTTGACACTCAGTATTAACTATCACACCTCTCATTGTCTTTCTGGCCGCAGAGGTTAAATTCTCAATCACTGCTCAGTCCATGTGAAGAAGTGGGTACTAGAGACTTTTGTAGAAGTAAGTACCAGGCATAAATAGGCTAGTGAGGAGATGTAGAGAATCCTCTTCTCCCCCTCAATTCATGGACTGCTCATCACACACTTGATACATTCCAATGTGGCAGAAATGGAGCTGTTTTGGCATTTTTGCTTAGACCCAGGTGTCAGATGGTCTTCAGGAAATTATTTGGACAAGGGTGATGATAAATCACCTTCCATTCTGTTTGGGCCATAATCCCTGGAACCCATGGTGGGCATATTTGAAATGATTTGACTTAAATGTTTAAAGCTTTAGTCTTTCATTGGGTAATGTCTTAGAGAAGACAATTTCTTAGTAATATGAATTGTTCCCAAACTGAAGTCCATCCCCTTTTTAGGAAACTGGCAGCCCAATCCAGGCCCTCCTGCTCCCCTTTGGAGGGTCTTTGTTCCTCCTTGAGTTAGCAATTTTGACAATATTCCTCCAAATTTGACAAAAAAAAAAACAAAACAAACAAACAAAAAAACCATTTCCTGATGGCAGAGACATCAGGGAGAGGAATCAAATTTCTTCTCCTTTGTTCTGGAACGAGCTTATTGGCAGTTCATTATTTACATATCGTGAGAGAGTCCTGCCAAGCCAATGCAGGTGTTGCTGACTTGCTAAGACAAGTTTGCACTCTATTTTCTCTTAAGAAAAATTGGAATGCGGCCCTTTGTCAGAGGATTGCATTGCACGAGTCACTGAGCTAAATGTAAATATCCGAAAATGCAAAGTATGCTTTGCTGTAGAAATAAACATTTTGACATCCTGCCTTACATGATTTTCCTCAATGACGGTTGTTAGTGCCATCCTTCTTCTCTCATCCTGCATTGTGTAACCTTTCCTTTAGGGTTTTTGGCTACGCTAACAAGAGCACTTTTCTAACTTGTCTGCTTTGTCATTTTGGGGTCACCAAATTGGTAGTAGAAGGAAATGCAGTAGGTAGCGTTTTCCATCAGGGAGTGGTTACCTTCTGCGTCTGAAAGGCAGCGAGTGACCTGGATTTTTAGGAATCAGGTGTGTCCCGGTTGTAAGTCTGTGAAATTAGTTTAACCTCCATGGGGGTAAATTTCCCAGACTTTATTGGAGTGGTTTTGGTAGCTTTGTGACTACCTAGAAGATTCTCACAGAAGTTCGTTAACCCAAGGCCATTTTTCACCCAGGGTGGCTGACTCTTGTAACGCACAACCCGGAATTTCAGTGGCTTCATGGATTTATAGGTTTACTTACTGCCTATGTCACAGGCCAAAGCTGGCTGGCTGTGGGAGGGGACTGCTTTCTCTCTCGCCATGTGGTCATACAAGGACCCAAGCTTCCTCTATCTAGTTGGTTCTAAGCTCTCAGAATCCTCACCTGGCTTCTCTGCATTTGGTGTGCAGGGAATACTAGAGATAGAGCTTGGAGGCCTTCCAGGGACGTGACTGGGGCAGGGTCTGGAAGTGGCCATCATTCCTTGCACCCACATTTCACTGGCCTGAACTCAGGCGTGTGGCCCCCACATAGCTGTGATGGGCCTGGAAATGTACATTTCCTTACTTCCCAGGTGAAAAAGGAATTGATTTAGCATCTCTGCCACTGTTGGGTATTTAAACTTAATCTTAAGGTGAAGTGTATCTATTAGGAAGACATTAGCTGTGCAATTTACTTCACTTGGTAGCTGGGTATTTGATTTGCATTTCTGGACTTATTTTTGCGTTAGGTGGTTATGAGCTTCTCACAGATGGGAAAGAAGGGGATTTGGGTTTTTTACTTTTTAAAATGCTGGAGACTTTTCTTCTTTGCCTGATGATGTCTTTATATCCAGCTCAGAGAGCCAGAATGAATGTCTGGTCACGCATGATGGATTTTAGTTGAAATCAGATTTGGGTTTTTCATATAGTTTCTTATAGGGATCTATGCTGACTTCAGAGATGCCCTTAAGTTTGTCCTGAGTTTCTCACTGATCCTAGCTCTCCAGGGCTTGTAGGCCACATCTTCATTTTTTTCATTTGTGAAGCATTCTCATGACTTTTCAGAAGGACGCCAGCCAGACTCTCCGGTCTAGGACTCTAGAATTCTAGGCACATGACTCTTCCTGCTGAAAGATTTTTTTCCCAATAAGTTTAAAAGCTTTTCACCTTTCAAATAATTTTGCAAGAGTTTCGTTTTATTTTTTTATTCATTTATTTATTTAGTTTTGAGACGGAGTCTCACTCTGTCGCCCAGGATGGAATGCAGTGGTGCAATCTTGGCTCCCTGCAACCTCAGCCTTGGAGGTTCAAGTGATTCTCCTGCCTCAGCCTCCTGAGTGGCTGAGATTACAGGTGCATGCCACCGTGCCCGGCTAATTTTTGTATTTTTAGTAGAGACAGGGTTTTACCATGTTGGCCACGCTGGTCTTGGACTCTTGACCACAGGTGATTTGTCCACCTCAGCCTCCCAAAGTGCTGGGATTACAGGTTGTGCCACCGCACCCAGCTTAATTTTGGAAGACCTTTAAACCTTTCATCTGTTACTAGTCGTCTTTGACAGAATATGTTAAATTACTCTAAATTGATCTTTAGTCAGTTTTTTCCCCCTCCCACAGAATTGATCGGTATATCGTGCAGAGATTTGGTGAGGTGGAGGTCATTGAGCTTGTAAGGCCCAGAATGGTGAAGTTTTCAAGCTAATTGCATTTGCTTCCTATAGTTGCTTCATTTTTCATCCCTGTTTCCTCCTCTGCATCAGCACTAACCCCCCCAACTCCCAGCCTTTAGTTTGCTGTAGGCTGTCAAACCAGATAACCAAACTTGTTAAATTGAGAATCAATAGGCTGTACATAGGGACTACAACAGAATGACGCTCATTATTGACAGAATCAAGTTCAAACTCCTTGTCCTGGCGTCTGTTGGCCTCTGGCAGCTGGCTCATCTGGCATTAGCTGGTTGCACGAGTTGCTGCAACCCTCCCACCTCCATCACACACACATTGCATCCCCTTCCCGAATCACACCAAATTATAATGGATATTATCAATATCATCATAACAAATTACAACACGCGTTTATTGCGTGCATACAATGTGCCAGGTCCTTTTATAGAGTATACTATAGTAAACATTCCTGGCGACTGAAGCATTTAGAATATAGTAAATGTAGATTAAATTATGAAATGTTTAAAATAATTATATGTAATTAATATATAATATAAACCATATATTAGTGATTTAATAATTACAGGTTAAATATTAAATATATAAAATATATAGGCATATAGAATATATGAAAACATTTAACCCTCCTCCCAAGGATGAGTTAGATAATGCCATTATCTTCCTTATACAAACGAGGAAATGAGACGGAGGTTACCTACCTTGCCTAAGGTCATGCAGACGAACCATTGTGCAGCTTTTAGTTTTTTGTTTTGAGATGACATTTCACTCCATCTCCCAGGCTGGAGTGCAGTGGCGCGATCTTAGCTCACTGCAACTTCCACCTCCTAGGCTCAATCAGTCCTCCTACTTTAGCCTCCCGAATAGCTGGGTCTACAGGTGCACACCACCACGCCCAACTAATTTTTGTAGTTTTTGTAGAGATGAGGTTTTGCCATGTTACCCAGGCTGGTCTTGAACCCTGACAGGGATTCCGATTTCGTTTCTCAAGTGATCTGCCTGCCTTGGCCTCCCAAAATGCTAGGATTACAGGTGTGAGCTGCCGCACCCAGCCCATTGTATAGTATTGACTCTGATTGAATTAACTTGGCTCTCTTCTCCCCATCCTTTTATTTCACTTAGGGAAACCTCTATTTTTTATCTTGTAAATTCAACTGAGATTCTCCATCTTCCTGTAACCTTCCCTCCTCTCCAGTGTCTTCTTCCTGAACAGGATGGAGCCTGTACCGTCTAATGAGATAATGGCCCCTCTCCCCTTACCCCTCACTTGTCCAGAGGCATCTGTTTGCAAGCCCCTCCTTGCTAGACTTGAGCTCCTTGAAGACAGAACCAGGACCTGGCAAAAGGGGAGACCTTTATTAAATGCTGGTGGGGTTGATCAGAATTAGATGATCGCACCCACCTCCCCAATTTCCAGATAGCAAAACCAAGGCCCAGTGTGATACTGCCACAGAGTTCTCCGGGGTAGATCCGGGACTAGAACCCATGTGTTTGTTCAGTCTGTGACAGCATGGCCTTTGAAAGCAGAAGACCTGACAAGGATTCCTATTTGGTTCCTTAGTTCTGGCCGTGTTCTGGATGGTGTCCTGGGACTCTTGGATGCAGGAGGTGTTTCTTAGCCCTCCGTGTACTCAGAGGGTTGGTAATGGTCATAAGAGTGGCTTGGCATGAAAAGACAGAGCAAAGCCCTGAATTTGCACAACCTGCTGGCTGAGGGTGTGGATACTCTGGTGAGGACAAGAAGAGCACATTAACCCATGTGGCTAAAGGGCCTTTTGTTTTTTCTAATACAAAATTAGCAAATTTTATACATTGTCATTAATTCTCACATTAGTAGAATAAGTGATGTGGTAATTTGTGCCTCATTCCATTATATCAGTTATCCATATCTGTTTTCACCTGTATACATAACTAAGAATAAATCAGCCGTCGGGTTTGAGATTTTGTTTTTGTTTTGAAATTGACACAAACTTCTAGAAAAGTTGGCGATGCAATGCAGTATGAAGAATTTTATTTTCTCTAAATCATTCGAGAGTACCAAATGTCTTTGGCTCTTACCAAAGACATTAGTGTTTTTCAAGGCAACTGTTCTATACAGCCACCATACAGGGGTCAGAGTCACAGCATGAGCTGACCCATTCCTGCCAGTCAATCGGGGCGCTGGAAAACGGCGAAGGTTTCCAGTGGAGGATCATGCCTTGCCCGTGATTGTCTCGTGTCTTTAGACTCCTTCAGTCAGGAACAGTTGCACAGTCTTTCCTGGACTTACAACGTTGATACTTTGGAAGAGTCCAGGCAAGTTGTTGTGTAGAATGCCCCTCAGTTTGGTTTGCCCAGATGTTTTCTCACGATTCACTCCACATTGGATCGTTGCATCACTGGCAGACACATCACAGGCCACGATGTAGGGTGTCCTCCTCCTGTGTGTTCTCTGAGTGCTCCCGAAGTTGGCCTGTCCTACTTCTGATGCTGTCTACTCACCTTGGCCACTTGGTTAAGACAGCATTGCCAGCCTTCCCAGTTGTGAAGTTATTATTTTCCTCTTTGTGAAGGAAAGAAATGTTAGTAAATGTTTTGTGGGGGGATACTTTGAAATTATATAAGTCTCTTCTTTCTCATCAGATTTCCAATTTTATTTCTCTCTATATGGACTTGTAGTTTCCTATTTTATTCAGTGGGTTATAATCTGCTAGTAGTATTATTTATTGATTTTTTTTTTTAGAGACAGGGTCTTGCTCTTTCATCCAAGCCAGAGTGCAGTGGTGCAATCAGAACTCACCACAGCCTCAAACTCCTGGGCTCGAGCAATCCTCCTCCTTCAGCCTCTTAAATAGCTGGGACTACAGGTGCATGTCACCATGCCTGGCTTATTTTTAAATTTTTTGTAGAGATGAGGTCTTGGTGGGTTGCCAGGCCATTCTGTTATTTATTTTGGTACTCAAATTGTCCCTGATTTGGCCTGCAGGCACCCCTTCAAGTGTGCTCCTCTGTCTCGTTGTGTGCCACCATCCTGTGCTCTGCCTGGATTGTGAGGACACTGGCGGTTCCTCCCCTGGGGGACTTGCCCTTTGGGGCTTCTGACACCACCATGGCAGTCACCCCCGTGAGCAGACACCTTCTGGCTCCAGTCACCACGTTTTTAAAAAAAGTATATCTTGTAGTTAGATTGGGTTAAATAAGCCATAGACATTTTTTTTTCCTGGAGGTTTTAGGGAGAATTGTTTTTGTGCCTAAATTGAAAAAATGAGGCCTGTTTAGAATTCATAAACTGGCACAGAAGGGTAGCTCTGCGCCTCCAGGCAAATTCTCATACAAATTATTAAAAGACTCAGGAGGGGTTCAGTCATGTTAAAACCCCAGTTTGAAAATGTCGTAATCACTTTTCTCTCAGCAACTGGCCGTTGATAAAATTTCCAGGGAGCTAGGAGGGCAGCTTTTTAAAGAGAGGTGTGGGTGAGAGAGAAGGAGGTGAGCCCCCGTGAGGGGCAGCTATCAGTGGAACCTTTGGAGATTGTTTTAAAATTCTCATCCAAGGTCCTGTAAAGAAGGAAAAAGGCTAAGAACTGTTTTTTTTTTTTTTTTATTTTTATTTCAGAGTTAATGCCCATCGCTCCTTCCCTAATCTATTTGCTACCCCCTTGCTGCTGAGTCCTGAGATCCAGCCTTTTTGGCCAGTTGTAGAACCAATCGCTTATTCGGTATCATCTAATTTTCTATATGGTTTATTCTCATTTACCACATTGAAAGTAATCAGTGAAAACTGTTGGCTCCAAATTTAATTTAAAACATTGTTTATAGGTAGATTTTTTAAAAGTCAGCATTTTAGTGGAGTGAGGGCCTAATGAACACTTCTAGTTGCACATCTTTGTTGAGCAAAATATTTTAAATTTTTACCATTTATTTTATAAATGTTGTCTGTCTGTCTCTTGTACACATATAAAGTTACTACAGAGCAGTGTGATGAAAGATATTTATTGGAGACAGGAGTTCCGTGAATTTAGAAATTCAATGGGCTGGGTGTGGTGGGCTCACGCCTATAATCCCAGCACTTTGGGAGGCCGAGGCGGGTGGATCTTTTGAGGTCAGGAGTTTGAGACCAGCTTGGCCAACATGGTGAAAACCCATCTCTACTAAAAATACAAAAACTAGCCGGGCATGGTGGTGGGCACCTGTACTCCCAGCTACTTGGGAGGCTGCGGCACGAGAATCGCTTAAACCCAGGAGGCGGAGGTTGCAGTGAGCTGAGATCATGCCACTGGGTGTGTCACTGCACTCCAGCCTGGGCGATAGAGTGAGACTCGGTCTCAAAAATAAAAAATTCAAGACATACCAATGATACAATATTCTAATCTGTTGTCAGGATTTACTAAGACTGAAAAATTCTTTTTGTCTTATTGAATTTTCAGCAACCACAACCACATTTTAAAAAGAATCTTAACCACGTTGATATTTTAGCACGGTGCTCTTACCTGTGGCATACGGTACTTGTTTGGCTGAGTGGAATTGAACTGGGCCCCTAATTTTGAGGCTGTAAGATGGATTTCTTAAAAGCAGCTTTTCCTGATAGCTTCCAATGAATAAAGAGCATTTCAAAACTTCAGACTGGGATTTAATCTGTGTATCCTGATTCCCTTTTCACAAAAGCTTCCAAGATTATTTTGTCGTTTACTTTTTAATTTTATTTTCTTCCTTCTCTTCGTTTTCCTTCCCTCTAGCTACACATTATTTGCATGGTTGCTATATTTACCATTTCTTATGCCTCTGATACTAACTTAGATAGGAAACCTTTACGTTGGCCTGGAGTTTCTGAGGAAATTGGAAAAAGAACTTTTTCTTTGCTAGAGGAGTAAGTGAAGTATATGAACATGTGTGTAGCTCTCACAGCCAAATGAAGGCCAGAGCCCTCAGAAGCCCCACCAAGCCAGCATCTTCTATTTCGTTGCTTTTGAAAGTAGAACCCTGGGACAGAGCTATGTCATATTCACTATCTCATTTGCTTTTTCTTTCTCTTTTCTTTTCTTTTTTTTGAGATGGCGTCTCACTCTGTTGCCCAGGCTGGAGTGCAGTAGTGCGATCTCGGCTCACTGCAACCTCCGCCTCCAGGGTTCAAGCAATTCTCCTGCCTCAGCCTCCTGAGTAGCTGGGATTACAGGTGCATGCCGCTACGCCTGGCTAATTTTTGTATTTTTAGTAGAGACAAGGTTTCACTATGTTGGCTAGGCTGGTCTCGAACTCCTGACCTCAGGTGATCCACCCGCCTCAGCCTCCCAAAGTGCTGGGATTACAAGGGTAAGCCACCATGCCCGACCACTTTTTGTTTTCTTTTGGTGATTTTTTTCCCTGAGGGTGTTTTTTTAAAGGTCTAGTTCTTTTTTGTTTTGAAAATTATAAATCATTTTGATGCTAATTAAATGAAGACAATGCTGCCCTGTAAGCCAGAAGGTTTAAGTTCAAAAGTTATTTAAATATGACAACATTACAAGAAAAAAAAACCAATTCTTTGTATTCAATTTCCTAATGGGGTGCCATCAATAAGCTGAGATACAGCCCTGGAACTCAATCAGCCACACCTTCCCGCATCCTGTTGGCCTTATTCATTTAAAATGAGTTAATGAATCTGCCAGATCTGTGAATGACAGAGATCATGCTCAATTAATGCTGATTCTTTGTGTGTGGGGGAAACCTCTGTAGAGCACCTTTTCTTTCTTAGAGTAGGTAACCCAGTACAGTAGTTGTGAAACTGAATAATTAAAACTTTGGCTTCTCTTAGGAAGAGTTCCTAGTCATAGGTGTCCTATGGGAAAATTTACTTTTTTTAATGTCCTGTTCCTTATTGCTGCAAATTATCAGTATTTATAAAGTAACTGATTTTATACCACTTTTTTGTTACTGTGACCATGGCAGAACAATGTCTCCTAGACTATGTCTGTGTAAAGTTGTTAGAATGGTATCTTGTTCGTTTTAGTGATATGAAGATCACAGCTAGCAACTTACACATCAGAGTTTGCCAGTTCAAATTCAGCATGGTTGCAGCTGATTAGGAAATTGATATGATTATTCTTTGCTAGTCTGCCTTACTAATGGAATTATATATTGGCCAGTAAAATGGGCCTCCCAATTGCTGTTTCAGGAGATTTTAAAATCTTCAAGCAACATCAATTAGGAAAATAGCTCCAGAAAATATAGATAGATTTTAATTTTATTAAAATGGCAGTCTACATCATAATGATCTTTTCCTGAGACTGTCTTTACCAGAATCTGTGTGAAATAATTCATCTTTTTCTACAGAAAGCAGTGCAAGCAGTGTAGTCTCCTTGAAAAGAAAATCTCTTAGATGTTTAGGAAGGCAGACTTGGCCGTTATGCAGCATCCTGGCTTTTGTGGTGTAGTGTTGTGCGTTTGGAGTTAGTGTGAAAACATGGATTACATTAAGTGGAAGAAATGTCTTCTTGCCCAGCTCATTCTTAGAACTTAAACAACACAACAGCTTCTACTTTGGCAATTATGTTGTAGCACTAGAGCCTTTTACGTGGAAGAGAATGAGGGGTTGCGGTATGTCAAAGACAGCATTCATTAATACAGCATTAATGTGTTGCTCTTGCGTTGGAATCTGAAGGTCCTTAAGACTTTTTGGGTTTTGTTTTTAAACAAAACAATGTGAAAACATTCAAGGTTGAAATGTTGCATTTGAAGTTATGATAGTTAAATATATTCATATTACCAAGACTAATATACTGGAAGTGGTTTCTTTTTGTGTTGTAAAGGTTTAATTTTATATAAGACAGTTACTTAAAGTGATTTTTAACCCTTAAAAAAGTGGAGATATATACATTTTTTAACAATGCCATGAAAACATTTTCTTTCTCCTGAGGAAAAGTGAATTTCTTATCAGAATTCAGGCTGGCCCTGTAATTTAAATTAAAATACAATTTTAGAGAAACAAAAAGTAACTTAAAATTGACTCTGGATAGCATTGCAGGCTATTTACATCTCCATTTTATATATGTTTTATATATGCACATATATATATACGCACACATATATACACACACATTTTATATATGTTACATATATATTTTATTTATTACACGTATATATACACACACATTTTATATATATTATATATATTTTATTTATTTATTTATCTATTTATCTATTTATTTTGAGATGGAGTTTCACTCTTGTTGCCCAGACTGGAGTGCAATGACGCAATCTCAGCTCACTGCAACCTCTGCCTCCTGGGTTCAAGCAATTCTCCTGCCTTAGCCTCCTGAGTAGCTGGGATTACAGTTGTGTGCCACCATGCCCAGCTAATTTTTATATTTTTAGTAAAGAGGGGGTTTCGCCATGTTGGCCAGGCTTGTCTCGAACTCCTGACCTCAGGTGATCCACTCTCTTCTGCCTCCCAAAGTGTTGGGATTACAGGCGTGAGCCACTGTGCCTGGCTTCCATTCTATGTTGAATAATGTTTTCATTCTCTAAGCCAAAATCCCACCTAGATAGCATGGATGGATAACTACCTATTTATTCTATGTTTTGATTAATTTACCTAGAATGTAATTCCTGTCTGGTCTTTTGTGCTGTAGAATCCCAATGGTGTCTTGTTTTAATACCCTCATCTGTGTTCCATAGTTACGGGCTGTTATTAAGAGAATCTAGAGAAGAATGAGAAATTGAACCCAGGGTTTTTATTGTAGAATTTTAAATTCCACTGTATTAATCTAGTTCTTAGGAATTAGGCCTTCTAGAAACAGGCCACTGGCTTCCTGGCCTTGTTGTGGTCTGGATCCTTCCAGGAGAACTCGTGAGGATAGCACATCTGCATTCGAGCTGATACAACTTCCATTCTCGCCCCTGTCCTAAGCACTGGGAATATTCATAATAGCTGTTGTGTATGGTTGTTAACAAAAAGTGATCACATCTTATAATCTCACTCGGCTCCAAAATTCACAATGCAGTTTCATCCTTACTGTTACTTTCATACATAACTGGGGGTTGTCTACTATAAGCCATGTTTTTGGTGCTGCCTTTCTTGAGTCAACTTAGCAGCAAATACATTTTACTACTGGCACCTCCTACCATGAGATAGCTGGAATTTGATTATGCCTCAAAAGTGTGACTTTTAAAATCTAAGTATTATAGAATTAGCATTTTACCGTATCTCTATTTGGTAACTCTGATTTGCTTTGTGCCTTTCTGATAAGTTCTGGAGCAATAAATAATGTTTGCCATTGGCAATGTTCTTTCCAAGATCCTTACATTTTTGCTTCTTTTCATCTTTAGTCAACAATAGTTACTTACGTTTAGAAGATGAACTGTCTGTGACTTTAATCTTTAGCAACAATAATCTTTTGCAAAAACTTGTAGTAAAGATGTGAAGAAGCTAGAGAATTGATGTATTATTACTTTACAAGTCAGTGGTCCTTTGCATTGACACTTCTTATCCTTGACGTTTATCATTGACGAGGGGTTCAGGATGCCCCCATCTCTGTTCTATGTTGTGCCTTCCTCTGGCCATGAAAGAGTTTGTGTATTTTCATTGTAATCAATAAGGAATGAGATTCTGTGAATTCAGGCACTAATTTCAGAGAGCATTTCCCATACTTGTTTATTTTTTTTGAAAAATTCCAGTTATTATGGCTCATGCCATTCTTGCATTGCTATAAAGAAATACCTGAGACTGGGTAATTTATAAAGAAAAGAGGTTTAATTGGCTCACCGTTCTGTACAGGAAGCATGATGCTGGCATCTGCTTCTGGGGAGACCTTAGGAAACTTCCATTCATGCCAGAGTGTGGAGTCAGGGGAGCAGGAGCAAGATACCGAGTGGGGAGGTGCTACACATTTTTAAATGAATAGATCTCACGAGAACTCACCCACTGTCGCAAAGACAGTACCAAGGGGGGCTGGTACTAACCCATTCATGAGAAATCCTCCCCCGTGATCCAGTCACCTTCACCAGGCCCCACCTCCAACACTGGGAATGACATTTCAATATGAGATTTGGGCAAGGACAACATCCAAGCTCTGTCAGCTCAGGAGACTGGAGATTATGATGACCAATCAACATGCAGACGTAAGGAAAGATCCGACCTTTGGTTTTTCCAGGCTGCCATTTATTGATCACTTCTGTGGCTCAGGCAGCGGACTGTGATTTCCAACAGATTGTTCCATGTACTCTTATTATTCCCATTTTACCAGTGAGGAAACCGAGGCTTGGTGATGTGAAATGACTTTCCACTGTCATTTGGGCCTCAAGCAGCAGAGGCAAAATCCCCGCCGATTCTGTCTGGCTCTGAAGCCCATTCCCCAAGCATGAATCCCTTACTCCCTACCACATAATGGGTAACGTCGTGCCTTGGGGCTTGAGACTGCTGTCGTCTAGGAACAGTCCCTATTTTGACTAATGCTGTTGGGTCTCTTTCACAGTTGCTCAAGACCTGTTCATTATCTGTTTCAGATTTCAAGATTAATAATTAACCCGTAAGGGCTTTTCCCATTGTGTCAAGTTCAAACAAAATAAGCTGACAAACTCCATTATAAATTGAACATACGTAACAAACAGTGCAAGTCCCAACAAGAAATAACAGTTGATAGGTTTAGTGTTTTCTCCACTGAAGCCTGGGCCAGTGTCAGCAGTTAATGCCTTCTCAGAAATGTCATGGAAGGGAGAAGGTGGTGACGTGGTAGCATGGCCAGGTTTACAACTTAAAAAGGAGGGCTGCGAAAGGCATAGGGGAGGGGCATTTATTTTTAATTGAATCCCAGAAGGAGCTATTGAAGTCTTTTCAATAATTAAATATGCCTATCATATTATAAATTATTTTTGAACAAATTGTTGCTTTGTCTTAAAGGTTTTTGGATGCACTGTGTTCATAACAAAACAAGACAAGAAACCCATGATTAGAAATTTTGGTCTGTGGTTGCTGATGTTTTTGTTTCCATTAGTGTGAAGAAACTGCTAATGAGGTATATTAAACTCCAAATCTAAGTATTGTTGTTGAACCTGTGTTCCTGTTCGCCCTACGCCTCCCTCCTCCGATAACATTTATTTAACACGGAGTGATATATTTGCTTCTTTCTCTGACTCATTTGTAGCAGGCCTGTGAAAAGGGATTTGAGGTGGGGAGGATATATACCATTATACTTCTCATGGCCCAGTTCTCTCTCCATCTGTTTTTCTCTCTCTCTCTCTCTCTCTCTCTCATTGTTTTTTTTTCTCTCTCTCTCTGTTTCTCACACACACACACACACACACACACACACACACCCTCAATTGGATCTGATCTGATCCATGCTTGGTGAGTAAGAAGTACAGGAGCCAAGGATGACGTCTGTCACGTTAGTGATTACCTTCTTCATGGTCTATTATGTGTGGTACTTTTATGGTTGATGGAAAGTTTTAGATGAGGGAAGACAGACAATTAGAGAGGGAAGAATACCAGATGAGAGTAGAGCTGGCCAGCCATGACACTGATATTTGGAAATGCCAATTAAGTAAACACCTTGATCACTTGATTATTACAAGTAGATGGAATCTGTAGGAGTAGAACTGAGCACATTTCATTAAGATTATTTCCCGCGGTAGTCACCATGACACACTAACTCTTTCACAGGTTTTCAATAGACAGTTTACAAAATCAGTTTTCATGATTAAGAAAGTTTAGAAAACACTAGGTTAAATAAAGTGAAATCCATTTCGTTACTGTTGGAGTTGGAGTGCCCAACTTTGGCCATAGAATGCATATTTCTTGGAGCACCTGGTAACATTCCTGTATTTCTACAGAAATATGCATAGTTATTGGAAGGCAGGGTGGCGGAGTGAAGTGGGCACTGCAGGTTTGGAAGGAAGCCCACCTGGGTTCTCATGACAGTCAAGCCACTCCATCCGCTCAGCTGTGGACAGGCCACTTACACAGAAATGGGTGTAAGAGTAAGTCATGTGCCCTCCCCCACCCAGGTGGCTGTGATGATTAGATTATCTAATGTACATAGAAACGTTTTTCAAATTATGAAGCACCCTGCAAATAGCAGTTATTATTACACCCTCTAATGTTTTTATTGCCATAATATATGTATCGTCATACTCGGGCAATTGGTATTCCTTTTGAGCACTAGGATAACCTGTTAACTGTTCATCATAAAGAATTTCATTAAGTTGCACCCCTCCCTCTTCATAGCCCTCTGAGTTCATCGTATGGCACTTAACTCTGAGCATTATATCATATTTTTGGGGTCTCAAAACCCTAACGTAAAACACAAAATTGGCCATTGTAACTGTTTTCAGGTGAACAGCTCAGTGGCATTAAGTACATTCCCATTGGCCGGGCACGGTGGCTCATGCCTGTAATCCCAGCACTTTGGGAGGCCAAGGCGGGTGGATCACCTGAGGTCGGGAGTTCGAAACCAGCCTGGCCAACATGGTGATACCTAAAATACAAAAATTAGCCGTGCGTTGTGGCAGGTGCCTGTAATCCCAGCTACTCAGGAGGCTGAGGCGGGAGAATCTCCTGAACCCAAGAGACGGAGATTGCAGTGAGCCGAGATCTCGCCATTGCACTCCAGCCTGGGTGACAGAGCGAGACTCCGTCTCAAAGGAAAGTACGTTCACACTGTTATGTGGCCATCACCACCATCCATCTCCAGAACTCTTTTCGTCTTGCAGAACCAAAACTGTGTACCCATTCACCAACAGCTTGCCATCCACCTTTCTATTTCTGCCTCAATGAGTTTGACTGTTCTAGGTACCCCGCATTAGTGGAATCATACAGTATTTGTCCTCTTTTGTCTGGTTTATTCAATTAGCATAATGTTTTCAAGTATACCCTCTAATTTTATATAATGTGAAATTGTAATTGAGTTTTATTCATTTTCTTAATTTACTCACCGCTAGTGCCATTCTTTTACATAGCATGAAGTTGGAAGGGTGCATGTATCCCTAGAACGTTCCTCTAGAACAGCCCTGAAGAGTTAGTAGCATGAGTTTAGGAGAAGGGATGTCAAGGATATGCCTTTGAGAAATGCAGATCAGAAATCCAGTCCAGGCCAGATGCAGTGGCTCATGCCCGTAATCCCAGCATTTTGGGAGGCCAAGGCGGGCGGATTATGAGGTCAGGAAATCAAGACCATCCTGGCTAACACGATGAAACCCCATCTCTACTAAAAATACAAAAAATTAGCTGGGCGTGGTGGCACATGCCTGTAGTCCCAGCTACTCTGGAGGCTGAGGCAGGAGAATTGCTTGAACCCAGGAGGCAGAGGTTGCAGTAAGCTGAGATCGCACCACTGCACTCCAGCCTGGGTGACAGAGCGAGACTCTGTCTCAAGAAAAAAAAAAAATTCCAGTCCAATCTCAAATTGAAACTAAAAGGACCCTGGACTCCCCTGATAAGAAGACTCATTTTGTTTCTTCTTCAGCCAGGGATTTGAAATAGAAGAGACATGAGTGTCAGCACCTAAGTATTATCTTTTTCTCTTGTGGATTATCTTGCAGATGATTCATGCATAAGCAGGAGTTTTAAAAATTATGTATTTTGTCATTTCTGCCTGTCTTAAAATGGTTGTTTTTGATTTGGGGCTCCGTTGGGGAAGTCCTCTGTCACTTTTAGGTGAAGATCATCCACTTCACATATAAATAGTCGAAAATTTGAAATTATCTGTTTTTGTTCATTTAAATAAAGTTTAAACCTTTTGAGGTGTGCATATTTTTTTTTGGAATGAGTATTCTCTTCTATACCAGGATTTTAGGGTAAAAGTATATCCAAATACTCCTTATTACCCCCAGAAATAGAAATGTTTCCTTTCCCAAGGATTTCAATAGTATTCTGATTATACATTAAATAGTATACCAAAATGATCATACTATTTTCCTGAATAATCATCAAATCCAGGTTAAAAATTCGGAGTTGGCCGGGTGCGGTGGCTCACGCCTGTAATCCCAATACTTTGGGAGGCTGAGGCAGGCGGGTCACCTGAGGTCAGGAGTTCGAGACCAGTCTGCCCAACATGGCGAAAACCCGTCTCTAGTAAACATACAAAAAATTAGCCAGGAGCGGTGTTGTATGCCTGTAATCCTAGCTACTCAGGAGGCTGAGGCAGGAGAATCGCTTGAACTCGGGAGGCGGAGCTTGCAGTGAGCCAACATCGCTCCACTGCACTCCAGCCCAATCCGTCTCAAAAAACAAACAAACAAAAATAATCAGAGTCAAGAACCTGAGAATCCTAATGTGCATATTCTCAAAAGGTACGTGTATTCTTTACCTTTGTCCTGTTAAGGGCATCTATTGAATTGTAGAGACTCTCAGCTCTATTACCATCCTGTGGCAATTGGTATTCCTTTTGAGTACTAGGATAACCTGTTAACTGTTCATCATAAAGAATTTCATTAAGTTGCATGCCTCCCTCTTCATAGCCTCTGAGTTTATCGTATGGCACCTAACTTTTGAGCCTTAGATTACATTTTTGGGGTCCCCATCTCATGTCTTCATTGCTACCCACCCAAATAATCTTTAAGACCTTTTTTTTTTTTTTTTTTTTGTGATGGAGTCTCACTCTGTCACCCAGGCTGGAATGCAGTGGCGTGATCTCGGCGCACTGCAAGCTCCGCCTCCTGGGTTCACGCCATTCTCCTGCCTCAGCCTCCTGAGTAGTTGGGACTACAGGTGCCTGCCACCACGCCCAACTAATTTTTTGTATTTTTAGTAGAGACGGGGTTTCACCGTGTTAGCCGGGATGGTCTCGATTTCCTGACTTCATGATCCGCCCGCCTTGGCCTCCCAAAGTGCTGGGATTGCAGGCGTAAGCCACCGCACCTGGCCCTTTAAGACCCTTTAAGAAGTCTTAAACCTTCCTTGTCCTACCATGCTGTGTGGAATCTTGAACCATGCCATCCACAAGGTGGGTGCTAAGCATATGGTGACAGTGAATGGGGTTGAGTTGAATTGAGATGGAGGTCTGGAAGCCATAAATTGAAGGGAAATTTTTAGATGAAAACTAGCGTCAGGATCTTATTTACCTTTATGGAAAACCGAGCTGTGCTGGGTGGCGCAGCGCAGATGGCAGGCTGTTCCTGTGAGTGTGGGGACGGAGTGAGAGAAACAGAACCAAACAGGTGGCTCAAGAGCTGCCACCCTGGTGCCAACATGCGTTCAGGCCGTGTGCGGGGCCCCCTTCCCCGTGCTTGTGCGAGTGAGGCAGCCGCAGAACCAGAAGGCTGATGTTATTTTGATCACCAAGCTCTATTTAGTGAATACACTTGATTAAT
This sequence comes from Homo sapiens, assembly GCF_000001405.40. NCBI lineage: Eukaryota > Metazoa > Chordata > Mammalia > Primates > Hominidae > Homo > Homo sapiens. The sequence continues at coordinate 31,294,742 of NC_000021.9, read as the reverse complement.
TTCCCTCCTTCTTCTCATGGATGCTATTTTGAATGGAAAATCACTACTGGAAAAATAAATCTCTACATTAATGATGCCCACAATCATGTTTTTTCTCTTTACATACCATACCCAACGGCTCTCTTTTCTGTGAAGCCCAACATTTTTAAAGCCCTTACTAGGTGCTAAATTTTACTGAGGAAGAACCTGAAACCACAGAGAAATTAACTGATTTTCCCGAAGTTAACAGGTTACCCTGGTGCTCAAAATGGAATACCAATTGCTTACCCACTATGTATGTTCTTTGTTTTGACCCTTGAAAATTCAAACTCCCTGCTCTGTGGTGGAGAAGCAGAGTTAGAAAGGACTCCTAAGCCAACACTCTCAGCTTGCTTTCTCTCTAGATGGGTATTTTCAGAAAGGGGTATAGTTAGGGCTTGGAGGGGCTGAGTGCCTCCTGAGCCTTCTTGGCATTGGTTTGGTTTAAATGTGACTTGTCAGTTCTTACTAGCTGGGAGGAAATGCTCTGCCAGTATGATGCATTAGTCATGAGCAGGGAGTGGGAGGCTGTTGAACAATCATTCCAACCTCCCTCCCCACTGCTGGCCTTTCATGCTGAACTTTAAGCCCAGCTGCATTGGAATTGAGGACTTGCTGGGGACACCCCCCACCCTCACCATGCTGTGTGCTTGAAGTCTTGGCTTAGAGGTGGGAGAGGGTGATGATTTCAGATCCAAGACTAGAGCAGAAATAACACCAACAGGGTAGCTTATGTACCCAGGACCTCCATAATTTATGTTTGTTGGGAGGGGAGGGAGGGTGGTTAAAAGTAGCGGCTGTTTCAAGAATCAGAAGCTGTGGTATAAACTACCACATTGTTCCTGGATATGTGTGTTTTCCAATCTGTAAATATATTTTAATGCAGTTTTCCATGTTGAAATAAAAGGTAGTCACCACTCTTGATGATGTTGGCTACCAAGAGACAAAAGCTTGGATGGTTGCAATTGTCTTGAAATATATGGAAAGGAAGACATTCTGCAAGACTTGCCGCTCTTCGCAGCGACCTCTTCATGCCCCGGAGACTGTGGCTACCTGGAACACCTGAGCTGACCTCCCTTCAGAGCACAGGACAGGTGGCCTTGTGGGATGGAAGAGAGTCTGTCAGGAGCACCTGTTGGATATTGCATTGTAGACATTCTGTGGGAATACATTTTATTCTCTTTCTTCCTTTGGCTAATATTGATGGCATTACTAGGCACTGGAGAAAAAGTCTGTTGTGTGGGGAATGATGGTTCATTTGATCTGTCAACTTGGTAGGTTGTGGTGCCTAGTCGTTTGGTCAAATACCAGTCTAGATGTCTAGATGTTGCTGTCAGTTATGTTTGGATGTAATTAACATCTACATCAGTAGGGGTTGAGTAAAGCAAATGACCCTTCATAACATTGGTAGGCCTCATCCAATCAGTCAAAGATCTTAAGACAGAAGACTGAGGTCCCCGAGAAGGAAGAAGTTCTGCCTCCAGATGCCCTTGGACTCAAACTGCAGCATCATTTTTTCCCTGGGTCTCCAACCCTACCTTGCAGATTTCAAACTTGGCAGCCCCCGCAAATGCATGAGCCAATTCTTTAAAGTAAATCTTGGCTGGGCACGGTGGCTCACACCTGTAGTCCCAACACTTTGGGAGGCCCAGAAGGGCAAATCACTTGAGGTCAGTAGCTCAAGACCATCCTGGCCAACATGGCGAAACTCCGTCTCTACTACAAATACAAAAATGAGCTGCGCATGGTGGCGGGCGCCTGTAATCCCAGCACTTTGGGAAGCTGAGGTAGGTGGATCACCTGAGGTCAGGGCAGATCATTTCAGGTCAGGAGTTCGAGACCAGCCTGGCCAACATGGTGAAACCATGTCTCTACTAAAAATACAAAAATTAGCCAGGCGTGGTGGTGCGCACCTGTCATCCCAGCTACCTGGAGGGCTGAGGCATGAGAATCACTTGAACCCAGGAGGTGGAGGTTGCAGTGAGCTGAGATCACCGCGTTGCACTCCAGCCTGGGTAACAAAGTGAGACCTTGTCTTAAAAAAAAAAAAAAAAGTGCCAGGCACGGTGGCTCATGCCTGTAATCCCAGCACTTTGGGAGGCTGAGGCGGGTGGATCACTTGAGGCCAGGAGTTTGAGACCAGCCTAGCCAACATAGTGAAACTCCGTCTCTACTAAAAATACAAAAATTGTCCTGGCCTGGTGGCGCATGCTTGTAATCCCAGCTACTCGGGAGGCTGAGGCATGAGAATCACTTGAACCCGGGAGGCAGAGGCTGCAGTGAGCCGAGATCGCATCACTGCACTCCAGCCTAGGCCACAGAGCAAGACTCTGTCTCAAAAAAAAAAAAAAAAGGAAATTGAAAGCAAGGTGACCTGACCTGGATTAGAAGGGTAGGAATAGAAGAGACAAGATGTAGAAGATACTTCAGGGACCTTCGGGGAAGAACAAGGGGAAGAAGGACACAAGAGGAAAGAAAGAAATGAATATTCATGAAGCTCCAACTAAATACCAAGAAAAAGTGTGTTTACATACATTGCCTCACTTAATTCCCAGCACAAACCTGCAGGCAGGTATCCTGTTTTGCAGATGGAGAAAGTGATTCGTAGGGATATTAAGTGGCTGGCTTAAGGTCACAGATGCAGTGAATGGCAGGTTAGGATCAGGTCTCTCAGATCCTAAGCCTATGTTACATTTACCAATCACGCTGCCCTCATAAGGGTGAAAGGTTTTGACCCTAAGTGGTGGATCATCAGTAGGATAATCCCAGGAGGTGAGAAAGAGGGATTTGTGCTGAAGAAGGAGAGTCTGGAAGGAACTAGATGGAGCCATGTAGAAGGCTGTGGGCAGAACCTACAGTTGGGGCAAGAGGAATATCTGAGGGTTATACAGGCATGGAATTCGGCTGGGCACGGTGGCTCATGCCTGTAATTCCAGCACTTTGGGAGGCCAAGGCGGGCAGATCACCTGAGGTCAGGAGTTCAAGACCAGCCTGGCCAACATGGCGAAACTCTTTCTCAACTAAAAATACAAAAATTAGCCAGGTGTTGTAGCGCATGCCTGCAGTCCCAGCTACTCAGGAGGCTGAGGCAGGAGAATCACTTGAACCTGGGAGTGGAGGTTGCAGTGAGCCGAGATCACGCCATTGTGTTGTCGCCTGGGCGACAGAGCGAGACTCCATCTCAATAAATAAATAAATAAACAAATAAATAAATAAAGGCATGGAATTTGAGGGAAGGGTGTGTATTTTGGAGGGGGTGCAGATCAGCAGGATCAGATGCAGATGGGAGGTCATAGCCATATGAGTTCCTAAGGAGAGCTCCTTCCATCATCAGCAGACTTTCTGGATTGGAAGCTGGCCAGAGACAGGTTTCTGGAAGATTAAGCTTTTTTGTTGTTGTTGTTGTTTCTATCTATGAGGAGAAAAGTTTTGTATAACTTTTTTAAAAATAATTTTTCATTGCCTGTTGTTGTTAGCCTTTATTCTTCCAGACTGTAGAACTGAAATTTCTTGGCTTCTTACCCTGGCTGTGTCTGAAATCACCCACACTGAGAAATGCAGTTATGGTTGGAAAGGTGTTTTTTTGTTTACTGCATCTTGGTGAATCACAATACACAGTATTGTCTTGACTTGTGGTGGGTGGAGATGAGCCCTTCTGTCTTATAATTTTCTTCTTCTACATATGGTGCGGTTTTATTAACTACTGGTGAAGGGATAATTTGTTATTATCGTTGTTGCAAAAGCACAGCTGAATTTAGTGGTCCCTAGTGAGCGCTAGTGCTATCACCAGATGATTTCAGAGGAGCCAGAGGATATCAGCACATGTCTCCTTAATGGTGATGTGCTACCTTCCTGAAGATTCTGGGAGATTTTGGCCCTCGCACATGATATGACTTCGTAATAAGGCTAAAATGTAGATAATATTTTGACTGTACAGATGGGGAAACTGAGGAAACACAGGTGGGGTTTGCTAGTTGCAAAAGCAGTCGCCATCAGCAGAAAACAGATCCTCTTTGGTAAAAAGCTATTCCATAATCTGTTGCTAATTTTTTTTTTTTTTTTTTTTTTTTTTTTTTTTGAGATAGAGTCTTGCTCTGTTACCGGGGCCGGAGTGCAGTGGGGCAACCTTGGCTCACTGCAACCTCTGCCTTCTGGGTTCAAGCGATTCTCCTGCCTCAGCCTCCAGAGTAGCTGGGATTACAGGCACGCGCCGTCATTCCTGGATAATTTTTATATATTTTTTTCTTTTTTTTAGTAGAGATGAGGTTTCACCATGTTGGCCAGGCTGGTCTTGAACTCCGGACCTCAAGTGATCTGCCTGCTGTGGCCTCTCAAAGTGATAGAATTATAGGCGTGAGTCACCATGCCCAGCCAATGTTTGTTTTTTGAGCCTGAGTTCTCCACAAGTTGCCTTTCCTGATTTTTTTTTGGTAGGTCCCAGATCGGCCCTGTATTTCCTTGAGCACTGGCCTTCAATATCAGATGAATGTGCAAGATGAATTCATCAGGGCATGAAAGGAAATTTCAAAATTTATGTTTCATCTTTTGCCTTTAGATTTCTGTTGGTTCAAATAAATTATGTGCTATATAAATACATACAGAAAATTGAAATGTGCATAATGTATTTGAACAGTACTTCAAGTATATATACATTAAATAAATCAGCAGTGGTAGGCATACTCTTCGGGGTGGGCATGCTTAGAACTATTTTTTTGAATGGTGATGCCAATAAAACCATTTGCATCATAGTGCCCTGGACAGGAGTATACTCATTGATTCGTAGAGGGCAAGCCTAGTGTCTGTTTCACTTCCCTTGTGTGTGGTCCCATAGATATTACTTGGCAGTGAATGTCAGGCTTTTAAAGCCTGTTGCTGTCATACTAGAAACAGATTTGCTTTGTGATTTTATGTATCGGTTTTCTGCATGGGGACTGATGTATCACTGTTTGAGAAACGTTCCCATGACTCCCCAGGAATTGCCTTTATATTAAAAGAGGCTGATTATCCTCTTATGATTTTTAGGGAGGGGAATATGGGCTCTGTTTGATTTTTGTTTTCTTCTACATAACAAATCTGATTCGCAATGACTTCATATGCTTTTTATTCTCTCCCAATTTGTCATTTGGCTAGGATGAACAGTAATTGTTGTACAGCCAAAATATCTTGCACCGGCTTTTAAATGAGCTTAGGTCACTTTTCTGGGGTCCAGCTCAGTGGTACTTTTGCCTTAATTGAATCACCTATACTGAAAAAAGAATACCCAGTAGAGAAAAATCTCATGGTGGTTACCATTGTGATGCCCGTGGGTTTTGACTTGAGAAAGTTAAAGAAATATGGACTTCTTTCCAGGCGTAGGGAGCACAAAAACTTCCAGACCATCCACCTAACTTTAAAAAGAATGGGTGCTTAGGAGAGTTGGGCCAAGTCACTTGTGTCCCATAGTTAACCCATGTCTTTCTTGCCATCCCTCTGTGCCCATCACCATGTGCTCCACTCTCATCCTTTGCTGGTCTGGTCACTCACATAAACCAGGGCATTGCCTGAGATCTGCATGGTGTTGCAAAGCTATTGACTTCTTATTTTATACACTCACAGAAAAGTTAAATGATTGTTCTTAAATGCTACATGTGTTTAAGTGGCACTTGGGCATGCTTATTTATGCATTGCAGATATATTGCACTGTGATTTGTACAGCTTTGATCATTGCCTGCATTCAGTGATCTTATTTAAATAATAAGAGTGAGTTCAAGATGTGAGTCAACAGCATGGTGGGTTTCCTGCAGCCTGAGAATATTTTGGAGACTGAACCCAAATCTGATTTACTTTTTAACTTTATGATGCCAAGGCTGAGGCATCCTATTTTTATTTTTGCATTAAATTATTGAAGCTGTTAAATCCATTTATTATTACAGGTATTGATTTAGTCCATACAAAGTGTGGTTGAGATAATGTTTGAAACTTCTGGCCTCTCATGGATAATTAGAGGGTTTGGTTTTGTTTTTGTGTGTGTTTTAAGTTCCATAAATCTGCATTGGAATTGGCCATTATTTGTGTCTCCATTCCAATATCCTCCCTGATCTAAGTTTTTTGGGAGTTGCTATGCTCTGAATGTTGGTATAAATTCATATGTTGGAACCTAATACCTGAATGTGATAGTATCATGCGGTGGGGCCTTTAGGACGTGATTAGGTCATGAGTGCTCTGCCCTCATAAATGGGATTCGTGCCCTTATGAAAGAGACTTGAAGGAGCCTGTTTGCCCTTTCTATCAGGAGAGGATGTATCAGGAAGGTGCCATCTGTGAGGAACAGGCCCTCATCAGATGCTGAATCTGCTGGCAACCTGAACTTGGACTTCCCAGCCCCTAGAACTGTGAGCAAGAAATTTCTGTTGTTTATAAATTACTCAGTCTAAGGTATTTTGTTATAGCAGCCCAAACATACTAAGGCAGGAAGGTTGTTTTTTTTGTTTGTTTGTTTTTGTTTTTTAACTGTATTGCTGTTCTAGTGGGTTCCAGTCCTTTGTTTTTGAGGTCCTTTGTGGAATGGACACCAAATTTCCAGTAAGATCACTGTGAGTGAATTGTGGCCCCTCAGGGATAACATTTGAATCTGGTGCTTGATTATACCTCAGAGTGGAAGGTGTTATTGTCACCTTCCATTTCAGTTACCAAGCCAGGAACTTCAGAGAAGTCTATGCCTCCTTGTTCTTCCTCCTTCTTTCCTCAAAGGATGTATGTGGCCACCGAGTCCTGGTGATCCTACCTGTCATTCTCACTACTCCAAGGCACTCACTGTCCCCGTTGGGCCATCCCAACTTATTGATGGCTTGCAATAAGTCTTTCCCTTCTCTTCCAAGCTACCCAGGTGGGAAAACTATGTTTGATCATGTAACTCCCATAATAAAATCTCATCGTGTAATCCCATCAAATACAATCATGTTCAGTTCCTTTGTGTAGCATCCATAGCCCCAGCCCATCTTTTTAGCTTCATCATCTCCAGCTTTTTCCCATGCACTCGCCTCACTGCAACATTGGGCTAATGATACTTTCATTCCTCAGAGTCTTTGCTTATACCCTTCTCTTTTACTGGAAATTTCTGTCCTTCTCTTTGTGTAAACTCTCTCCTATCCCTGTTCATTTCCTCTCATCCTCCTAAGCTAAGCCAAATCCTATTAACCTGTCAGGACCAGGTTCAACCGAGAGCCTCTCCTAGCAGAATTAGTCTATTTCTTCACATCCTTCACTATTAATAATGCCAGACTAGCTGTTACAGCCCTGTCTGAGTGGGTAGATGCCCACTGTCTTCCCAGATTATATGCATCATAAAGAAATGGTCTATTTCCTCATTCCAAACATATAACAGGTGCCCAGTAAAATGTTGGTTGAGTTGAACTGAATGTGTGATCATCAGTAAAATTCTACATAGATACTCTGTCTTACCCAAACAATTCATAAGCAGTTTTTAGATAGCCCTAAGCGTAGCTATTTAGAAGCCTATTTTTATATACTCTTTTTCATAAGATGCTGTCATTTGTAAAATGCACCACTATTTTGCATACCACTAAGAAGCAGAGAAAATGGCACCACTAAACCCCAATACACCATTGTGATTGTAAGATATATTCAATTTCAAAGATGTTAAGAGTCAAAAATAGTGTTTCTTAAAATCAATGAAATAAAGAATTATGTTTTTACATGTTAGAGCTTGTAGTCTTAATTGTATAACTGTGAAACAACTTGAAATGATTTGCAAATAAAAACTTAAGGTCATTTTTTTTTTCCATTTTAAAATGAGGAGTGACTAAAGGAGAATTTGGGACCAAGTGCCCAGGGAGTGACTTGGGACTCAAGGCCTTTTGACCATGGTTACGTCACTCTGTCTTGTGGTACCTCTGACAAAGTCCTCAAGTTTCAACCTCAGTTCTTCTCTTTCAAAAGAATCATCTGTATTTTGAAAATCTGTGGGAAGAATTTCTTTAAATAAATAAATGCACACACACACACAATTTGTTGAGACAGGATCTCTCTCTGTTGCCTAGGGTGGAGTACCATGGCACAGCCACAGCTCATTGCAGCCTTGATCTCCTGGGCTTAAGTGATCCTCCCGGGCAAGCCATCCCAGTAGCTGGGACTACAGGTGCATGCCACCACACCTGACTAATTTTTTTTTTTAATTGCTTTTACAGATGATGTCTTACTGTGTTTCCCAGGCTGGTCTTGAACTTCTGAGCTCAAGTGATCTTCCTGTTTCGGCTTCCCAAAGTGCTAAGATTGCAGGCATGAGCCACCAAGCCCAGTCCTTTAAATATTTTTATTTTAAAGAAATAGACATGAGGTCTTACCATGTTGCCCAGACTGGTCTCGAACTCCTGGGCCCAAGTCGTCCTCCTGCCTCAGCCTCCCAACATGCTAGGATTACAGGCATGAGCCACTCACTGTGCCTGGACCCTTTAAATATTTTTTTAAATCATTAACTTTAAAATGCAATATTCTTTGCTGCACTGCGATGTTTATTTAGTCTTTGATTAAAATCCTTCTGTTAGGTTATGCTACCTAAACACATATCAAGGTTGATGATATTCATAATATCCCCCTAGCAATGGTGCAACACAGGATCCTATTACAATTTCACTTTTTACATATGGAAACTCTTATTTCCCAACTATCATACTTGCCCAATACCTTTTAGTTATTAAATTAAGTTGCTGATCAATGATATACACACACTTACATACTTAATATTTCTAGATTCTCTTTCTTCCTCTCCACTTACAATGTCATAGCCTTAAAAGCTTTCTCATTATCTGGAAGACTGAACTCTCTCTTTTATTTTAATTAATTGATTAATTAATTAATTTATTTGTTGAGACGGAATCTCACTCTGTGCCCAGGCTGGAGTGCAATGGTGTGATCTTCGCTCACTGCAGCCTCCACCTCCTGGGTTCAAGCGATTCTCCTGCCTCAGCCTCCCGAGTAGCTGAGATTACAGGTGTGGGCCACCACACTCAGCTAATTTTTGTATTTTTAGTAGAGACAGGGTTTCACCATGTTGGACAGGCTGGACTCTTAACTCCTGACCTCAAGTTATCCACCCACCTTGGCCCCCCAAAGTGCTGGGATTACAGATGTGAGCCACCATGCCTGGCGTGAAATCTCTCTTTAACCATGTTCTGTTAAAAGAATTTCATGCCGTCAACACAAGTGCAACAGCAGCAGAGACAGCCCCAAGGTGAAAGCAGCAAGTCCATGGGGGGAGTGATTCTTTTTGGATGGGCCCTTTAGGCTCAAAGCATCCAGGGACAACAAGGCAGATTTTCACACCCCATCCCCGTGACCTTTCCAGCAGTGCTTGGGATTATCTTCTCTGTTGTCTGGATGCAGGCAGTCCCAGCCCTTGTTGCCAACAGGCTTAGTTGCCACCCTGGCCTCTTGAGTTCATGGCCTCACCGCCCCCCCCACAAGCTCTTCCCTGATTCCAGAGTGGCCACACCCCTCTGTGTGCGAAGGCAGCTATGGGTTGGGAATTGGCTTGGGGGGGTGGCTTGGGGAATGAAATCATAGCTGATGACCACATCCTGTTCTGCTTCCTGATGAAGGAAGGGGACCTCTTGATATCCTGACTGTATTTTTGGCTGAAAGACTTTCCTCTTGGCTGCATGGTAAGGGAACAGGTTAGGGGAAGCCAGGCTGTAGGGGTCAGAGGCCATCAGGGAAATTGCAGGTTGCACTTTCGTGCTTTTGGGTCACTGGGGCAGGTCTGGAGAATGTCTTGGAGGTAGACAGAAGCTGCTGAGTCTGAGAGTCCCTTGCGGTGCCTTTTTCCCTGACTTCCCATGTTGGGCCATGTCCCTTGGAATGGAGACTCCCTTGTCTCCAGGCTGGCTCAAGGCTGAACTTCAGGCTTGGAAAACAGAGAATTAGAACCAAATTCCTCACTTTGGGAAGCCAAAGTGGGCTGATCACTTGAGGTCAGGAGTTCAAGACCAGCCTGGCTAACTTGGTGAAACCCCATCACTACTAAAAAAAATACAAAAAAAAATTAGCCGGGTGTGGTGGCACATGCCTGTAGTCCCAGCTACTCGGGAGGTTGAGGCAAGAGAATCACTTGAACTTGAGAGGTGGAGGTTGCGGTGAGCCAAGATCGCACCACTGCACTCCAGCCTGGGTGACAGAGCGAGACTCCATCTCAAAAAAATAAAAAATAAAAAAATTCCTTTCCTGGAACTTCAGTCTTTGACAGTGAAAGAGGAGCTCTGTTTACCCTCCACCCCCCCTGCTGTGTGTCCTAGGAAGTGTGGCTTCCTCCTGTGCCTGTTGCAGCTTCTACAACTTACATGGGAGTGGGAGGCAGCTCTGTCCAAGGGAAGAGACCTAAGGGTGGCTCAATTTTGGAAAATGAGTTGTTGGATAAAGTGATTTGATTTTGACATCTCTTCTAAACCAAGGTGTTGATATGTTCTTGAGGCGATTATTTTGGTGTGCGGTTTAAGGATTATTACTCTCTTATGTTTCATAGGAGGTATGAAAACACTGAGAATGAATACTGTCCTCTCCCACTGTCTTCTTGCACGAGCTTAGATTACCTAGTTCTCTCACAGGGAACACCCTGTACGTTAAGCCACAGTGTGGTGAAATAGCAAAGGACAGATCTAAGCATTAGAAGTTAATGACATTCAGCTCCATTTCTATTTTCTTTGGGGATCAAATGTTCTACCCTGCCTTACGATGTAAGCGTGCTTTTTTGATGTGACTGAAACTTGGAATTTAGGAGCCAAGAGCGAGCCCAAAGCTGTGTTCTAGCATTCCATGGAAACTACTCTTGGAGTGTTGGGTGGAATTCCCAAGTGTTCAGTAGCTTTGCGGCTTTAAGAAATGGGAAAAGGGGATGGGCGCGGTGACTCATGCCTGTAATCTCAGCACTTTGGGAAGCCAAGGAGGGTGGATCACCTGAGGTCAGGAGTTTGAGACCAGCCTGACCAATATGATGAAACTCCGTTTCTACTAAAAATACAAAAATTAACTGGGCATGATGTGCGCTTGTAGTCCCAACTACTTGGGAGGCTGAGGCAGGAGAATTGCTTGAATCCCGGAGGCAGAGGTTGCAGTGAGCAGAGATCATGCCACTGCACTCCAGCCTGGGCGACAGAGCAACACTTCATCTCAAAAATAAATAAATAAATAAATAAAAAAGGGAAAGAAAAGAAAGAAAGAAAGAAATGGGAAAAGAGATGCTGCTTGGATTTTGGAGAAAGCACATGATTCTCATGGTGTGTCCTGAGAAAGTTATTACATCCATTTCAGCGAGCTGGGGCCTCATTTGAACCATTCCTAGAGTCAGGCTGTATGAATATTTGGGAGATTTGGACACTGGCCATGTAACACAGCCCTTGGGGGTCTGGTGGCTTCTAAACCCTGTTGGGAGGAAGCTTTGCAGGAAGTGATGTGGTGTCAGTGTTGCAGTATGTTGGCAGCTGTCAGTCAAAGGTGTAGTTGCAAGGTGATAAACACCAAGAACTTAGGGGAAGTCTAAAGAGCACTTTGGCCTGATGCCATGAACACAGTGCCAGCCAGATAGTAAGCTTTCCATAAATGGTAGCTCGCCCTAAGTTGACATACATAGTAACTTCACTTTGAAATGTACCGACTTTACTTCTAAGAAATATGGTAATGTCTGTCCTGGCTGAACCTGTTGATTAAGTATTGTCAAAGATTTACCGCTCTAAAATTAAAGTTATGATTTTAGATAGTTCCCAACTTGTGGTTGACTTAAACATATTGATTGTATGAATCTGTTCTCTTGCTTAGTTTATTTAGGATATATTTGGATACATTAGGAAGTAACATTGCCCAAAACTAGGGCAGTCTGTGGATATGGAAAGTTCTGGGGACTTTTTAATAATTTTCTGATTTGGGTGTCTTTTTATACCTGCCTTTGAAATATGGTGGGGCTAAAACTATTTCATTCATGCTTTATGGAGTAGGAACTTGGGGCCCTTATCATGGCTCATTCATCTGTTCGGAGGGATTGGTTTTTCACTGGGAGTCCTGGCCCTGCCCCAGGGCCGTCAGTGGGAAGGTAGGAAGCTTTGTGCATGAATCCTTATTGCTATCTCAGCTTTCACAGAAGCCAGACAGACACACCCTTGGTGAAAACAGTGGCTTTACACCAGATGGGGTGTGGTCATCTGTCAGCATGTCCCAGCTACAATCAGCTGTGAGCCAGAGAGTCCATCTCAAGGTCACCCCCACTCAGTCATGCTTCTGCACTCCGTGGAGGGCAGGCAGTGCTCAAGAAGAATTTCCTGGAAGGAACACTGTCTGTCCACTCTGCAGCAGTATCCTGCGTCTTCAAGACGGCTGCTTGCTGCTGAATTGCGGTTTTTAAAAAAATAATTTTCAAGACAAGAAACATTCCTATGAAATTTGTCACTGAGCCTCCGTGGAAGGATGAGGTCTAGAGCATTGCTCATCATATCACAGTGGCCTCAGAGGAACACCAGTGGAGATGCCTGTTTGATCCGAGTACCAAGAACCAAGAACTTTTGTGCTTCCTTTGAGCCATCGATTTGGACATTGTGAAATTTACAACTGCCATGTTTTTCCTATTTGACTTGGCTGTTATAAAGCTTACTGTTAAATGGAGCTAGATGTGTAGCTCAACAGGATATTCATGGTTACCCTCATTCCTCCTATTACTTTTTAAATTGTGTATCCTTAGAAGTCATTCCCAAGTTTTTTCTTAAGTAACAGTTTAAAAAGTGATGAAACTTCTTTAATTTCTGAGCCACTTAAAATTTTCTAATGTGCTAGATCCATCCATCTACATCCATCCATCTGCCCATCTACCATCCATCTATCCACCTACCACCCATCAATTATCCATTCACCATCCACTATCACTCTATCCATCCATCCACCCATCTACCATTCATCCATATCTCTATCTCCATCCACCACCCATCCATCCATCTACCATTCATCCATATATCTATTATCCATCACCGTCTGTCCATCTATCCATCCATCCATCCATCCATCCATCCACTTATCTGTCCATTCATCTACCCATCTACCATCCACCTATTTATCTGTCAGTACTGATTTGGGGTCTAAGTATGACTGTTAAAAGCTAAAGGCTGTTGGTGCTTATTGCATATGAAATACATGTTTAGGATTTTGATCCAAGACTTCTGCCCCCACTGTTTAAGCTCAATGTAAAGGAAAACCTCCTGATTGTCATTAAACTACTGGTTATGGAAAATTTGGGGACACTAAATCGTAGTAAACACAGTAAGAATTTCCATACTTACATAAATTTTATAGTTTATAGTGTTACATGTTGATTATCTAATTTCTTTCCTATAAGAAAAGGTATTAGAGGTAAGTATTGATAAGACAAATAATATTTACGTCCTCATTTTTTCTGATGGTTTTCAGAATGGGTAATTTACTATCCAAAAGTCACTTTATTTATGAAGTAATAGCACCTGAATTGAACCTGGGTATTTTGAGGGCAAATACAATACAGTATCCTTTTCTCTACACACTGATGCCTGGAACTTGCAAGGACTTAAAAATGACAGAATTTCCCTTATGAGTGTGTTTTTTTGTCGTTGTTTTTTTTTTTTTTTTTTTTTTTGAGTTAGGGTCTCACTTTGTTGCCCAGGCTATAACCTCAAACTCCTGGGCTCAAGGGATCCTCTGACCTCAGCCTCCCAAGTAGCTGGGAGTACACATACGCCACCACACCCAGCTAATTTTTTTTATTTTTTGTAGAGGTGGGTGTCTCACTGTTTTGCCCAGGCTGGTCTTGAACTCCTGTCCTCAAGCCATCCTCCCACCTCAACCTCCCAAAGCACTATGGTTACAGGCATGAGCCACTGTGTCTGTCCCCTGCCCCCCCACCCCCAAGTGTCTTTGACACTTTGAAGGTGAAAAAGAAAGTTCTGGTTTGGCAGACATTTTTGGAAAAGCCAAGGATTAAATGCTGTGGACACAGTATTTCTGACACCGTATTTTCATCTTAAATAATATTACAGGAGTGGAGCAGTGGGACTTCTCAGCCCCATCAATTTTTGCGGGTATTTGAAGCCTGAGATTAGTTTTGGTAATACTTCCAGTACACACATTTTCCTGTGAAAACTGCTTATTTGACACATGACACAGAAATTGGCCATATGAATTGAGGATTGTATTAGTCCATTTTCATCCTGCTGATAAACACATACCCCAGACTGGGCAATTTACAAAAGAAAGAGGTTTAATTGGACTCACAGTTCCACGTGGCTGGGGATGCCTCACAATCAAGGAGGAAGGCAGGGAGGAGAAAGTCACATCTTACCTGGATGGCCGTAGGCAAAGAGAGAGCTCGTGCAGGGAAACTCCTCTTTTTAAAACCATCAGCTCTCATGAGACTTACTCACCAATTGGGAGAACAGCACAAGAAAGACCCACCTCCATGATTCAACTACGTTTCACTGGGTCCCTCCCATGACACGTGGGAATGTGGGAGTTACAATTCAAGATGAGATTTGGGTGGGGGCACTGCCAAACCATATCAAGGATGCCTCAGAGTGAGACTGAAAAACTTGGTAATTTCAGCATTCGCTTCCCTAGGAGTCATCTTAACATAATGTAAGCAGGCCTACTGGTACTGCTGGATTTCATCAGTATGGCTGTGTGTGTGTGTGTGCGCGCACGCGTGTGTGTCTGTGTGTGTCTGTGTGTCTGTGTGAGCTGTAGCCGATTGAGTAGACCGCATGCATCTTCTAGCTGGATTAGTTAACTCTCCTTGTTCCACAGCAAATTTAAGGTGACTGATGTCATTCAATTTATAACATATGATTCAGTTTCAATGAATTAGGTATCATTTTGCTAAGGAAGCCTGCATAATACTGGCCCATTCTGTAGCACATTCTTTATGGTTTAAACATTTTAAATAGTAGTGGAAATAATAGCTAATGTTTATTGAGAACCGATCCTGAGATAGGGTAACATTTATTGAGAAACGATAATGGGATAGGCACGAGGCAAATTCTGTAACATAGATGATCTCATTTAATGCTCATGACAACCCAATGATTTAGGAATCTTATCATCCCCACCTGTTAGAGGGATAGGACATTTAGAGTTTGCCCCAAGTCACGCTGAAAGTAAAGATTTGACTTGCAAAGCCAAGATATGACCGGATGCGTGCAGCCCGACTCCCAGCTTGGACTCCCAACACTGAGCTTGGTACGTAGCTGTCTCCCAGTGAAACTGAGTTCTTTGCAGCTCTTGGAGAAAACCCAGAGTACTGATAGTTCCCAAATTGCCATGGTGGCATCCATTCACAAGGCCATGAGACAATTAACCTGCTGTAAGGGAAATGGATACGTACTTGTTGGCACATTGTGACCTTAGCATATCTGCTGATTGTGGAGCTCTTCATTAGTCCATGTCATGGATCAGTTCCGCAACCAGGGTCATAGGCAAATTTTTTCCCCACGAAAGTCAGAAAGAAGTTATACCAAATCGACTCCGTTTTGCTTTCCTTCGTGTTTTTCAAATAATGCCCTTTCTCTCTGTATAGTTTTTTTTTGTTTATTTATTTATTTATATATTTTTTTGTTCAGGGACTAGAAGAATATAGATAGAGAAAAAATTTTATTCTATCTGAATACGTAATTTTTTTAAAGTATAGAAAATGCATTATCAGCCTCCGTTGTGCAGGTGGAAGGACAGCCGCCTGCCGGCCTCCTTTGCCAGGAAGAATCCAGCCTTGCAAATTATTGGCAGCTGGCACCGTAATGAGTCCATTTCAGCATAAATGGGCTATTGCTTATTAATTTCTGCCAGTTCCTAAGCAATTCAGGAACTGCTTTGGAAATTCGGAAATTCGCAGAGAGCCGTTTAAGGAGGATGCCCAGGGAAAGGGAGCCAACCGGGTAGCAATGGGGGAATTGTGGAAAGGGAATATATTGTGGGGTAATAATGGGGTATTGCTGAGAACTCGTGCTCCTTTCCCTGCAAGCATGAGTCACTAACTTCATGGTTAAATAGCATATTTTCCAAGATAAGGAAGAACTGTCTTTGCTTATTGTTCCATTCTGGATAGACGTATATATTTATTTACTGCCTGTATGTGGCTCCTTTCCACAAAATAGGCAGTTTTCTTCATATTCCTGCTCAAAGTGTTTGTCATCTCAGGTTCCCACCTGCTGAAACCACCAGCAGCGGGCAGCCCCAGGGGAATGTCTGGGAAGAAAGTACCAAAATGAAGCCACCCAAAGAGGCCCTTCAGGCCTTTCTTTTGCTTGCCTTAGTATTTGTAATTTCACCTCTACCAGCAGGCTTTAAAAAGATGAAGGAAATAAAACAACCCCATTAACCCCACGTGTTCCTGGAGCTCTTGTCCATTGATTTTCCATGTTAAATTGCAGTTTGGATCTTTTACCTAAATTTTTTCCTGTGCATATTCTTCATGCATTTTCTCTGAATTTGATGTTTGCCTTCGTAAGAAAACGTGTATACAATGGAAAGTTCTATGTAAGTGATTTGGGCTTCTGTTTTACTCTCTTTCAGCATTTTCTTCAATGTTTGTTATAAATACAGCACTACTTTGAGAATAACTGAGGGTTGCTGGTTTCCTTTCATTTCTGTTTCTTGAGACTCTGAAGATTGAGTGGGACATGGGAATCATTCTGTAGTAACCTGTTTCTGTTGTCCAACACCTTAATATACACAGATAGATTAAAATAATAAGATAACTTAGTCTGTAGGGCTATGTATTACCCTAAATGTAAATAGGCTGGTGTGTATTTATTTATTTATCTGATTTAAGCCTGTCATTTTATGCCTGTATCCAAATGTTGCATCATTTGATTTGGGATGTCATATTGTTACAGGAAAGAGGTCCCGATCCAGACTCTAAGAGAGGGTTCTTGGATCTCGCACAAGAAAGAATTCAGGGAGAGTCTATAAAGTGAAAGCAAGTTTATTAAGAAAGTGAAGGAATAAAAGAATGGCTACTCCATAGACAGAGCAGCCCCGAGGGTTGCTGGTTGCCCATTTTCATGGTTATTTCTTGATGATATGCTAAACGGGGTGGATTATTCATGCCTCCCAGGCTGGAGTGCAAAGGTGTGATCTTGGCTCACTGCAACCTCCACCTCCCGGGTTCCAGCGATTCTCCCGCCACAGCCTCCTGAGTATCTGGGATTACAAGCACCTACCATCATGCCTGGGTAATTTTTGTATTTTAGTAAAGATGGGGTTTCACCATGTTGGCCAGGCTGGTCTTGAACTCCTGACCTCAGGTGATCCGCCTGCCTTGGCCTCCCAAAGTGCTGGGATTACAGGCATGAGCCACCACGCCCAGCCCATGCCTCCCCTTTCTAGACCATATAAGGTAATTTCCTGACATTGCCATGGCATTGTAAACTATCATGGTGCTGGTGGGAGTGTAGCAGTGAGGATGACCAGAGGTCACTCTTGTCACGATCTTGGTTTTGGTGGGTTTTAGCGGACTTCTTTACTGCAATCTGTTTTATCAGCAAAGTCTTTATGACCTGTATCTTGTGCTGACCTCCTGCCTCATCCCGTGAGTTAGAATGCCTTAAGCATCTGGGAATGCAGACCAGTAGGTTTCAGCCTCATTGTACCCAGCTCCTATTTAAGATGGAGTTGCTGTGGTTCAAACGTCTCTGACAGTATTTCACAAAAAGTTGACGTCATGGAATTGACGAAATGGGTTTGACAGAAAATGCCCATTTCCTTCCTTCTGCCTCATCCTTTTCTTTCTGTTTTTCTATCTCCTCTGACCTGCTCCTCTCCAGGTTTTTGGCGCATTCTCACAGACTTAGATGAAACTGTGATGGCCACCGCAGGGGGCAGGTGCTGACATCGTCCCCAGCCCTGTGGCTGTTCATCCGGACATCATTTCCAACCTCAATATCTAAATGCCACAGTGCTCTTGGAGCAAGTTGGGCTGGGGACCACTGTTGCCTTTTAAGGTAGGTTTGCATATGTATATTTGAGCCTATATGTTTGTATGAATTAATGGAAATGCTTCAAAGGTGGTGGGACAGATACGTTTTACTATCATTGTTGTGTGTAGCTCGTGGGAAAAAGAATTTGGAATCACTTCCTTGGATTAGGGTTACACCTATCTGACAATTCGAAAGCATTAGCGTTAAAACAAAACAGAAAAGACAAAGTAGGTGCCTATGAAATCCTTTCTCCGCTGTGAATTGCCCTCAGGATCTCGTAAATTTATCCCTGGGCTTCACCATCTTTATATCGGATTATGTTTGAAAAAGGCAAACCCGAGCTTCAAAATCTGACTTGAAAACAATGATATGTTTTGTTTCTGCTTTGGATAATCTTTGAAAAGTAAAAATAAACACAGTCAAAATAATAATCTTTTCAAAATCAAAGATCATCTTATATTTGTTGCAAAACTTTCCTGCTTAGTCTCTGGTGTTCAGGGTATTTGTGTGTGACTTGGCAAAACTCTTTTCATGGGTTGTAACGATTTAGCGAAAACTTTCAGAACTTCGTCTCAATTTAATCTTAGCTCTCCCTCACCCCCACCCCCCAACACCGTCTTCAAGCTCAGCCTCCAGTAGGGAAAAAACAGGCTTGAAACCAAGACCTCCCACTAGAATCTAATTTTACATTTGCAATCTGTTGTCTTGTGATTTCGCTTCAAATTTAACTTAGAAATAAATACATTTCATCCTTTCTCCTGCAGTTTTGGAGGCCTGTTTTCAAGTCATAGAAGGGTAATGATTACGTTTATTTTAATAAGTTTTTAAATACCTCAGGGGAGTGAAAATTTATATTATTAATCATTATAACTTACATCATTAAATGCCTTATGGTCAGATTTCACAATGTCCTTCCCAACGACAGAGAAACCTTGCTTTCACAGTTAACTTGAATATGATATGAATTGGATGATCATGGACCCACCAGTGAGATCTAAGGTTTTATGTATTTGAAGTGCCCTTGTTATAAGGCAATGTCGGTGTTGAACATTCCCACTCAGAAGAGCTAGACGAAAACTTCCGTATATTTAGGTTACCATCACAAGTAAGAGATGGTTTCTGCCATTGAGATTTTATAATAAAATGAGAAGAGGGTACTTAAAAACAAGACAAATGTGCCAGTGTACAAATAACGCTGCCATAGATACAATGAGAGGAGGTCAGTGTGCCATTGAAATATAGCGAAAAAGTAGAATAAGTCCAAGCTAGGTAGTATTTTCTTCATCTTAGGTAATTTTTCCAGGCCATCTGTTTTAGAGTTTGGGTTTGATGCCGTTTTGTTGTAGCTGTCAGCATAGTGCCCACATCCTTACTCTCTTCAACTGTAAAAAAAAATTCGGTGACTTAAAAACCTGTTGGCATGTTCTATTTATTTTACTTTCCTTAAAGTGAATTACGTATTTACTATAAAAACATTAGAAAATACCAAAAAAAGGTATAATTGTGAAAATTAAAACGCCCTACAAGCAATCCATCCGGAATAATTGCTTTTTAAAATTCTTACGCAGATTTATCATGTGTATATGCATGTGAAATATTTACATATTAATATTCTTTTTTTTTTTTTTTAACTTGAGACAGCATTTTGCTCTGTCACCCAGGCTGGAGTGCAATGGTGCAATCTCGGCTCACTGCAGTCTCCGCCTCCAGGGTTCAAGAGATTCTCGTGCCTCAGCCTCCCGAGTAGCTGGGATTACAGGCACCCCTGCCCCCCGCCCCCACCACACCCAGCTGATTTTTGTAGTTTTTAGTAGAGATAGGGTTTCACCATACTGGCCAGACTAGTCTCAAACTCGTGACCTCAAGTGATCCACCTGCCTCAGCCTCTCAAAGTGCTGGGATTACAGGTGTGAGCCACCGCCCCCAGCCACATCTTAATATTCTTGGAGAAAATTTTTAGCTGTCTCAAGGTCTGTATGTTGAACGTGCATCTCAAATCTCAGATTTTAATTCTGGAAGATGAGAAGAATTTTGCACTAGAGATGTTTGACCCCAGTGGTAGAATCACCTTTTGGATTATTTACTCCCACACGGGGCAAGCCCTGGCCAGCTGACCCACAGGGCTGGGCATTGTTCATGTGGAAGTTTCCTGTTCTTCAGCTAGGGGGTGAGGCATCCTGTCCTGCTGTCTGCTAGGAGCACCACTGGAACCGCTGGTGTAATTGAGGGCATTAGACATCCTAAACCATAAAAATATTATTATAACCTCCTTAGTTCTCAAGGTGATGAAGTTGTTTCCAGATTCCTTTGTGTCTTTTTCTTTCCTGTTTTCCCTCAACAATCTGTGGTTGTGGAAATATTTTTCTATGTTCTTTATGCCCAGGACTTTGAACACAGGGTGGCTTTCTATTAACTGGAATATTTTCTTATGCAGTACAGGTGGTTTAAAAATGCAAGGTACGTGCTGTATCTTGGGTCATATAGGGTTGACCTTTCTTTTTTATGTGTGTTCTGTTTGTTTACTCATGTACTTTTTTTTTTGAGAAGGAGTCTCGCACTATTTCCCAGGCTGGAGTGCAGTGGCACGATCTTGGCTCACTGCAGCCTCTGCCTCCTGGGTTCAAGTGATTCTCCTGCCCCAGCCTCCCAAGTAGAGCTGGGATTACAGGTGTGTACCATGCCTGGCTAATTTTTGTATTTTTGTAGAGATGGGTTTTTGCCATGTTGGCCAGGCTGGTCTCGAACTCCTGACCTCAAGTGATCCAACTACCTCGGCCCCCCAGAGTGCTGGGATCAGGCATGAGCCACCATGCCCAGCATTTACTCATGTATTAATATCATCATTGATGTTCATAATGATCTTGCACAGGCATTGCAAGCAGTTAAGTTTCTCATTAATTTCAAGGGTGTTTACATTTACTCAGGAAGCACACTTGTAATAGTTGCTTTAAAAGTCTTTGTGTGATAATTCCAACATCTGGGCAACCTTGGGATTGGCATCTATTGATTGTACTTACCCCTGAGAGCTAATTAAATTTTCCTGGTTCTTTGGAATGCATTGTGGGCATTTTGAATATTATGTTGTGATACTCCAGGTATTGTTACATCATCTGGAGAATATTGATTTTTCCTTGTTGTTATTTTGCAGGCAGTCAACCTGACTTGGTTCAGATTGTAAGTGCTGTCT
This sequence comes from Homo sapiens, assembly GCF_000001405.40. NCBI lineage: Eukaryota > Metazoa > Chordata > Mammalia > Primates > Hominidae > Homo > Homo sapiens. The sequence goes on along the minus strand of NC_000021.9, from coordinate 31,273,568 downwards.
CACCTCCGTGGGTGGAGGCTCTAATGTCAGTTCAGTTTTCAAAGCCTTTGGTATACTGCTTTGAGTTTGTCCCGTTTTTGTGCCACTCAGGGGTTAGTCTGAGGGTTGGGCTGTGGTTTATGTCATGATTCAGTTCTCAAAGCTTTTGCTATCTTGCTTTGGGTCAGTCCTAGGCATGTGCATCTGAGGAGTGAGCCTGTCACTTGTGCAGATTTATACACACCATTATGGGATGTTCTTTTCCAGTTCTCTTTTCTCTAAGATCTCCACACTCTCTCTGGCTTACAGGGACCATTCTTGATTCCTCTGGGTGGAACAACAAGGTCTGATCCAGAGTTTTTGTTGCCTGTGCCATAGCTTCACTGGAGCCGTACTCACCCTTGGTATAAGGCTGGGTGAGAAATTAGGACAACAAAAACAAAATAGGAAACTCACCCTTAAATGGGTGGCATCCTCAGGTTTTGATCTTTTTTTATTTTATTTTTTTATTTGTTTGCTTTTGTTTACTTTTTGGTCCAGAGTTTTTAGTTGTCATTAGCTGGGGCAAGATAGGCCTTAGTTGGTTTACTCCAACTTGCTGGCACCAGATATTAACAACTTATTTTTTTTTCACTAGTTTATTAAGACAGAAGCTTTATCCTATAATCAACATCACCTCTTTATTTAACCTCATTTTGGACCACTGTTCTGTTTGCTTTGTACTTTCTGATCACATTTTGCCAGATGATGCTAAATGCTTGCTTTTTTGTTGTTGTTGTTGCCTAATTCATTGAAATTATGTTAGAATATTCTAGATGCTTTTCAGCTAAAAATAAAAGGGGATTCAACTATATTTCTTTTGGAAGAACCCTTACTTTAAACTACAGTTTCATTAGAATATTCAGTTAGTTAGTTAAGGCTCGTTTTGTTTGTTCAACTTTTTATTTCAAAATAATTATGATTCACAGGAAATTGTATGCAGGAAATGTAACCATCACCTAGTTTTTTCTAATGGTTGCATCTTACATGATTATAGTAAAATACTAAAGCCAGGAATTTGACATTGTTTCAATATATGTGTATAGTTCTATATCTTTTTTTTTTTTTTTTACAAAAGGCTTAGTAGCCTAATAAATCTATAAAAGCAGCCCCTGAGAAATGACCACCTACCTGATATATATATATGAACCACCCTAACTAATAAGTATTTGTGTATATTGATAAAGTTTCTTAAAATACCTTTTAATTCCTTTACTATGTATAGACAGTCCCCAACTTAGGGTGGTTTGACTTGTGTTTTTTTAACTTTACGGTGGTACACATACAATCATTTTGTTTTTCACTTTCAGCACAGTATTCAGTAAGTTACATGAAATATTCAACACTTATTATAAATAAATATTCAACAAACATTCAATACTTAAAATACGCTTTGTGTCAGATGATTTTGCTCAGCTGTAGGCTAATGTAAGTGTTCTGAGCCATTTAGGGTAAGCTGTGCTGAGCTATGATGTTTGGTAGGTTAGGTGTATTAAATGAATTTTTGACTTAGGATATTTTCACCTTACAATGGGTTTATGAGGACATGACCCCATCATAAATGGAGGAGCATCTGCATTTAATTTGGTGGGATTTAAAGGCCCTTAAGGTGATTACTTATTGAAAAGTTTAACTTATCACTTTAAGAGAGGGATCATGGTGTTGGTAAGAAAAGAAAAATCACACTCATCCTATTGTCTTTGATCCCTGGCCCTGAGCACTCCCCCAGGAACTCCTGATGCTTTGACCCCATACCACTTTCAGATGACACTCTTGCCCATCATGCCACTAAGACTCCTTTGCTCTCACTTTCTCTGGATCGTCCTAGGCCTGAGCAGTTCTACACTTGCCCTCTCAACTCTTAACCTCATTCCTGAACCTCTGCACTGCAGCTCCAAAAGGAAGAGGAAGATAGGAACTGGAGGCAAGAATTCAGTGGAATTAGACAGGTGCAAGCCCTTAATTCTTTCCCCAGGAAGAATTGGGGGTGGGGAGGGGAACACACTGGAGCACAAGCTGAACACCCTCACCCCTAAGTTCATGGATCAGGATGACCTTCAACCCAGTGGTCCAGAGTAAGGGACTGACACAGACCTGCAGGTGGAAGGGACCCAGAGAGCAGAGAGCTGATTGGGAAGTTTCTTCCAGGCATCCTGAGAGAAGAGGCTAGCGTATTTAAGACTGATGTGTGCTGTGTCTCATTAGCATTGTGGTCATGTTCTCACCTATGTTGCATTGTAGTTGTATGAGTTTTCACATCTTAGATTAAAGTGTCTTTGTCATTCATTCATTCCAGTATTTTTTTTTTTCTTTTGGGTTTTTGGTGTTTTTTTTAATGGACCACCTACAACCTTTCAGGCTGGGTTCTAGGCAATGAGGATACAGCAGGAAACAAGACACTTCCAGCCCTCCTGAAGCTTAGGCTCTAGTGGGAAAGGATAGAGAATAAGAAAGACCAGTAAGTGAAATATATGTTGGTTACAATTATGATCAATGTGAAGGCAAAGCAAAAGAAGAGGGGTAAGAAATGTTGAGTGCTGCAGCACTGGTTGTCATTTTAGATGGAGGAGGGGTCAGGAAAGGCCTCCTTGACCAGGGGACATTTGATTGAAGGTCTGAAGGAACTTGGTGGAGTAGGCGGAAAGGCAGAGCGTTCTAGGCAGAGGGACAGGCACAGGCCCTGAGGCAGGCTAAGGAAGCCAGAACTTAGAACAGGGATGTCCAATCTTTTGGCTTCCCTGGGCCACATTGGAAGAAGAAGAATTGTCTTGGGCCACACATAAGATACACTAACACTAACGATAACGGATGAGCCAAAAAAACCAAAATTGCAAAAAAATCTCATAGTGTTTTAAGAAAGTGTATGAATTTGTGTTGGGCTGCATTCAAAGCCATCCATGTGGCCTGTGGGCTATGGGTTGGACAAGCTTGACTTAGAAGATTGGAAAGAAAGAAAAGCACGAGAAGCCAGACTTGAGGTTTGAATATGGAGAGTTGTTCTTAGGCTAAAAGCTTGTCCTCCCTCCCTCCTACCTAGTCCCTAAACATGAGAGCTATGTGGGACCACTAACATTCTATATAAGTAAATCATAGTCTGAAATTAAGAGTTTAATGAATTTAAAACTGGTAGTGTTTCCAAGCTTGAGATCTAGTACCAGTTTTCTGGCATCCACCTTTTCAATGTCAATCCCAATTTTTGCATTTCAGCCTGTCCTCCTTGTCCCAAATATTCTCTCTCCTACCTAGTGACTGTGTGATGATGTTAGTGAGGTGCTGGTCCTTCACTTTTTGCTTTTGTTACTAAAATGCACCGATATTTACTGATGCTTTATCGTGCGTGGAATATTTCTAGTCTTGTGGAAGCCGTAAAAAAAGTAAAAGTTAATTTCTGCTCTGAATTTGCTTTCTTTGGGCTACAGGAACAACAAAACCCACACAAATATAAAATGCAAATCAGGTTTTGTTTGTTGAAGATAAAAATAAAAAGGGTTAAGTAAGATTGAATAGGAAGAAATTAAGATGATGGAAGTAGCTGGCATTTTACATTTGTACATGGAAAGGGTAAAACTTAAAATTCATCGGCCGGGCGTGGTGGCTCACGCCTGTAATCCCAGCACTTTGGGAGGCCTAGGTGGGCAGATCACAAGGTCAGGAGATTGAGACCATCCTGGCTAACATAGTGAAACCCTGTCTCTAATAAAAATACAAAAAATTAGCCAGGCGTGGTGGCGGGCGCCTGTAGTCCCAGCTACTCGGGAGGCTGAGGCAGGAGAATGGCGTGAACCTGGGAGGTGGAGCTTGCAGTGAGCCAAGATCGTGCCACTGCACTCCAGCCGGGGCGACAGAGCAAGACTCCGTCTCAAAAAAAAAAAAAAAAAACAAACAAACTTAAAGTTCACCAACTTTCTGGGGGTTGCCAGTGGGGCAGGGGTTGTCCCTGAAGTGGAGATTGTGTCTCCTGTATGCAATGAGCAATTTCAACTTTTCACGCTGATGTTATTTCAGAGTCCTCCGCTGATCCCACATGGGCTTTCATCGTTCTTATTAACCTCTCAGGAACAGCTTTCAAATTGAAGGGTGTTTCAGCAATCCCTAGAAACTTATTTTTCTTAACTTCAGTTGCTTCAAACTTCCTGCTCACTCTCCTTAGGCCATCCCCTGAGAGTTTCTCTTAGTAGGATTTAGGAGATTTGGCATTCCTCTCTACATTCTAGTTCTGAAGATAAAAGTGGCTTCTTTCCTACCTTGGCCAGCTGAAAAGAATCTTGCTACTAAAAATGCTATTAATATAACAGACCCATCAGCGTGATGCATGTAGTGCGGTAATTCTTGAAGGTTGGGGCCATTTCCTTCAGGAAACCTCTCCTGAGGCTTTTAACTTGATGAGTTTTCTGTTGGCAGAAACAAGCCTTACCAGAAAGCTGTTGTTGAAAATATATGTGTCAATTTATGTTTGCAAACTTTTGATATATGTGCTAGAGGAGGGTAAATCTTAGCATATTTGAGGCGACAGTTTTGCCTTTTACTCAATTTATTTCCTCATAGTTCTTTCCTCTTTTAAATTTAAACCTATGTGAGTCTTAAAATGGGGCTGTGACTAACATTGGTTCTAAGTCTTTATTTATTGGCAAAACATATAGTTACATAGGCACATCCAGGTATCTTAATATGTACTTTAAAAAAATAAAGAACTCCAAGGCATTGGTCAAAGCCTTTAGTGTTATTGAAATGCATATTTATTTATTTTACTTGTAAGAAATGTAGCATGTACCATTCTTAGGAATTTAGATAATATAAATGGTTGTGCACAGACCGTTGATCTTTTCGTTTTTATCTTTTTTCTTGCTTCTTAAAGATACCAGAGAAGCGTGAACATATTGCTTTGAAATCTACTTGCTCCTAGTAAAAAAGAGATTGTCTTTATTGGAAAATTCCCTCTGAGATTCCTGTGATGTGTGACCTGGTGGGGAATATTCCAGCCTGGGAACAGCTTAACATCTGGTGTCTGTATGAGTTACCCCTGAACTCACTGGAACATTCAATGGAGGGTTTCCCTTTGTGTTGCCACAAATTTTATTTCAGTGAAGATGTGCTGGTGAGAGTTTCAGCAACGTTTTAGCCTGAACAGTGGAATTATAGAGTAAGTCTGGGATCAATGTGAAGGTATATTGTGTTCCAGGCTCTTTCGATCTCTTTGCAATGATCACGGTAATATCACTTCCTGCTTCACCACGATGCTTTTACTTTCTTGTCTATCACGTGCCTTCCCTGGCTAGAAATTAGCTTCATGAGAGTAGGGGATGTGTCCCTTTTGTTCACTGCTGTATCTCTGGCTTCTAGAACATGGTAGGTGCTCAATGTGTATTTTCTGAATGAATGGCTCTATAGGTGGTTAAAAGAACCACCTCAGAGATATGCCCAGTTACTCTGTTTTTCTTCTTTCCTTTCCAGCTATTTTCATGTGCGTTATCTTAAGTGCATACAATTTGAAGTGCGCTAGAGAGACTTCATGGAACAAGAATAGGCTAAGTAGAGTCACAGTTGTCGAGCTTTGAAGATTTTTCTCTTTCCCACTGTGGGTAACAGAATTGTGTCATCGGGTCAGTGAGAGAGACTGTAAAAATATTAAGGAGGGACTTGAATTAACCTGGGGGGCCCCAGAAGGCGGAATCACACTTAGTGGTTTCACAATGTGAATTTCTGTTTGCAGGGCATGCTGTACCAGATTAATGTTCACAGGTTGGATTTGCTCCCAGAAATAAACCCATTAATCTACTGCTAAGCAGAGAGCGGAGTTTCTATTTTTTTCTATTTTGTTTTGCCCATCCCCACCACCCCTCCATAGCCCTCCCCAAATGCCCCAAAATCCAGGTTCTCAGAAGGCTGTGACATTAAAGGTCAAAGCTTTTTTTTTTTAATTTTTGACTTTGATTTACTAGGAAAAGTTGATCAGACTTACACCTTGAGGTTTTCCATTTTTGATTGATTTTGAAGTATCATTAGAGCTCAAATAGAGCCAAAAAAAAAAAAAAAATGAAAAAACGAAACGTACCCATTGTCAGGGAGGGAAGGAGGTTACCAAATGCACCTCTAAGTTTTGTTTTTTGAAATATGTGTATCATTTCAAACAGAAATTACTCCCTTGGTGAACATTTTGGTTTGTACTTTCAGAGTTTTCAATGTATAGATAGGAGCAGAACTTCAAATGTTTAGTAAGGAAGACAAGGTCAGCAGAGTTTCTGGCTGTCCAAAAGCAGCGCTCTCAGCTATGGCCTGTGGCCATCTTCTCTCTGGGCAGAGACAAGTCTAACTCTCTGATGCTCATATTTATGAGCTCATTTCACATCTCAGGGGGCAGTCTCAGTAGATGATGTTACTGTTCACCTGCTCCCAGGTAAGAGTCCGAGAACCTACCAGGTGCATATAGGAAGTTGTGCTGTTACTTACCTAACAACCCCTGTGAGCCAAGGTGTTCTGCCCTCCCTGCAGGCTGAGCGCTTTCTCTAAGATGCCTATACCTGTACTAATAGTGACTCAATTCTCCCCTTTCCCCCCGCTTTGCTGCAGACCATAAAACCATGGGAAACGCAGAAAGTCAACATGTAGAGCACGAGTTTTATGGAGAAAAGCATGCCAGCCTGGGGCGCAAGCACACTTCCCGCTCCCTGCGCCTCTCGCACAAGACGCGGAGGACCAGGCACGCTTCCTCGGGGAAGGTGATCCACAGGAACTCCGAAGTGAGCACCCGATCCAGCAGCACCCCCAGCATCCCCCAGTCCCTGGCTGAAAATGGCCTGGAGCCCTTCTCCCAAGATGGTACCCTAGAAGACTTCGGGAGCCCCATCTGGGTGGACCGAGTGGACATGGGCTTGAGACCTGTGTCTTACACTGACTCTTCTGTCACTCCCAGCGTAGACAGCAGCATCGTCCTCACAGCAGCCTCTGTGCAGAGCATGCCAGACACTGAGGAGAGCAGGCTTTACGGGGATGACGCTACATATTTGGCTGAGGGAGGCAGGAGGCAGCATTCCTATACATCCAATGGGCCCACTTTCATGGAGACGGCGAGCTTTAAGAAGAAACGCTCCAAATCTGCAGACATCTGGCGGGAGGACAGCCTGGAATTCTCACTCTCTGATCTGAGCCAAGAACATTTAACAAGCAACGAAGAAATCTTGGGTTCCGCCGAAGAGAAGGACTGCGAGGAGGCTCGGGGGATGGAAACGCGGGCGAGTCCGCGGCAGCTCAGCACCTGTCAGAGAGCCAATTCCTTGGGTGACTTGTATGCTCAGAAAAACTCTGGAGTGACAGCAAACGGGGGGCCGGGGAGCAAATTTGCAGGCTACTGTCGGAATTTGGTGTCTGATATTCCCAATCTTGCAAACCATAAGATGCCACCAGCTGCTGCTGAAGAGACTCCTCCGTACAGTAATTATAACACACTTCCCTGTAGGAAATCTCACTGTCTCTCTGAAGGTGCCACCAACCCACAAATTAGCCATAGCAACAGCATGCAAGGCAGAAGAGCTAAAACAACTCAGGTAAAGTGATTGAAATTTGTTTCAATATTTTGGGAATGGTGCATGACTCTTTAAGTGCATGACTTTGCTCTTAGAAGATTTCCATCTTTTAATCGGGTTTTACCCTGTTTGCCTGGTAGTTGCTGCAGCTGGTGCTGTTTTGGGAGGATTTCTCTCTCTTCTGCTTTGCCCCTCTTAGAGTTCTGTGGTTAAGGGGTGGGGATTAAGGGAAGTGTGTGGGGGGAGTGGCGATGTGATAGGAGTGGGAAAAAAGCTAGTAAGTTCATATTGGGAAACTGCTTCTACATCTTAGTTCTTCAACAGCATCCCACTTATTCAAGCTTCCTTTCTAACTTGGTCCTTCCCGTGGAAAAACAGGCATGGTGGGTTGCAGACTCTTGGAACTTATTTCTTCACTGCAGCAGGTGGGAGGAGGTTAGTCGGCAACTCCTCTGAGGAGGCATTTTAAATTCTGGGCGGGTTTGGGTCACTTGTCAGCTTCTCTCGGTGGTTGGCAGGCTCGCTGCCTTACCGGGAGCCATTTCAATTTCCTGTTCCGTGCGATGCTGGCCAGCCCTGTCTCTGGAGGGAGGTGTAGCGGAAGGAATAACATGGGTGGCTTCCAATTCTTACTTTGCAACCAGCTAGTTGTTTGACCTTGGGCAAACCCTGACTTCTAGTCATTCCTCTGAAAAATGGGGATAAAGATGCTCAGCTTGCCTGCTTCGGGGTCTAGTGCACGAAACCGTGGGGAGGAAACTAAGAGACTTCGCTCCAGCCTGGGCAACAAAAGCGAGACTCCATCTCAAAAAAAAAAAAAAAAAAAAAAGATTTTGAAAGTGTTTTCCTAGTGAATGGAGGCACCATTACCTTAGCTGGCAATGATAATTAAGATTAGGATAATAAAATGTTGGGCAGTTGAGCCGGCTTGGTGGCTGACGCAGGGGGATGCTTTGAGCCTAGGAGTTTAAGTCCCACCTGGGCAACATAGTGAGACTCTGTGTCAATAAAAGAAAGAAAGAAAGAAATGTGGAGTAATCCTGCATGCATTGGGCCTTTTCTGGTACTTCTGTTCTCTGAGGCAGAGTTCAGGGAGTCTTGGCTTTTGCTGAGGATGTGGAGGTGGTTTGTAGATGGTGCTTCAGGTTAAAATTCCAGACTGGGTCCGTTTGCCTTGAATGGCGGAGCAGCCTCAAGGTTGACCAGCAGACTTCCCTGCAGTCAGCACTCTGATTGCCCAGTAGGAGGTGGTACTGCACCTTCCAGCCTTGCTCCAGTGCAAGTCAAATGGGCATTTCAAGGGTATGTTCTGCTGGAAAGGGGGTCTAAATATAATGGGCATAGGATGGAGGATGTAGGGGAAGCCGAGAAAAAGAAAATCGGCATTAGACTGTCTGTGTTCCTGCCTGAGGACAGGTTTTGCTGATGGTGTCCAAGCCGGATATTTTGGCTCCACGTCTTCTTACCTGAGTGACTTTGGGTAAGTTGTTCACATTCTTGTAGCCTTAATTTCTTCATCTGTCAAATGGGGGTAATAAGGTTTTTTGAGAAAGTAGAATGAAATAATATGTGAAGCATAGTGCCTGGTTCTTAGGAAGCAGCCAGTAAGGGCAACTTTGTTAGCTGTTGTAATTTTCATCATTGTTAGTGGAGGCATATGGGTTGAGGACTCGGGGTAGTTGTTTGGATCAATATCTTGAGTACCTCATAAAGGTGGAAACAGTAGACACTGGGGACTCCAAAAGCTGGGAGGGAGGGGAGCAAGAGTTGAAAAACGAATTATTGGGTACTGTGTTCATTGTTTGGGTGATGGGTTCAATAGAAGCCCAAATCTCAGTATTGCATAATATATCCATGTAACAAACATGCACGTGTACCCCTTGACTCTAAGGAAAGAAAAAAAAACACTTGTGTCCTAGAAACCAAGTTGCTACCAAGGCTGCATCTGTGGTCTGAGAACGTAAGCCTGAAGCTTGCCTCCAGATGCACTCCCTGAATTTTAAACCCATCTCTTCTGAATTGAGATTGTAATGACACAAATGACCAGATAACCCACCTGCAGCCCCTCTGTCTACCCTGCGAGGGCTACTTCTGCACTGTCAATTGGACAGATCATGGAGATATGTGACCTATTAAAGAGTCACCTGAAAGGGATTGAAGGGCTGTCTTGAAGGCATTATCAGATTGGCACTGCAAGGCTGATTCAAAGAGATGATCTATGGGGCCTTCGGAGCTTAGAGAAGGATACAGTGACGCAGACTGTTAAAAACAGAACATCACCTTGGACTTTCATTTCTACCTGAACAGTGCTCAGTTAGTGCATATGCTATGTAAGATTTGAGAAGGGTGCCCTGTTGTATTTTGGCTCTCTGTGGTTCTGACACTAGGGATGGCTCTCCCCTATACTCGATGGCTGATGGGGATTTGAGCCTTTGAGTTACGGCTACCCCCAGAAAATGGGCAAAGCAAAGGACAGTTCTCCCCTCTAGGTCTGGTACCACTGAAAGCTCTCATGTGTCATTATTATACGAAATTTCTATTCTTTGGCTTGTCACCTTCTAAAATTGTGAATATATGGAAGTGAGATCATCTAAAGGTGGTGTCTCATAAAATCACTGCTTAGGCAGCTTAATGTAATGGGAAGTGCCATTGGCCAGGAATCCTAAGAAGTGCATTTGCATCCTGGCATGTGTGCTTACCCAGTGGTGACCTTGGGCCAGTCACTCCATCTTCTGTGCCCCAGGATCTGTTGCTGTCCAGTCTGAGTGACACCAGCCTCCCACAGGGCCATTGGGAGAACCAAATAGGATACCATGCATGGAAACCTCTTGTGGAGCGTATAAAATGCACGGAAGTATTATTTTTGTATTGACTTTATATGTTGAGTGAGGATCTTTAATGACTTGAAACAAACCCCGGAATTATGCACAACACTATCCACCCGCCCACATTTCCTAGTCTAAGTTTGGCGTGTTCATCCAACGCTATTTCTTGAGAGCCCACTATGTTCCAAACAGTGTATTTTAAGAGGCAGTGGGTGTGGAAGCTTCCTTGAAAAGAATGCTTTTTTAAAAAAAAATTTTTTTCTTTTTTTTTGGTAAAAGTTTTTGACCCAGGGGACCTCTCCAGTGAGCTTGAATCATAGATATTAAAGTCTCCTTGGCTGCCCTGATGATGTAGTTGAATCTGTGATCATCCTGTCAGCAATTTTACTCCCCAGAAAAGAGTTCCTGGCAGACATTTGACCCAAGAGCATGACCTCTAAGCCTGGAAGAAAACACATTTTATCTGAAATAATGTGAACAACTTCATTTGATTTGAAAATGATCAAAAATGGGTTTTTGGCCCTTTTTCCTGTTTTTGGATTTTTTCAGTAGTTGGATGGATTATTGTAATGTGAAGTCACAGGAGTTCACATTTAAGTCTTGAATGGTGGCACATATGTGCTACAGGGTCTGCTGGCAATTTTTGGTTTAATTCGTGTATTTTATGAGCATGTTTGTTGTGCATCCACATGTGCGCTGTGCAGAAAAGTTTGTCTTGGGAGTCAGTATGAGTAAAGCCTCATGCTATTTGAAGCAGAATTTATTTCTGTTGGTTTCTGTAAAAGTACTTAATAGGTTACTCCTTAGATTTAGTTGATGGCTAGTTCGTCTTTGGGCCTGAACTTTATGAATTTCTTTGGTTACAGACAGAGGAGGGGGCTGCCTAGTGTCAGACAAGGAAGTTAGCAGCATATCTGAGCTTGCAACTTTGAGGTTGTTACCTCTTGGTTATTTGACTTCCATGGATCTCAGTGCCTCTTAAATGAGGCTGGAGATTCTGCAAGGGAATGAATGGAAAACTCATGGCACAGTTTTACACATACAAATGCTTAATAAATAGGAGTTGTTAGTTGTGATGTTGAAGATTGCCTCATTGTTCTAGGGTTCTGCTCTCCCGTGTCTCTGAAACTTTCAGTGGGTGAGTTGGAGAGAGAGAGAAACCTGCCGTTTGATGGAGCCTTATAGCCAGGTTCTGTGTTCTGTGGGAAGCTTTGGCGTGGAGCCGTTGTGCATGCTTGTGAGGAGAGCTTCATTCATCCACTTGGGAGATGAAGGAACACGGCCAGGTTGTACTGAGCATGTCTCTGGGAACCTCAGCCTCAGGAGACCAGCAAGGAGCCCGGCTCTCGGAGCGTCCCTAGCCAGGTGTGGTGCTGGTGAATAGATTTGTGGGTTTCACTGGCCAGTTTCAGACACAGCAGCATCCCTAGAAAATAAAGAGATTAGGAGATGAGGTGTCACAACTGGATGAAAACCCAGGTATTCTTTTTTTTGAGACGGAGTCTCACTCTGTTGCCCAGGATGGAGTGCAGTGGCACGGTCTCAGCTCACTGCAACCTCTGCCTCCCAGGTTCAAGCGATTCTCATGCCTCAGCCTCCTGAGTAGCTGGAATTACAGGCATGCACCACGGCGCCTGGCTAATTTTTTGTATTTTTAGTAGAAACAGGGTTTCACCATGTTGGCCAGGCTGGTCTTGAATTCCTGATCTCCGGTGATCTTCCCGCCTCAGCCTCCCAAAATGCTAGGATTACAGGCGTGAGCCACCGCACCCGGCCAAAAATCCAAGTCTTCTTTCTGACTTGCTAATCAAGGAGGGCCTTTTCTTCCAAAGCACACACCCACACTGACTACCTCCCCGTGCTTGAAAAGGTTTCAGCTCAATATCCTCAGATTTTAAGATCAAAACCCTCAATTTTGGTACAGATACAAAAAAAAAAAAAAAGGACTTGGCTGAAAAGAAAATTATTACTGCCCACTTTTGTCACCTAAAACACTGATTACGGAGAGAGATGGCCAGGATAACTGTAGCAGAGCCATCCCTCACGGCTGCTTTCTTTGATAAGCAAGTAGTCGCGTTGATGATTTCATTAATAACAAGGTAAAGAGTGCAGCATTGTCAGAGGAGGAGCTTGAGTTCCTAGAAAAATTGTCTTGATGTTTAAAGTTTTGTTTTATTTTGCAACTGAGCTTCAATGACTCAGAGATAAGTTTGTTTCCTGGGCTGAAAATGCACATCAACAACCATATGATTCTTGACCTTTGGTCACAGACTCTTGAGAATCAGATGAAAAATGTGGACGTTTTCCTTAGATAAAGACAGGGACCACCCTTCTGCATATCATTTCAAGGGATCCATAGGTCCCCTAAAGTCCATCTAGAGGCTTCTTTCTGGTTAAGAACCTCAGGTTTTTATAAAACAAATTTTTTCATGTAAAATCGATTTTTAAAACACCCTTTTTTTTTTCTGTTCTCCTCTATCTTCTGTTTGATGCTTTTTTTTTTTTCTTTTCTCTTTATCTTTCTTTTTCTGGCACGTAAGTTAAGCAATGAGATATTTATTTTGCAAACAAACCCATGCATTTTCAACAAGAATATATATCTTCTTTGCCAAGATCTGTTTTTGGGAAGTTGGAAGGTGGGTAGGTAGTTGAGAGATAGCTTATGTTAGCCATTCTTAGACCTTTTTATACTCTTAAAAAGTAATTCAGGAGGCCGAGGTGGGCAGGTCATTTCAGGTCAGGAGTTCGAGACCAGCCTTGCCTACATGGTGAAACCCCCGTCTCTACTAAAAATACAAAAATTAGCCAGGCGTGGTGGCGGGTGCCTGTAATCCCAACTACTCGAGAGGCTGAGGCACCAGAATCATTTGAACCCAGGAGGTGGAGGTTGCAGTGAGCCGAGATTGCACCACTGCATTCCAGCCTGGGCGACAGAGTGAGACTCCGTCTCAAAAAAAAAAAAGTATATATGTGTATATATATATTTTATTAATATATATTTATATAAAAATATTTATTTATTTATTTATATTAAAAATATATTTTTTGACCAGCCTAGGAAACATAGTGAGACCTCGCCTCTAAAAAAAAAAAAAAAGGAAAAATTAGCTGGCCATGGTGAGTACCTGTTGTCCCAGCTACTTGCAAGACTGAGATGGGAAGATGGCTTCAACCTAGGAATTTGAGGCTTTCATGAGCTAGATCACACCACTGCACTCCAGCCTGGGTGACAGAATGAGAACCCTATCTCTAAAGTAATACAATATTTTATTCTCTAAAATAAAAGATGTGGGACAGAGGCATTGTTTTCCATTTTTGCAGATCTCTATGATTTCTAGCTTAACAGAAGACACTAGCGTCTCATACCTACTTTTGCATTCACTCTCTTGCAATATACTGTTTGGTTGGACCCTATGAGCAGAACCTGGACTTGCACAGGGTAGTTGGAAAAGGAGGAGCCTCACTGACTCCCTGGAAGTATTTTAGGGAACCCTAGTCCATACTTTGAGAGCTGGTCATTTATGCTAATACAGGTTGGGAACATTCAGGATTATTATTATTATTATTATTATTATTTTATTTTTTTAGACAGGTCTTGCTGTGTTTCCCAGGCTGGAGTGCAGTGGCTATTTACAGATATTATCATAGTGCACTGCGGCCTTGAACTCCTGGGCTCAAGTGATCCTCCTGCCTCAGCCTCTTGGGTAGCTGGGACTACAGGCATGGACCACTATGCCCACCAGTTCAGCTTTTGAGGATCACATTCTTAGGTCGGGTGCATTGGCTCATGCCTATAATCCCAGCATTTTGGGAGGCCGAGGTGGGAGGATCGCTTGAGCTCAGGAGTTCAAGACCAGCCCGGCCAACATAGTGAGACCTTGTCTCTACCAAATTTCAAAAAAATTAGCCAGGTGTGGTGGTGTGTGCCTGTAGTCTCAGTTTCGTAGTGGGCTGAGGTGAGAGGATGCTTCAGCCTGGGAGGTTGAGGCTGCAGCAAGCTATGATCATGTCACTGTATTCCACCAGCCTGCATGACAGAATGAGACCCTGTCTCAAAAAAGAAAAAGGAAAAAAAAAAAGAAGATCACATTCCTAGTATAAGAATAGAGGAAAGTTGAGCCCCTTGACTCAAATTGTGTCATAACAATGTGTAATCATTGTTTTTTTACAGCATAACTGTAAATGTGTGACTGTTGGATGTGGCCATAAAGCCAGCCTGCCCTAAAGGCCTGACAGGGTCTCCATGGATCCCAATGGAGAACTTAGGAAACACCTGACCAGCCTGTCACATTGTCATTTGGGCCCAGTTGGCTTTGGACCACCAGTTGACCGAGTATCTAGCTTGGGCCATAAGATAGTTCAATATATCTTTCTGGTTTTTTTTTTTTTTTTGAGACGGAGTCTCACTCTGTCGCCAGGCTGGAGTGCAGTGGTGCAATCTCAGCTCACTGCAACCTCCGCCTCCCGGGTTCAAGTGATTCTCCTGCCTCAGCCTCCGGAGTAGCTGGGACTACAGGTGCATTAATATTTGTATTTTTAGTAGAGACGGGGTTTCACTGTGTTGGCCAGGATGGTCTAGATCTCTTGACTTCGTGATCCACCCGCCTTGGCCTCCCAAAGTGCTGGGATTACAGGCATGAGCCACTGCGTCCAGCCTAATATATCTTTCTTACTTCCTCAATTTTTTAAAAGAGTTAAAGAACAAAAATTTAAGTGAACTCCGATTGCATCCACACAAGACATAATCCAACTAGGCTGCTTAAAGCCTATAAATGTAAGCTTTATAGCTAGGACTCATTTGTCACCTCAACTTTAGTTGAGCATGAGCTGAGTTTAGAAATGACAAAACCTTTAACTCCAGCTGCAGTGCATTCCATGAGAAACTGTTTTCCTTGTTTTGAGATTGTGGTGGAAAATGAGCAGCAGTGAGTTCATTCAGCAATTATTTTTGAAGTGCCTTCCCCATGCCAGGCTTTATTCTTGGCACTTGGGATGCGTCAACAAGGAAAGATCCACAAGCTCGTGGAGCTCGTTGGGGTGAAGTGGGTGTGTGTGTGGCAGAAAACAGTTAGCATAATAAGGAAGCGATGTGCTGTGGAAGAAAGACAGGGCATGTTGAGGAAGATGGGGTGTGGGGGATGTGGGGGGCAATTTCTGACAGGGTGGTCAGGGTGAGGGCAGACCTGGATAGGGACTTGGAAGGAGAGGAGGGGAGGAGGGAGCTGGCTCCTGAGTTGCAATGTGGGAGGGTGCCCAGCACATTCGAGCAAGGAGGAGGAGCTCAGGGTGGCTGGGGTGGGGTGGAGGTGGGAGAGGAGATGCTGTGGAGAGGTTGGCATGGTAGTTGGAGGAAGCACAGAGAAGCCTTCTGGTTGTAGTAAAAGGGGGGACGTGAGTATTCTTGGGAGTGAGAAAGGTTGGGAGTATGCCCTGGAATGAGTTCTTCAATTTCACTAGTGGGTGGGGACATCGAAGCTCAAGTTTTAACGCGGGACACCGGGGGAGGGTCTTGAACAGCAGTCTGAGGAGTCCTCCACATTGCTCCTGGAACATTTACCTGGCAGTGGTGTGCCGGATGGATTGATGGAAGGAAGATGGGTTAGAAGAGAGAGCTTATTGCTCAACCAGTGATGTGGCACTCGGAGGGGAAGAGAAAAAACTGAGTCTCTGATATATTATGGATAGTGAGGAGGGAGGGGAGGGATGACTGTAAGGTATAAGCACATACATAGAAAAGCAGATGAAAGGAGAGGCAATGATTCATTTAACTTAGACATAAAGCTTCTCCAATCAGGAGTTACCTGAAGGAACATTTCAAGCTTTTGCCAACTTACTTTGGAATCCCTTTTTAGTAACAGTAGGAATTTTGGTTCCAATGCTTGTAGCTGAAATTGTGAGTCACTCCCATTGGAAATCGTTAGAAGAAAAGGAATGGGTTGTTGGAAACATAAAAAGAAAGGCATAGAGATTTTGCCCTAAGAAAGGAAGGGGAGGGAAAATAGAGTTGATTTCCTATTCTGGCAAATCAGGGATGGCAATTATTAGTATTTCATAATAGTGACCAGTAGTTACTAATTTATAATGTAGAGAACGTCACCATTTTCCTAGTTTAGTGTGCTGTTTTGTGAACGTGAGAACAATTAACAAGCCTAATTAGTATTAGGCTGGCACCAGCCTTGGTATGCCTGTGTTTTTCCCAGGTTTCTCAGAGACCTTTCTTCCATGTTGGTGCAGGAAGTTAGCAACTGAGTTCAGGCAATGCCTTCTCTCCTTGGGCCAAGATGTAAGTAGGGCTGAAGGTAGAGATGACCGTAATTATAGTTAACATTTTTGAGCAGGTACTATGTGCTGGGCTCAGTTTAAGACACTTTTCCTGGGTTAACTCAATCTCACAGTGTCTTATACAGTGTCTTACAAAGTAGATGTGTTGCTCTCCCCATTATACATATCAAGAAATTGAGGCATGGATTGGTTCAGAGTCATTTACCTAGAATTGATACTTGCTGTACTGAGATTATCAAAGGAGAGTATACTGAGAATACCAAGGAGATAATACTGAGAGCCAAAGATAATATACGTGTGTGTGTGTGTGTGTGTGTGTGTGTGTGTGTGTGTGTAGTGAGGGGTACTTAATATTTTGGGGTTAGGAAGAAGATGATAAATCAGAGGAAGGACATGTTAGAATTTAACAAGCCAGAAACAGTTCTAATTCAGGGTTTCTGTAGGTCCACATTTCTTTACCCCCTGGAATTCAGTGAATTCTGCATTGTAGTTAGCATCTTAACACAGGTGTATTCAAGCTGGATCTATCAGGGAAATTCAAGTGACAAAGGAAACAGTATCTAATTGCATTCGACTTATAACTTAACTACAAGTGGCCAATTGATTCTACTGGTCCTGGAATTGTCCCAGAGCCTTTGCACTTTCTGGCTAATTGCATTTTCAAAATTGTGTTCGCACATCATTAGCACAGAAAACCTCTCCCTTTGGTAGTATTTGAAGTCTCCTGTCAAAACAACTGGAGCCTTACCACAATGTGTCATTAGTCTACATTCATGCTGCGTGACCCTCCAGTTTTCAAGGCAGTGAAAACAGGCTTTGAATTTGCCTCTTGCCTCCCTCATTTTAGCCTGGGAGCTCATTTAAGCATTTGTTGCCCAGCTCAAATGCTAAGAAAACTCTTGCCCACAGCTGTTGTATGTATTAGGCTACAGCTGGCCACTTGTGCATACATTCATTTTTTGGGGAAGCTGCCAGTGGAATGGCAACTGGTGAGTGCCCTGAAAATCTGGCTTCAGAGAATTTGTCCTGGGAGAACAGGATTGAAGAGCCTCTCGGCCCTGTGAATGTTGTTCATGATCGGAAATCTCTTCAACGGAGTGGTTCTAACATGGAGAGTTTATTTTGAGCTGTTTTCTGGAAGTCTCAGCTAGATCATGAACCATGTTTAGAATTATTTCTCTGTCTAGCCAGGATCTTACCATCTCCCTTGATGTCCTCTGCCTTTTTTGATTAAAATTTAGTATTTGACTCTAAGAGGTAACCTACCTTGCAGTTGCTACAAAAACTGCTGAGGCTCCCCTGGGACTATTCCGTGGTGTCAGTCTTCTGTATTCCTCACTGCTGGGAAGACTGGGGAGGTTTACAGGTGCTTCTGGGATAGGGGGAGGATCAGGATTCTCAGGTGGGTAGTAGCAGGAGCCCCTCTGAAAGATGACCACTAAGTAAGTTTGCAACACAATGAAGGAAAGAAAGAGCGGTGTTGAGTAGCACCTCTGGCTGGGTCATCACCCTTTCCAGCAATGCTGGAGAATGGACTTCTGGGAATTTGGGACATCCCAAGTTTCATGACTGAATAAGGGCTGGGGCTGGGCAACCTGCATCCGTTTCTCAATGGGCTGGGTCACATATCAGTGGGGGCATGTGTACCACTGAGCCTGAATAACCACTTAAGGAGACAAGGTGGAGTTGTCTTGGATCACAGATGACAAGAGCATTCCCCGTTGATGACACGGAGCTGTTTGCTTCCAAAGCATGCAAGCTCACCTGGGGCCCGCAGGTCTTTTACCTGGAGTAATCACTTCCTTGCTTGGTTTAGTGGTTGTCCCAGAGTTGAACACACACAGTCTGGTCATGGCAAAGCTACAGCATCAGTTGGCATGAGCAGATGTTCAGGTCTTATACAGAGGTGAGTGTCCATTGAGGCCTTACTCTTAGTTTAAATAGAGACAGATGTGAGGGCCTTCTGTAAAGGGATGGATGGTGTTGGCAATGTAGTGAACTCTTATGAGACACGCCCTTGAGAGTTGGTCTTTCGGGTTTCTGCCTCGCTTTTCCTTATTCTCTCTTCCCATCCTCCTTCCCCTTTCTTGCACTTGCAGGTTTTAGCTTTTTGCCAGGCAGGTCACAGTCACTCAGCTTTTGCTGAAAAAATCTGGAAGAGCCATTGTTGGTAAGAAAAGGGGGAAGGCATGGGATTGATTTGTTTGTTTGTTTTGTTTTGAGACAGGGTCTCTCTCTCTCTGTTGCCCAGGCTGGAGTGCAGTGGTGCAGTCTTGGCTCACTGCAACCTCCACTTCCTGGACTCAAGTGATCCTCCCACCTGCCTCAACCTCCCGAGTAGCTGGGACTACAGGTGTGCACCACCATGTGTGGCTGATTTTTTTGTAGTTTTAATAGAGATGGGGTTTCACCTTGTTGCCCAGGCTGGTCTCAAACTCTTGACCTCAGGTGATCCACCCGCTTCAGCCTCCCAAAGTGCAGGGATTATAGGCATGAGCCACCATGCCCTGCTGAGACTGAATATTTAGACAGAATCTGGTCAGGTGCTACCTGCAGCTGAGTCATGAGGTCACCATATAATAGTGGAAAGTGTACTTGGAAGGATAGGTTTCAACTTCCCATCTGCCACCAACCAGACTTGTGATTTTCTAAGCCGCAGGCTGTCAATCAATGAGATAGCTTTGCCAAGTCCCTTCCTCTTCTGGAGCTCTGGGAATTACAAGATGCCTGGGATCATTTTTTCTCCTTTGTACCAAAGTCTCTCTTATGGAATAGGGATGTTACCTGTGTAGCTAAATTTCCCTGTCTTGCAGAGAAGCATTTCACCTCTTTGCATTTTAGAGAGAGCTTAATAGCTGATGTTTTCACGCATACCAAACCTTCTTCCCAGAAGGACTGAGACATGAAAATGAATCCAAAAGTTTGGAAAATTCACAGACTCATCTTGTGTAACTCATTGGTTATCCTGAATAATCAACAATTGTCAAATTTTCTTTTGTCTTGTATCAAGAGGGAAGCATATGGTCAATGTCCCTGCCAAGGAGAAATGTGGGTTGATAACAGTGTTTTCCTGTTTGTGTAGAGGATTTTTACCAATTGGCTCTAGGTCTTTCATGACCACCCGTGGATGTTAATAAGCAGGATAGCAGATAGCAAAGCTGTGGGAACCAGCAGTTATAGGGGTCTGCATCTGAGCTGCATTCGTGGTTTCTTTCTTTCCCTTAAGTCCCTCTAACTCCCAGGGGTCTAAGCTCCATTTATAATGGAGTTGATCCCTAGAAGCTCACCCAGCAATCTCCTGCTGCCATTCTACTCCCACCACCCTCTTTTTTCCATGTCTTGCTATACATCTCTTTTAGTTGCTTATTTAGTATTTCTTCATGATGAAGGTGAACTTTGAGCAATTCTTAGAACTAAGTGAAGTTCGTGGAGATATGGGCACAGTGTCTGTCTGGGGCCTTGTGTAGGCCAGTATTAGTTTGTGGCATGGCTCATACTGCCCCCATTGCCTCTCAGCAAAGATAGGAGCCCAGAGCATTCATTTGTATGGTAATTCAGAATATCTGGTTAGTTTTTACGTGTTTGAACCAGAATGAGCCATTTGTGAGACTAAAGGCCCCCAAATTGGTGAAACTGCCAAACTGTGTATTACTTTGGCATCTTCTATATTAGACTCAGCCTCCCGTTCTCTTCCTTGGAGAACAATTAGGCTCCTTTCTTATGCATAAGACTTTGAGCTGTCTGTCCAATACTGCAGTGAGTATCCTTCCTTGATGACTACCATTATTTAATTATTGTTTATGGAAATGCCTGTAGCTCTTTAGAGCAATTAAGATACTGATTTCAGAACAGACCTGTCTGTCCCGGAAATGTTCAGCTTCAGAGCAGAAGCAGCTTTGGAAGTTCCCAATGTTTTTAAACTGGGAACTGATACCCTCAGTATCTTGGCAGTTGCCCCGAGCTGTCATTTGGCCCTGGGGCAGCAAGTAGCCTGCCCAAGGCTCCTAGCATCCCAGCTTTGAAAGGGCAAGGTAATTGGAGAGCTCAATGGAGCTGTAGGCCCCACAGACTTATTTAGCACAATGCAGAGTGAGAGGCTGCTTGTTTTCAAGAAGCGAATCTGATTAGAGGATGAGGATTCTTGCCTGCTCCTGGAACACGGAGCCGTGCTGGGTGAGTGGGTGAGGCGGTGCACTAGCTATCTTTTCAGTCACTCCATTATAAAAGAGACTCCTAAGCATGCCTTTTATTTATTTATTTTTAAAGATATCAGCTATAAAGACCTAGTTATTCATTGTCACCCCCTACGTCTGGAACAATTAACTCATCTGCCTGCAGAATTTCCTGGAGTTCAGGATAAGCTGATGAGGCTGAGGATGCTGGGTTCTCAGCATGGCAGCGGTAGAATCTCAATCGCGAATTTGCCAATTCGTTAATTATCTTAGAGAAATAATAAGCTCTTTGAAGTGCTCCTTATTTCTTTTATATTTCTTGAACATTCCAAATCGTGTGCTCTCACGGAGGGCGGCTGAAGGTTTCCTGAGCAGCTCTGCTGGGTCTGTGCGGGTCCAGGGTTGAGCAGGACCTGGTCCAGGAGCCGTCAGGAGTGGCTGTGCCTTATGCGTATCCCGCTGCTACAGAGCCCTGGCTGGACCCAGGGCTCTTCTCCACGTGACCCTGGGTTCCTTCTCCACGTGACGCTTGTCTTCTTTGCTCTCTCTTTCTGCTCCCAAGGATGTTAATGCAGGCGAGGGCAGTGAGTTTGCAGACAGTGGGATTGAAGGGGCCACTACCGACACGGACCTCCTGTCCAGGCGATCTAATGCCACCAACTCCAGCTACTCACCCACCACAGGCCGGGCCTTTGTGGGCAGCGACAGCGGCAGCAGCTCCACCGGGGATGCGGCTCGTCAGGGGGTGTACGAGAACTTCCGGCGGGAGCTGGAGATGAGCACCACCAACAGCGAGAGCCTGGAGGAGGCCGGCTCGGCGCACAGCGATGAGCAGAGCAGCGGCACCCTGAGCTCTCCGGGCCAGTCGGACATCCTGCTGACCGCCGCACAGGGCACGGTGCGCAAGGCCGGCGCCCTGGCCGTCAAGAACTTCCTGGTGCACAAGAAGAACAAGAAGGTGGAGTCAGCCACCCGGAGGAAGTGGAAGCACTACTGGGTGTCCCTGAAAGGTGAGAGCGGGAGGGCCCCGGCTATGTGCCAAATGCACCAATAGAGGTGCCCCGTTGTGCACATACTCACGGGATGGGTGGGTTTGTTGTTGTTGTTGTTATACAGAATTTGAAAATCATACTAATTTAAAACATTTATCATAGTAAGAGCACTTCGCATGAAATCTACCCTCTTACATTTTAAAATGTGCAATATGGCATTATCGACTACAAGTGCAATGTTGTAAGGCAGATTTCTAGAATCTAGTCATCTGGGCTGGGCATAGTAGCTCACACCTGTAATCCCAGCACTTTGGGAGGCAGGAGGTTCACTTGAGCCCAGGAGTTCAAGACCAGCCTGGGCAACATAGCAAGACACCAGCTCATAATAAACAAACAAACAAATAAATAAGCTAGAACCTATTCATGTGACTTAAGTGAAACTTTATGCCCCCTAATTAGTAACTCTCCCATCCCCACCCCTGCAAATGATGTTTGATTTTCTCTTTTCACAGTTAACGCTAGAGGAGCATCTCATGTCTAGTTTTGGCATGTATGCAACTGGTTTGATGACAGTTTCAAAGGATGAGTTCCAAAAAAACCAAATCTTTTTGGACTCATCCAGCTTTTTGTCTTTCAAAGTGACTATTTTGGAGGGAAATTTATTAGCTTGAATTCTATGAAATTGCCATGTTTAAAGGAAAAAATTGGTAGAATAATGTTAATTTCATAGGATTCAACCTGATATTAATGGATTGTATAGACCATCATGTTTATGAAAAAGCCAGTCACTATTTAATAGTCAAACTTTGTGTTTTTGACTGTGTATATATAGATACAGACATGCATGTGTAGATCACTTTATTTTCTGTTTATATAACCATGCTTGTATTTGTTGGTATTTGTTGTCATTTTGCACATTTTCGTGAAGTACATGTACGTATTGTTGCACGTACTGCATACATCCTGGTAGCCTAGAAAATGTAATATATTTATGAGCTCTATATTTTAAAAGGAAAAACACTTCTCAAACACACAGACTTTTCTTCCCAAGCTAGACTTGAAACAGGGTTAATACATGGCAGGCTAGGTTAGATAGGTCAACAGGATTGATGGAAGGGCACAAGAGGAAGAAGCCTGGGCTTATCAGTATCAAACTAGACCGTTCGATACTGGATTTCACAGACTGTGGTTGGTTTGGGAACATGCAATCCTAGAGACATGGAGCAGCCTAGAGCTCTGCTCAGTGAGGTGAACACAAATGCCTATGCGGTGATGTGCAGGTGCAGGTCAACCCTTGCACAAGTAGGACTTGCGTTGGCCCCATTATTCTTGGTGCCAGCTGTTGCTCAGATGCCTGATGACACAGGAAGGGAGGGTATTGGTCAGGATATAGGTTTTGCTGCATGTGCCAGAGACCAGCAATGCCAATCCCAATGCCATAAGCAAGACAGAACTTTATTTCCCTCCCACCTATCAAAAATAGATGATTTAAGGCTTGTGTGATAACTCTTTTCTATGAAGTCACTCAGAGGCCCTGGCTCCTTCTGAAGTTTTGTTGCTCAGCTATTCCTACAGCATTATCTTTTTCTTTTTTTTTTTTTTTTTTTTCTGTTTGAGACAGGGTCTCACTCTGTCTTCCAGGCTGGAATGCAGTGGCACAGTTACAGCTCACTGCAGCCACAAATTCCTGGGCTCAAGTGATCCTCCTGCTTCAGCCTCCCAAGTAGCTGGGACTACAGGCATGTGCCACCATGCCTGGCTAATGTTTTTATTTTTTGTTGAGACAGGGTCTTACTATGTTGCCCAGGCTCATCTCCAACTTTTGGCCTCAAGCGATCCTCCTGCTTTGGCCTTGGGTTTACAGTTGCATTGGTGCCCGGCCTCCTAGAACATTATCTTTTGATGATTTTTTGCTGTAGTGGTCTTGCCTATGAGACATAGATGTGCATCGTGTGGAAGCATTTTGGAGAACTGCAGTGTTCTTTCTCATGTGTGACGTGCCTTGGCTTAACTTGGAGGTGTTACAGGGTTATGTCTGAGGGGCCTGGATCACACCAGCTGCTCTGCTCTGGGGGAGTGAGAGGAGATGAGGGGAAAGGCTTCTTCCTCTTCCACTTCCCGCTTCTCCCCTAGATGGGCACACCTCTGGACGCTGCAGCCTCTTATCCTTAGCAGCCCATCTTAGCATTCATTTTATTAATTAGTGCCAAGTTCTTAATAGCTTGATCCGAAGATCACCTGCATCACAGCCTCTTGAGGGTCTTTCTGGGTTGTACCCCACACCTGCTGAATCACAAGATTTGGAGGTAGGCCCTGGATGAGTTTGCTGGGGCTGCCATAGCAAAGCACCACAGACTGGATGGTGGAAATAACAGAAATGTATCATCTCACAGTCCTGGAGGCTGGAAATCCAAGATCAAGGTGTTGGCAGGGTTGGTTTCTTCTGAGACTGCTCTCCTTGACTTGGAGATGGCTGTCTTCTTCCGATGTCTTCACATGGTCTTCCCTTTACTTGTCTATGTTCAAATTCCTTCTTATAATGGCACCATTTATATTGGATCAGGGACCACCCACGTGACCTCATATTATCGTAATTACCTCTTTAAAGGCCCTATTTCCAAAGATGATCATATTCTGAGCTAACTGGATTTAGGATGTTTGGAGGACACAATTCAGCCTTCAGCAGACCCTGACTTTGTGATTTAAACAAGCTTCCCAGGGGATTCTCACTCTCAGTTTGAGAGCAGCAATGTTAGTGGCATAAAATAAAAATGATTAGTTGGCTTTTTTTTACTTGGGACATATCAGAGGGGTTTATTTTGTTTCTGCCATTCCCTCAGAGAGTAAATGACACAGGAAGTCAGGGTGCAGGTGTCCAGGAGCACAGCCCACAGGCCCTTTAGGGAAGGGAGTCTTTACTTTCTTGGTGACGCAGAGCTGAGTGACACAGCCTGTTGGAATTCAGGCCCAGAACATGGAGCCACCGAGTTCTTTGCTTCATCCTGATGGGTTCCCAGGATTTGTTGACATCCTCAGGGCTTTGTCCTTGCTGCTCAAAAGCAAGACTTGCAGCTGACTTTTTCTTAGCAATGCTTGAATATTGGGAAATAAAAAGCAGAACATGTTGGAACTGTGGGATAGAGATTTTTTTTCCCTAAAGATTCTTTCCCATTAGGCAAAGTAATTGATTTTTTTAAAAAAAGATTTCATTTGGAATTAGTCTCTGGAGTGTTTCCATGGACAACGGAAGAACGTACAGATTATGTTCCAGGGAAGATGAAGGTAAACAGACTTTCACCAGGGAGAACGTGGTTCTCAGATTTGCTGCTTCGCGTTCATCTTAAAGTTGGAACGAGTTGATCATGAGTAAAAGCTGATTTTAATCACTTTTGGTGGTGCTTTGTTGTGGATGATTCTAAATCAAAGTTGAAAAATTATACAAACAGTTACCTGATGGGACCATACAACATTCACTAGGTGCGTGTGTTAGGATTGGTGAGTGTCCCCTAATTCATTATCCACAGGCTTCTTTCTCTCTTCTTAAGCTATGCTAACGTGTGTTGCTCCTTTTATGTTAGGAATCTACTTTTCATTAGTGTTGAATTAGTCGTAAAAACTATTTAGAGCAGGGTTTCTCAACAGTGACACTGTTGACATTTTCTGGATAATTATTTGTTGTGAGGGCTGTCTTGGGCATTGTGGATGCTTAACAGCTTCTTTAGGCTCTGTCCTCTAGATGCCAATAGCACCTTCCCCCAAGTTGTGACAACCAGAAAGGTCACCAGACATTGCCAAGTTTGCCCCATCATAAGAACCTCTGACTTAGAGGAAAACGGTTTCCCCCTCCCATTTTTGTTATTTCTTTGTCTCTCTAATCTGTGCTAGCCTAAGGCATGGAAATAGGAGGTACAGATTATTCTGCTTTTTCATACAAGTGTTCCTGAAAAGCCTTGAGATCCTCAAAATCTTTGGGATTTGAGAAAAATAGAGTTGGGGCAGACTACTCTACAGGTATGTATTTAAATTGTACCATGCAACTTTTAAACCCCAAACTAAAAGAAATTAGCTTGGTGTGGTGCCTCACTCCTGTAATCCCAGCACTATAGGAGGCTGAGGCAGGAGGATCACTTGAGGCCAGGAATTTGAGACCAACCTGGGTAACATAGTGAGACCTTGTCTTTACAAAAAAATACACAAATTAGCCAGGTATGGTTGTATATGCCTGTAGTTCCAGCTATTTGGGAGGCTGAGATAGGAGGTTCACTTGAGCCCAGGAGTTCAAGGCTGCAGTGAGCTATGATTGTGCCACTGTACTCCAGCCTGAGCAACAGTGGGACCCCATATCTACAAAAATAATAGTAATAAAAAATAAAAATAACCCTGCAGAACTCCACTAAAATTTTTTAACAATAAGCAATATAAAACTTTATCTTTCATTTTTATTTTTTTGTGACAGGGTCTTGCTCTGTTGCCCAGGCTGGAGTGCAGTGGCATGATCATGGCTCACTGCAGCTTCAACCTCCTGGGCTCAAACAATCCTCCCAGCTCAGCCACCTGAGTCGCTGGAACCGCAGGCATGTCTGGCTGATTTTTTTTATTTTTAGTAGAGACGAGGCCTCGCTATATTGCCCACACTGGTGTTGAACTCCTGGGCTCAGGTAATCCTTCTACCTTGTCCTCCCAAAGTGCTGCGATTACAGGCATAAGCCACTGTGCCTGGCAAACTTTATCTTTCAAAAAAGCATTAGCATAGGGCTTTACCTTTGAAAAAAGAAGCAACTGTAACTTGAATGGGTAGAAGGAATAATTGAGACTCCTAAATTATGGAGACAAGGACCACAAGTATGAAATCATGATGCTCAGCAGCACCGTGCAATAAGGACTTGTAAGCAGAGCCCATGGTCAAACTGTACCAAGAGAAAAAAAATGTGAAATAAGTGGGCAGGGCATATCAATATGCTACATTCATCTGTTTGGAGGGACGTAGAGTTCAACAGCTATTCTGTGGTAATGTGAAATATTATAGGCTAGGAAAAGTTGCCCTTGAACCAGTGTGACCTTTCCATTGATCTGCATCATTCTACACTACTAATCGCATATAAGCAAATTTGCTTGACAGATTCCCATTGTAGCCGAATAGATTGAACTTTCAAGGGTTGTGCAGTTCACAGGAAGTGTGGCACTTGTTTGTGGTAAGGAAAATGGTGAAAATGGACGGACAGCTTATGTTGAAGTTGAGGAAGAGTCATAAAGTTATACCCTGGCTTCCCCTGAAATTGATTTCAGTTAGTTTGGAGTAAATGTTCAGCTCATAATTGCTATTAAAGTGAGCCTCAAGTTTAGATGATAATGGAAGGAGTCTATGGAAGCCATCTTGCCACAAGTCTATAAAATATTCTGTTGCTACTATCTTGTTAGTTTCACAGTGCAATTATGCATGGACCAGGACTCCGGCTTCTCCCAGGCCTTTGTATGTGTGCCATAGATTTCCTCTTTCAGTAGGAACAAGGGCATGGTTGGCTTCTAGAAAAAAAAAAAGTTTATAGATGGGATGTTAGACCAAAAATGTATCATTGTTTTTCTTATCCTTAAAGTACTTAACGCTGGTATTATATATTGTTTTATCCAAGGGCATGGTCTGGAACTAAATACATTTTCTAGATTTTTCTGGTTGCATATCATACGAGACATATTTGAATGGGCTTCAATCGGACGGTAGTGACTTCTGATCCTCACATAGTGCCAGGCAAAGTTCTGGCCTGGAGGACCTCTGCCTCGGGACAGAGGAGTCACAAGACCCTATGTCTGTGAGGAGACCTGTAATGAATCATTCTAAAACCCAAAGGAAGGGTTTGAGAGAACTTGAGGGCATGCAGGAAGGAAACCCGGGCAGGCTGAGAAGCTACAATTTAAGATCTTTGTCCTTCTTTAGGCCCATCCAAGACTTGAGTCCAAGCCTGGCTCCATTCTCTTTACTTCCTGGGTTCCACGTGCTTTAATTTTCAGCCTCTGACAGGGTGCACATGTTAGGTTCAACTGTGGGTTCTTTTGTTTCCCAAGCACTGAATACTCATGCACACCCCTGTTCTGTTTCCTCAGGATGCACGCTATTTTTCTACGAGAGCGACGGCAGGTCTGGGATAGACCACAACAGCATCCCCAAACACGCCGTCTGGGTGGAGAACAGCATTGTGCAGGCGGTGCCTGAGCACCCCAAGAAGGACTTTGTCTTCTGCCTCAGCAATTCCCTGGGTGATGCCTTCCTTTTTCAGGTTTGTTGGGCACTTCCTTTGCAGGGCATTTCAAACCTCTGAACTGGCTACCTTCTTTTCTTGCCTAGGCACCCAGTCTCCCTCCACTGCTTTTTTTTTTTTTTTTTTTTTTTTTAGTGGTGAGATTAATCTGTTGCTCATTATAAAAACAAAAACAGTGAATGACAAAATAAACATCTATATTAAATTCCAGGAGTAGGTACATTCAGAAGTTTTCCAAGTGAAGGCTAAGGAGGGCTATGAGTTGGATGTGAGAAACTTGCTCTGTTTGTCATGAGTTGAAGGATATCTTTGTGTGGTCTCAGTACCATTTCTGTTGCATTTAAGAAAGGGATCGTGAATTTCTTCTTTTAGACATGATTTGAGCTGTCAAAAAGTTTTATTTATAATATGTTCCTTTCTCATATTAATCATAAAGTAAAATAATGACATCTCAGAAATGACTGGCATCACCTAAACAGTTTCTCTTCCTCATCTGATCAGAACTTTCTACTCAGCATCCTTGAATTTCAACATTTTTTAAAAAAAATACTTCTCTGCTAACTGCTTCAGGATTAACATTTTTCTGATAGGGAATCTTTTGAGTTTGGAATAGTTGTAATATACTCTGCAAGAACTTTTTTGTGTTGTTATGTAGGAAGGCTTTCTTTATTGATTCCATTGAAGAATTATTTTCTCAAACCTTTATTCTGTGCTTCCTATGTGCTCTGCATAGTGCTATTGAGAATACTAAGAAGATTTTGACAGTTCCTCTCTTTTTTTGAGATGAAGCCTTGCTTTGTCACCCATGCTGGAAGTGCAGTGGCACGATCTCAGCTCCCTGCAATCTCTGCCTCCCAGGTTCAAGCAATTCTCCTGTCTCAGCCTCTTGAGTAGCTGGGACTATAGGCACCTGCTGCCACGCCTGGCTAATTTTTGTATTTTCAGTAGATACGGGGTTTCACCATATTGGTCAGGCTGGTCTCGAACTCCTGATCTCAGGTCATCCACCCACCTCGGCCTACCAAAGTGCTGGGATTACAGGTGTAAGCCACTGCGCCCAGCTGACAGTTCGTCTTCTTAAAAGTGTTCACATATAACGGAGGGGACAGACATAGCAAATCTTTATAATGTGGTAAAGCCTACCAATGACTATTAAAGGAAGAGCAGGTATAAATGGCGTGACAAGGACCGTAAGAATATAACATGCAAGGAGGGGGCTAGAACAAAGGTATAGAGGAAAGAAATCATTTATTTCACCAAGTTTCTGGCTTTGGCTTCAGAAGCTGTTTCTATTTGGACAATTAAAGTAAGAAATATAAAGTGCTAATTTTGATTATATAAAGACAAAGCATCTGTGTTTTCTTTTTTAAAAATCTGTGATGTAAAACACAGAAAGAAGAGTGCACACAACATAAGTGTACTGCTCAGTGAGCTATCATAAAGTAATTATGCAACCACCAACCAGGACAAGAAATAGAAGTTTCAGGCACCTAAGCCACCTTCCCCAACCCCACCCCACTCACAAATGCAGCCTACTAGTTGAATTGAGTATGTCTTTTATCATCCAAGCCAGGACACTTTTATTTATCTGGGAATGACTTAATTTCCCTTTCATTTTTGAAGGATAGTTTTGCTGGATATAGAATTCTTAATTGACCATCTTATTTCAGTGCTTTGAAAATCCCACTGCTTTCTGGCCTTCATGGTGTTTGATGAAAAATCAGCTGTTTATCCTATGAGGCTCCCTTGCTGATTTGAAGATCGTGACTTTGTCGTTAAACAGTTTGAGTATTATGTGTCTAGGTATCATTCTCTTTGAGTTTACTTTACCTGGAATTTATTGTCTTTCAGATATGTATCTTTTAATATTTTTAAATTTTAAAAATTGTTGTGGGTACTAGTAGCCACAAAATACAATGTGTATATATTTATGGGGTAGTGTCTTTTGGATCTGTAGATTTGTGTGCATGTGTTTGTGTATTTAAATCACATTTGGAAAGTTTTTAGCTATTATTTCTTCAAATAGTCTTCCTGCTCATTTATCTTGCTCCACTCCTTTGGTGACTCCTGTTGTGTTTACATTAGTATGCTTGATGAAGTCCCATAAGCCTCTGAGACTCTGTTCATTTTTTTTTCATTCTATTCCTTAATCTCACTTGATCTGTCATAAGTTCACTGATTCTTTTTTCTTCCAACTCAAATCTGCTGTTGAGCTCTTCTGGTTATTTTTATTTTTTTATATTTATATATATATAAAATATACATATATATGAAATATACATATATATATATATATTTTTTTTTTTTTTTTTTGAGATGAAGTTTTGCTTTTGTTGCCCAGGCTGGAGTGCAATGGCACAATCTCAGCTCACCACAACCTCTGCCTCCCACGTTCAAGCAATTCTCCTGCCTCAGCCTCCCAAGCAGCTGGGATTACAGGCATGTGCCACCAAGCCCAGCTAATTTTGTATTTTTTTTTCTAGTAGAGGTGGGGTTTCTCCATGTTAGTCAGGCTGGTCTCAAACTCCTGACCTCAGGTAATCCACCTGCCTTGGCCTTCCAAAGTGCTGGGATTACAGGCCTGAGCCACTGCACCTGGTCATTTTTTCTTTTCTTTTCTTTTTTCTTTTTTTTTTTTTTTTTTTGAGACAGAGTCTTGTTCTGTCCCCCAGGCTGCAGTGCAGTGGTGCACTGATTTTGGATCTGACTTTTCTGAGACAGGTTCTATTGACTACTAGAATGTCAATAGAAGCAGTCCTCCTGTTTTGGTCTCCCAACCCACTTTATTGTTGTTTATTGTTTATTTGCATGTCTCATAAATTGCCAGGTCTCTGCTCAGCTAGTTTAGTAGTCAGGTAATTATTAGAAAGAGATTTCCTTAAATGTACAGAAGCAATAAGTTTCCTAGTCTTTCCTAAGAACAGAAGTTTGCAAGTTCAAGCCTATCATCAACGCTCAGGCAACTAGCTTCCATCTCTGCCTTAGCCTTCATCTCTGCTTTCACTGAGCTGTAGGGTCAGTAGTGCACTGATCACAGCTCACTGCAGCCTCAGCCTCCTGGGCTGAGCAATCCTCCCAGCTCAGCCTCCTGAATAGCTGGGGCTACAGGTGTGCACCACCACAGCCAGCTAATTTTTTCTATTTTTTTGTAGAGATGGAGGTCTTGCTTTATTGCCCAGGGTGGTCTCAAACCCCTGGCCTCAAGTGATCTTCCTGCCTCAGCCTCCTAAAGTGCTGGGATTACAGGCATGAGCCACTGTGCCTGGCCTGGTTCTTTCAAACAAAAGTTATATTTCCTTATTGATATTCTCTATTTAATGTGATATTAGCCTCATACTTTATTTCTTTAGACATGGTTTATTTTAGTTCTTTGAATACGTTCAAAATAGTTGCTTGAAATCTTTGTCTAGTACACTCAACATGGGACTTTTCTGAGACAGTTTCTATTGACTACTTCTTTTTCTATATATGGGCCATACTTTATTTAATTGTTTTAGAGATAGGGTCTTGCTCTATTACCCAGGCTGGAGTACAGTGGTGCAATCATAGCTCACTGTAACCTTGAACTCCTGGACTCAAGCAATCTTCCCACCTTAGCCTCTCAAGTAGCTGGGACTACAGGTGTACACCACCACACCTGGCTGATTTTTTAAAAATATTTTTTAAAGACAGAATCTTGCTATGTTGCCCAGGCTGGTCTCAAACTCTTGGCTTCAAGCAGTCTTCCCATTTTGGTCTCCCAACCCACTGGGATGATAGGCATGAATCACCATTCCTGGCCCATACTTTATTGTTGTTTGTTGTTTATTTGCATGTCTCATACTTTTTTGGTTTAAATTGTACATTTAAAATAATATAAATGTGGCAACTCTGAAAGCAGATCCACCTCCCATCCTCCAGGATTTGCTATTGTTGTTGATTATCGGTGGTGATAGTGCTTCTTTGTTTAGTGACTTTCTTAAAATCTGTGAAATATTTAGGCTTTGTTATGTGTGCCCACTGAAGTCTCTGCTCAGCTAGTTTAGTAGTCAGCTAATTATTAGAGAGAGATTTCCTTAAAAGTACAGAAGCAATAAGTTTCCTAGTCTTTCCTAA
The DNA here is from genome assembly GCF_000001405.40 of Homo sapiens. NCBI lineage: Eukaryota > Metazoa > Chordata > Mammalia > Primates > Hominidae > Homo > Homo sapiens. The sequence goes on along the minus strand of NC_000021.9, from coordinate 31,241,410 downwards.
GAACAGAAGTTTGCAAGTTCAAGCACATGATCAACACTCAGGCAACTAGCTTCATCTCTGCCTTAGCCTTCATCTCTGCTTTCACCGAGCTGTAGGGTCAGTCATAGGGTGAGCTTAGGAACTTCTTGGGACTATCTGGGCTTGTGGACAGCCTTATACATATTTGTGACTGTATTAGTCAATTCACTAAGACTGTGTTGTGACTCTCTTAGCCGCTAATAAAGACATACCCGAGACTGGGTAATTTATAAGGAAAAGAGGTTTAATGGACTCACAGTTCCACATGGCTGGGGAGGCCTCACCGTCATGGCAGAAGGCAAAGGAGGAGCAAAGTCTTCTTACATGGCAGCAGACAAGAGAGAGCATGTGCAGGGGAACTCCCCTTTATAAAACCATCAGATTTCATGAGACTTACTATCACGAGAACAGCATGGAAAGACCTGCACCCATGATTTGATTACCTACCACTGGGTCCCTTCCACGACATGTGGGAATTATGGGCACTACAATTGAAGATGAGATTAGGTGGGGACACAGCCAAACCGTATCAGTGACCTTCCAGATTCCAAGGACTGTGTCATAGCTTTTCAGAGCCTTTTGTGGAAATCGTATTCCCCAACTTTTCCTCAAGTTTCTTGGTCAACTTCTTATTTGTTCGACTGTTATCACTGCTTCAGGCGACTGTAGTGCTAAACAATTGTCATTAATTGTTTTTCACAAGCACCCCCTGGAGTGAAGAGTGTTTGCATGAATGAGGTCTGAGTCAGGTCAAATAGCAACAAGCTCGTGAAGAGGTTTTTCTGGGACCTGCTAGACAGGTCGCTTAGTGATGGTTCTCTGAGAAAGGTGTTTTGGGGAAGATGTAGAGATCTACCTTGGAATGCCATGTTTAGTTCCATGTGTCAGACTTGAGGAAGGTTGTTCCCTCCTGTGGTGCTACACAGCTGGTTTTCATGTGATTGTATAGATGAGGAGAAAAAGATGGAAATAGAGCAATTTAAAATATCACAAAACTTGCTGTTTTTACTGAAGTTCAGCCATTTGTCTTTAATAAATGCAGCTTAGATTGTTGCAGAACTTAGATTAATTTCTGGAATTGTGAAAAAGTTGATTTTGACCATTTTTTACCACTGTTCGTGTTGCTTTTGTGAAGGAATGGCTCTTTGGAAGTTCTTAACCCTCCTACCCCACCCCAACCCCCATTGATGTTGATGGCATTCACCAGGACACTTTCGAGAGTAGACGCTATTAACAGTTATGCCAGTATACCAGGTATAAGCGAGGACAGTCCCAGGCCAACTGGGACATATAGCAACCATTCCATAGGTACATTTGAGTTGTTCCCAGGTGTTAAGGATCACAAGCAATGTTGTTGTGAGCACTCTTGTACCTGTTCTCAGGTTATGTTTGTCCACATTTCTGTTGGACAAACATATATACCTAGGAGTGGCATTGCAGGGTCATGGGTTAGGCACATATTCAGGATATGCCAAACAGTTTTCAAAATGATTAATGTAATTTATACTCTCATTAGCAGCCTAGGAGAATTCTAGTTATTCCTCATCTTTGCAAACTTGATACTGAGATTTTTTAAAATCCTTTTTAAGATATTAATATGAAATTGAGCACATATTCATGCGCTTAATGACCATTTCAATATCATCTTTTGTGAAGTGCTTATTTTACTCTCTTGTCCATTTTTTTTCCATCAGAGTTTCTTTGTTAATGATTTATGGCAGCTCTTTGTGTATTTTGTATATCATCGCTGTTGATTATATTCATTGCAAGTATCTTTTTCTACTCTGTGGCTTGCTTTTTACTCTCTTAATGGTGTCATTTGTTGCAGTGAAACTTAATTGTAGCCCATTCTCACTTCTTAAGCCTTCCTTAATGGGTAATGCTTTGAGTGTCTTATTTTTTAAATCTACATGCTATAATGTCATGAAAATTTTCTTGTATATATGTTATAAATAATTGTTTTGGCTGGGCATGGTGGCTCATGCCTGTAATCTCAGCACTTTGGGGGGCCAAGGCAGGCAGATCACTGAGCCCAGGAGGTTGTGACCAGCCTAGACAACATGGAAAGACCCTGTCTCTACCAAAAAATAAAAATAAAAAAAATTAGCTGGACACGATGGCATGTACCTGTAGTCCCAGCTAGTTGAGAGGCTGAGGTGGGAGGATCACTTGCACCAAGGAGGTCAAGGCTGCAGTGAGCCGTGGTTGCACCATTGCATTCCAGCCTGGGTGGCAGAGCGAGACCCTATCTTAAAAAAAAAAAAAATTGTTTTTCTGCATCTGACATGGTTTTTATTTGTTAATTGGAAATCTTGCAAATGAGGAAATGTCTAACTACCTGACAGCAACAGTAACATTATTGTGAGATCGGTGGCTATGTTTTACTTAGCCCTTATTGTATACCACCATCTTAATGTGAGTCACATGTAATTCTTAGAGCAGTAGTTAGTTGGATTATGTATCCACATTTTAATCCATTGATGTGTGTTGTATACCCCATTTGTTGAAGTCGAGGCTTACAAAAGCTAGTAATTGGACCCAAACTCAACTCAAATCAAGCCTATGTTTCTCCAAAGCCTTTTATTGTCTGAGTATACTATTTGTCCTATTACTGTTGACCCTAAGAAGAACGTGGGCAAGAGTCAGTGGCTACAGTAAAAAGTGACTAGCTTTTTCTCATTCCTACAATTAAGCTACTCATTGGAAATATTTCTAAAGTGAAACCTGATTTTGGTTATTCTTGCCTCACTACACAGGTTAGATGATTCTCAGATGGATTTCAGAAAGGTTCCCTTAAAAATTTTTTTTAACCCTCAAGTGGAATCAGAAGGTTTTCTTTTTAACTTACACATTTCTGATGTGAATTCCTTTTGAAAGGAACTTCATGGCCATAAAATTGCTAGTAGAATGTAAATACCCAATAGATCACATGAGGTAAACTTTTTTATATGTGACAACGTAGGATCTTAGTTTTGAAAACCTTTGTGTCTTCTTGCTATGGTGAAAGCTTTATGCCATTTATGAGGGATAGAGCACAAAAGGAAGCTTTTGGAGGAAATTACTGCTGTTTGGATACCATGAAGGCATTCTCTGCCTTCTGCTTATTATAAATCCATGTAACTCTGGAGCAGCCGAATCAGAATGAAACCTGTTTGTGTAGGGGTGAGGCTAAAGCACAGGCAATCAGCCATGATTATGGAAGTAATGTGTAGGTTATTCCAGCCCCAGGGCTCAATTCAGTGCACACAGTTTCCAGAGCCTGTGTGCTGCTGATTTGACACTGTTACTCAAATACCCACAGATTCACCCATGGAAAGGAGATTCATGTTACCAACAAAAGTAGAAAAGGAATTTATATGTGTGAGGCCAGGGGAGAGTGGGAATGAGCAGGAATGTTGGAGTCATGTATATGGAAGAAGTGCTATGCTGTCTGCACTATTTTAATTTAAGTTCTTTCCTTCAACTTGAAGCCAGAGACAGTACCTACCACCTACAAAGTACAATTTCCTATTGGGCCTTCATTCATTCATTACCTTAGGATGTCACATACAATTCCAAAAAGCTCACCCACCTTTATGGTAACATATCCTAATATTAGTTATTAATTTGTCTGTTAAATGCCTTGGGAACACAGCTACCAGGCAAATAAGAAAGACAATAGAGTAGAAAATCATATGCAGTTATATATCTAAAGGGGTATAGAAAATGTTATCTCTAGGAATTGATTGCCTTTTCTTCCCATAGAAAGTTTTCTCATCATTTAGAAAGTCACTTGTGCAAGGGTATTGTATGCATATTAAAAGACTCATATGCCATTAAGTTGAGTTGAAGATTAAGTGTGATAATGATGGTAAGTGTCTGATAGATAGCAAATGCTTAACAGTTACCATTTTAGTAATAAAGAAAAAAAGACTAGTTCCATGGGCTCCTCTTAAATAAGCATCTTTACAAAAATTAAGTGTGGCTTCACTGTGAAAAGGCTAAGGTCTTGAGTTTCGTCAGGCTCAAGAGAACTACCTTGGAAGCCATGTCTAGCTGTGTGTGTCAGACTTGAGGAAGGTCATGGCCACATGCCCTGGACAAGGGCAGCCAGGTTAGGGAAAAACCTGTAAATCATCTTTCATAAGGAGGTGTCAAGTGGACTTGTGGTAGAAGAGACTTTAATGGGGATTTGGCATCTTGACCCAGTGCCCCTCTCAAAGGAGGTATGGTCCCTGCAAGACCCTGGCCAACAGGTGAGCCTGCCCACTGGGCAGCCTCTCCCATTCCTGGAGATCTCCCAGCTTTCAACCATCGGTTTTGTTAGTCAGCCCTAAGTCCTAGAAAGTTCTTCATCATGTTGAGATAATATGTTCTTTCTGGTGAGTCTTGCCATTTCTCTTTGTTTCTATATTCACCCACAGAGTCCTGTGCAAGTCTTCTGCTTATCCTTACTCATCACCTTTTAAATACTTAAAAACGGCTTTCATTTACCTCCTGCCACGTCTCTTTGGGCAACCCTGCCTAAGGTTCCCAAGCCATTCTCCCTGTTCTTACTTGTAAGCGTGCCCAGGCGCTCAGCATCCTGTGTGAGCCTCTGTGTGGTCTGCCCCATGCAGGCTGCAGTGAGGTTCCCGTTGTCCTTGTTTCCTCTAGAGTCAATTCCTTTTATTAAAAGCCACATCAAACTGTTGACTCAGACTGAGCTCGTGGTATCTTAAACCCTCAACATCAATTCTTACCCAACAAGGCCTTCCCCATCTTATTTTAATAGATTTTTTTTTCAAAAACCCAACTCAGAACTTAAATGTACCTCTTTGATATGTTATCCTTGTGGCTTTTATCCTTCTAATAAACTGTTGAAATCCTCTGGGATCCTTATTTGATCTTCCCTGGTGTTTATATTCCTCTTAACTTCACATTATCCACTGATATGACAAGCTGAGTGCGAGGTCTTCATTCTCTTTGTTGGTTTCCGTGTTGACTTAGTCTGTAGCTAAGTCCTGTTTTCCCCACACCGTAGATTATATCCCTGCCCCTAGCCAGCCACTGTAGAAATATTTACCTTTGATTTTGGCATGGATTAGTTGTGAAGGGCCAACTCTAGGATATGTGGAGCCCCAGGCAAATATTTTTTTATGGAGGCTTTATCTATATAAAGAATTTGGCTCACTCCGGATCAACTGTCAGCACCATTCTGGTGGCCCAATCTCAAGCAATCTGGTGAAAGAAATACCACACGGTCTGGTGGGTGCGACTCACTAGCCACAGACTCAAGTTCAAGAGCTTCGGGCATCTTTTTGACACTGAATAGCTGGTACAGGGTGAGAGAGCTCCCTGAAGGGGAGAAACCTCCTGAAACCTCCCCTTTCCAGGAGACAGAGGGAGACTTGGAAAATTTCAAGAAAAGCCCTCCAAACTATGGGACCTCCTGAGGTGCAGAGCCCTGGCAGGGGCCCCACTTGCCTACCTCTTAGGAGACTATTAATGGAGAATGTGGATGTTGAAGTGCAAAATGAATATACAAGGCTGGAAATCAGCTAGATTTTATGCCTTCTTGTGGGTGCCTCAGAGGTTTCCCCACACTGCAGAGGTATAATTGTGGTTGAGCTAGATCTTCCTATACAATTTCTATACTGTTATGTATCATGCAAATTATGTTACTAACTGTATTCTTCCTTTTCTTACATTAGTTTAAATTTGTATTAAATCAATATCAGCATAGTTTAAAAGAATTCAGCTAACATTAAAAGGCTTAAAGTGAAATTATTTTCCTCCTTTTGCCCTCTTCGCCTCATGAGGCTTATTCCCTAGAAGCAACGATACAAAACTACTTTAGCTGATGTTTTTGTTTTCTTGTATTTGCCCTCATTAACATGTTTATACTGCTGTTTCTAATGGATTTTAGATACTACTGACTTTCTATTATGATAGATGAACATTTAGCTGTGTTAGCTATAAATTCTTCTTTCCTCATCTTCCCATATAGGTATATGAACATTTAGGATTAAAGCACTAATCAGTGTTATTACATTGTTATGACCATATAAATAGTATTGGCTGCTGAGTCAAGTAGTGTACTGTGATCTTATTTCTTTTCTGTAATAATTTCTTAATTTTTTTTTCTGTAGTTAATGACTGCCCCCTTTTTTTGGGAGGAAGGCTCATATTGCTTATTTTCCTGGTTATGTGGCAGTGATATTTTCTAAATCTCCAGCATGTTAGCTTGTTCATCATTGATGTTTTCCTTTGAAGCCTGCCCTCCCCTGGCACATTGTCCTGCTCCCATATGGCTGCTCTCCGGGCCTCATGTACAACAGCCTCTGTAGAATTACCAGCTGCTTCGTTTTCATGAAAATAACCTGGAGTAACTTCTTATAAAATGATGCACATTTAAAAATGTCTTCATTCTACCTTTTACTTGCATAATATTTGAGTAATTTGGAATTTTGGCTTGGAGATCATTTCCCCTTGGTTTAATTATTTTCTGATTATGTTCCCATTTCTGATTAGCATGTTTGTGTTTTATTTTCTTTTTTTCTCTTTAGCATCATTTCCTTATCACTGGTGTTCTGATCCTTTTTTAGTATATATGCTGCCAAAGCAAGCACAATTTCTTCTCTTTTTTTTTGGAGACAGGGTCTCACTCTGTCGCCCAGGCTGGAGTGCAGTGGTATAATCATGGCTGATTGCAGCCTCAGCCTCCCAAGGCTCAGGTGGTTCTCCCACCTCAGCCTCTCGAATATCTGGGATGACAGGTGCACACCACCATGCTTTGCTAATTTTTGTGGTTTTTGTAGAGACGGGGTTTTGCCATGTTGCCTAGGCTGGTCTTGAACTCCTGGGGTCAAGTGATCCACCTGCCTCAGCCTCCCGAAGTGCTGAGATTACAGGTTTAAGCCACTGCACCTTGCTGGTGTTCTGATCCTTCATAGTGATTTCCTTCTATTGACATTTTAATTTTGGTTATTTTTTTTTAATTCCTAAAAGAAGCTTTCTCTCCCACCTTCCCTTCATCCCTCCCTCCCTCCCTTCCTTCCTTCCTTCCTTCCCCACCTCCTCTCTCCCTTCCTCCTTCCCTCCCTCCCTTCCCCTCTCCTGCTCTCTTTTCAGTCTCATTGTTCCTTTTTATTGTAACCTGTACTTTTTGTTCACTTGTTTATAGTTTTAGATTCCCTTGCATCTCCAAGGGTTGTGTAGATTTTAGGGAAGCTTTCTCTGTTTCAGGCATGGCTTCTCCTTTCTCCTAGTACATTTTCTCCTGTGTGCTTTAGTCTCTGCCTTTCATGCTGGGGGCTTTCAGCAAATGTCTGGTGATCCTTGACTGGTCATATTTACATGTGAGATATGAAAAAGCTGCTTATATCATCTGTGCACATTAGAAGTACTGGGACCTTTCATAGCATGGACAGACAGTAAGCGGCCTTGTGGAGAGACTCCGGTTGACGATTATTTGTGAGTCTTTTCTTGGAGGCGACTGAGCTTTGCCAGAGATGAATCCTGCCACTGCCCTTCCTCAGGCAGGCTGCCATCTGTTCGCCTCTTTGCAGCGCACGGTCCCTGTTTTCCTTGTGTCTGTCTTCCTGGAGTCCAGAGCTTCCTTTCTTCTCCAAAGAATGAACCCGGCGTGGGTGAGGGTGAGAGGGATCCATTATATCACCATTTTCAGTGGGGGAGGGAAACCTCAAATTTAAAGTTGTCTTTTTTTGAGACGGAGTCTCGCTCTTGTTGCCCAGGCTGGAGTGCAGTGGCGCCATCTTGGCTCACTGCATCCTCTGCCTCCCAGGTTCGAGCAATTCTCCTGCCTCAGCCTCCCAAGTAGCTTAGTTTACAGGCATGCACCACCACACCTGGCTAATTTTTGTATTTTTAGTAGAGATGGACTTTCACCATGTTGGTCAGGATGATCTTGAACTCCTGATCTCAAGTGATCTCACCTCAGCCTCCCAAAGTGCTGGGATTACAGGCGTGAGCCACCATGCCTGGCCTTAAGTTCTCTTTACAGATATTAAAAATAATAGCTTAAATAAGTCTTATGTAAACAAAATATGATGAGTATAGAATCAACAAGAAAAAAGCCTTTTCAGAATTCACACTGGAGCTTTATTCCTATCTAGCCTCTTAAAAAATGGTAACTTTCTTTTTTTTTCTTTTAAAATGAAAGCGTTTGACCTACTTTACAATTATTCTTGTGCTTCTATAAACTTGAATTATCTCAAATTTTAGTTTCCTAGATTTGGCATATATTCCCTAGTATTTCTCGTGTTTAAAATGAATTTCCCTTTTCCTGCCACTTACGTAAACCATTGATTATCTGAAATCACCAAGTGTCCTCCATGCCATTGGATAGTTGAAGCTGGATCTATTTAAATACATAATGAAGTCCTGAGCTTCATCTTATCTCTGCACTCAAAGGGGCTGTTATGCAAAATGCATTTTTTTGCTGATTATATTTGTCTGTTGGCAAGAACTTTGCTTATTCCCTTCACCGAACTGTATACAGTATTTATAGCATCTCCAGAAGGCAAAGGAAGAATCACAGAATTCCCTCTCTCTTTACCTGTCTGCTGCTGTTTGTTTAATGGAAGGTGATTTGTGGTTAACAAGTTGAGAGGGCACCATTGGGTGGTCTCTCCTTCCTGCCTTCTTGGCCTCTGAATTCTGACGAAGGGACCCATCATGAATCTGATGTCCCTAACTAACCTTGCCCGGTTCAAGAAGGGGAGGCAAGGTTAGTGGCTTCGGATGGCTTTTTCTAGCATGTCAGAATTTAAATCCTGGAGAGACCTTGAGGAACAACATTGTGTCAGGTCAGGAGTCCACTGTGAGCAGTTGAGGTGTTAAGCCAGTAAATGGTCATGAAATGTTGCAAGACTTTTTCTCCACCCAACTAGCTTTTGAAAGCAGTCAGTGGAGAGTTCGTCTCCTCTTGTGGACACATAGCTCCCTGTGTGCCACTGCAAAGGGACAAACTGCAGAAAAGCTCATTTATTGAATTGTCCTTCTGAGAAATTGATTTGGCTTCATGATAGAGAATGGTAGGGACTGTTGCTTTATTTAGACAAGACAGTGGGAGCAAAAGTTCTCTCTAATGGAACTGCCTTCAGCCATTGACAGGTTTTTAAAAAGTTTGGGGGGCTGAGGCATACTTAATAGTTAAAAGGGCTGATGGCTAAATGTTTCATGCAGCTGTCATCACACATTTCTATATATGCTTCTCTAGGTTTTGGGGATTGTTATGCTTTTTTTATTTTATAATTATTTTTTCTTTTAAATTGAGGTACACCACACATAAAATTTACCATCTAGGCATTTTTAAGTGGACAGTTGAGTGACGTTAAGTACATTTACCCTGTTGTGCAACTATCACCATTATTCATCGCCAGAACTTTTTTTTTTTGTGAGATGGAGTTTCTCTCTGTTGCCCAGGGTAGAGTACTGTGGCATAATCTCAGCTCACTACAACCTCCGCCTCCCGGGTTCAAGCGATTTTGTGCCTCAGCCTCCCGAGTAGCTAGGACTACAGGCATGTGCCACCATGCCCAGCTAATTTTTGTATTGTTAGTAGAGACGGGGTTTCACCATGCTCAGGCTGGTCTCGAACTCCTGGCCTGAAGTGATTCGCCCACCTTGGCCTCCCAAAGTGCTGGGACTACAGGCATGAACCATTCCGCCTGGCCCATAACTCTTTTTCATCATGCAAAGCTTAAATGCGGTCCCCATTACATAACAACATTCCATATCCCCTTCACTCCGGCCCCTAGCAACCACTGTCTTTCTTTATAAGTTCCAGGATAGCTGCTTTGCCGAAATTAAATATATACCATTCAAAGGGTGTTTAACTTTGGTCAGCTTCCTTCGTTTTTCCTTCTTACGTGGAAGACAAACGTGAACTCTCTGACATCAGAATGGATTGTGTTGCTATTGGCTGAATTGGGCTGGGGTCCTCACAGGGGAAAGAAGACCCACTTTCATTAAATAAGGAGAGCAAAAGGCTGCAGTTCCACAGAACATATCAGATTATGGTCTTTCTTGGGGTTCCAAGTGCACTACACAGACTCCGTTATGTTTGAGGCATCCCCTGTTTTGCAGTGGAATTCTTACTTTGCTGGTAGATCAGTCAGGATGGATAGAATTAGGCTGAAGAAAGGAGCACTTAAATCTCAGCGGCTTAACATGCTTTCTCCTTCCTGGCATGATCGAGGCTGGCTCCAGAGCCGTACTCATCCTAGACTCTTATGGATCCAGGCAGACAGAAGCTCTATCTTGACACAGTGCTTCTGTGACCGTGGCAACGGGGCAAGAATGGGGCGAATCAGGCTTTTGTTGAGCAGTGATGTCACTTCTACTCACATTTTACTGGCCAAAGCCAAGTGCCATGGCCATGCCTGGCTTCAGAGGGGGCCAGAAAGTTCTATTCTCCCATATTCCTAGAATGAGAAGAGCTCAAAATATTGAATGGTCATGCCTGTAATCCCAGCACTTTGGGAGGCCGAGGCAGGGTGATCATCTGAGGTCGGGAGTTTAGGACCACCCTGGCCAACACGGTGAAACCCCTCTCTACTAAAAATACAAAAATTACCTGGGCTTGGTGGTGTACGCCTGTAATCCCAGCACTTTGGGAGGCTGAGGCTGGCGGATCACTTGAGGTCAGGAGTTCAAGACCAGACTGGCCAACATGGTGAAACCCTGTCTCTACTAAAAATACAAAAAACTAGCTGGGTGTGTGGCTCCCTAGTAGCCTGTAGTCCCAGCTAGGGACTAGGGAGGCTGAGGCAGGAGAACCACTTGAACCCAGGAGGCGGAGGTGGCAGTGAGCTGAGATCATGCCCAGGCACTCCAGCCTGGGCAACAGAGTGAGATTCTGTCTAAAAAATAATAATTATCGAATGGGTAATGCTTGTGACTCTGCAGCCTGGCTTTCAGAGCAATTAACAAGAGCTGGGGGTCAGGATCAGTATGTCATATTAAACAAGGAAAAAACAGAACCAAAACTTTTTTTTTTTTTAAGAACAGGGTTGGTGGAGATTGGGATTTATAATAAATGACTGTGTTCTTCCTAATTTTTCTGGGCTTTTTTCCTCCATCTGTGAAAAATGGTCATCTGAGTCCCTTCTGGATAAATATTTTTATTTAAATTCTTAAGTTCATAACATATATTCAGCCGAGCTTGCTGTCAGAAATTTCAGATCTTTCTATCCATTACTCAGGTATTATGTCAGGGTTGTAGGTATTTCCTTTTCTTACTCTGTGAGTTAGGGGGTGAGGGTAGGGGCTGGGAGGTTCTAACTGAGGCAGAGATGAGAGAGGTTTGCCTTGAAGATATGGATGTGGACCGCCCCTGAGCTTCCACCTGCCAGGTGTTTGTGCAGGAACCATAGCCTCTCCTTAGTGCTGCGTGCGCCTCTGCAGGGATTGCATCTGGATGCCCACACATTATCCTTTAAAAATGGGTGAAGATGGCCGGGCGCGGTAGCTCACGCTTGTAATCCCAGCAGTTTGGGAGGCCGAGGCGGGTGGATCACCTGAGGTCAGGAGTTCGAGACCAGCCTGGCCAACATGGAGAAACCTCATCTCTACTAAAAGTACAAAAATTAGCTGGGCATGGTGGCAGGTGCCTGTAATTCCAACTGCTCGGGAGGCTGAGGCAGGAGAATCTCTTGAACTTGGGAGGCGGAGGTTGCAGTGAGCCGAGATTGCACTGCTACTGCACTCCAGCCTGGGCAACAGAGAAAGATTCCATCTCAAAAAAAAAAGGGGGGGTGAAGACACGAACTCCCCTAAAATCTAAAAGCTCCTCATTTCCACTGAGCGATACAAACAAAATGGAAAGCATGTTTCGGGTCAAGGAACCAGCTTTTTATCAGGTACTACCAGGCACTTGGGAGGACAAAGAAATAAATGGTGGAGAAGGGTGAAGCTTTTTGGAACTTCCTTTGTAGTTTTGTAAGGACAGTTTTTAATGAAAACCGGAATATGAGGTATCATATTTTTAGCATAGTTATAGAAAAATTATACTCAAATATTAGGATAATATACCTTGGAAGGATGTTCTTTGAAACTTTCTATGATAGTTTAACGTATACACAGAAAAGGCACATTTTGATGGTGTTTAACAAACTGAACACACCCCTGTCATACACCAGCACCCAGCACCATGTAACTAGCACCCAGATGAAGAAACAGAAGGTGGCCAGCACTCCAGAAACCTTACTGTGCTTCTTACCAGATTCTACCCATTGCATCTCATCCCACCAAAAAAACCTGCCCTCTCAACTTCTAATACTGTATATTAGTTTATCTGTGTTGATACTTGATATGGTTTGGCTGTGCCCCCACCCAAATCTCATCTTGAATTGTAGTTCCCATAATCCCCACTTGTCGTGGGAGGGACCCATTGGAAGGTAATTGAATCATGGGGGCGGTTACCTCCATACTGTTCTTGTGAAAGTGAGTGAGTTCTCACTAGATCTGATGGTTTTATAAGGGGCTTTCCCCCCTGCTTTGTTCTGCACTTCTCCTCGCTGCCACCGTGAGAAGAAGGACGTGTTTGCTTCCCTTTCTGCCATGATTGTACGTTTCCTGAGGCCTCCTCAGCCATGCTGAACTGTGAGTCAATTAAACTTCTTTCCTTTATAAATTACCCAGTCTTGGATATGTCTTTGTTAGCAGCATGAGAATGGACTAATACAATACTTTATATAAATAGAATCCTACAGTATATACTGCAGTGCATCTGATTCCTTCCCCAACAAGATGTGTGCCCAGTTTATATGTGTTAATCTATAGTTATAGGTCCTTCATTCTTGCTGTATAGTATTTCATTGTGTGATTATCCCACATATTCATCCATTCCCCTATTGGTGGCACCTGGATGGTGTCCAGTTTCACCCATGATTTGCTGCTGGGCATGTTCTTGTGTGTATATTTTCGTGTGCATATGAGTGCATTTCTCTTGAGTGTGTACCCAGAGTGCATTTTCTGGGTCACAGGGTATGCATATATTCAACTTTAGTAGGTAATATCCAACAGCTTTCTAAAGCAGTTGTACAAGTTTACTTTCCAGCCAGTGGCCAGCAGTGCATAGGAGTTCTGGTTACTCCATATCTTTGCCAACACTGGGTATTTTCATCTTGGATTCTTTTTTTCCTTCCTTTTTTTTTTTTTTTTTTTTTTTTTTTTTTTTTTTTTTTAAAAAAAGGAGGCCGGGCATGGTGGCTCACACCTGTAATCCCAGCACTTTGGGAGGCTGAGGCAGGCGGATCATGAGGTCAAGAGATTGAGACCATCCTGGCCAACGTGGTGAAACCCCATCTCTACTAAAAAAAAAAAAAAATACAAAAATTAGCTGGGCGTGGTGGCACATGCCTGTAGTCCCAGCTACTCGGGAGGCTGAGGCAGGAGAATCACTTGAACTCGGGAGGCGGAGGTTGCAGTGAACTGAGATCGCGCCACTGCACTCCAGCCTGGTGACAGACAGACTCCGTCTCAAAAAAAAGGGCTGGGAGTATAACCCCACCTAACGAGATACCCATTTATTGTGAGGCACTGGGAGATCCAATGATCAAGCTTTGTACAGTACATCAGCAGGAGCAAGCTTGGTGCTCTCATTAGATGCAGGAGAGCCTCTCTTTTTCTGGTGGAACTTCAGGATGATATGTAAGGACAAACTATAAGATAATGACCTGCAAAGAGGAGACAACTATAAAATAAAGTGAAGCAAATTTAATCTCATAAATAGACATGCATTTTTCCTCCTAAGTTTCTCAATCTACAAGTCCTCACCTGTGGCTTCCGGTTTCTTTATCGCCTCTCCTCCTCCCACTCAGTCTTTACAAAGTGATTCCATTTGCTTTATCAGGTGGTACTTCTGCTGTTTCTTCTTCAGATTGTCTAGCATATTGAAATGTTTATCCACAGGCAAAATATTTGTTATCCACATAACAACTGCTGGACCAGTTAGGTTTGCCCAGTGGGAGGTGACTTTGTTGGCTGACACCATTTTTAATATTTGATGCTGTTTCTTCTGTGGAATACAAAACTGATCAGATTCAGAAATAATAAAGATAAAGTACTATCTTGACTTAAATTCCAGCTGCCAGCCAGCACAGTGTCATGTGCTGGTGGGTTCCTGTTAATAGAATGTTGTTTACAAGTGGCTGGGCAAGATGGCTCACATCTGTAATCCCAGCACTTTGGGAGGCCGAGGCGGGTGGATCACTTGAGGTCAGGAGTTCGAGACCAGCCTAGGCAACATGGTGAAACCCTGTCTCTACTAAAAATATAAAACTTAGCCGGGCATGGTGGCACACACCTGTAGTCCCAGCTACTCGGGAGGCTGAGGTATGAGAATTGCTTGGACCTGGGAGGCAGAGGCTGCAGTGAGCCAAGATCGCGCCACTGCACTCCAGCCTGGGCAACAGAGCACGACCCTGTCTCAAAAAAAAAAAAAAAAAAAAAACACAGAATTTTGTATACAAGCCATCACTCAAATTAGTTAGAAAACTAAGAAGGCGCTTCAAAGGAGAAAAAACAATGAAGTGTTTTTGTGCATGAAAAATAATGTTAGTAGCTCCTTTAGTATTGTAGTGGCTGAATAGATTATTTCTTGAGATGGGCTAACTTCTGAGCATTTGTTTCACCTCTCTGGGCTTAAGAGAGTATCTGGAAAAGTCCAGTATCTCCTCACTTGTAAAAACTCATTGATTGAATTCCTAAAGAATCATTAATAGCGAGTTATCACATGTGCTGTCTCTTGAAAACTATTCTGACTTTTGCCTTTCAGAACACCGAGTCACACCAATCCCATGCAGGTCACCATTGGTGGGTGTCGCTCACCATTTTCTTAATGCCCTTCTCAAACAGGCCACTTTTAGCACATGGAGTGTTGTTGGGCGGCTGCAATTCTTAGAGGGTTCCATAGAGTCCCCAAAGACGGTATTTCTTCTGGCTACCTGACCACTTCCCCAACCCTAGTTCTGTCTTGCTGCTTAGCACCAGGAATAGGACCTTTGGATTTGGGTTGCAGTGGTTCACGAGGGGCAGGGCTGTTGTAGCTTCCTATGTCAGTAATGTCCCTCAGTCCCACTCATGTCCTATAACTGACCGATCCTATCTGGAAACTGACCTTTGCTTCACAGCAACCCTCGTGAGTAGACACCAAGTTGTGTGTTAGGAGTATCACTTTCACAAGTGAGTTCAGTAAGTACATTGAGTGAGCAGACATGGTGGCTTCATTCAGGACAGCCCTTGAAAGGGAGGAGGGGAGAGTGGGCATCTGACCTGAGACTCACTTTTTGTTACTGATTTCCTGAAGAAAGAGGAGGTCAGGTTATTCTTATCCATGGGTGTCTAGACCTGTCACCTCGACTCCCAGGCATTGCTTCTCTGGAAATGCTCCGGTTCATTTCTCTTAAGTTCCTAAGAGGTGCCTTTTTCTTCCTGCCCCTTCTTCCTGGTACAGACCACTAGCCAGACGGAGCTTGAAAACTGGATCACCGCCATCCACTCTGCCTGCGCCACTGCGGTCGCGAGGCACCACCACAAGGAAGACACGCTCCGACTCCTGAAATCAGAGATCAAAAAACTGGAACAGAAGATTGACATGGATGAAAAGATGAAGAAAATGGGTGAAATGCAGCTGTCTTCAGTCACTGACTCAAAGAAAAAGAAAACAATATTAGATCAGGTAATCGTTCTTCCGTGTTTAGGTCCGGACAAAATTGTTAGGTCTCTAAAAGGGTTTTTTTTTTTTTTTGCTGTTTTGGAATCGTGAAACATCATCGGATATCTCCTCGACAGCCTGTCATCCAGGATGCTAAGTTCTTTACTGTGACTGTCAGTGTTCTTCACCCTTTGTTCATAGCTGATTGTTAATAGCTAAACGGAACAATATTACATTGAATGAAAGACAGAAACCCAGTAGAGGAGCCCTGGCCCCCATCAATGATGTGCTCTTCTAGGGGATCTGTGTAATTAGAAAGTTTGCAATTTCATTTCCCATGTTATCAGACTGACTTGGAGTTCTCTTATGGTGGGGACTCATTTCTGACTCCTCAGTAAATTTTGAATTCTTAATTTGGAAAAGGTAACGTACATTAAAAATATATATCTGGCCAGGTGTGGCGGCTCATGCCTGTAATCCCAGCACTTTGGGAGGCTGAGGTGGGCATACTCGCTTGAGCCCAGGATTTCAAGACCAGCCTGGTCAACATGGCAAAACCCTATCTCTACAAAAAAAATACAAAAATTAGCCGCAACTGTAGTCTCAGGAGGCCGAGAGGAGAGGATCGCCTGAGCCTGGGAGGCAGAGGGTGCGGTGGGCCAAGATTGTGCCATTGCACTCCAGCCTGGGTAACAGAGCAAGCTCTCTCTCTATATATATAGATATATATAGAGAGAGATATATCTATCTATCTATCTAGATCTAGATATATAATTGCTTTATATGTGCATAAGTATATTTCATGCTAAAGAAAAAAGATTTAGTGAAATGAACAAAGCACATTTTTGCCTGCTATTCAGCTGTCAGTAATAGCCATCTGGTAGTGCTTTGACACTTTGTCCTAATGCTCAGGAAATAATTACATGAATAAATGATATTTAAATCATTGAACAATTGACATGGGCCTTCCACATTTCTCTCCCTCTGGGGTTTCCCTTTGTTACCTGACATTGTATTTTTTTAAATTGAGGCAAAATTCACACAATGTAAAATCAACCATTTTAACACGAACAATTCAGTAACATCGAGTACGTTTACCATGTGGTGCAAACACTCCCCCATCTAGCCCTGAAATTGTTAATCTGGCCCAAAATGTAACCCTGTACCTGTGAAGCAGTTGCTCCTCTCTGCCCCCGGCACTCTGTCTTCATGGATTTGCCTATTCTAGATATTTCATATGAATGGAATTGCACAGTACGTGGCCTTTTGTGTCCGGCTCCTTCCCTGAGCTTCATGTTTTGGAGGTGGATACACATGGTAGCATACATCAGCACTTTACTCCTGGGTTCTGGTTGTACGTATACACCATGGTTTGTTTATTGGCCATTTCTTGATGGACATTCAAGCTGTTTCCACCTTTTGCAAACAGTGCTGCTATGAACATGTGTGTACAGTGATATATATTTTGTTGAAGCAAAAAGGGAGATTTCAACCATTCCTCATTATCTGTACCATTGTCAGCATCACTGCACCTTCACTCTATGCCAGACCTTGTACTTATGCTTGTATTATCTTTTTCAAACATCCCAACAGCCTAAGGAGGTAGTTATTATTTTGCCACTTTGAAAAATAAGGGAATGTCTCAGAGACATGCTACAGTTGGAACTTTGTATTCCAGAGTCTGGGTCTCCACCATCTTGTGTTCCACTTCCACCCTGTGTTCCGGGCTACCCCGCTCTTCCCAAAAGCACTTGGTCCATTGCTTCTAGCCTTTCATTCGTCTCACTTTTCTTTGTATGAAAACCTACCTCTTGTTAAGTCATATAGTTCTTTGGTGATGGAAATCTCTACATTTTTACTTCTGGAGTCTAGAGTTTGTGGTCCAGATCTTGGAGTTGATAGACCTATCATGCCCCCAGTACGAACTCCAAGATAGGAGGGAACAGAGGAACTTGTCACTTTCTATTTATGATGCTGAATTTATGGCTATAGATCTTGCAGAAGAAACATAAGTAACTAAGAAACTTAGGTACCTGTTGTTTATTCCTTAGGATTATAATGAATGCCTTTACGACATATAGATCTGTATAGGATAAAGATATTAGCATTTGTTTCCCATTTTCTCACTTTTTCTTTTCCCGTGTTTTCACTACCATAGATCTTTGTCTGGGAGCAAAATCTCGAGCAGTTCCAAATGGACCTGTTTCGTTTCCGCTGTTATTTAGCCAGCCTTCAGGGTGGGGAGCTGCCAAACCCCAAAAGGCTTCTCGCTTTTGCAAGTCGACCAACGAAAGTGGCCATGGGCCGCCTTGGAATCTTTTCGGTATCATCGTTTCATGCCCTGGTGAGTAGAAGCTAATGAATTTTTGAAAAACATTAAGCTTGACGCTTAATCCTGAGCAGGACTTGACAAGAGTCTCCTAAGTGTTTTTCGAGCTTCCTGCTGTGTATGGATTTCTGAAATGCCCTCCCTTTGCAGTGGATGCAAATTTCCATTTAAACCTGTCTGGAATATATTACTTAAGCATCTATCTCTTGATGGGGGGGCCTAAGCTATTGTGCAAAGGAAATATGAAGGGTACCATCTTCAGCGCTGTTCACATGTAGTATTTGTTGATAGCTCTTGTCATCTTTAGACAGTGTCATGTTTGGAACCCAAATACATATTTTTTATATAAACTTGGTGGGAATGGTGAGTGGAGTGCTCACTCTCATACATCAATGCATTCTCAGGCTGGG
The DNA here is from genome assembly GCF_000001405.40 of Homo sapiens. Classification (NCBI taxonomy): domain Eukaryota; kingdom Metazoa; phylum Chordata; class Mammalia; order Primates; family Hominidae; genus Homo; species Homo sapiens. The sequence continues at coordinate 31,223,010 of NC_000021.9, read as the reverse complement.
CGCAGTGACTCATGCCTGTAATCCCAGCACTTTGGGAGGCCGACGCAGGTGGATCACCTGAGGTCAGGAGTTCGAGACCAACCTGGCCAACATGGTGAAACCCTGTCTCTATTAAGTGTACAGAAATTACCTGGGTGTGGTGACATACACCTGTAATCCCAGCTACTCAGGAGGCTGAAGCCTGAGAATCGCTTGAACCTAGGAGGAGGTTGTCACAGTGAACCAAGGTCGCACCACTGCACTCCAGCCTGGGTGACAAAGTGAGACTCTGTCTCAAAAAAAAAAAAAAAAAAAAAAAAAAAATATATATATATATATATATATATATATATATGTATGTGTACATGTATGTATATATACACACACATACATACACACATACACCATATATGGAACACAGATCTCTTTGGAGCTCTCCATTTCACTTTATTTTTACCATTGTTTTGATGACCACGAATACCCGATGCATTAGAGCAAGGCGAAGAACTCTGTGATTCGCCAGCTGAACATATATGCATTGCTTGAGGAAGGGAATTTCCATCTGACCTCTAGAGCGGCAGATTGTATAGTTGTGTTGTGTGTTTATAATCTGTAATTTCATGTACTTGCTAAATTGCGAGCAGCTTTGTGTACTTTTGGCTCCTTCTCAAAAATTGCTGTATGAGTAACATGGTTTTAGTCTTTCCAAGTCGACACCCACTTAGAATGTACTGCACCTTAGCACATTTGCTAGAGAATTAAATGTTAAGTCTCAGGTTCCAGAAACTGCTTTGTAAAACCTTAGCTGTGCTGTTCTTCTCTTGCTTTGTCAGCTGTACCCTTCAATTGCATTCAGAGCTATAATTCAGTCAGAGGCGTTTGTATTCTTTATAAATAGATTAGCATCATCATTCAGATAATTAGGGGTAGATTTACATTTTTAAAGAAGTCTTAAACCAATTTCTGGAGTTATTAAAACTGGCATCCTGATTTGTTCTGCTAATTACAGCTCAGCTCTTGGTCTCCCTGGCTACCACCTCTCCATACAGCTATTAAATCCTGTTTTTTCAGTAGTGGTGGGACAAAGTGCTGTGTTGAATAAACTTACAAAACGTTTTCAGTTTTTGACTCCAGATCTATTTCTTGGAGACCTGGACACCAATTTTTAACTTAGCCAAATCTCAGTTCGCCTATTCTGCAAAACAAAAATAAACAAAAAAACTAGGATAGAAATTCTTCTTTATCTCCTTGTCAGAATATCATCCATTGAGGACGCATTTTTATGAAGGGAACTCGTGATGTCATCGAGGTACCATCTGTATTAATACCAAACCCGGAGCATCGAAGTGGCTTCCTCCTCTTACTGTACCTTGCTAGATTTTGGAGAAAATAATTTTGCTTTCTCCCTAAAACTTGTATGCTTTCATTATTTTCTTCAAAGCCACTGGGCGCAGCCTCCCTGAGAAGGTTACCGTTTTACTCTTCCATAATTCATCTTCGGACCCTCTAATTTCCTTCATCTCAATGTCTGTGATGTGTGTGTACTTTTCTTTCAGGGGGGCAGGCTATTAAAATTTGGCCAGCTGAAGATGGGGATGGGAGAGTTAGTTACTCTGAGGTGTTTTGGTCAGTGGTTTTAAAGAACATTGAAGTCCATACGTTCAACTCTCTGTTCCTTTCTTGGGTTTTTGCTCGCTTTGTCAGTGATACAAGTCTGGGTGTTTCAATATGTTCCTGCAACTTCTCTTTTCTATGAGGGGTTTCATTTCAGCCGGAACAAGTCAGGCGAGCCTGTTGGGTGTCTGTTCCTATTTGTTGCTTTAGCTCCTGTGGAAGATCCCGGGCAGGGAATTTTGCAGTCTGATTTATTAGGAACTCTTATTTTCTTTCCCTCCTCTCCTTGTCATTTGACCCCTGGGATTTTTTTTCTCCTTGGGGTTGAAACATTCTTCAATTTAGTCTTTGTCCAGAAATTTTTTTTCTTCTTTTTAGTGGGGGAGGAGGAAGGAGGAGGTGTGAGGGTAACAGGGCTGGGTAGATTGGGGAGCTACAATTGAAGTAGCATTCACTGAGAAAGCTTCCCATAATGCTGAGTGATTTGCAGTAATTAACTGAAGGGTCCTCGCTGTACTCTTTGAAAGAAGGTTATCATTGTTCTTGTTTGCACAGATGAGCAGAATGATAGAGTAATCAGGTTCAGGCCACAAAGGGAGGCATTGTCTGGGCAAAGATCATTGGGAAACTCTTGAGCTCTGGTCCAGCAGTTCTTCTGCCAGCCCTTTTTCTAAATCCCTTTGCTCATTTTGAGTCATTATTGTCTTGGGGATAGTGGTTACTTTTGCAGTTTACAAGGCCCCAAGCAATTTAGAATTACTGCTTATAAGAAACTTAAGTAAAGTGTTTGTTAAACAGACTAAACTAACTAGTCAGCTGATAACTGAGAATATTTATGGGTGTATGAATTTCTCTTTCATGCTGTCTTTGTCTGGAAATTGTAAACTGAAGAGTTTTCTTTTTTCTTTCTTTTTTTTACATTATACTTTAAGTTCTAGGGTACATGTGCACAACGTGCAGGTTTGTTACATATGTATACATGTGCCGTGTTGGTGTGATGCACCCATTGTTGTCACCGTGTTATATAGGATGTGCTTTTGCTTTGTGGTATTTATGTATTTATTTGTTCAAGCAACAAATGTATGTAAGTGCCTGGCATCCGTCAGTTTTATCCTTGTGATTAGGACTATAGTGAACAGCGCAGAGATCCTGTCCTCTTGAAGCTTATATTCTTGTGGGAGAGAAGGGTAAGAAATAAGTAAACAATTAACTAGACACAGTAAGTACAGGTATTGCTGTGTGTATGAAGAAAGCAAACAGTAATATATGTCGACGTATTTTATACGGTTGCCTCTATGTATGTGTCACTGTTAATGACTGGATTTATTTATAAAATGACTATATGACTGTGAGGCCAAATGGACATTTTTTTCCTCTAGAATTTAAAAATTTTTAACACCATTTATTCAGTGTTGACATAGTCATGTGAGCATATGCATGTCTGCATGTTATAATTTATTCCTTTTACAACCTTTGTTTACCTTTAACTGAGAAAGTGATGAAAATAGAGAAGAGAAAATTTTTACATATTTTACGGTGTGTTTGTCTTGTGATTTTGTTCCCTGTGACACCTCCGGTGTAATCTTAGATTAAGATCTTTCTCATGAAAATTCTCACCAGTGTCTTGGATACCACATTTTTCTATGCCCTGATCTGGGGTTTTTTTTTGTTTTGTTTTGTTTTTTTAACGTGCTAAGCTGAGAAAATGCAAAATGCAAGACCTCTCAGCTCCCTCATCTTCCTATTTTTGTTTGGGTCCAAAAACCTTCCCTCTAATACCCTTGTAGAGAAGCCGTTTTGATTCCTGTTTTTAATGTACGTAGGGGTCCCTGCCACCCGTGGGGCTTCTGCGGTGTTTACATTGTCAGTACTGAAGCCCCAGAGGGGCGTGCCTTCCAACCAACACGCTGACTGCTGGGGAGGCCCCTCATGTTACCAACAGTGCCTCATCCCCTGCATTGCTGCCAATTGGCATCTGTCACATTGGGAGTTGCCTGTGTGGGAATCTACAAGTAGGTTCCAAGACATTCACCTCTGGCAACAAAAGAGTGGGTGGAGAAGTTTCATTTCAAGTCTGACTCGCTGTTCCTCCTGCCACTCCCTTTTTTGAAAGGCGAGCGGGTGGGTGGCCCATGGAGACCTTCTGGCAGAAGTTCCCTTAAATTCCTGGGACTTTGCTTGCCACCTGGTAGGATAAAGTTCAAGCCTGAATGTTTTGCCTGGGAGGACTTTCTGGAGTCCTTGTGGAGATTCTACTTGAGCAATTATCCTGGTGACAGATTTACATTTAGGGTGTTCCCTTGTGAAATGCTTCTCTGGAATCGCTCCACTGGACTCCAGCCTGGGTGACAGAGCGAGACTCCGTCAAAAAAAAAAAAAAAAAAAAAAAAAAAGGAAATGCTTCTCTGGGTTGCTGGCACATTGTAATACCTCGACAGAGTTTAGCTTTTGTTCAACAAAAAAATACAAGTTTTCTTTCCCATTTACCTAAACATAGGACATGTAAGTGATGCAAGTCTGGTAAGGTGCCTTCATCTTCAGTGAGCCCAGTCCCTTTTGTCTTGTTATTCTGCCATCCTTGAAAAGGCTTAGGTAGGGACATCCTAGACCACAACACAGACCTTCCTTTTATCAGGAAAAAGAAAACAGATAGGATAGCGGAAAGAATAACAGAAAGCCCCCTCCCATTGAGCACAGTTCCTGGAAGTTGCAAATATTTTTTGCTTGTATGCCATTGACCAGGACTTAAGCCCAATCCATGCCCTACTGCAAGGAAAATAAGTCATCTTGGACTCAGTGGCTGCATGCTCACTTACATATGAGATTCCCCACCCCCCGCTTTTTTTTTTGAGAAAGAGTCTCGTTCTGTCGCCCAGGCTAGAGTGCAGTGGCGTGTTCTCAGCTCACTGCAACCTCCATCTCCTGGGTTCAAGCAATTCTCCTGTCTCAGCTTCCCAAGTAGCTAGGATTACAGGTGCCTGTCACTGTGCCCAGCTGATTTTTGTATTTTTTAGTTAAGACAGGGTTTCACCATGTTGGCCAGGCTGGTCTCGAACTCCTGACCTCAGGTGATCTGCCTGCATCTGCCTCCTAAAGTGCTGGGATTACAGGCATGAGCCACCGCACCTGGCCTACATTTGAGATTTTTCTGACTAAGATGGAATAGAGAATGGATATTGGGGGCCAATGATCACTCGTCTGATTTTAAAACGTGATTTTATATATCCTAAGAAAACAAAATAGTAGAGATTGGTAATTTTAGATTTAACCTGGAAACCCAGGAACCAAAATCTGTTGTTTTTCCACTATTGTTGCTGACGCTTTAGCACCATTTTTCAATAGAATGCAGAAACAGCTCTGTAGCATTTGGAGAGAAAGCCTGGCTCATTTCCCTTGCTGTAGTTCAAGCCTGTGACCAGAAGGACATGTCATTTTTGGAAACAGAACATATATTTTATTCCTATATTATGTATTTTTGCTGATGATTTCAAACAAGGATTGAATTTGCCAGCTTTTCATTTCCATTCTGAATCCATGAAGGGCTCTCAAAGTCCCAATATGTCTGGGTCATGGATTGAATACTTTAGGCATTGGGGTCAGGGTTGGCTGGCATGATGGAGGAGGGTTTTTTGAAGGGTGGGACTTACGGGGACCTCAAGGCACAAGTGGGTGGTCCTGATGCATCTCCCTTGTGGCTGCTTGTCCTTGCCATCCTCAGGTGGCAGCACGCACTGGTGAAACTGGAGTGAGAAGACGTACTCAGGCCATGTCCAGATCCGCGAGCAAGCGAAGGAGCAGGTTTTCTTCTCTGTGGGGTCTGGATACTACCTCCAAAAAGAAGCAGGGACGGCCAAGCATCAATCAGGTAGGTTCCAGAGCAGATGAAAAGTGAGCCCGCACAAATCACTTCTGTGGCCACCTCAATTTGGGGTGTGTGTGTTTCTTCAGTGAGGCCGAGTGTTATTTAAAATCAACTAGTTGGCACAAAGAAACTAGCTGTGCTAGACACTTTTAATAGATAATGCATACCCATAACATTGAACTCTGCTATTAGTCTATCACCAAGCTGCAGTTTCCCACCTGCATCCTTTCCAAACCCTCATTAATTACAGACCTACTCAAAGCGCACAATTCACCCTGAGTCTTCAGGAAAAAGCAGGGCTCTGCAATGAAGCCAAGTGGGTACCTGAGTGCAGTCTTTTTTTTTTTTTGGAGACAGAGTCTCGCTCTGTCACCAGGCTGGAGTGCAGTGGCACAATCTTGGCTGACTGCAACCTCCACCTCCCTGATTCAAGTGATTCTTCTGCCTCAGCCTCCCGAGTAGCTGGGACTACAGGTGCCCACCACCATGCCTGGCTAATTTTTGTGTTTTTAGTAGAGATGGGGTTTCACCATATTAGCCAGGCTGGTCTTGAACTCCTGACCCTCATGATCCACCCGCCTCAGCCTCCCCAAGTGCTGAGATTACAGGCATGAGCCACTGCACCTGGCCATGCAGAGACTTTTTAAGCTGCCTCTGGCACTGGATGAAAGGCAGCCTCCAGGGAATTCTGATTATTCTCTGCCCTTGACTTTTTGGAGCTGACATTAAATGGGCAGATCCTCTGCCTACTGGAATGAGGAGACAGGAATCCGAGAGAGCTCGCCCACTGCCACAGCCCCCTTCTGCTCAGGTCCAGGGGCTGGAACGGGATCTCGGTATGTCGTGAGGGCGCAACATAGCCTGGTGCCGTGACGGGTGTCCACTGACCATGTACAGCCACCCAATTCTTGCCCATTAAATTTGACTTCTTCACTCGCCAAGGCCAGTCTCCTGCTGGGGTTACTTCCGTGAAGCCCACTGTCTGTTGTTACTGTCTTCCTTGTCGTTCGGCTTTGAGAAATGAGTAGCTCCAGAACTGCTTGTTTAGATTTCAGGGACTAAAGGAACGTGAGCATCTGTAGTCTTTCGGAAGAAGAATGTCCAGTTTGTGGGCTGCGGTGGCTGGAAAGTCAGGCCTTCAGCATTTTGGAGGTCATGACTAAGACTGCTAGTTTGACCTATTCACCGCATGCCCTTGTGAAAAGTGAGAGGACGTCATCGACTGACTTGATAGAATGATCTCTCCTTGTTTGCTCGGACAGTTCCAGCCATTAATTTACTTAAGAAATGAATTTTAGAAAAGAGATTAGTCCTGAAAGCTGATGCCCTGAGTCCCTTAGCTGACTGTGATACTCATTGGTTTTTTGGTTTTGTTTTGTTTTGTTTGTGATGGAGTCTCGCTCTGTCACCCAGGATGGAGTGCAGTGGTGCAATCTCGGCTAACCGCACCCTCTGCCTCCCAGTTCAAGTGATTCTCCTGCCTCAGCCTCCTGAGTAACTGGGATTACAGGCACTCACCACCACGTGCAGCTAATAGCTTATTATTTTTATATTTTTAGTAGAGATGGGGTTTCACCATGTTGGCCAGGCTGGTCTCGAACTCCTGACCTCAAGTGATCTGCCCACTTCGGCCTCCCAAAGTGCTGGGATTATAGACGTGGGCCACCGTGCCTGGCTGATACTCTCTGTTTTAATGTGGCATTTCCCTATCCTTGATGGAACCTGCGGAGAGCAGATGAGCAAATGCTAAGCGAGTGTGAGACTGAAGCAGTTTCGCAGTTTGTCTTGTGATCTTTGGGGAGAGTAGATCATTGAGCTTGCTTCCATGGGTTTTACTTTTATGTAAATCTAAAGAAAAAACTGTGGAGGAAAGTCAACATTTCATCAGAAAAATAACAAAAGAGACTTGATGGTTCTCAGTTAAAACCTGCAAAAAGGAGGACATGAACCATCAGCATTTCTCTTCTTTTTTTTTTTTTTTTTTTTTCTTTTTTGAGACAGAGTCTCACTCTGTTGCCCCAGGCTGGAGTGCAATGGCGCGATCTCAGCTCATTGCAATCTCCGCCTCCTGGGTTCAAGTGATTCTCTTGCCTCAACCTCCTGAGTAGCTGGGATTACAGGCGCCTGCCACCACACCCAGCTAACTTTTGTGTTGGTCAGGATGGTCTCGAACTCCTGACCCTGTGATCTGCCTGCTTTGGCCTCCCAAAGTGCTGGGATTATAGGCATGAGCCACTGCGCCTGGCCCATTTCTCTTCTTCTTTTGGGAGGTGGTGGTGTCATTGTGTATGTGTCTTCTGCCCTGAGAGATGGCTCAGCCCACTGCTTCTGGACTTCACAGTTTGGACTTGTTTTCTAACAAAACCCTTTGTTCATGTGCTTCTGCTTGATTGGCACCAGGTTATGTTACCGCCCTTTTCTACTGAAATATATGACTGAATTTAAATGAATTCAAGAGAATGTTTTAACATTTTTCTAAAATCAAAGCACAATGTAATGTCTTAGAAACAATTCTTGTATTTTTTCTAAAAGTATGAGTTTTTAAGAACCTTTTGCTTAGCCATAAACATACCAGTAGGAATTTAGTCATTAATTCTATAATTTGAAATGGACAAAAATTATGTTTTTTTGGCCGGGGTGGTGGCTCATGCCTGTAATCCTAGCACTTTAGGAGGCCAAGGTGGGAGGATTCTTTGAGGCCAGGAGTTTGAGACCAGCCTGGGCAACATAGCAACATGCTTTCTCTACCGAAAAAAAGTTAAAAACATTGTATGTTTTTGTATATTTTATTTGCATGGAGGAAAGGCTTTTTCTCAATTGTGTACATTATCCTGATACTACATTCTTGTTTTAGGGATAATCACAAAATTCCTCATGTCCATGAGTTTCCTTACCTAGTGGCATTGTTACCCTATTCTAATTTTCATGGCATCTTTAAGTTAGCAGGATTGATTACATTTCAAGGAAGAGACAATTTTCTATTTTTTAATTAAAAAAACCCCTATGTTGCCATGTTGAGGTAAAAAACTATAATATTCTCACATTCTACTTAAGAATGTATTACAAAGCAAGCAGATTTTTACTTATAAGTATCTGGTCAGGTATATGAGGCTATAGGAGAAATGCTTCATTGTGAGTTTATCTAGCTCATTGCTTTTGCTAGTTTCTTTTCTTTTATTTATATTTTTCTTTTTCTTTTTCTTTCTGGTTTTTTATTTTTTTGTTTTTTTTGAGACAAGGTCTCAGTCTGTTGCCCAGGCTGGAGTACAGTAGTGTGGTCTCAGCTCGCTGCAAACTTGACCTCCAGGGCACAAGTGATCCTCCCATCTCAGCTTCCCAAGTAGCTGGGACTACAGGAGCATGCCACTATGCATGGCTAATTTTCAAATTTTTTATAGAGACAGGGTCTCACTCTGTTGAGCAAACTGGTCTCAAACTCCTGGGCTGGAGCAATCCTCCTGCCTCAGCCTCCCAAAGTACTAGGATTGCAGATATGAGCCACCACGCCTAACCTATTGTCTTTCTCTTTTTACTTTTTTTGGGACAAGGTCTCCCTCTGTTGCCCAGATTGTAGTTCAGTGATGTGATCTTGTGATCCTCCTGCCTTAGCCTCAGGAGTAGCTGGGACTACAGGTGCACCCCACCATGCCTGGCTAATTTAATGTAATTCTTTTTTTTTTTTTTTTTTTGTAGAGATGAGGTCTAACTATATTGCCCAGGCTGGTCTCAAACTCCTAGGCTCAAGCAGTCCTCCCGCCTCAGCTTCCCAAAGTGCTAGGGATTATAGGCATGAGCCACCATGCCCAGCCTATTTTCTTTAAGTAGAGATGAATTATCCATATTTGAGAGCAAACTTTTTTTTTTCCAACTGTCAAACACGTAGGGAAGTGATCTAGATAGAGGGATGTGTTTTTCCAGGTCTGCTCCCATAAATTATTGTACCTGCTTTGGGATTTGATGTAGGAGTATCTGAACACGTGTGTAAGGTTTTGTCATAGCCATGCCCATTTCCTTCCCCCTTCCTACGTTTCGTTTGCCCTGTTGCCCAGATTCCTTTTTAAGGTGGTACTTTTGTATATGCAGGTGTTTGGAGAGGGAACCGAAGCTGTAAAGAAATCTTTAGAGGGAATATTTGATGACATTGTTCCAGATGGCAAGGTAAAAATAAACGTGTGTTTTCTTTTCTAAAAGTACCACAAGTGCATCAACATATACATGGTGCAGTGTTGTCTTGAGCTACTAAAATTAAGTAAACTCAATATTAAAAACTGAAATCAGTTTTTAAAAGTTATGTAATAAGTCAACAAGAGATGGAAAATCATTTTATATTTAAAACTGAGTGGTAGAGGGAACATTCTCCTGCTGACATAACATTTCCCATACTTACCATTTGATGTGTGAGTTTCTAACTAGAATGTAAGAGGAAATTTGGGTTCTGAATAGCTGAATATTTTATGCCATTGCCAATTTCTTTCCATGTACAACTTCTCTTCCCAAGAGGTGTGTTCTTACTACCCTCCCTCTCTGCCCACACATGCTGTTTTGCTCCCATTAGTTTCAAAGAACTGTTCTGATAGCGTGTTCTTTAAAAAAAGAAAAACAACAAAAACGCATTTGCCTCCCAAGTCAAGTATTCAATTAAAGATTCGGCCGGGTGTGGTGGCTCACGCCTGTAATCCCAGCACTTTGGGAGGCCAAGGCGGGTGGATCACGAGGTCAGGAGATGGAGACCATGCTGGCTAACACGATGAAACCCCGTCTCTACTAAAAATACAAAAAAAAAAAAAATTAGCTGGACACCTGTAGTCCCAGCTACTTGGGAGGCTGAGGCAGCAGAATGGCGTGAACCCAGGATGCGGAGCTTGCAGTGAGCAGAGATGGAGCCACTGCACTCCAGCCTGTGCAACCGAGCAAGACTCTCTCTCAAAAAAAAAAAAAAAAAAAAAAAAGATTCACAGGCTTGGTTCAGCCTTGTGCTTGGATTTAAACAGGGGCTTTCAAACTGCTCTGATTGAAAGCCCATAAAAATACTGATTTGTTTTTTAATTGGCCACTTTTTTCAGCCTCTAAATAAATAGACGTCTCTCGTTTTCAAGACCCTAGTAGTGATACTGGGAGCCTGTTTGTGTGGGGGATGGGGGATGGTCTGATGTTGATAATGTGACCTTGGTGGGATCCTCTGGTTCTTGGGCTCAGAATCAATATGACAGAATTCAGCCCTCAGTTGCCATGCATCCAAGTAGTGTCAGTCATCAGTGGCTCAGCCCCATGTTGTAGATGGAGCTGAGCTTCAGAATCCAGAGTGCCATGGGGAGTTCTGCTATTGGAGGGGAAGAGAGAAGAGTGGCCATGGGAAGGCCTTTTCTTTCCTTCATACACAAACTACTCATGAATGATGCTATCCTGGATATAAAGGCCACTGTCCTTGGAAATACTCATCCATGGCCACTGTCTGAGCATCTCTGTCTGATGAAATTTGAAGAAATTCAGTTTTTGGGCCTATGTGCAATCCAAGCATAGTTTTTGATGTTAACTTGGTCATTTCTGAGGTTGGCCAGTTCATCTTGCATACCATTATTAGTCCACATTTAATACTGAGATATCTTCTCTAGACCACAGAACTTGGAAACTGCGAAAGTTTTTCCATTGGATTTCTGTGTAGCATTTTTGGTTTTCCATTTTTCTAAGGTACGTCTTTCTCCCACATCCTGGCTAGAATGCCTTGTTCTCAGAGTGTTTAGATGCAAAACTTGGGTTGATCCAGTGCTAAGGGGCATTTATTTAATGTGGCACACTGGAACAGAGTCTGAATATTCCAATTATACTTAATGGGATTTAGGTATGTTGATTGCTTTTTGACAATTCCTTCCCTGGAGTCCAGCTTATCTGCTAAAGCAACTCTGTTCAAAGGCGAGGCTGAAATTATCTTCCCCAGTTGGATTTAGTTGAATGGCTTTTACGAAAACGTTTCCCCCATTCTTGGATTCCATTCTTCTTTTGAATGGAGGTTATATTACCACCTCTCAGCCTTCATTGGGAAATTTGTTCCTTCTTGTAATTTGCTGATACCAGCCTTGTTCTTGGTCATCAGTAGATACATATTTACCAACTAGTGGCCTGGTTATAAATCAATAATGAAGGCCTATTACTTAGCATATATTGAGCATCAATATTATGTTTACATTGCTGAAATCTAACATCATTCTTTCCTTGCTTATTTCGCGGGGCTCCTAACATTGTATCAATCTAAGGAAAGTAACATTATATCAAGCTAAGGAACATCCTCTGCTTCATCTGCTTAGCTTGCTTAGGTTTAACCCAGCTGCTAAAGGAGGACTTCCGACCCTTCTCCCACATTCACAAACTTCATTCCACTCCCTGGTCCTCAGGCAGTGATGGAGAGGATACAGTGATGGCAGCAAAGGAGGCTTGTTTTTGCTACATTGTGCCATGATGTTATCCGTCAAGTTCTTTGACCTCCAGAAAACTGAATTGTCTCTGGCGCCGGGTCGTGCTGAAGGTCCAAGGAGAGCACAAAAATGATGCTGTCTATAAATATAAATATAAATATGTAGTGCTAAAACATGATCTTTTTGAAAAAAAAAAATGATTGGGGCTTCACCATTGCTTTGAACTGTAAAGTTCTCATGGCAGATGTGCTTGTTGTAGGAATTCCCTGCTTGAAACTTGAAATGAGTTTGTGGAAGAAATAAGAGCCATAAAGCTGAGCTGAATGGTGACCTTTCTTTCTTTCTTTCTTTCTTTCTTTCTTTCTTTCTTTCTTTCTTTCTTTCTTTCTTTCTTTCTCCCTTCCTTCCTTCTTTCTCTTTCTTTCTTTCTCTTTCTTTCTCTTTCTTTCTTTCTTTCTTTTTCTTTCTTTCTTTCTTTTTCTTTCTTTCTTTCTTTCTTTCTTTCTTTCTTTCTTTCTTTCTTTCTTTCTCCCTTCCTTCCTTCTTTCTCTCTTTCTTTCTTTCTTTCTTTCTTTCTTTCTTTCTTTCTTTCTTTCTTTCTTTCTTTCTTTTCCTTCCTTCCCTATCTCTCTCTCTTTCTTTCTTTTCTTCCAAATTTTGATGCCCACTCATTCATGCCGTGATCACCTATGGATGCTGTGGGTTGTGAAGCCTGCCTCACAGCTGAAGTTTGAAATCTCTCCATTGCACCATAAATCTGCTTTCTCAGTAGTTTCTCTCTCTCCAAGGGTTCCCCTGCCTCCCACCACTGCCTCCGCTTCTGCCCTGGGCTGTTTTCATGGGAATCGGTGATTCCTGTGTGCAGTCTGGGAATCTAGGGTTGTCAGAGCTCCACTGCTGCTGCCCTGCTAACTTTATTTCTTGTTATAGAGGGAGAAAGAAGTGGTCTTACCTAACGTTCACCAGCACAACCCTGACTGCGACATTTGGGTCCACGAGTATTTCACTCCATCCTGGTTCTGTCTGCCCAATAATCAGCCTGCCCTGACGGTCGTCCGGCCAGGCGACACTGCACGGGACACCCTGGAGCTGATTTGCAAGGTATGGAGCTGCTTTGGGTTGTTTCTCCAAGAAGAGCAGAATGGGGTGTAGCAATCTTCTAAGGCACATGTGGAAACCCAGAGCCGTGTGGGAGAGGAAGGTGCTTAAAACACACCTCCCTTTCATTTCGGAGCAGCATTGCATTCCTTTGTGATAGTATTCAAAATTATATTAGTGAATGCTTCACCTTTGGGAAGAGAGGAACTCTTCTAAGTAGCATCTTTCAATGTGTGTGTTTGATAGATTTCTAATGCATGTATCACATGCTCATTGCAAACCTTTTAGAAAATCTAGGTGAAGAACACAACAGAAAATTAAGGCCACTCTTATTCACGAAATCCAGAAATAACCATTGCAAACATTTTGGCGTTTGACCATTCATTCCTTTTTCCGCACACATACAGATACATGTGTTCAATGGCATCATATTATGGGTACTGTTCTGTCACCTGCTCTTTAATCAGTAACCGATACACTATGGGCATCTTTAGAATTGGGGAAAATGGAAGGAAATATAAGTTTGACCTCCATTGATGGGAAATTCTTCTTTTGTGAACACAGAATTAGCCTTTTTAGAAACATGACAAATGATTGAGCTCCTTTTCTCTTTCACCTTAAACCATGGAAGAAATGCCTTGATCTTTTTCAAAGTGAACCTGGTTTCATTTTTCCCCGTGAAGGGCAGCCAGGTGAATGGTCTTGAGTGAGGGGAGAGAGAGGAAAGAAGAACTTTACTTGCATGCTTGTTTTTATTTTTACATAATGAATAGCATTAATAGTTCTATGTCGTAGTCGTATCAGGTCTGAGCCTGAGAAAGAGCTGAGACTTTGCCATTGTACACATGGAGGAAGTGAAGCTCAGAGGGCCTTAGCTGCTTGCCTGAACTCACATCACAGTCAGTTGCAAAGGAGAGACTGAACCCACGTCTGGCTTCTCTACAGCTGGGTGCATCCTGCAGTGCCGAGTGTCCACAAGAACTCTCAGAACCTGGGTTAGTCTTCAGGAAGGACAATCAGTAAGGCTCAGAAGAATCTAGAATATATTCTTAGGGGAGTGAATTGGTCTTCTTTGGGGCTGCTAAAAAAAAAAATGAAAAACTTTTCTATCACAATTTTATCCTAGAAGAAGTTGGATGGATGAAATGACGTTTTAAAGATCTCATCATTCAACACAATGTTTGTAAATACTGAATGACTTTCACTACCTCCGCAAGTACCTCAATTTTGTAGTTCTACTATCAGCAATTTTTGTATTTTCAAAAAAGCAAATCACAGACGGCTTTTTAAAGAAAAAACATGGCTCTTCATATGAATCAGAGAAATGGACAGTTCAGCTCAAATTAGCCTCTTAAAATGTCTTATGTATGTGGAGGAAAAATAGAAGAATCACTTGTTTTGGGCCATAACTAAAGTCAGCCCTGACATGGATGCTAAAAATAAATGGTATCACCTCTCTGTGTGCTTTGAATCCTTCATGTACGAGGGTTCTAGCTTTTGGAGATAATGGTATCTCAGTTCACAATTTTTTCATGTTAATTACTTAACAAAATTGGTCTGTAGAGGATTTCTGCATTCCTTTATTTATAATTAGCACAATTCTTTAGAGACCCATTAACATTCTGCAGAGCTGAAGAGTTATTGTCAGATCTGCAGATGAAGGTGTTAAAAGTAGAACTTTCTGGCTTTTTTGTATAAGCCGAACTCTGGAAGGTGTTTCCAGAAGAATAACATGGCTTTGGAGCATCCTGTGCACATTGGCTTTAAACTGGATCAGGAATCGAAGGTTAAGCCAAAGTTTTCCGATTACCATTGATTGGTGGAAGATTGATCAGTGAGTGAAGCAATGAATGATTGGCCCACTTTACGTATGTTTCAAGCTTTTGCTTTGGAAGAAACTAGGGGAATGAAGAATAGTATTGTCATTGACAGTTAGAGACCATATCTAGATAATGTAGTGGACCTGATCCCCTTTAAAGTGTTTATTTCTGTCACCTGAAAGGTTTCTGATGGCATCATTAAGGTACAAAATCCCTTTCTCCAACAGTAAAAGTTAGTCCTGTCCAATTTTCCCTGGGCCTTCAGGTCTTTTTCCCAAGACATAGAAATAAAAGCAAAAACAACGTGATGTGGAACAAGCTTCTATCTCATGAGTTTATGCCGGGCACGGTGGCTCACACCTGTAATCCCAGTACTTTGGGAGGCTGAGGAGGGCAGATCACTTGAGGCCAGGAGTTCGAGAGCAGCCTGGCCAACATGGCAAAACCCCATCTGTACTAAAAATACACACACATAAAAAATCTCATGAGTTTAAAACTGGAAGACTTGTGTGTGCATTTCAGAAATTGATGGTCTTTGGAAAAGCACCCATGTAGGAAAAGTGATATAGTATGCTCAGGGCCAGGTGCCTTCTAAAGCTTGTTTCTTCCTTGGAAAACACCTTATTGTAATTAGTGGATCTGATTTTATTCTTAAGAGGGAAGGAGATAATGGGGAAAACAGTGTCCCATGTTATTAACAATCTGATATAATGGCGAATGGTTTTTTTTTCCTCATTGAAAACAAACATGATTGTAAAAATGCCTGTCTTTTGTTTCATTATTGTTATTCTCAATGTTTGGTGATAGATGCTTTCTCTAATATTTAATAATCAATCTGTTTCTTCTGTCTCTTGCATTCAGCTCATTCTCTTTCCTATTCTATCTGATCCACATCATTTCACATCAGTTTGCCATCTGCCATCTGAGCACCAGTCAAGTTCTGGTATAGTAAATGTTTCAAGATCTTCATTTCATATACAATTCATGTCACAGATGTTACTGGAATGATTGTTGCTAAATATAGCAGGTAACCATGTTGCCCTGTAGGTTTTGGATATATTCTGATCGTTACAACTACAAAAATAATTGCAACATATTTTCATTCATTTATACCTACTGATATTATTCACATGTGACCATGTGTCAGTTTTATTTCATGCTTTTACTACGTCATTCTGTGGCTTTGGATATGCTATAACCATTGGCGTTTAGAGAAAGAAAAGGTTACTTTGAAGGGGAGGGAAAATATCTTTAGAAATTCTACAATAGCACTTTGTGTGTGTGTGTGTGTATACATATTTCTGTATGCAGTGACTACATGTTTGCATTTGTGTATGCAGTAATTGCATGTTTGTATGTCTTCTAGAAGTTTGACTGAAATGGAAGAATATGAAGAAAAATAGCAAAACATAATGGATTAGGAGCTCTAAGGCAGTAAATTCTGAGACATGTTATCTATTTTAATTGGTGCAAACTATTTACTGAAAATATCTACATTGTGTTTTGCTGTTTCATCCTTTGAAATAGTCATAGTAAGATGCGAATTTAAAAAATTATGCCAACTAAACTAAAAATTGTTGTACCATAATACTTAGGGTATAATTTGCGGCTGCATTGCCTCAAAATGCATCAAATGCTAAGTAACTTAAGTACATGTACATTGGAAAACAAATTTATACCATTTAAATTTTTTCCTAACTGAATTTTCCTTGAATGTTTTACGAGTCTCAATTTTCTTTTGAGTTTTCACTTGAATGTTTTATGTCTAAAGCAAGGCCACACATTTAGAATTACTATGTTTAAATATTCATTAACATTTGAAATTCCTTTGCACAAAGATGTATTCTGAACATGGTTAGTTGTTTGACTTGCTTTGATATTGACTAACAGGTATCTAAGGAGCATAAAATTCTTCTTGATCGTTCTGATGATCTGATTTAATTAATTCATTAGGATTTTATTTTTATGTTAGACCAGCCGTGATTAACAAGGGCTCATAATTCAGAAACTTTTACCAAAATAGTAAGACACACTGGTATATATTTTGATCCAATGTCCTGTTTTGAGAGTAACTATTTACTGACCAAAATTAGGGCTCTTAAGTTACAAGTAAGACCATTATAATTTTCATGTTTGCTGCTTGTGCTGATTTTTATTTTTTAAAGTTATCAAGACATTATTGTAACTTAAAGAAGTTTGAAAAATATGATGGTTTGTGGCAATAATCTTTTTTTCCTTTTACTTATTTATTAATTTTTTTTGAGACAGGGTCTCACTCTGTCCCCCGGCTGAAGTACAGTGGTGTAGTCATAGCTCACTGCAGCCTTGCCCTCCCAGGCTCAAGCAATCCTCCCGCCTCAACTTCCTGAGTAGCCTACAGGGACTACAGGCTCACCCCACCATGCGTGGCTAAGTTTTGTATTTTTGATACAGACAGGGTTTCACCATGTTACCCAGGCTGGTCAAACTCCTGGGCTTAAGCAACTAGCCCACCTTGGCCTCCCAAAGTGATGGGATTACAGGCATGAGCCACCATGCCCAGCCAAGAATCATTCTTATTACCATTGCTATATTTATCATTCTTTAGTTCTCTGCAATGCATTACACAATTCAAGTGAGGTGCCTTGACATTCTCTGCATGTTTGTATAAATGTTTTCAGTACTGTAGCATTTAGGGGATGCTGCAGTTCTCCGCAGTCCACACCAGGACCACCTTAGGCTATTTGTGCCTGACAGTGGGCTGTCTCTCACACTGAAGTTTCAGGAACCAGAACTTCTTGGGTGAGGTTGCTGTTTTGGCCTGATTTCTGGAAGACAGTCTGTTTCAGTGGCAGTCTCATTAAGGAGTGCCCACAAAGTGTTTATTAATGATGATGATAAGGTTTCCAAGTGAATTTGTTCCTGTTACTAAGAACCCATGAAATTTCATTTCTTTCCCTTCCGCCTCAGTCGGAAACAGATGGTGAACCAAAATTTTTGCTTCTAATTAAAGATTTCAGTGAGGACCCAGGTAGGTGGGAAACATTTGCAGCTTCGATCTCTCTTAGGAAAACTTTTCTTGCTCATCACATCACCCTAAATATTAGTATTTTGTTGTTGTTTATTTATCTTGATGATTCTCCAGCAGTAAGTAGCACACTTAAAAAGTTCCTGTTTTATGTTCCCTGGGCTTTCGCCTCCAGCCTTATTATCTTTGACATCAACAATCTTGGATCTGTCAGACATTGAGCATCTGGTCTCAAATATAGGCAGTGAAAGGACAAAAGCCAGGTGCACTGGGACATGTTCGGTGAATGGCATCTGTGTCTGGCACAGCAGGCTGCAAACTATCATATTACTCAGGAGAGGAGAAAGGTTGGGGTTCCCAAGAATCACTGATAGAAAACTTTATCCTTCTGCTATGTGTTCAGAGTGAACTCATTTCCACTTTCTGGAAATGTGCTTTTACAAGAATGCAGGTTGCCTGTCCTGCATGTACATATTTATTTAAAATGCTAAACCACTGCTGCCTCACCTTCCACATCTACATAGCTTTTACCTGCAGCTGCAGACACTCCTGAAGACTGCATTTATGTTGTATTAGTTTCTGTATTCTCACTACTGCACATGGTGTCTGGCGTATCTAAGAGTTCGTTAAGTGTAACTGAATATATATTACTGGAATGGTTATTGGAATGCTGTTAGTTTGGCTTTAAAAATATTATTTTGAGGGTGGGGTAAGTAGAAAGAGTACTGAACCAGTTAAAATTAACTTTATTTATTTTGAAATAATTCTCACCTGCAGAGCTTTGAATGTGAAGAGGTTTTATATTTATTTTGTGAAAAATGTCCAATTTGTATAAAAGTAGGGAACAATGTAATAAATTCTCATGTATCTATCACCTAGCATCTGTAATGATCAAATTAAGTTTTATCGATTTACTCACTCCCACCCCCAACTCTTATTTGTTTTGGAAGCAAATTCCAGACATTATATCATTTCTATCTATTAGCGCTTTAGGATGTACCCCTAAAAGATAAGGATGCTTAAAAAAATCACTTGGTTTAAACATTTTCTCTCTAGCAATATATTTTCATGTTGCTGTGTAACTTTTGGAGAGCATTTTCTTTTTTTCCCTGTATCCTCTTGACTGTCTACTGAGAATGATTTATAAAACCATGTTGGTATTATTACTTATTCCTCAAAATTAATTCAAAGATTACTTTTTAGACAGGAAGAAAAAATCTATTGTTCCATCCTGGACTAAAGGGTCCTTGAAAATTTCAATTTTAGAATTGTTTTCTTTGAGCGAGTCATTCAGTGTGTTTCCATAGTTGGACACACGCCTATTAGCACTGCCCCTGGAGGGAGTCTCACTTGGGGAGTATATAAATAAGATTGAAGTCCAAAAGCCTTGTCTTCACACTGACTCGCTTGCAAATGAACTGTTAACAACTGTCCCACTGTCCCTATGTGGTTAAAAAAACAACTTTGCCTGGGCACAGCTTTTTTCTCTCATTGTAAATACAGTATTTTCTTACCTTTCTTGTTACCCTTTTCTTTAATCACCTATCTATGAAGTTATATTTAAGAACCTTTTTGATCTGCTGTGTTGTGTTGAAAATTTTACCAGTGTTAGAGAGCACAATGAATCAAATAAGGAGGCGTGGAGATGTGAGTCAGTTGTTTCCATTGAATCCTAAGATACCCTTGGAATGTTACCAGTGTGTTCAATGAAAGTTATTTTAAAACTTTGCATTTACGATGTAAACTTTTTAAGAAGTATAGAAACTTTATACCCCCATTCAGCATCAAATTTCTATTGGGCCGGGAGCAGTGGCCCACGCCTGTAATCCCAGCACTTTGGGAGGCCAAGGCGGGTGAATCACCTGAGGTCAGGAGTTCGAGACCAGCCTGGCCAACATAGTGAAACCCCATCTCCACTAAAAACACAAAAATCAGCTGGGCGTGGTGGTGGGCGCCTGTAATCCCAGCTACTCAGGAAGCTGAGGCAGGAGAATCACTTGAACCCAGGAGGCGAAGGTTGCAGTGAGCCGAGATTGCGCCATTGCACTCCAGGCTGGGCAACAAGAGTGAAACTCCATCTCAAAACAACAACAACAACAACAACAAACTCTATTGGTCATAGGAATACATCGTATGTTGGTGGAGAACTAATTGTGCCTATTTACTATTGAACAGACATTTTCTTTCTTTCTTTCTTTTTTGTCCCAGACACATCAACTGGATCATTCTGCTCATTACCTGCGCCTGAAATTTCTAATAGAAAACAAAATGCAGCTCTATGTTCCACAGCCCGAGGAAGACATCTATGAGCTGGTAATGTTATGACTGTTGTCCAAGCACACTTTATGGGAGATTATCTTCAAATTATGAGTGTTCTCGTGTTAATTGTAGTTGGTGGAGTGGAACGAGTTCAAAAATAAATGAGCTTCATTCATAGCCCTTAAGTTGGTGGAGATGGCCCTACTTAGCTCAGTATTCCAGAGTGGAATGATCACCTTTGTTTACGCACGAAGCAGTGCAGTGCTATCATGACAAATCAAAATCTAGAGCTATCTCTTAGATAGAACTTTAGTCATTATTATAATACTAGCTTTCCTTGCATTGGCAATCTTTTATTTTATTGTATTTTAGTATTTTTATTTTGTTGTTTAGAGACAGGATCTCACTCTGTCACCGAGGCTGGATGGAGTACAGTGGTGTGATCATAGCTCACCTCAACCTTGAACTACTGGGCTTAAGTGGTCCTCCTGTGCCAGCCTCCTGAGTAACTGGAACCACAGGCACGCAGCTCCATGGCTGACGAACTTTTATTTTTTAATTTTTTTTTTTTTTGTAGAGACAGGATCCTGCTTTGTTGCCCAGGCTGGTCTTGAACTCCTGGGCTCAAGTGATCCTCCCACCTCAGTCTCCCAAAGTGCTGGAATTACAGGCGTGAGCCACTGCGCACGGCCAGTCTTTTATTTTAATTGGTGACTTAAAAATCAGCTGGTTGTTGTTACAGAAAACAGTGCTAATTCTAATTTTGTGTGACATCCGTAGCCATGTTGAAACTGCTGGATCAAATCTTGTTGGGTGAAAAAAGCTGCCATCTATGTCCTAGTCTTTTGGAACTGTATTTATATAGCTTCTCGGGGACATTTACATATATTTGAGTTTGAACATACTTATGGGACTGGGGTTCTGAATCAGACCTGCTTACTAATCATATGGAACTAGCCAAGAAAAAAAAATGAAATGCTAATACTTAATTTCTAGGATTTTACAAAGATTAGAGATAATATGCTTACTTGGTAAATTACAATGGTTGTTATTGCAGTAAGCCCAGTGACAAGCTCTTTGCTCTTTAGCAAAGTGGTGCGTTTGTCAGTTCCAGGAAAGAAACATTTTGGGAGCAAGGCGCCTCTATTTTGGAGTTCCTGTGCTCTCTCTGTTCTTAGTCATTCCTCTGGGGGCTCTGACTGCTTGCCATGGATGTGTGAATAACAGTGACTTCAGAGAGGGTTTCACCACAGAAAGCGGAACTGAACATTTAAACCCAAGTATTATTCTCTTTTTGGAAAAGGGAAGCATGATTTAAAAATGAGTAGGAAATTGTGTTTTTAGTCAACTTTATTGAGGTATACTTTACATTTAAGGAAACTCTTGCCAACTTTAAGGACACAATCCAATGAGTTTTGACAAATGTATACAGTCTTGTTTCCACTGCTGTGATCATGCTTTGGAACATTTCTGTTATCTGAAAAGTTACCTTGTGCCCCTTTAAGGGCTTTTAAGGAAATGTAAGAGAGCGTGTGCTTTTGTAACACTTATAGCACGTTATGCAATAGAAGATTATCAAAATAATGAGCCCTTTTCCAACTATCACTTAAATCAGTAACTGTTCTGTGTTCAGTACATTTAACAGAGAGGGCTGATGTATTCTTTTTCTGGCCTGGGGAAAAGGCCAGTCTTGGTGCTGCTGTATGAGTAAAGGAAAGAAAACCCTTTTTTCTTACTTAAAAAAGGGAAGTGCTTTCCTGCTAACACTAGAAGAGTTATTAGATTATATATTTTGCATCTTGGGGTTAATGAGTATTTTGCATCCTGAATTATAGGGATCATGCCTAACCAGGTTCCATGTTCCTCATATTTTTCACATAAGAGGTATAGGTACTTCAGACATAGTTTTTGAAATTGTATGGACTCATTATTTTTAAGCCTTGCCCATTGTGTGGTCTCTTTAGTCTGTTTGGATCTACAATTTTTGTATGCAGATAGCTATATATGTATTTTAAAAGAATCTTAAGTACAGGGAGACCATGGTATTATTTCTTGGCCTGTTGCAGAAGGTCTCCAGCCCATAGATCTGTAAGGATGCAAATGCCACAGTCTTGCAAAACCTCTGTTTCAACCAAGGTTCTTAATTATTTTGTCCTTTGGATACTTTTGGTAGCCTGGTGGAGCCTCCAGACCCCTTCTCAGAATGATATTTTCAATCGCGTAAAATAGAATACATAGGCTTACCTGTGCCCTAAATATATTGAAATAGTTCTCAAAAATATTTTTTGAATTATTGGTAATATATGTTCTTATTTATTAGCTTATTAAATTATAAGGCTTAATAGGTAGACATAGACCTAATAGCTAGACCATTAAATTACAAGACCTAGCAGTAGATCTAATAGCTACCACTGTTCTGAGGTAACGATGAGCATAAATAATATTTTGAGACACTAGCAGCAGCTAAAACATGATATGAAAATAACTGTGATTTCCATTCGTGACGGAGTCACAGGCACTGCTACTATTACTATGTTTGTTGCCTACATTCATTTAGGATAAAAGGAAATGCTGATTTTCAGTTTAAGGTTTGTAAATATAAAGATATCACTTTTTTTTTTTTCTGTGATGAAGTTTTGTTCTGTTGCCCAGTCTGGAGTGCAGTGGCGCGATCTTGGCTCACTGCAACCTCTGCCTCCTTGGTTCAAGCAATTCTCCTGCCTCAGCCTCCCAAGTAGCTGGGAATAGAGTTGCCCACCACCACACCCAGCTATCATCTAGCAAATATTTATTTAGCATTTGTATGCCTGGCACTACTCTAGCTGTTCTAGGCACTGGGGATACACCAAAACAATTCTGCTTCTGGTGGAACCTGTATTCAAGTTTGCAGAAACAAGTAAAAATACATGTGAATGTGTAATATGTCAGGGAATGTTCAAAGCCTGGAGAGACAAGAAGTTGGGGCAAGTAGAGAGAGGGAGATGGCACATCTGCAGTGGGTCTTGTTGCTATTTTATTTTATTTATTTTTTGTGTGTTTTTTTTTTTTTTTAATGTGATGTTCGAACAGGGTGAGTGAGTGAAGAGAGGGAGTGGAATCATAGAGGTATTTTGCAGACAAGTGTTCTAGGCTGGCCAGGCATGGTGGCTCACGCCTGTAATCCCAGCACTTTGGGAGGCTGAGCAGGTGGATCCCCTGAGGTCAGGAGTTCGAGACCAGCTTGGCCAACATGCTGAAACTCCATCTCTACTAAAAATACAAAAATTAACCAGGCATGGTGGCACACGCCTATGGTTCCAGCTATTCAGGAAGCTGAGGCAGGAGAATTGCTTGAACCCGGGAGGCGGAGGTTACAGGGAGCCAATATCGTGCCACTGCACTCCAGCCTGGGTGGCAAAGCCAGATTCTGTCTCAAAAAAAAAAAAAAAATGTTCTAGGCTGAGAGAACAAAGCTGGCTAAGGCCTGGGCAGGGGGAGGGTGGCCATGGTGGAGGTGGCTTACCTGGTGTTTGAGGAGGATTGGCGGAGAGGGCACGAAAGAGGGGATGCAGGAGATGGTGGGGGGGAGGGAAAAAGGATAGGCCATGTAGAGCCTAAGTGCCATAGGAAACCCCAGAGAGAAAGGGCATTGTCGGCTTTGAAAGGCTCACTATGGCAGATGAGTGGGCCCATAGGGCATGAGAAGATGAGCAGCCAGGGCCCATAGAAGGCTGTAGAGAGTCATCGTCAGGCAAGAGCGTGACGGTGGCTCAGACCAAGCCACCCAAAGGAGACAGAGAAAGAAATGATCCTGATTTTGTGAGAACTCAAGAGCCCTAGGTAAGCAATTTTTTTCTTAAAATCTGGTGATCTTCTCATCCAGTTTTTGAAAACAGGGAAAGTTGCAACATTATTGATTTAATAAAAGAAAGGGAAGATGTGAGCTATTTCATCATTAAGTGCATTTATGTATAAAACTACTGAATTTCCAGATTTCTAGTTCCAGATATCGTGGTTGCATTGAAAATATATTTTAAAGTACAAACGCTTCTTGAGATATAGTTTTAGTTTTGTTCACTAAACCTGGCTTTAGTCCAACCAGCCTAAGGATGTTGTGGCCAGCGGGCCTGTCTTATGATACTGAGTTGTTGTCTGAGACCAGCAAAAGACACAGTGATATTCACACTAATTTCAAAGAAAACTAGGAAGTAGTATTATGAAAATATAGGAAAGATTATGCACAAAGCTCTAGTCCCACTAGATCCTGTGGAAATGATTAAAACAAACAGTTATATACTGCCACCTGGAGGAAGGGTTTGGCTCTTAAAGTTTTAAAAAATAAAAGTAAGGCTCCTGATAAGTTGAAGTGAACGTAGTTGATAACATTTCCTTGAGCATTTTGTGGTGTTAGGTTATACATTGTAAACCTTATTGAATTTAGTATTTAGAGTTTTGGTGGCTATTTTCTGAATGAAAAAGTAGTATAACTGATTTCTTCTCATTTGTAAATGTATCAGTATGAAACATTTCTAAAGTATAACACTGAAACCACATTCAGTCATGCCCTTGACACGTTGCATTTGGTGGAAATTGCATTAAATTGAGGTGTTTAAAAGGATCCAAGCTGTCCTGTCCACGTTCCTATCCCCCACACTCCTTGGCATTCTATTATAGCAAACGCTTTCTCAGGCTCCTGAGTCACAAGTATTATGCTGACCTTTCAAATGCCCCAAGCAAATAAAGAGAAGAAACTGGCCACTCTTTTCTACCTGCCTGAATAAAATCGTTTCTGGACGAATGGCTGTGTGGTCAGGGATACGGGCAAGTTTAGATAATCATCAAGACTTCTCTTTAGTGCTAACGGCCACGTTTTTTGTTATTGACCTTGGCTCAAAATTGGTTTTCATTTTAAGATAGAGTAATAATTTTAAAAATCTATATGAGCATTTGACACATCTATTTGTTTGTGAGTTTTTATTATAAATTTTGGATTTGAACCTTTGACTGACCTAAGAGGGTAGGTTCCCTTTGCGTTCATACCCTGTGTTCCAGTGAAGGCTGATCTGGGAGGCATCGTAGTGTAGTGGAAAGAATGCGGCTCTAGAGCCAGTGAGACCTGGGTTCATAATCCCAGCTGTGTATGAACTGGTCTTCTGAATTTAGGAAAGTACTTTCTCTTTAGGCTCTTGCCTTTATTTGTAAAATGGACATCACGCTTGTCTCATGGAGTTAGCGTGAGAGGCGTGACACATGGTCAGAACTCTGTAAGTTATTGTCTTGATGATAGATCTTGACATAAGAAAACGAAATATCCGGCTGGGCGCGGTGGCTCACGCCTGTAATCCCAGCACTTTGGGAGGCTGAGGCGGGCGGATCACGAGGTCAGGAGATCGAGACTATGGTGAAACCCTGTCTCTACTAAAAATACAAAAAAAAAAAAAAAGCCGGGCGCGGTGGCGGGCGCCTGTAGTCCCAGCTACTCGGTAGGCTGAGGCAGGACAATGGCGTGAACCTGGGAGGCGGAACTTGCAGTGAGCCGAGATCACACCGCTGCACTCCAGCCTGGGCGACAGAGCGAGACTCCGTCTCAAAAAAAAAAAAAAGAAAAAAGAAAATGAAATATTGATTAATTTAAACAACATTTATGATGTGTGAACTCTGCATCATTCTTATCTTGACTTTGTACAAAGCTCTTTTTCCAGCCTTTTTTGTTTAAAAAATTTTTTAAATAATTTTAACTCTTATTTTAGATTCAAGGGGCACATGTGCAGGTTTGTTACCTGAGTATATCGCATGATGCTGAGGTTTAGGGTACTGTTGATCCTGTCACCTAGGTAGTAAGCCTAGTGCCCAGCAGTTAGTCTCACAACCCTTGTCCTCCTCCTGCCTTCCCCCTCTGGTAGTCCCCAGTATCTATTGTTGCCATTTTTATGTCCATGAGTACTCATTGTTTAGCCCCTAGTTGTAAGTGAGAAGGTATTTGGTTTTCTGTTCCTGTGTTAATTCACGTAGGATAATGGCTTCCAGCTGCATCCATGTTGCTGTAAAGAACATGATTTTGTTCTTTTTCATGGCTACATAGTATTCTGTGGTATACATGTACCACATTTTCTTTATCCAATCCACCCTGGATGGGCATATAGATTGATTCCACATCTTTGCTATTGTGAATAGTGCTGCAATGAACATACAGTGCACGTGTCTTTTTGGTAGAATGATTTATTTTCTTTTGGATGTATACCAAGTAATGGGATTGCTGCGTCAAGCGGTAGTTCTAAGTTCTTTGAGAAGTCTCCAAACTGCTTTCCACAGTGGCTGAACTAATTTACATTCCCAACAACAGTGTATAAGTGTTTCCTTCTCAGCCGGGCATGGTGGCTCATGCCTGTAATTCCTGCACTTTGGGAGGCTGAGGTGGGCGGATCATTTGAGGTCAGAGTTTGAGACCAGCCTGTCCAACATGGCAAAACCCCATCTCCACTAAAAATACAAAAAAAAAAAAAATTAGCCAGATGTGGTAGCAAACGCCTGTAATCCCAGCTACTCAGGAGGCTGAGGCAGGAGAATTGCTTGAACCTGGGAGATGGAGGCTGCAGTGAGCCGAGATCGCGCCACT
The DNA here is from genome assembly GCF_000001405.40 of Homo sapiens. Classification (NCBI taxonomy): domain Eukaryota; kingdom Metazoa; phylum Chordata; class Mammalia; order Primates; family Hominidae; genus Homo; species Homo sapiens. The sequence goes on along the minus strand of NC_000021.9, from coordinate 31,196,366 downwards.
GCACTCCAGCCTGGGCAACAGAGCAACACTCCGTGTGAAAAAAAAAAAAAAGAAAAAAGAAAAGAAAAGCATTCCCTTCTCTCTGCAGCCTCACCAACATTTGTTGTTTTTTGACTTTTTAGTAATAGCCATTCTGATTGGTGTGAGATGGTATCTCATTGTGGTTTTGGTTTACATTTCTCTGATAATTAGCGATGTGTACATTTTTTCATATATTTATTGGCCACATATATGTCTTATCTTGAGAAGTGCCCGTTCATGTCTTTTGCCCATTTTTTGATGAGATTATTCACTTTTTGCTGATTTAAGTTCCTTATAGTTTCTGGATATTACAGCTTTGTCAGATGCACAGTTTGGAAATATTTTCTCCCATACTGTAGATTGTCTGTTTATTGACAGTTTCTTTTTCTGTGCAGAAGCTCTTTAGTTTAATTAGGTCCCACTTTTCCATTTTCATTTTTGTTGCAGTTGCTTTTGAGGACTTAGTCATAAGTTATTTCCTTTCTTGGGCTTTTAGAAGGCTGATTAATTTGTGTACTTCAGTTTTCTAGCTAATTTCGATACAGTTCAGTGGCTAAAAAAAAGAATATCCTCCTTTACGTAATTTGTTTTCTGTTTCAATGCTATCATTTGTCTCTACTTATTTGTACTATGATGAACTTTTTGAATGGAAGCATAGAGATTTATCTTATTTCCATGAATTCCATACCAAGATCTTTATAACCTCTTCTTGATTTTAATAAACTTTTTCTCCCCACAACTAGAGATCTCCATTACTTTAGCATTATTTTTCAGGTCTGTGATAGACATTGGGTAGGAATAGACAGACAGAGTGATGTGGAGGAATTACTTAGAAACCAAACTGTGGCTATGTTTGAGGACGACAGCTGGAAGTTTTTACTTTTACTTTTTACTTTTAATGAGTTTCGTTTAATGATAAGATTGTGAAGTGCAAATTCACGTAAGTATCAATTGTGAAAAAATAGATTTATGAAATGATGACCATTTTTAAAAGTTAGTTATAATGAAATTCTAATTAGATTCCCCTTTGTAACTTTCAGCTGTACAAAGAAATTGAAATCTGTCCAAAAGTCACTCAGAGCATCCACATTGAGAAGTCAGATACAGCTGCTGATACTTACGGTAAGTTTATTTTTCTTTGTTTGTGTTTTAAGGTAAAGTATTTCTTATGTAAGCATGCATTTATTTACAGTTCAACAAAATGCCTTTGAGTCCTATCTAAAACAGATAGTATATCTGGCTCCTGCTCTGTGGAGGGCAGCCACACTAGGGAATAACAGGGATATTTACTCTGGGTACGATGTAGACTTTGGTGTTAAATTTCATAACTTTAATTACTGGGATTCTACTGTCCTAAAAAGGAAGTGGGTAGCTTATTTTATATGTCAAAAGATAAAATTACAACAAGTTTAGTTATAAATCTGACTGGCTTTTATTTGTGATTCATGCATGGGATAGCCTCCATTCTACAAAATAGAATGAGAGCTCCCTCTGGGCAGTGGCAGAACAGTGATGTTTGTAAGTTGGCGACAAGGAAACAGAACAGTGGAAGAAGAAAACTGATTGTTTAACTTAGCTTACTTCAGGTTACTTTTTTGTAAGGGTTAAAGCAGAGGGGACCTACTTATTTTGTTGACTCAGGTAGACCGGAATCTCATGTTTTCAGGAAAAACTGGTCTGTTTGGGGATCTACTTGCTTCCTGAAAGTTTTAGTTTGATTATGTGGCATCCAGCATGAGTGATTCCATTTTTATTTGATCTGGCCTTTCGGGCATAATGCAGGAACTCAGTTCACAACAATGACCTCCCATAATTTTTGTTTAACATATACTATGATGTACCTTAGTAATGTAGGAATTATTCTTTTACACCCCCTCCCGAAAACTATAAATTTTGAGAAATCTCAAAATAAGTAAGCCATTATCCTACATTATCCTCCCTTCCCATACAAATAATGTTAAAGGAACTATTTTGGTGGTGTGTAGGGGGGTCCCCAAGACCATCCCTAGGTTTGCTGATTCACTAGGAAGACCCACAGAGCTCAGCCTCTGGTCATACTCACAACTATGATTTTTTTAATAGCAAATTATACTGAAGCGGCTTCGTTGTCTTGGGTAAATACCCACGGTTCGTTGTCTCATGCCAAGGGAATCGAGGATGCGGACACACAAGAAGTGGGTTTAGGAGTAGAGGTTTAACAGGCAAAAAAAAAGAGAAAGGAGAATAGCTCTCTCTCCTGCAGAGAGAGAGGGGTGCCCGAGTGGGTCTTCCGGCCAGCGGCGGAATGCACTGGATTTGTATAGCCAGGCTTGAGGAGGCGGTGTCTGATTTACATAAGGCCCACAGATTGTTTGGACCAGGTGTGAGGTCTACACAGCACGCATGGAAGCTGGCTGCCCTATCCTAATCTTTATTATGCAAATGGAGTCTTTGCCTGGCGGGGGCCATGTTCACTGCTTCTTACTGTACGCATGGCTGACAAAGAGAAGAGAGGATGGAGCCGCCATTTTGAACATGCTTAGTCCCAGCTAGCTTTTCCCGATTCACACTGCCGGCACTCACCGGTGTAAGCTTCCAGCTTGCTTGTCTGTGTGTGCAGCTTGATTTTACAGGCTGCTTTTTGTTACAAAAAAAAATTATTTGGGGGTTGCTTTTCATTAAAAGGAAAATGTTACTGAGGATTTTCTTCTCCTCGCTCTCTGCCTAAATCATTTCATCTTAACTCCTGTATCAACACAAAGCAAAATCAGCAAAGGGAAAAGGCGCATGGAGTGAAGTCTAGGGGAAACCAGGTGTGAGCTTCAGCGGGCCCTGTTTCAGTGGAGTCACGTAGAATGAGGATAACTCCTGCAGCACCAAGTTGTGAGGACACCTGAGAAATGCTCTCTCCTAGGGAAGGTGGTTAGAGAGTCAGTGCCCAGGGCTTTTCTGGGGAGGCTGGTTCCCTAGGCACCCTCTGCCTAGCATGCACCAAAATTCCAGACTCCCAGGAGGAAAGTAGGCGTTCACCATAAATCCCATTGTTTGTACCACAGTTTAGGCACTGTGAGCCACTCAGGGTGTTGGGAACCCTCCCAAAATCCAAGTTCTCAGGATACCAGCCAAGGTTCAAATTTGTAAGCGGGCCTTTCGAAGAATAGCAGTCATGCCTGCTGTGTTAACGCTTTCCTATGCGGTTGTCTACATTCTGGCGGAGTTAAATATATATTCCTTTCCATATGTTTAAGACCAGTCTTCTTTACTTAGCATTACACTGTATGGCTTGAATAGTAACAGAGTTGGTGCCTGAGTAAATTAAGTGAGGAAAATCCATGCTGTGCTGTATCAGTCAGGAGTGGCGAGGTTAGCTGAGGTAACAGACAGCCACCAAAGCCCGGTGGCTCGAAACAGTGACATTTATTTCTCACATTCACCACGCGTCCCTTGTGGGTTGGCTGGGACTCCATACGTTGTCCTCATTCCACACCCAGGTCTGGAGCAGCTGCCACCTGGGACAGTGCTTGTCACTCTGCAGAGGGGGAAGGGGAGATGGGAAAGCAGGTGTTGTCCCACTCCCAATTCATTGGCCAAAGCAAGTCACACAGCCATACCTACCTACGAGGGAGCACTGAAGTGTGATTCTACTGTTTGGTAGAAGGAGAACAAAGTTCCCGGTGGAAAGACATAAAGACTACCTCATATGCTCGCTTAAGATTTCTCTCTGAATCAAGTTATTAAGCTGTCTTTTTTTTTTTTAAGACACAGTTTCCCTCTGTCGCCCAGGCTGAAGTGCAGTGGCGCGATCTCAGCTCACTCCAACCTCTGCCTCCCAGGTTCAAGTGATTCTCCTGCTTCCCAAGTAGCTGGGATTACAGGCGTGTGCCACCATGCCTGGCTAATTTTTGTACTTTTAGAAGAGACGGGTTTCACCGTGTTGGCCAGGGTGGTCTTGAACTCCTGACCTCAACTGATCCACCCACCTCGGCCTCCCAAAGTGCTGGGATTACAGGCATGAGCCACTGTGCCTGGCCCAGGTTATTAAGCTTTTTAGCATTTGAAAATCTTTAAAACTCTTTTCTGAGCACTGGGATATTACATTCCTTCTGCACCTTCCCCTGTAGGCCACCAGTCTTCATCTCGGAATACTCAATAGAGGATTTGGGCCTAATGAAGAGAATCCAGTTTTGAACCCTGGCCACTTGCGTTATAACTTTATGCTGTTTATTTCTTGACCTTAAAACTAAAGACATAATAAAGCCAGGAGAATGTTTCTCATGGCAAGGAATAAATGTTTATGAGCGGCTTATTATGCAGCAAAAAGCCGACCTCAGTAATTAGAGCTGTAATTGGTAGCAGTGAAGTGCCTGGATCCTCCAAAATTAGATGCTCCATAATGATTATTCTTTTTCTCTTCAGTTTACTTAATTTTTGTTGAGTAAGGATAAACTAGCAAAGATCAAGTTCAGAAGGCTGAATTTCAAAGCTCTTGGACTCTGCTTCTAAGATTGAGTGATTCAGGGACTCAGAAATTGGAACTGGGCATGAAACTGCTACCGTTTGTATACATTTTAATACTTTTTGTTAAAGTCACTGAATTACTCACAGAACCCATTTACTTTTACCCCCTGAGGAGGGTATGACAGGGCACCAGGCGTCAGTCTTGAGAGTGTTACAAACAGTGCTTCCCAACTCATCCGATGTAAAGAAGCAGGTATTTTGTTTTGTTTTAATTTCCACTCTTTTGTGACCACTGCTGCTTTTGTGAAATACAAAATCCCATGCTTGGAGGTTGTGGCAATGTCAAAGCTACAAGAGGTTCTCAATGCTTAGTCTTGATTTCTGTCCTGACATTACTGCCATTAGCAAACAGTTGGCACCTGTTCCCTGACTTCACTTTGAAAAGCCCTGCCACAGGCTGGACACAGAGGGTCACACCTGTAATCCCAGCATTTTGGGAGGCCGAGGTGGGCAGATCATGAGGTCAAGAGATTGAGACCATCCTGGCCAACATGGTGAAACCCCATCTCTACTAAAGATAAAAAAATTAGACGGGCTTGGTGACACACACCTGTAGTCCCAGGTACTCGGGAGGCAGGAGAATCACTTGAACCTGGGAGGCAGAGGTTGCAGTGAGCTGAGATTGTGCCACTGCACTCCCGCCTGGTGACAGAGTGAGACTCTGTCTCAAAGAAAAAAAAAAGAAAAGAAAAGCCTGCCACTCATGGCTAATAAGCTCAGTTAAATCATTTCTTCTCCGTGCTCGGGTTGGTTTTGGCATTTGATGTTCCAGCAGCGTATTGATTGAAGAGGTGAAACATTCCCCCAGTCCTCAGAGATCTGATTGCCTCTGGATTAAAAGCTACCGCAGAGTCGAAATTCAGCCCATCTGTATCTAATATTAACACCTAGCTAAGTGGCTTCTGGTTAGATACTGAGTTCAGTACAAGTAAAAGCTGCCGGCACAAACACAGAAACACCTCACAATACAGATCATATGCTGCTTTCTATTTTAGAACACTTTAGGGAGGAGAATATAATTTAATAATCCAACTGACTGAACACACTTAAAGCGGGAACATTTACTTAATTTCTCTCTCTTGCCTCTCTCTCCATCTCAGCCCTCAGCTCACTCCCACACTTTACTGTTGAAATTAGTTCACATATCCAGTTACATGATACTTAGACTAAGCATGAGACCCTCGGCTGCCTTGAAGTAGAAGGATGCGTCATTTCAGCAACTTAATGTTCCTTTTCTCTGGGTACTTCTAGTACTATTATATTTTTTAGTCGTGTGTTCTCCTCATGTTATAGGTGCCTGTGCTTGTTATCTGAATTTTCATTGTATCCTGGACTCTAGTTTTGAGTAATTCTCTATTGTTTATCATGTTATGGTTTTTCTAGGTTGAGGAATCTTTTGGTGGTTCATCTCATGAGTTTGTTCTTAGTTTCTTTTTTGAGACAGGGTCTTACTCTGTCGCCCAGGCTGGAATGCAGTGGTGGGATCATGACTCCCTGCAGCCTCAACCTCCTAGACTCAAGCCATCCTTCCCACCTCAGCCTCCCAAGTAGCTGGGACTACAAGGCACGTGCCACCATGCCCAGCTAATTTTTTAAAAAAAATTTTGTAGAGACAGGGTCTCACTGTGTTGCCAGGGCTGGTCTCAAACTCCTGGGCTCATGCTTTCCTCCCGCCTCAGCCTTCCAAGAGTGCTGGGATTATAGGCATGAGCCACCACGCCCGACCTTAGTTTCATCACTTAATTTTAAGCACTTCCTTCGTTCTCCTGATCATTATTCCAGTTGCCACTCATGATCCCTTCCTGTATTTGAAGCTAACAGCCTTCCAGTTGGTGGATACATAGGTTTATATTGAATAATTTCCCTCTGCCCCCTGTTGGCAATCATTTTGGACGATATTAGAGTTGTCTGCTGAGAGTTAGAACATTGCTGTCCTATTTAAAAGAAATAGATCTGACTTTGCTGATTAACTGTTAAAATCATTATGTTCTTCATTCAGTTCCACATAATCCAGCTGTAGGATATTTCATAATTTTCTTTATATTTGTTCATGTAGAAGATGGTTATAAGGTTTTCCCCCAGTGTGCAAAGTATTGGCATCTTTAAATGGAAGCCGCTCACATGTTTGTTGCAAGGCAAGGTGTGGGGAGGGCTGCCTACCTGGAACAGTGAAAGGGGCTCCTGTTTGACCCCTAAACTGGTGTCCAATATGAATTCCAGTACAGAGCTAATGTGCTATTCACTTTTGTAAATTTTTGGCTTTCATTTGGGTGATCTTCAAAGAAGGAACTTATGCCCATTATCGTTTCTTCCATCCTCTTTCCTATCATAGAGATTTCCCCACTAATTAGAGATGTCTGATCTGTTTCTCAGACCTAGTCTTTTTACCCAGTTGTCTGGTACAAATTACATAATCAATTGCAGTCCTCAGACTGGAAGTCTCCTCTATTTAACCTTTTGATTATACAAAAAGAGGACCAAGAAAAGAGGGAATGGCTGGGTGTGATGGCTCACACCTGTAATCCCAGCACTTTGGGAAGCCGAGGCAGGTGGATCACTTGAAGTCAGGAGTTTGAGACCAGTCTGGCCAGCATGACGGAACCCCATCTCTACCAAAATTAGAAAAATTAGCTGAGTGTGGTGGTGTGTGCCTGTAATCCCAGCTACTAGGGAGGCTGAGGTAGGAGAATCGCTTTAACCTGGGAGGCAGAGGTTGTAGTGAGCTGAGATCGCACCACTCCACTCCAGCCTAGACAACAGAATGAGACTCCATCTCAAAAAAAAAAAAAAAAAAAAAAAAAAAAGAGGGAATGGAGCAAATCATACCTGAGGTGTCTCCATGTCTCCATCTAATTGGCTTCAGGTGACTTGCAGCAGGCTGTCACCATGTTGCCTCTCCTGCCATCTTCCAGTTAAGCAAAGGTGTTTCCTGGTACCCCACAGGGGTGCTAATTTTTTAATAGAAAAAAAACTGGGGCCAGGCTCAGTAGTGAAAGCCTGTAATCCCAACACTGTGAGAGGCTGAGGTGGGAGGATCGCATGAGGCCAGGAGTTTGAGACCAGCCTGGGCAACATAGTAAGACCCCATCTCTAAAAAAAATTAAAAAATCAGTCAAGCATGGTAGCACTCACATGTAGTCCCAGGTCTTCTGGTAGATGAGGTAGGGAATTGTCTGAATCCAGGAGTTTGAAGCTACAATGAGCTATGATCACACCACTGCATTCCAGCCTGGGGGACAGAGCAAGACCCTGTCTCTTTAATAACAAACAAACAAAAAAATTGGTCTCAGAATGTAGTAGAATGATGGCATTTCAAAAAGGAAATTCCAATAGTTAGATGAATCCTATTCATTCTTTCCTATGACGTAGCCCTTGATTCTATCTCGCCTAATAGATTTTTTTTTAATTTCCACTAAAATGCAGATAAATACACCTGTGTTAAGGCTAATGTAACTTAAATGGTTCTTGTGTAAAAATATTTTGATTTCAGCAGGGCTTCTTGACACTTAATCTGAAAGTTAGAAGTTGCTGAAAGAAGAGAATTTAAAATAAGAGAATGAAATGAAGACTTTGGAAAGTCCTCACGGGTGGCCCTCTGCTGTTCCCTATCTGAGGGTGTTACGGTACTTGAGAGGGCGATGGCAATTAGCCTTTTTGCCTATGTGAGGTTATCCATTTCCTGGTCCTGTAAACTAAACAAAAAACCATGTGTTCATCATGACATGGCCTAAAAAGGCTCAATGACTCCCTGGAACCCAATCTTACAAAATTCTGTTTTGCTATTTGCCTGCTTGTTTTTTTTTCAACCACTGCTCTCCCCTCAGCATTACGATGGGTATCTATATTATGGGATGATTTTTTTCCCAGAGCTGAAATTATTGCAGATATATACAATGACATGTGTTCCCCTTGCCCTTTTTAGAAATATCTGCAAAGGTATTTCTTTCCCTTAGCAAAGTAGGTATTCACTGTGGACATTCAAAGTAATTGATTAGGAAAGAGTTTTACATGAGGCGGTCTGGAAACAGGAGTGACCAGGACTTGTAACCATAGAGTTTTGAGTACCTAGGATCCTCAAGCCACGTAGAATACCTCGGCCTCACTCTGCTTTCCTCTCTGAAGTATGTAGCAGAGCCCAGGGTTAATTAGCAAGTTGGCTTTGAGCTCTGGGAGCCCAGAGAAGTATAAGATAATCTTATGATCAGATACTGCTAGAGTGTGAAATCAGGTACAGTTTCTGTAATGTGTAATTCACATTACAGATTCGTAATGTGAGTTGCATCTTGCTCCTGTTTGCAGAATTGTATTAAAGCAGTGTCCATATAGTCATACATATGGATGAACACACACCCTCCAACAGTACAGTTGTTAACATATTCTAGGACATAGATTTGATGAAAAACGTCTGGGGACTTTGAGGTAAGCTAATCTTTCTGTTTTCTGCTTTGGAGGAGAGTATGGAAAAGAAAAAATGATGGCGTTTACCAGGAAGCAAGATTAAACAAAATAATTTGCTTTCCTTTGAGTTGATTGGTAGGTAATATGAAGATAGACGTACATAGTAATCTTTATTTTTACAAGTAGTGACTTCCAGAGTGATCTAAAAATACACTTTTCTGCTATGTAAAACAAGAAAAAACAATCAGTCCAAACTATAATGACAAACATGAAACATACCTAGTTCACAGCAGGCACTTCCTGTTGTTTGCTAAACATTCAGAAGGTGTGAGCCCTGCCATTCTGTCTTTTTGTGTTTCACAGGGTTTTCACTTTCTTCTGTGGAAGAAGATGGTATTCGAAGGCTGTACGTGAATAGTGTGAAGGAAACCGGTTTAGCTTCCAAGAAAGGTAAGTCAGTGAAGGAGGGCTGGTCTGTCTGTCTTAAATGCCCTTTGGGGCTTCTCTAGTTTTTGAAGGAGAAAGATATGCCCAAAGGATTCATTTGTGGAAAGTATTTGAACATTTTCTCATTGAAAACCCTTCCAGGGAATATGCATTTTATTCCATTAACTTAAGTGTACCAGAAAGGTCATATTCTTGAACTTTTTTTTTCTTTTTTTAATTTTTAGAGACAAGGTCTTGCTCTATCACCCAGGCTGGAGTCCAGTGGCGCAATCATAGGTCACTGTAGCATCGAAATCCTGGGCTCAAGCCACCCTCTCACCTCAGCCCCCCAGGTCGCTAGGGGAGTACAGGTGCATGCCACCACACCTGACTAATTTATTTACTTATTTATTTTTCAGAGTCAGGGGTCTTGCTGTGTTGCCCCGGCTGTTCTTGAGCTCCTGGGCTCAAGCGATCCTCCTGTCTCAGCCTCTCAAGTCACTCATTTTTGGATTTTAAACTGATTGAGCCCATTACCCTGGGGCTGGTGGGAAATTCCATTCTAATCATGTGGTCGTCCTTCTCCATCTTCTAGGATGGTGTGGGGATCCTGGGGGGGTTCTTCCTGGAGCAGAGCATGGGGGAAGACCCCTCTGTACTTTGGTCCACACTGGTCAAAGCTGACATTGGCTATTGCCTGAGCCTGCAGAGCTCTTTCAAACCAGTTGTTCTGTTGCTTCCGTTCATAGAAGAATCTGCGAAAGTTGAGAACCTAGGGATTTGAGATCCAGCCTCCCTCCCCTTCTTTAGAGAGCGCTTCCCCGCTACATCCTGCCTGTTTCATTTTAGCCCTTAAATGGCCTATAATGCATTTGGGCTACTTGGGGAACCCCAACTCTTCATCCTTTTTCTACCCCTGGAAAGTCTTTGCAACCTAGATGATTTGCTCACAGTGCTAATTTCTTAGAGCTACTGTAATAAACTGTTACACACTGGGTGGCTTAAAATAACAGAAATTTATCCTCTCGCCGTTTAGGAGGCCAGAAGTCTGAAATTAAGGTATTGGCAAGATTGATTTCTCTGAAGCCTCTGAGGGAAGAATGGCTTCATGCCTCCTTCTGGTTTCTGGTGTGAAAGCAGCACTTGGCATTCTGTGGCTTATGGCTGTATCACTCCAATCTCTGCCTGAAGTCACATGGCTTCTGCCCTGTGTGTGTCTCTGTGTCATTAACATGGCTTTCTTATAAGAACACCAGTCATTGGATTTAGGACCTACACTAAATCATTGTGAGTTCATTGTAACTTTCGTGTGTAATAGTATATAATTATGTGTAATTATTATATAATTATAATGATGATATTGTAATTATTATAATATAATTATCATATAATGATATATAATATATTAATATAATATATAGCTATATGATATATAATATATTATATTAATATATAATATATTATATTAATATATAATATATAATGGCATAATATATTATATTAGCATATTATATATAAATATATAAGCATATAATATATAAATATAGAATATATTAATACATTATATAATAATCGTTAATATAATTATATATAATTATATAACATAATTATATATAATTATATAGCATAATTATATATAATTATGATGTGCAATTATTATATAATTACAATGATTATATTATTACAATTTCATCTGTGATATATATCTATCCCTATTTCCAAAGAAGGTTGCATTCTGACATTCTAGGTGGACAGGGACTCTATTCGACCCACTATACTCGCTGTAAATAAATGGGACAGGTAGGTAGGGCTGGAAATCCACCTTTGTTTCTTTCTTCTTGCTATGGGATTTGTAGTTTCATCCAAGAAGTGGCAAAATAATATGTATTGAACGTCAGAGATCAACACATCCAGATCAACTGTGCTTAGATGTACTTACCTTGCATCTGTTGTGTTAACTACTGCTGAATGGAGCAGAGAAGGGAAATTGAGTGCTGATCTTCGCCACTGCCTTTTTTGTCCTGGTTCAGCTGAGTTCTGGGTAGTTCATGGCTTGCAAAGCTACCTGTGCAGGTTATATTGACCTGTCCTGTAAACACTGGAAAAGCACAACCGCGGACTTGGCTATGCATGGAAAGGCAAAGGTGTGACGAGTGAGAAATAAAGTCAGGATAATTTATCTGCTGCTGACTGTCACAGAGGAGCATTTTCCTTCTTGTTCCTTCTATACTTTCTAGGCCATAGGCAGCCTGGGGCCAGAGTTTGACCCAGTCACTGAGCTGTATCTCAGCTAAGAGCAGAGATGACAGGATTTCTTCCCCTTCAAGCCCAAAGACTGATTTTTATCTCTTTCATCACAACGAGTGTGCCGGTTTGCGTGGCACGGGGGTGGGGAATCTACTGCTCTGGTTTCAGTCACATCCTGTTTTAGGTCTTTGAATCTGAGAGCCCTGGTGTTAAATGAAGATGAACGGTCATCTGTACTAACCCCCTTGCTCTGTTCTCAACAGATGCAAGAGTGATGTCCATTCTGTCCTCCTGGTCCACAAACACGATCCCAACACCTGGCGTGTCTAGAAAGATATTGGGGGTATTTTATGTTAAATTTAGCTGTGAATTGGCCGGGCACGGTGGCTCACACCTGTAATCCCAGCACTTTGGGAGGCCAAGGTGGGCGGATCACCTGAGGTGAGGAGTTCCAGACCAGCCTGGCTAACATGGTGAAACCCTGTCTCTACTAAAAATACAAAAATTAGCTGGGCATGGTGGTGCGCACCTATAATCCTAGCTACATGGGAGGCTGAGGCAGGAGAATCACTCGAACCGGGGAGGCAGAGGTTGCAGTGAACTGAGATCGCGCCATTGAACTCAAGCCTGGACAACAAGAGCAAAACCCCGTCTCAAAAACAAAACAAAACAAAAATTAGCCAGACATGGTAGCACATGACTGTAGTCCCACCTACTCAGAAGAATGGGAGAACCCGGGAGACAGATGTTGCAGTGAGCCAAGATCGTGCCACTGCACTCCAGCCTGGGCAACAGAGTGAGACTTCGTCTCAGAAAAAATAAATAAATAAAAATTTTAAAAAATTTGGATCACCTGAGGTCAGCAGACCAGCCTGGCCAACATGGTGAAACCCCGTCCCTACTGAAAATACAAAAAATAGCTGGGCGTGGTGGTGAGTGCCTGTAATCCCAGCTACTTGGGAGGCTGAGGCAGGAGAATCGCTTGAACCTGGGAGGCAGAGGTTGCAGTGAGCCAAGATCGCACCACTGCACTTCAGCCTGGGCAACAGAGTGAGACTCCGTCTCAAAAAAAAAAAAAAAATGATTTCAGATATTTTAGAAACCTGAATAAGGATGTCCAGGGCATGTGACTCTGTGAAGCTGGGAAGCGAGAACTTCTTTGTAGGGTCATTTTCTGCAGAATCTGAGTGGGATGCCCGAGGGCCTGGGAGGCTTCTCGTTCCTGCAATTTATCTTTGCCTGCCCTTCGCTCACTCCCTTTTTCAAGTTGGTTTTTCCATATTGGTGTATAAAATTAGAAATTGGGCTCCTTTTCTCTCCCTAGCTGAAAGGATTATTTTATTTTCTTTCATGTTCTTCCCACCCTCTCCATTTCTCAGGCTGCTGGAATGTTCTTCCAGTGCGAGTTTGAACTGCACCTTGGTGTCTCAACTTGCTGTTCTTCTAGGTTGGGCTTGTTCATGGTCGTTCCCTTGGGTCCCAAATTTTGGCAATTCCCCTAGCAGATCCTTTGGGGATCTACCAAAAGAGATTCATCCCAAGGTTCAGATGTAGTTTGAAAACAAAACAAAAAAGGACAAAATGATTGCATTGGGTTCTTGAAACTGTCATCTCTAAGTGTATTTGGAATGAGACATTCTTACTTCTGTCCTCATAGCCAGAGTGAACGCCCTGCATTTTGGTTCCTTGGAAATAATCAATAGATATTAGCTGGCTGTGACTTAAGTGTGCACTGAGGCATGAACATGTACAAAACACAGTGATGGCAGTCATCAGAGAGCACTGCCATTCCCCGCTCGCCCCGCCCCAAAAGTGTAGGAAGATAACCGGAATTAATTAGCATTTGTGAGAAATTTGCAGATGCTTGGAACACACAAATTAATGAAGGAGTAAGTTTGTTTGCTTGATGTATGAAGGACCAGCTAGGCATGTTGTAACCTGCAAATCTAGAACCTTCAGAACCTGAGGCCCCTGTCCTCTCCTGAGGATCACTCCCGAGCACCGCAGCCTGTCTGCAGCAGCACCTGGGGCTGTGAGACCCACAGCAGGTGTGCCCTTTATAGCAGAGCTCCTAAGCTGTTGTGTTCTGATAATGTGTGTGAAATTAAAAATTTTCCATCTTGCGTTGGCAGGCCTGAAAGCAGGAGATGAGATTCTTGAGATCAATAATCGTGCTGCTGACGCCCTGAACTCTTCTATGCTCAAAGATTTCCTCTCACAGCCCTCGCTGGGCCTCCTGGTGAGGACCTACCCCGAGCTGGAGGAAGGAGTGGAGCTGCTGGAAAGCCCGCCCCACCGAGTGGACGGCCCTGCCGACCTTGGCGAGAGCCCCCTCGCCTTTCTCACCAGCAACCCAGGTATGGCTGTGCAGGGTGCTGGGGGCGAGTCTGAACTCCGTTGTGCCACGACCCGGGGAGTTTATCATGCGGCTTGTGTGTTTCAGTGAGTGCCTCTGTCTGGCAGGTGGTATAAAATGTGTGTGCAAGATGGGCTGATGACTGGCCCTGCATTTCCTGTTGAAATTTCAAAGGCGCAGGGAACTTTATTTTCTCATAGAGCTGTTTTGCTACAGATCCACCTGTCACCCATGGGCAGCTTTATAATGCTTCTGCTGTTTCTCATTTTGGGGAAAGGTGAATATTTAGAAGACTTTGCTGTGGATAGAGATACAGAGGCACAGAAGTGTTGGGAATTGGGCCACGTGTGGTGGCTCGCACCTGTAATCCCAGCACTTGGGAGGTGGAAGCAGGAGGATACCTTGAGGTCAGGAGTTTGAGACCAGCCTGGGCAACATAACGAGACTCTATCTCTCCAAAAAAAAAAAAATGAGCTGGGCATAGTGGAGAGCATCTGTAGTTCCAGCTACTTGGGAGGCTGAGTCAGGAGGATCGCTTGGGCCCAGGAGTTTGAGGCTGCAGTAAGCTGTGATTGCACTGCTGCATTCCAGCCTGGGAGACAGAGGCCTGTCTCGTAAAAAAAAAAAAAAAAAAAAAAAAAAAAAAAAAAAAAAAAAAAAAAAAAGAAGAAGAAGAAGAAGAAGTGCTGGGAATCACATAAGATGCTGAGACTAAGTCCTACCTCTGTTCCTGCCTTCTCTATCGTCATCTTCCAAACCACCACTCAGCCCTGCTTTCCTGCTGTCTGAGAGAAGGACGTGAGCTGAGATGCTGAGAGGCCCAGAGTGGAAATGTGTGCAGAGCTCTGTTTGTCTTTTGGACTTTTTCAACCTGAAGACTGAACCCGAGCGCTTCAGTGACCCCCCTGCCCTGCCCTTCCTTCCTCTCCCCGCTCCTTCTGGCAACCTGTGCTCATTCTACTAGAAGCAGCGTGAGTGCCACCTGCCTTTCGAAGTCTTCCTGGGACCCCATAGAGTTAGCTCTCTCCTCTGGGCCCCCACAACCCTGCAAATTTGACTTCCATATGGGCCCTCATTAGATCATGCGATTCTTACTTGCTTGTGTCTCTCTTTTCGCCTAAATGTGTTTCCTGAGACTGGGTTTATATTCCTCATTTTTGTCTTCCCGGCTCTTTACATGTGGTTTGCTACATGGGTGGCCCTTTCTTGTTCAGCAAGAGAGTGAGTGAGTGATGGAACAGATGAACAGCATAGATTACTATCATTTATTTCTCCATGACCGGGTTCTCGGGTTTGGGTTGATTTAGTAAGTTGGGGTTTTGTCATTATTTTCTCTTTTCAAAGCTTGGGATACAAAAGGAGCGTTCTGTTCAAAATCTGAAATGGAAGGCTCTTGGGTAGTTGGATATTCTTGCCCTGCTATTGTTGTTTTTCAAATCATTTTCTGAAGCTTGGCTTGCTAAGGAAGTTGGACCCCTCATTCTTTTGTCCATTGGCTCCTTGGAAGATTTTGACAAGTTGAAGCTTCAGAAAATTGATTGCTCTCAGTTACAGTTGACTTCCTTGACTCATTATGTTATTGTGGTCCCCACATCCCAATCAAATTTTTGAAAAGTGGCTCCAGTGAGTTGTGTACCCTTAGTAAAGGAGAATGAAGACTATAAAGGCTGTTATTTCATGTGACCACAAGATGGCAGGATCGATCCCATAAAACGGTTCACAGATAGAGTTGTTTCTGGAATATGACTTTGAATGAGACATATTATGTTAGATTAGATTATTTAAAGGATTTTATAAGCTTGCACATATGTGCTATAAGCAACAGTGTGTACTCAACTTTCTTTGGATTTTTTTCTTCTGTCTGAGCCCTTCTTCTGGGTTACAGATATAAAAAAAAAAAGAGGTGGGTAAACTATAATCCATAGGCTAAAAGCAGCCCACCACCTGTTTTTGTAAATAAAGTTTTATTGGAACACAGTCATGCCATTCATTTACACCTTGTCTCTGGCTGTTTTCCTTCTGTAATGGCAGAGTTGAGTCGTTGTGACAAGGACTTAGGGTCTACAAAGCCAAAAGTGTTTACTCTATGGCCCTTTACACATCAAATTCGCTGTCCCTGATGTAAAGTATGACTGAGATTGCTCACAATTTGTTTTTTTAAGGATAGACACGGTTAATGTTTTCGTCTATTTCTTTCTTCTTTTTTAAAAAAAGTCTACCGGGCGCAGTGGCTCACACCTGTAATCCCAGCACTTTGGGAGGCCAAGGCAGGCGGATCACCTGAGGTCAGGAATTTGAGACCAGCCTGGCCAACATGGTGAAACACCACCTCTGTTAAAAATACAAAAATTAGCCATCCGTGGTGGCAGGCGCCTGTAATCCCAGCTACTCGGGAGGCTGAGGCAAAAGAATCGCTTGAACCCGGGAGGCAGAGGTTGCAGTGAGCTGAGATTGCACCACTGCACTTCAGCCTGGGCGACAGAGCAAGATTCCGTCTCAAAAAAAAAAAAAAAAAAAAATCTGTGTATGTATATGTACGTGTACGTGTGTTTGCTTAAAAATCTATTAAAATACATTTAATAGAGTTTAAAATGCATTGAATAAATCTTGAAATGCATTTAAAAGATTTTTAAAATGCATTTTATATATATCTATTTTAGAAATATCTGAGTATTTCTGTGTATACAGTTGCTGTCTGGTCTTTTGTGTGGTGGAGTTTTAAACTAAACAACTGGACTTTACAACTGACCACGTTACCTCCTTCAGACCGCTCACCTTTGGAGGCTGTGCGCTAAATCCATGGACCCTGCCATTATTTTAAAACACATTAAAACTGCAATTTTGGGATCATCTTTGGAAGGTTTTTTTTTTTTTTCAATTAAGCGGCCATAACTCGGAGCTGATATTTTTTAAGTATTTACTATGTGCCAGGCATGGAGCTGAAAGTTTGATAATAACTATGACTCAAATTTTGTCCTCCAGTTTATGTTTTAATGTAGTTTTTCATTTTTTCATTGCTTTATCTTTTTTTTTTGAAACGAAGTTGCGGTCTTGTTGCCCAGGCTGGAGTGCAATGGCGCCATCTTGGCTCACTGCAACCTCCGCCTCCTGGGTCCAAGCGATTCTCCTGCCTCAGCCTCTTGAGTAGCTGGGATTATAGGCACCTGCCACCTCGCCTGGCTAATTTTTGTGTTTTTAGTAGAGATGGGGTTTCACCATGTTGGTTAGGCTGGTCTCGAACTCCCGAAATCGGGTGATCTGCCCGCCTCGGCCTCCCAAAGAGCTGGGATTACAGGAATGAGCCACTGTGTGCGGCCACATTGCTTTATTTCTTAAAATTTTGTAGTTTTACAATCATCAAAAATCCTTCAGGCTGGGTGTGGTGGCTCACGCCTGTAATCCCAGCACTTTGGGAGGCCAGGGTGGGCGGATCACCTGAGGTCGGGAGTTCGAGACCAGCCTGACCAACATGGAGAAACCCCGTCTCTACTAAAAATACAAAATTAGCCAGGCATGGTGGCACATGCCTGTAATCCCAGCTACTAGGGAGGCTGAGGCGGCAGAATCGCTTGAACCCAGGAGGCAGAGGTTGCGGTGAGCCAAGATTGTGCCATTGCACTCCAGTCTGGGCAACAAGAGCGAAACTCCATCAAAAAAGAAAAATCCTCCAGAACAGAGTCTGCTTTGTCAAGTTAGGTAATCAGACTGACTCAGGAATAAAGCATGGAAGTAAAGCCACTGTATTGTTTTGTTGTTTTTGTTTTTGGTAAAGTTTCTAAACTGGCTTCAAAATTAGTAAATTTCAGAAGAATTCCTGGCCGGGCTCAGTGGCTCGCGCCTGTAATCCCAGCACTTCGGGAGGCCGAGGCAGGCAGATCACGAGGTCAGGAGATCGAGACCATCCTGGCTAACACAGTGAAACCCCGTCTCTACTAAAAATACAAAAAATTAGCTGGGCAAGGTGGCGGGTGCCTGTAGTCCCAGCTACTCGGCAGACTGAGGCAGGAGAATGGCGTGAACCCCGGGGGCAGAGCCTGCAGTGAGCCGAGATCACACCACTGCACTCCAGCCTGGGCGATAGCGAGACTCCGTCTCAAAAAAAAAAAAAAAAAAAAAAAGAATTCCTGAATACTTGGTCAAGTAGCAGCCCAATTGGACCTGCTGGTGGAGAGAAGGCATTTCACTTCCCCACCTGGGTCTCTGCCTATCTGCCTTCTGATTGCTTCTGCTTCCTAGTCCCCACTTAACAGTGGAAGATAAAAGTGGAGGCAAATAAACAGGATAAAATAACTGAAAGATTGCTCTGTGATGGGGCAGAGATAAAGCAGTATCAGCAGACCACTGCAGTTAAAATAGAAAACAACCGAGAAAATTTTGTACAACGGGCAGGATGGACTACAGCCTTAGTCTAAATTTAGAAGTAACAAAAATAGGAAACATCCTGAGTGGCAGGTTTGAGGTTTGATGGGAGTAAGTTAAGGTGGATGATTGGTGTCCTCGACAGAGAGCCTTGCTGGGTCTCAGGGACCTTGGGGTCCACGTGAGTGCTGGCTGCTACCTGGCTGCTGGAGGCTTGTCCTGCAGAGCTCCACAGTCTCACAAACTCAAGTGGTCAGACTTGGCCAGGTCCTCCCTTAAGGACCCTGAGTGAGTATGGGATTAGCTTTCAAAGTTGGATTATTTCTGAACTGCTTTCTCATAGAGAGGTTTGTTTCTTCTATGTAGAAGCATCACAGCCTAGTGGCGAAGATTAGGGCCTGGAACCAAGTTATTTGGAACTTAGTCCATTTCTTTGGAACTCAGTCATTGGTGGGGGGGACAGAGTCTCACTCTGTCACCCAGCCTGGAGTGCAGTGGCAGGATCTTGGCTCACTGCAACCTCTGCCTCCCAGGTTCAAGTGATTCTCCTGCCTCAGCCTCCCAAATAGCCGGGATTACAGGCATCCGCCACCACGCCCGGCTAAATTTTGTATTTTTAGTAGAGACAGGGTTTCACCATGTTGGCCAGGCTGGTCTCGAACTCCTGGCCTCAGGTGATCCACCTGCCTCACCCTCCGAAAGTGCAGGGATTATAGGCATGAGCCACCATGCCTGGCCAGAAATCAGTCCATTTCTATGTTCATCAGCTTCATGACCTTGACCTGGTCATGCTTAATCCCTCTGTGCCTCAGTGTCCTCACCTGCAAAATGGGGATAATGCCACACTGTCATCTCATTGGGCTGTTGTGAGGACCAAATGAGGCATAAAAGTAAAGCATTTAGAATATTACCCAGTAAGCGCTCAATAAATGTTTTGTACCTGAAGCCATTCTCTTATGGGGGACATGAGGATTCCCTGGCCTATGACCAGAGATTGCTCTTTTTCAGTATTCTCCCTGCCTTCTACGCCACCTCAGTCTGCAACAGGTGAATTACCTGATAACTAAGTTTGTGAATTACAGCTTGTTCATATTTTCCTTTCTCGAGTAGAAAGAACTGAATGCTGTAGTCTAGAATGCTGAGGTTCCTGGGCCCTTTTTCAGAGCTCATGAGTCACCTAGTGTGGGATGGGGTCTGGGTCTGCATTTGTTCCGGTGGTTGCTTCTAATGTCCAGCCCTGGTTGGGAGCCACTGCCTTAGGTCACCAACTCTTCCTGGTTACTGCTCCCTGTCCTTTTTCTTGTCTTGGTGGAATCATAAGATAATTGGAATTTTACGGTGACATGCAAACCTTCTATAGTTTCTTGATCACATTTTGTGATCTGCTTCATTGAGATTTTTTTGTAATGAAAATTTGTTAGGTGGTCCTGTAGTACATTCTCCATTCTCCCGTTCCTTGGTTTACGAGGGAAGCCTGCTGAATGGGTTGCCACGTTGGCTTAGAAAGCCAGGATCTGCATAAGGAGAGTCTATGCTGAGTGTTCTCTGTAAGACTCAGTTTCCTATCCTTGGCTGTTTGCCATCCCTGAGTTCTGGTTGCAGTCTTACTGGAGCTACTTTCATCTGTTTTGGTTTTTTTTTTAAGCATTTGTTTTCATACATATTGGTAGGAAAAAAAGGGAAGGATGTCTAGGACAAAAAGATAGTTCCTTCAGTGGCTGTTTTTATAAAAAGATCTTAGCAGTGAAGGGGAAGCTAGAATAGGAAGTTGCAGAACTGTATTTGTATGAGGTTTCAAAAAAGTCTCTCTTGTGTTCTTGTGTGATTTATTTTGAATACTGATCTTATCTAGCAATATTAACAATCTGGGCTAGGTAATGCTTTGCTGTGGGGAGCTGTCCTGTGTGTTGATGTTTAGCAGTACCCCTGCAAGCCACTACGAGACAATAGTACGCCACCTCCCCAAGTTGTGCCCATCAAACATATCTTCAGACATTGCCAAAAGGCCACTGGGCAGCCAAATCTTACCCAGTTGAGAACTACTGGCCTAATTTATTAAAAGGTATAGCTCTATCACCCTTTTAGGGAAATGTTGCAGGGAACATCAATATAGGAAAGCAAAGCAAATCTAGATGTAAAACAGTTCTTAAAAAAAAGTTTTATAGGCCGGGCGCAGTGGCTCACACCTGTCATCCCAGCACTTTGGGAGGCCGAGGCAGGTGGATCACCTAAGGTCAGGAGTTCCAGACCAGCCTGACCGACATGGTGGAACCCCGTCTCTACTAAACATACAAAAATTAGCTGGGCGTGGTGGCGGGCGCCTGTAATCCCAGCTGCTTGGGAGGCTGAGGCAGGAGACTCTCTTGAACCTGGGAGGCAGAGGTTGCTGTGAGCCAAGATCGTACCATTGCATTCCAGCCTGGGCGACAGAGGGAGACTCCGTCTCAAAAAAAAAAGTTTTATAAAGCATTTATTGAGAGAATTCCAACACAAATCCCCATTTATGGCCTTGTTTTTCCTTTTTACATCAAGAAGAAAGCCAAGAAAAAATAAATGGAATTATGTAACAGTAATTATGCAAAACCTCAGCTTTTATGCAAATTATAAGAATCATAGTTGAAGTGACACCATTAGTGTCTTTCCGAAGTTTCAAACGCCTGTTTCTCTCTCTCTTTGGGTTCACGTTCACTTTATTTTTGTGGTTTATACAGCTGTGCTGTGATTGTCCCTAGAATTCCACTTGACCAGTTGGGGCGAAGCAGGTGCCTTGGTTTACCTCAGTGAGTAGCCCACAGGATTACAATAAAAGTGCCAGAGGCCAAGCGTTCGTTGTGGCTCACACGTGTAATCCCACCACTTTGGGAGGCTGAGGCGGGAGGATTACTTGAGCTCAGGAGTTTGAGACCAGCTTGGGCAACATAGTGAGACCTTGTCTCTACTAAAAATTTAAAAATTAGCCAGGCGTGGTGGTGTGCACCGGTAGTCCCAGCTACTCAGGCAGCTGAAGCAGGAGGATCACTTGAGCACAGAAGGTTGAGGCTGCAGAGATCCTTGATCATACCACTACACACAGCCTGTGAGACAAGCAAGACCCTATCTCTAAAAAAGAAAGTAACAGGCTGGGCACGATGGCTCACGCCTGTAATCCCAGCACGTTGGGAGGCTGAGGGTGGATCACCAGAAGTCAGGAGTTCAAGACCAGCCTGGCCAACACAGTGAAACCCTGTCTCTACTAAAAGTACACAAAATTAGCTGGGAGTGGTGGCAGGTGCCTGTAATCCCAGCTACTCAGGAGGCTGAGGCAGGAGAATTGCTTGAACCCGGGAGGTGGAGGTTGCAGTGAGCCGGGATCGCACCACTGCGCTCTAGCCTGGACAACAAGAGCGAAACTCTCTCTCAAAAAAAGAAAAAGAGAAAAAAGGTAACAATTTTAAAAATAATAAAAGTTCCAGCGTTCCAAGAGCTGCTTCTTGTTCAAAAAATGGTTATTCCTGCTGTGGTGTTGGAGAAAGCCAAGTGCGTGTGGCTAACAGCAGGCCTATGGCATGTTAAAGGCAATTAGGGCCAGCGCTGGAGTTGCAGAGTCAGATCCTTTGATAAACCTCAGGCGTGTCTGTCTGATGCCAAGTGGAAGCTTGTGCTCTGCAGTCCAGACCAGTGTCCCTCCTGCAGGAAGTAGATTAAGCAGCGTTTGTTGAACAGGAAAGGCCTCTGTGATAGCCGTGAAAGTCGAAGGCACCTTGCTTCAGAGAGAGGAATTGCCAAGTGCTGAGCACGGACAGCCGCTTGGTCTGCATGGGCAGGACGTGCCTCTGTGCAGTACCCGTGAAGTGTGAGGTTCTATTTTGGTCTGATGTTCCATGGAGATGGCCTGGAGCTCGATTCTGAAAACCGAAGACAGTCAGGCGGCAGGGAGGGGCGGCAAAGGAAGAGGAACTGCACAGATTTCTCTTCCCACAAACAAATATGGTCCAGGGCTTCAGATTCTCTGAAGTCTCACAGATACCCGGCAGCACATGGTCCTCTGTTTGTTTGTCGATAACATTTGGAGACACGCGCGCCTCGTAAACTGTCGGCCTGCTGTGCTTCTTGTCACACAGCACATGGCCTGCCTGCGTGGGCCCTGCTATGGCCGGGGGCGGGGTAACTTCCAGTGAGATTTGACTGATGACACCGTCAAATCCTGCGTGTGAAAAAACATGTTTCGGAGACTGAGATGCTCTATTTTGATATTTTTAAAGATTGTTAATGTATATTTGACTTTCACAACAAGCTAACAGGATTAGTAAGTTTTTATGGATTTTTAAATTTCTATAGGAAACAAAGACTGAGATTTTGTGACATTTGACTAAAAAGAAGTTACTATTTTAAATCTACAGTTTTAATGGAATTTTAAATTTCTCTTTATAGGAAACAAAAACTGAGATTTTGTGACATTTGATTAAAAAGGAGTTATTATTTGTCTACCAAGTTCAAATTGTAACATTCCTTTCTTTCTTTCTTTTCTTTTCTCTCTCTCTCTCTCTCTCTTTCTCTCGCTCTCTCTTTCTTTCTTGCTTTGTTTTTTAGCTTTGTTGGAGGGGTGAGTGTTTATGCTGATGTTATTATGGGTATTTATATGGAATTCTTAAAATCTTATAACAGTAAAATGACTGAAACGCAAAATAAAATTATATCCTAACAGTTGAGTTCCAGCTAAATATCTTTATTGACAGTGTTTAAGCTTTCTTTTGCCCCCACCCCCAAACGTTTTTTTTCCATCAGGGATTTAAACTCAGGCATTAAAAAGACCTTTTAAAAGTTTCGTGTTGTAATTGTTTCTCTTTGTCAATGTTTGAATTGGAGGGTCTGCTTAGAGCACATTGTTAAGACATCTCACGAGGCCAGAATTTTTTTTCTTCCTCCTTAAGCTTAAGTCCCACATGGACTTGAATGAAACCAAAGTAGATGTGTGTAATCTGGGTAAATGAAAGGTAAATCTCAATGTAAACTGCACTAATATGTTTGTACTTCCCCAAATCTCCTCGTTGTCTGTCCTGTTGATGGTGCGTCAGAGGTACTGATTGCAAACGTTTTTGCAGTCACAAAAATATTATTGTAGGTAACTTAAAAGGCAAAGCATTGATTTTACCTGTTCACAACAATCAATTCTATTTACAGGGTTACCGCAGTTTTTTTTTTTCTTACTTTCAAATAGAGTTGGGGTTTCTCTCTGTCACCCATGCTAGAGTGCAGTGTCACAATCATGGTTCACTGCAGCCTTGAACTCCTGGACTCAAGTGATCTCCTGCTCTAACCTCTCAAGAGTTTGGGATTACAGTTGTGAGCCACTGCGCCGGGCTCTATAGCAGCTTTTGATTTGGCCTATGATCCCTGTCTGAGAGAGTCCACAGTCCTGCTCTGGGCTTCTTCATTCCCTGAGACTTTGTCTCTCTAGACCGAGCCCTCTTCCTCTCCCCCGGTCCCCTGCTGCATGCCTGGCAGTGTGCTCAGTACTGGGATGTGGATGGGCATCCTGCTTCTCCAGCCACGACTGAGCCTTATCTTCAGCTTTCTTCTCTCTCTGATTGGTAGCAGAGCTGTCGTGCTTTGTTTCCTGGTAAGTAGGTGGGGACAGGAATGTCCAGAACAAAGAGGATAATTCCTCCAATTTCTGTCATTAGGGGAAAGCCGCTCACCTACTACTATTGTGAGTAGCACAGGGGAAGCTAGAGTAGGAAATTGCAAAACTCTGTTTGTATGGGATTAAAAAAAAAACAAACAAACTTGACCATGTTGTTGTCTACACTTCTTAAGCTGGGAGTGTTTAGAGAAGGCCCTCAAGTATGGGAGTGAGAACAATGCCCTTTCCCACTTGAATTCCCTCTTCCTGCCATGCTGGTGTCTCTCCTCAGCTTCCTTGAAGCGTACCACTGTCACCTCCTGCTTTCTGGCTTTCTGGTATCATGAAATTCCCCCTCACCACTTATTGGTTATCTACTACCACGTAATAGACCACTCTGAAACAACTGTTTTACTTGCTCACTGTTCTGTGGCTCAGCAGTTTGGGCCAGACTCAGCTGGTTGGTTGTTCTGCTAACCTTCCCTGGAGTCACTCATGTGACTCTGTGATCCAGTGGTCTGACTGGGGCTGGAGGGTTTAAGATGGCCTTACTCACTCCCACGTATGGTGACTAAACAGCTGGGCCTCCTCTCCTTGGGGTCTCTCATGGGAGGTTAGCTTGAGATTTCTTTGTATGGTGGGCTCAGAGTTCCCAGCAGGGCAAGACCAGAGACTGCAAAGTCACTTGAGGCCTTGGATCACAATTAACATATTATCAAAGCAAATCACAACACCAGCCCAAATTCATGGAGTGGCGAAATAGACATAAAAGTCTGCGCTTAAAGAGATGAAAGAAATAATCACTGTCATCTTTGCAAATGATCTGCTACAAACTGCATTGCCCATTTTAATTCATTTTATTGATTTTTACCTTCAGTTAAGGGTAGAAAACATGACATATGGGGATAAAAAAATATATGCTTTAGAATCAGATATGCCGCCAATTATTGATTTGTAAGAGTTCTTTTATATTTTAGATGTTAACATTTTGTTAGTTAGATGTATTGAAGATAACTTTTATCAGTCTGTGATGTCTTCTTGTATTTATGGTGCCTTTTTACAAACAAAAGTGTTTAATTTCAGCAAAATCTGAATTTTCAATCTTATATGGTTTGTACTCTTTACATCTTGTTTAAGAAATCTCTCTCTCCCCTGAAGTAATAAACGCTGTCTTCTATATTTTCTTCTAAAAGATTTACAGTTTGGGCTATTCATATACTGATTTATATCTCTGGTACTGATTTTTGTGAATGGTGTGAGTTAGGTTCCAATGTTATGTTTCTTCACGTGGGTAATCTACCGTCCTAGCATCATTTATCAAATATTCTATTCCTTTCTCACTTGTCCGCAATGGCATAACTGCTGTATTTCACATTTCCATATACAGATGGCCCCCAATTTTTTTTTTTTTTTTTTTTTTTTTTTGAGATGGAGTCTCACTCTGTCACCCAGGCTGGAGTGCAGTGGCACAATCTCAGCTCCTGGCAACCTCTGCCTCTTGGGTTCAAGCGGTTCTCCTGCCTCAGCCTCCTGAGTAGCTGGGATTATAGGTGCGTGCCACCATGCCCGGCTAATTTTTGTATTTTTAGTAGAGATGGGGTTTCACCATGTTGGTCAGGCTGGTCTCGAACTCCTGACCTCATGATCCGCCTGCCTCTGCCTCCCAAAGTGCTGGGATTACAGGTGTGAGCCACTATACCTGGCCAGATGGTCCCCAATTTATGATGATTTGACTTAATGATTTTTTGACTTTATGATGGGTTTATTGGGACATAACCCCATCATAGGTTGAGGAACATCTGCATGGGATGGAGGCTCTGTTTCTGAGCTCTCTGTTCTGTTAGCCTGTTGTGCACTGCTTTAGATTACTGTAATTTTATAATATGTTTTGAGATCTGGTAGGTAAAGTACCCTAATCTTGTTTTTCTTTTTAAAAACTGTCCTGGGTGTTATTGGCCTTTTTTTCTTTCATAAAATATTTAGTTCCAAGAAAAATGTTGCCAGTGTGGTCTGCATCCATACAGATTCTTTGGTATTGCTTGAAATTTACACTGTGGCCTAATATGTGGCCTACTTGCATAAATTGCTAATTCTTATGGAAAATGTATATTCACCAATTTCTTGGGAATAGGTTTGAAATGCATTCATGGATCAAGCTGTATAATTACTGATTTTTACATCTTCTGTATCCTGACTAATCGATTGTGTCTGACATTTTTGAGGCTTTCTTTATGTTTGCCTAATATAGTTTTCCAGCCTTTTAATCTTGTGTGTCTTTTGTGTTTAAGTCTATTACTTCCATATAGCATGCAGCTGGGGCTTTGTTTTGCACTGTTTTTTTCTATAATCTAAACATGAAGTTTAAGTATTACGTTTAGCCTGTTTTACATTTGTTTAGAATATCTGTGTATTTTTATTTGTTTCTATTATCTTGTTTTGCTGAATTTGTCTTGCTTGTTTTTCTTTTCCTTTCCTGTCCTCTTCTAGGTTGCATTTATAAATTCTGCTTTCTCCTTTCAACCTGTATAATCTATTTCTGTTCTTTTAGTGTTTGATCTTAAAATTTTAAGATGATTATTAACAGAAACCAAAGTTAATGTTTCTAGTTCCCTCTTGCATAAAATTATGAAATGGCTTTAAATATAATCACTTCCACCATTGTTTTAGTTACAGTTTGTATTTTTTTTTTTGCCCCCAAGTACCTTTTTTGGGGAGTTGAGGGGGTTGTCATATATACTAAGACTTACCTGTGTGTGTATCAGCTGTTTATCATTTTCGCTTGTATACCAGATCTTTTTCTTTCTTTCCCCACCTGAAAGTACATCCTTTAGCGAACTTTTTCAGTGAGATTCTGTTCATGATAAACTTTCTCATTCTTTGTTTCTCAAAAGTCTTAAAGTCTCCTTCGTGGATGATATTTTAGCTGAAAATGCAATTCCATATTGATAGTTTTAACATTTGAAGGTTTCTTTAGGAGCTCTAGTAAGTCAGTGTCTTCGGATAGATGTTCCAGTCTTCTCTCATTTCGTCAATTTACATCTCATCTATTGAGTGTTCATTTCATTGGTTATAGTTTCTATTTCTAAAAATTCTATTAATTTACCTGGTGTTTTTTGAAATTATCTCTTTCTTCTTCTGTTTTAGTATTATTATTATTATTATTATTTGAGACGGAGTCTCACTCAGTCTGCCAGGCTGAAGTGCAGTGGTGCGATCTTGGCTCACTGCAACCTCTGCCTTCCAGGTTCAAGTGATTCTCCTGCCTCAGCCTCCCAAGTAGCTGGGATTACAGGCATGTGCCACCACCCCCAGCTAATTTTTGTATTTTTAGTAGAGATGGCATTTCACCGTGTTGGCCACACTGGTCTTGAACTCCTGACCTCAGATGATCCACCCGCCTCAGCCTCCCAAAAGTGCTGGGATTACAGGCATGAGCCACCGTGTTCAGCCCCCTTTCTTCTTTTAAAAAAATATTTTAAGCATACTTATTTGACATTCTACATCTGATCATTGCGGTGTCATTCCTTGGTGGCCTGATTTTGTCAGTTATTGTGTCTGTTGCCTCTTGCTCATAGTGATGTGTTGCCTCTTGTGTTTTATAATATGGGATTATGGGTTCTTCTTTGACCAAGCTCTATCTCTGGGTATTATATGATATCATCATTAAGAGTGAATTCTACCAGAGTAGATTTGTTTTTGCTCCTACCAGATGCCTTGGAATACAAACATATGAAGTCAGTCCTATGATTAGAATGTCAGGGGGCCTGGCACAGTGGCTTACACCTGTAATCCTAGCACTTGGGGAGGCCAAGACAGGTGGATCACGAGGTTAGGAGATCGAGACCATCCTGGCTAACATGGTGAAACCCTGTCTCTACTAAAAATACAAAAAATTAGCAGGGCGTGGTGGCAGGCGCCTGTAGTACCAGCTACTCAGGAGACTGAGGCAGGAGAATGGTGTGAACCCGGGAGGTAGAGCTGGCAGTGAGCCGAGATTGCGCCACTGCACTCCAGCCTGGGCCACAGAGCGAGACTCCATCTCAAAAAAGAAAAAGAATCTCAGGGAACAGGCTGGGCCTGGTGGCTCATGCCTCTAATCCCAGCACTTTGGGGGGCCGAGGTGGGCAGATCACCTGAGGTCAAGAGTTCAAGACCAGCCTGGCAAACATGGCAAAACCCCATTTCTACTAAAAATACAGAAATTAGCCAGCGTGGTGACGGGCACCTGTAATCCCAGCTACTCAGGAGGCTGAGGCAGGAGAATCACTTGAACCCATGGGGCGGAGGTTGCAGTGAACTGAGATCACACCACTGCACTCCAGCCTGGTCGACAGAGTGAAACTACGTCTCCAAAAAAAAAAAAAAATAATAAGAATCTCAGGGAAGAAACCTGCTGTATTCCTTTTCCACCCTCCTACCCCAAAGTATAGGCAGAATTTCTTTTTCCATCTCTTTTTCTTTTGCCAGTGAGCACTTTTCTCTTTTAGTCTATGTCTTTTTAGACTGAGGGGTGTAGCCCCTCAGGGGAACCATATGAATGTGGGACATTCACTTCTAACTCCTGAAGTTGTACTGACCCAAGCCCTGTTTTCTGTATCATGTATCATGGGCTTACAGTTAAAACCGAAGGCTCCAGGGAGTGGGTCTCAAACTGGGTGGTGCTGCTGTTGGGAAATGTGTGGGTACATTTTTGATTGTCACAGTGGCAATCAAGTCCTAATCGTTTGGTGCTCAGGAGCCAGGGAGCCTAGTGCCAAGTGTACCTACGAAGTGCACAATTCTGTCCCAAAAGAATTGTCCCCCTGCTAACACCAACAGGTTCTCACACCCTGTGGGAAACGCCGTTTTAGGGCTTGGGGATTGATGGATATACTTAGGCTGCCATAGCATGGACACTACCCCACTTCCTTTATCAACTTTATCTTCTTCATTTGGGCTTTGGAGAGTTTTCGGAGCTCAGCTTTGTTTAAAAAGGACATTTGTTTTACTTTATTTAGCATTTCTAAGTGTTTTGTAGATTTATTTGTTTGCTCTTCAGGAAACCTGGCTCTCAACGGTATTATTAAAAATGAAAATCCAGCCGGGCACTGTGGCTCATGCCTGTAATCCCAGCACTTTGGGAGGCCGAGGTGGGCGCATTCAGGAGTTCAAAACCAGCCTCACCAACATGGTGAAACCCTGTCTCTACTAAAAATACAAAAGTTAGCCGGACATGGTGGTGCACACCTGTAATCCCAGCTACTGGGGAGGCTGAGGCAGGAGAATCACTTGAACCCAGGACTCAGAGGTTGAAGTGAGCTGAGATTGCACCACTGCACTCCAGCCTGAGTGACAAGAGTGAAACTCCATCTCAAAAAAAAAAAAAAAAAAAAGGAAATCCTTTTATTTGCTTTCCCACTATTTTATGAGCATCAGCTATCCTAGGCATTGTGAGCGATGGGATGTGCAGGGTTACAGCATTTCTCTGCACAGTGTATATGGGTTGTTCAACTCCAGGAGGTTGTGATTCTGCAGACCACAGTGTGAAGGGGGCCCCTGTCAGTCGTGCCTCCTGGCTGCTCCGGACGTCCCACTGAGGATGCTGTGGTTCCTGTGATCAGAGCACTGAGTGCTGTTGCCATTGTGTTCCCAGATGAGCTTGTCAGCTGTTCCACATCAGGGATCAGTACCTGTACCTAGGTCATTGCCCCTGTGCAAAATATTCAAGCACTTTTGCTTTGGCAATGGCAGTTGCCATAGATGATATCTGCCAAGTTAACTGAGCTTCCTTCTTTGACCACTACCACCTTAAGAGCAAGTAATGAGTGATTGAATACTGAAAAGTAACACAAGAAAATCCAAGAGCCAGAGCCAAAAGGTGGGGAAACACACAGAAACCTCTAAGCCATTCAGGGTACACTCACTTAGTTGGTGCTTCATTCCAGAGAAGAAAGGGATGGTAGGAGGCAGCATTGGTGCCAAGTTTGCTCAGGGGTCCACTTCCTCCCTAACTTTCCTGGCCAGCTTGGACCTGAATAGAAAGTGTTGCCAGGCAGCTTACAGCTGTAATGGTGTCATTGGAGCAAGGTAGCCACTTTGCAGACGGAATCTTTCATCTAAAGCATCAGGGGCTCCTTCTGCTCCCATTTCTTCTCTTTCCTTCTCTCTTGTCTGGTTATATTGATAGTGCTCTAGTCCGTGATCCAGTGCCTCATATTTTAGGACAGTGGTACTCAATCCACTGTCTTCTCAGATTCAATTAGAGAAGGTTTTTAATGTTCTAGAGTCTTTCTATTCCAAGTGTGGTCCATGGACCTGCAGTTTTGATTAGTATCATTCGGAGCTAGTAAGGAACACACAGTCTTAGGCCCAACCCCATGCCTGTTGAATGAGAATCTGCATTAAACATGTTCCCCTGGGGATCCAGATGCTCTGTCAGTTTGAGAAGCACCCCAGGGGAAAGTGATCCTCATATTCTCTTCTCAACGCAGAGGACCACTATAGAGAACCACTGTGGTGGGCACTCAGTAAATAGCAAAGGAAGAAAGTTGCTTGCACTTTTGCACAGAATATCATGGGAAGAGCAGGTATTATAAGATGTTTATAGTTTGCCAGACATGGCAAAAACAGACGTTGCAGGATTTTTCAGGTAATGGATATGGGACAGTCATTTTTTTTGTTGTACTGTTCTCAGTATGGCTTATTTAATTATTTTAGTAATTAATGAATTAATTCATCAATTTGCTAATTGTAAAATCAACAAAATCAGTTAATTTTTTAGTATATAATATATATATTCTTTTATTATAAATTATTATTGTCTTAACTTAGGCTGTTGTAACAAAATACCATAAACTGAGTGGCTTAAACAACACTCATTTATTTCTCATGGTTTTAGAGCCTGGGAAGCCCCATCATCTGGGTACTAACCAATTCAGTTTCCTGGTGAGGGCTCTTTTCCTGGCTTACAGACGGCTGCCTTTTTACTGTGTCCTTACATGGTAGAGAGAAAACGAACTCTGGTTTCTATCTCTTCTTATGACACTAATCTCATCCATGGGGACCCCACCCTCATGACCTCATCTAAACTTAATTACTTCCCAAACATCCCTCTTCTAACTACTATTACATTGAGGGGTAGGTCTTCAACATAAGAATTTGTATGGGGGGAGACAAAGACATTCAATCCACAACAACTATTATTTATTATGAAAAATATAAAGTAATAATACTAGTAGTAACAGTAACAACTATCATTTTAATTTGATTGAGCCCAGGTGATGGAGCTTGTACTTGGAGGGTCTTACAGTATATGTACATGTCATGAGCGAGATTCCTTGTCCCCCTCACACAGGGGTGGCTTTTAGCAATTACTGTCCATGTTGACCCACATTTTCTTCTGATTTCATCTGACAGGGCACAGCCTTTGCAGCGAGCAGGGCAGCAGTGCTGAGACCGCTCCAGAGGAGACCGAGGGGCCAGACTTGGAATCCTCAGATGAGACTGATCACAGCAGCAAGGTGAGAGATTTTCATTTTCACATCCCATGCTTTGAACCACTGAAGAATCACAGCTGACAATGTCACCTACACAGCTGTATGTGGTTACCAGGCCTCTCCATGGACGAAGTGTTTTTGCTTCTGAGATGTTGCTGAATAGCAGGAAATGAAATCCAAATTATAGCCTTGGTAACAAACCTGTATGTGAGAATATAGGGGAGAAATCACTCGTAATGAAATAAAATCCCTTTTCTTAAATTTCTGCCACTGCTGGAGCTCCCAGTTAATGCCATAATTTTATTCCATTTCCCTATTACATCTTCATTTGTGTAGGATGAAACAGCATCAAAAGTATGTGGGATTGAGTCAGCTATGCTTTCTTGCTACTTAGGGTTTCTGTAATGAACTCCTTTTGAATTACCTGCATTCAGCTCTTGTTAAAAGTGAGCAACTTTTATGTTAAAGGGAAAGAAACCATATTTTAAAATTAATCCAAATACACTTTCCCTTAGTTGAACATAGTAAGAAAGTTCTCCTGACTTTTTGGTGCAAGACACTGAAATTGTTGCCCATAATTTTTTTTTTTTTTTTTTGAGATGGAGTCTCGCTCTGTCGCCCAGGCTAGAGGGCAGTGGCGTGATCTCGGCTCACTGCAAGCTCCGCCTCCCGGGTTCACGCCATTCTTCTGCCTCAGCCTCCCGAGTAGCTAGGACTACAGGCACCCGCCACCACGCCCTGCTAATTTTTTGTATTTTTAGTAGAGACAGGGTTTCACCGTGTTAGCCAGGATGGTCTCGATCTCCTGACCTCGTGATCCACCCGCCTTGGCCTCCCAAAGTGCTGGGATTACAGGCGTGAGCCACTGCACCCGGCCTGTTGCCCATAACTTATCATGCTTCTATTCCACTTCATAAAGAGTTCCATGGGTCAGTAGCCTCTTTTACCACAGTCTTCAAAACACAACCCAACTTAAAACCTCTGTGTTACCTGAATCCAAACGACACTGCCCCCGCAAAAAAAGCAATTGCGTGTGATTTTGTTTCCATACTTATTCATCTTTTTCTATAATGTTGTTGAGATATGTATATTTCTCTACGATCTCTCTTTTTTTTGCTTGACGCTTACTAGTCACTTAACCTAAGCAAATCACATAACTGTATACTTTTGTTTTCTCATCTGCAAAATCAGGGTGATTCTTACCTTTGCTTGGAGATTGGATTTTTGGGTGGGTCAAATAATATAACTATGAGAAAGCACATTGATAATGGAAAAATGCTTTTCAAACATGAACTATTATTTTGAAAACCTACGTTTGTACATTTCCTGTTTTGATTCCCCCTGTATGTGTATATTCTGTAGGACTTTCTTGTGTGCACATATTTGATTCTTCAGTATCTTTTATCCATATTTGTTTCTCTTTCCTGACTGTAGGATCTTCATTCTCAGTGTCTTTTTAAGTTGGGCACAATATAAAATTTAATATTTGAAAGCAACATTAATATTTATAGACTGAAAGGCATTATGTTGTTGGTTGTTAATTAAAAAGCAGATCATTGGAAATGCACATGTTTCCTTTTAAGGCAAATTTAAAAAACCAACTGCTTAAAGTTCCTTTTTATTTAGGTGACCCTTACATTTCTTTTACCCACTTACTTTTGTGGGGTCGGTCAGTTGTCCTCAGGAGAAACAGATATTTCTATACTGATGTAAGACAATTTGAAGGGTATCTATTAAGTTACAGTATTATAAGAACTAAAAATATTAATTTTCAATTTCTAACTGGATTTAGGCAAATAGCTATTTTTCCTGTATCTAAAACATTTATTTCTGAACACTTAAAAAGTATTGGATCCAAAATGATTAGGTCATTTTTACTTTACTTTGATAGGTCAGTGTTCTCATCTCCTTGTGGATTTTGAGAGAGATCGTTTCCATGTTAAATATAGTGAGTCATGAGGTCATAAACAGAGTCCTGTATAATATGAGGTTCTGGCAGTGGAGAGGACGGAAGAGGCTCCAGGGCTTTGCTGACTGGTCCCATGTGTCGCTCTGACTCCGTGGTTCTTTTTCCAGAGAACAAGGCTCTTGAACTTATCTGGAACATGAAGGGTCAAATATAGAAATAGATGGTGCTGTTCAAAGATTTTCTTGTAGAAATTCTTAGTGGGCTTTCTAAAAAGGGACAGAATTTTCTCAAAATTATTGACAAGCTACTCGGGAGGCTGAGGCAGGAGAATTGCTTGAACCTGGGAGACAGAGGTTGCAGTGAGTCAAGATCGCGCCACTGCACTCCAGCCTGGGAGACAGTGTGGGACTCCATCTCAAAAAAAAAAAAAAAAAGATTAAGAAGTTTGGGTGATGATTTGAATATATTTTAAAGATCATGCAGTAGACTGCATTCAAACCATAAGTTCGTATTTCATTCTGCTGGGTTGGATGTGGGGAGCACTGTGTAATTCTGTGTCCGAAATACTTCCTGGTTTTGCTTTGATTCAGACTTCATCTTCTCTATTTGAAATTTTGTCATGCAACTCAAATTAGTTAGCTAAAATAACCTTTGGTCAATTAAATTTCTCACTTAGGGTATTTGAACGCAAAAAGCTTAAATGAGCAGTTCTTGGTGGCTGGGTTCTACTGTGTGTTATTAATAGTAAATGAGAAGTAATACTTATTTAAGGTCTTGTATATATTAGGCACTGTTCCATATTAACTCATCTTAGCCTCACAACACTCTTGAGGGAGATACTATTATCTGCCCTATTTTATAGATGAGGGCACTGGAACAGAGAGGTTAAGCGACTTGCTGAAGGTCACACAGCTCTGTGATGACAAAACCAGGATGCAAACCTGGTTTGGCTCCAGGTCTTGTCTTGTTAGTGGCTATGTTAAAACTACCTTGTGTCCAGATTGTTAACATCTGGTTTTAAATACTGGGTTTCATAAAAAGAAGGAATTAATTTATTAGTGGTGCTGTAGGCCATTTATATATACAGCCATAAACCACTTAAATTTTTTCCTAATGCTTAATGTTTCTGTGTGTCTCTTTTTATGATTTAAAGTAAGAGCAAGAAAACACCTGAAGTTTCTTGATCAAGGCTAAATATTTTTTGATGCGTCTCCTATATAAGTGTGAAGCTTTTCTTGAGAATAAGCTGAAAATTAATTTTTCAATCGTTAGCTGTCTAAACTCGGAAGCATGATTTAGCCTTGTCTGAATGCACGAGGCTGAGTGTAGAGATGTAAATGTGTAAATAACTAAATAAACAGAAACAAATAATCACTTTTTATTCCAGCTGAATATGTTAGAGCTGTTGATTTTGTGTAATATTCTTGGTTTCTTTCTAAATGGACTGTTTTACATGATATCGGTCAGCATAAAGAAAAAGCATGTTGGAGTTCTGTATGTTTTGCACTTGTACTGAATAGCAGTTTTTGCTATGTGTGGCCTTTTAGAGTTGAGCAAGTAAATAATTGTATGCTTGTTGTTGAGCGTGGTGGTACTGGAATGTCACAGCCGCTGGGGAGGGGCAGGGGAATGTCACACTGCAGGGACAGTCTAGCAGCCTTTCTCTTTCTGAGCCGCCTCCTCTCTCCTGTGACTGTGGGTGACAACCTCAAAAAGCCTCATCATCACTGGCTACTTTTTTCTCTGCTTCTCATTGAAAACTCTTGTTTCTGGAGATGAATGCTAATTAGCTTCAGGGCAGTGCGGTCATGTGTCATGCATTCCAGGCCGCCTGGCAGCTGTGATTGTGTTTTCCATTTAGCAAATGTATTAGAATAATTTTCAGGACATTTCCATTAGGAATGACTTTTTCTTTCTCATCCATATTGTTTTTGTCTCAGAAATGTCTGCTTTTATAACAAAGCATGAGTGGAAAAATGTGAAATTATCAACTGTTAAACACACACACACACACACACACACACACACACACACACACACAACTTTTCTTAGTTGCCTGCTCTTGACTCAGTGTGGAATACCTTGAAAGTTGTCGGAGCCGGGCAGGTTTAATATTCCTGAGCAGTGCAGGATGCTGGCCAATCAGCTGATCTCAGGCTGCAGGGCAGAGACGCTTACATCCCGGGGAGGCATTTTGTGCTTTGTTTTCTTGCCAGTTTCAGCTCTCCCTTTCTGGAACTTTTGTTGTTTAGCCAGGTGAAATCAAAGCCTGAGTTCTGGTCCACAGTTTAGCCTTTGACAGCTTCCCAGAGGGCACTGGTGGGAAGCGAGTGCAGCTCCGGGGTCTCACCGTCGCTGTCCTTGCTGCGTTGAGACGTGGCCGTAGATTTTCATGGGAAAACCAGCATGGGACGTCCATATGAGAGGATGCTCTCTTCAGAGCTAGGAGGCGTTTGGTGCTCTGGGAATATTTTAAGAAACTTCTGTCTCCGTGCTGAACACGTCAGGTGGTAGAATTAATTACCATGAGAATACATTCCTGATGATGTCTGCACTGTGGAAAATAAAGCGCAAGCCCAGGATTGAAAACAATGACAAGTCCGGTGACTCTATGTATCGAACACTTCATCTGGTGAGCGCCTTTGCTGTTTGAATCCTATCTTGCTAGGTTTGATTGTGTTATGACTTTCTAGCTCAGTTGTTTTTCAATCCGAATGACAGTGATTACACCTTTCCCATTTCCCCGTATTCTGTCCTTTTACCCTCTGGATACCCTTGTTCATAAAGTCTGTATTGTGGCTTTTGGTGGGGGACGTGGGGAGGTTCAGAGTTGGTATGGAGTTGAATTTGCCTAGCATCTTTACATTTTTCTACTCTTTTATACTTAAATGGCAGAAAGATGTAATCTGCATTTTTTTGTTTAATTAATGGTCAGTTGCATTTTTTGCCTTTGTTTTGGTTATTGAGATTTTGATTGTGTTTTGTGTTACGTGCATGGTGAGAATCTCCCATCCCCCCTCAGAACGGGCTGTCCGAGTGATCGGCAGGGAGGTCTGGAAATAGGATGTTCAACTTGTTTCCTTTTATAAGGCTTGAGGTGTTTTTGACTTTATTTCTGCTTCCTTGAGAAGGAGATAGATATAGAAGGGTTGGCTCAGGGGACGTGTTACTGGTTTGACAGCAACTGACCTATTTGAACAGGTCTATTCCTACAGTAAATATTCACTCTCCAATGAGGAAGTGTAGTGGGGTAATGGCAAGAAATAATTTAGCAAAATCAGATTCAACCTTTTAATAGTTTATTATTAATAGCTCAGTCTGTCGACTATTAGATGTTGTGTCATTTAATCAAACTTAAACTTCTACAGTGCGTACACCTGATTTGCTCAAATAAGCCTTCTTCCTTCTTGGATATTTCTTCTTTGAAGTTTGTTCAAGAGGAAACTGAAAAGGTGATCGAGAACTGTAGGGATTACCATTGTACATAGTGTCTCTGAAATTATGGAGCGCATTGTCCCCAAAAAAAGCTTAAGTAAAGGCTATAAGATTTTAGGCCACTCTGGCCCCTTTTAAATCTGTGGGATGTGTTAAATCGGTCAGACTCAAAGAACAGTTTTAGAACTGTGAACTCATCTAGAGTTAGAAATTGCCTTTGGTGGTTGCATAACAGGAAGAGCTTAAACAGCTGGGTGGCTTGAGTTGATAGTGTGTACTTAAAAGTCTACCCCCTCTTTTTGTACTTTCTTTTCATCTTCCACAGGAGGAAAGCAGCATTATAAACATTGAGCATCACGCTGGTCTCAGTAAAGTGGCCCATTTCCTCTTGCCATTGTCCTCTCCTTGTCTGTATGTTGGTTGGATAATTCTTAGTCCTGACAGTGGAAAAGCTCTGCTACCCTTTAACAGTTTTAAACTCTCAAAATGCCTGTAAGTACTTTTTTGGTTTCCAGGGTGACTGATTACAGTCCTCAAGTAGGGGAGAGGTTTTTACTTTCCCCACTGGAGAAACCTGGTCTGCCTTCCCCTTGCTGGAGTCCTAAGCTGCTTGTCCCACATCCAGGATACTTGGCTTTTGGGAGCGTGTTGAGAAGCTCCCATTGAGGCGACCTTTCTTGGCACTTGTGGCTACAGCGCTTGGTGTGGGAATGACTAGGATGCCATCTGTAACACTCAGTGGTGGAGCGGGGCAAAGCCTTGAACCCAACTCCTCCTATATTCCACATCATGGCTAAGCTGCGTGGAGAAGGGCCTGATGGATTTTGATGTAAAGAAGTTTGGCCACAGTAAAGAGGGAGGGGGATTTAAAAGCTGAGCCCCACAGTATGGAAAAATCTCTAGCTTAGAGGTATTCTAAAGAAAACCTGCATTTCATAATTCCTTCCAAAAAAAATTTGGGGGGGTGTTATTTTAATAAAACAGAATTTTCAAACTTGATGACATCCTTTTAATTTGTTTCCAAGCAAATTTTAAGAGGCTTGTATATAACACCGCTTAACAACATGTATGTGCATTATAACTTGTAATGATGCATATGGTACCTTTTTATTCTTTATTCAAATAACGTGCAGTTGACAGTAAAGAGATTACATCCATCTGGACTCAGTTCCTTGTGCTACACCTGAGGGTTGGTGCCTTGATTCATTGAGTAGGGTTGCCGGTGGGGAAACTGCTTTGCCCCTTGCTCAACTTGAGAGACCACTCAGCTAAGTCTATCCTAGGCCTAGGTCGTACCTAATAAGGAAGGGATACTTAAGGCTGTGAAATGTCCAAAGAGGACCCAAGGGAATTTTAGCTGTCCCCTGAGATGCTAAAGGTGTTTCCTAATATAAGCCAGAACTTATCTCTGGCTGTCTGAGGGTGAGGTTGGGCCTAGGAGACAGCTGAATTTAGAGGACTGAAGCCCTAGCCTGCATCCTACTAACCTGAGCTCACCCCACAGGCCTGCTTCAAACTAAGGATGCCAAACCTCAGGCGTGGTAAACTTACATAGACCAAGTCAGAAACCCTGTTCACACTCTTAAAAATGGAATTCTCAAAGTATTTATGGTAGAACAGATGGAATGAAAACCCAGAGGTAGTGAGGTGTGAATTGGAAGCACAAAGGAATGTGTTAGGTTCCTTTGTCTTTTGGAATTTCCTGCCTTTGATATGTGTCAGATCCCCATGTTTGCCTTTCGTGAATCACGATTTCACACAGTTTGCCTAAATGATAAAAGGTGTGCTCTGCCTCTGTGGCAGTTCCTCAGATAACGTTTTGTTCAACATCATTTCATCATAACGTTTATGTGAAAAAAATTGATTTCTAGCCAGGACCACTGTCTGCGTGGAATTTGCATGTTAAATCCAGGTCTTCGTGGGTTTTCTCTGGGTACTCGGGTTTGCTCTCACAGCCCAAAAACGCGCACATGGGATGAATTGGCATGTCTCAGTGGTCCCTGAGTGAGTGTGTATGTGTGTGCACCCTGTGATGGAATGGCATTCTATTCAGGGTTGGTTTCTGCCTTGCACCCTGAGCTGTCAAGATAGGCTCCAGTCACCCATGATCCTGAGCTGGAATAAGTGGGTTGGAAAATGAGTGAATAAGTGAATACAAATCATTATAAAATAAAAACTTGTAAAGTATACAATCATACAAATGCATAGCAGGAAACTATGCAGTACAAAAGTATTCAGAGATCCTGCCAAAGTTGTTCTTGCTAGTTTTTGAACTGCATGATGGTAGGAGGTGCCCCTTAACAATTTTTGCTTTGCAAACATTTATTGCTTGACTTAACACACTACCGCTATGACCACCGTCACTCACCAGTTCACCAAAAGCTGGGTAAATAGTTCTCTTAACTTGTTTTTATTTATCTTACTTAAATGGATATCTGGCTTACATTTATTTCAGTGTTTAATATTAGAAGTCTTTTGGTCTTTATTTAGAAGCGTGGTGATTTTTTCTTTGACCAGAAATGTGCTGTAGGAACTTAACTTGTTTGTATCAATTAGCCTACAGTAAAAATGGTTTCTTTATGCCGTTTAGCTTAAAGTCAGTTTCCAAGAACCTATAAACCATGTTAAGTGAGGACTCACTGTAATAGACTGCAGTGAAGAATATATTTGCTATGAGCAGTAGCTTTCCTATTAATTCTGTGAAAAACAGACAGCTGTGGTTACTGTTGGAAGCTTTAGAAAAGGATGGTATAAAGCGAGGTGCCAATTATACATTTGTTGTGTTAGGTGCCTTTGCCAGGTACCAAATCAAAGCAACCAAGGAGAGTTTGGGATAAGACAGGGACAGGGCACAGTTAGTTGTCAGCTGTTATCACTGTCTGTCCATGGATTTTCATTTTGGCAAGGGTTTGCTTTCTTTCTCATTATGACTGTGTTATAATGAGTTTTCTATTACAGTTATCACTGGATCATCTAAAAGACACATGAAGATTTTTTGCTAAAATGGATGTATTTGTTCCTTTGTAATTTTTAAGACAAAGCCCTACTTGACTGTATATTTAATGATGATTTTGAGTTAGTGAAATTCTAGCTAACTAAATAAAATTGTTTAGTTTATTTCTACTGAAACAAGCTTTGATGAAAAACACAGTTTTTCTTTTCTAACAGCCTTGTTGAGATATAATTTACATACCATAGAGCTGAGCCCATTTTGGTCAATTTTTCCAGTCAGTCACCTAAGGGAAAATTGTTTGTGGGGTTACTCAGTGTCAGAAACATGCATTTCCACAGAAAACATTGAATAGTGCCACTGACAGGTGACTGACACCTTCTGGCATATAAGACCAGGGTTAGTGCTAGCAATGAATAAGCTGTGGTAATTGTAAGAGAATTAGAATAATAATTATGTGGATGTGGGTCCTGGCTCTCCTCTGTCCTGTCATGCCACTGCAGCTAATGCATCCTTCTTAGGTTCTGATTTTCCCTGTCCTTGCCTCATCTTTATTCCAGACTTCCTTCCCTTTTGGATATGCTAATGAGGGAAAGGCTCTTCAGTGTTGGCTGCCTTCCTCTGTGTTTAAAACTCCTCCATGGCATACACTTGATTTTAGCTTTTCTGACCTACACAAAACAGCAGCCTTGACTTTTAGCTCTGTGCACCAACGATTGTTTTTGGGAGGGTATTCTCATGTTCTTGCTAGGTAGGTGGATGATAGAAGAAGTTATTCTTTATTTGCACCGGTATTTACTGGAAATGCTTTGTGCCTAGAGTTGAATTAGACAATAGAAGCAGAGAGAGAAGCGTGAGAAGGACAGCCACTAGCTTCAAGAAAATTTCCGGGGCCGGGCGCGGTGGCTCACGCCTGTAATCCCAGCACTTTGGGAGGCCAAGGCGGGTGGATCACAAGGTCAGATTGAGACCATCCTGGCCAACATGTTGAAATCCCGTCTCTCCTAAAAATACAAAAAAATAGCCGGGCGTGGTGGCGGGCGCCTGTAGTCCCAGCTGCTCGGGAGGCTGAGGCAGGAGAATGGCGTGAACCCGGAAGGTGGAGCTTGCTGTGAGCTGAGATCGCACCACTGCACTCCAGCCTGGGTGACAGAGCGAGACTCCGTCTCAAAAAAAAAAAAAGTAAGAAAATTTCCATCAAACATTCATTGAGTGGTGCTTTGGAACAAATATTAGTGAATTAAATTTTGTGCTACTACATAGCCTCTAGAGCAATTACACAGAGAGCTTTAAAACATATTGATATCTGCATATCCCACCCCAGAGATTCTGATGAAATTGATCTCTGGTGTGCATGGGCATCGGGAGGTTGAAAAGCTCCCCAGTGATTCTCATAAGCAGCCAAGTTGGAAAACTACTGGTCTCATGGGTTTTTACAGCAGCCCTTGCTTTGGAGAACTGTTTGTGTAACTGGAAGAGTTGGAATTTTAGAATCCTGGAATCCTACGTTTCAAATGGATGACAAAACGTGTGCAACCTTTATGGTCTACACCTGATTCATCCCTGGTAGATGTGGAGACTGGGATCTCCCATTGAGGCCTATTTTAGGGCTAATCTCGTTATTCTTAAAGGGGAGTGGTATCTTTTTGCCTTTGGAGAAGCTGGAGAGGGAGAAACTTTTATTTAAGTATGGGTATCTTTCTTAATCTAGAAAGTTGACTCAGTGTCCATTTTTAACAGGAAGAACCTTAGCTTGTAAAATCATCTTTGCAACATTGCAAAGTAGATAGTTTACTGAACTGGGAGTCTGATAATTAATGAGGCTTGTACCTTGGGTGAAATGCAGCTAACTTTTATGTCTCCTGATTTATCGACTTCTTGCTTGGGGAGTG